>NC_000001.11:218184587-218809587 GCF_000001405.40 Homo sapiens
AGTTTCATCCCTCTGCAAACCTTCTTCAGTCTGCCACCGGAATAATTTCCCTAAAACTGAAATCTAATCAATGATCCTGCTTAACACCCTTCAAAGCTGTTGCTCCCAAGGTAAAATAAAAAATAAAAATAAAAAATAAAATAAAAAATACCTCCTTGACCTGAAATACCAGGACAACATCATTCAGTGACATTTTTCACATCTAGCCTCTTGGAATCTCAGCTAGGGTCTTAGCAAACCATCCACCTTCTCCTGTTCTCCCAGGCCTCCTGTCCTTATCTATTCTGCTTTCTCTCTACTCAAGTGTCTTGGTCCCTCGAGACTCAGCACAGTTATTGCTGTTTCTCAGAGGCTTTCCCTGATTATCTGGCCTGAGTCCCAAGCCACTTTGTGTGGTCCTCCTGGGCACCCCGTCCACTGTTATCACACTTTCTGCAGTGCATTGTACATGTTGTTTTGGTTACTCTCTCCAGGAGTTAACATGATGGGCTGCTGGAGAGCAGAAATGATGACTTATTTCTGTGTCTTCAGTGACTATCATAGAGCCAGGCACTTACCAGATTGTCACAAAGCTCAATATTTACTGGGGGCTTATATGCAACATGACAGGGAGAGCTACTAATATTTCTTGAATGCTTATGCACTGTGTTAGATACTTTACATAAATTATAGTTTAATACTCAGAATAACTATGAGATAGATAAGGGTATCCCCATTTTAGAGATGATAAAAATTAGTCTTATATTAAAAGAGGAGTATCCCATGTATCATGTGGAATTCCCACCTGGATATAGGTAATCATTAATCTAATACTCAGAATAACTATGAGATAGATAAGGGTATCCCCATTTTAGAGATGATAAAAATTAGTCTTATATTAAAAGAGGAATTACATGATTTCTAGGCATGTTGATATTTTAAGATCCTGGCCTTAGATCTGAAAAAATAAAAATGACAATTGAAAAATTTTTGCTAAAGAAATCAAACTTATTCAGATAGTTTTTTAAAAAAAGTAAATCAGAAGTTGCTTCTGAATTTAATTTGTGGCATAAATCTAGAGAAAATGCAGAATAATTTTCGTATTCAAATCAAAACCATCGTATTGGGAGTTAATATTTTAAAGCTTTTTTTTTTTTTTTTGGTAGACATGAGGTCTCGCTATATTGCCCAGGCTGGTTTCCAGCTCCTGGCTCAAGTGATCCTCCTGCCTTGGTCTCTCAAAGCGCTAGGATTATAGGCATGAGCCACTGCACCTGGCCTCAAGTCTCTTTTTCAAATTAAACTTTTAATTTTGAGATAATTTTAGATTCACGTGCTGTTGTAAGAATCAATATACAAGGATCTCATGAACACTTTCTCTTTCCAGTGTTCTTCAGTGGTAATATTTTACAAAACTATAGTACAATATCATAAGTGTGCTGACATTGATACAGTCAAGACACAGAACACTTCATCACCACATGAATCCCTAATATTATCCCTTGAACAGCCACATCCATGTTCCTCTGACCCCAGCCCCTCCTTAACCTTTAGTGCTCCCTTAAGCACGAATCAAACATGAAGTCTTCATAATGATAATTCTGGCCATGCACAGTGGCTCACACCTGTAATCCCAGCACTTTTGGCTGAGGTGGGTGGATTCCTTGAGCTCAGGAGTTCAAGATCAGCCTAGACAATATGGTGAAACCTCATCTCTATAAAAAATACAAAAATTAGCTGGGTGTGGTGGCATGAGTCCCAGCTACATGGGAGGCTAAGGTGGGAGGATGGCTTGAACTCAGGAGGCGGAGGCTGCAGTGAGCCAAGATCGTGTCACTGCACTCCAGCCTGGGCTACAGAGCCAGACCCTGTCTCAAAAATAATAATAATAATAATAATTCCGAGTGTCCATCCTCTGTCCTTTGTACGTCTTTCTTCTGAGTTAAACTTCTGTTCTCTCCTTAGCAGTTGAGTGGTCATGATTTTAAATTTACCCATGCCATTGTAAAAATATTACCAATTCCACATAGTAACCCATGTATCCTGTGGAATTCCCACCTGGATATAGCTAATCATTAGTCTAATCTGTACAAGCTAGATAACATACCATAGTTGTTTACTTACCTAAGACTATACCAGAGCTTTAGGCTGTGATCAACATATATAAAATCTTTCAGTACAGTTTCTAAATATTTTTTAAAATGTGTTTGTGTAGAACAGAAAGACAGCTTGGGAGTTCAGCTATTTGGCCATCTTGAAGAATGATCTTTTCTCCAATTATTGCTTGAGCCTGCTGAATTCATGAGTGTGCTGAATGATGGCTTAATGGCTTGAACTGCTCTTAATACAAGGTAGTGTTGGTATTTACCATCATATAATTTACTGCCATACAACAGATGACTTTAACACAGTTCCTTTTTTTTGGCCCTCGGCAAAACTTAATGAATAAATGGGAAAATGTTGTAGCTTACAAGCCTTTGAGTTAAGGGCATCCGAGTTAGAAGGACATACTGAAAGCTCTGGCATCTATCTCAGTACACTGAAAACTGAAGGAAATGGAAACTTTGCTAGGTTCTAGGTATGCACGTTCTGAATCACTGTAAACCCTATGGTTCATACTACTGTGTTGCAGCTCACTAAGACAAAATGTAGACCTGAGAGCCTCGTTAGAATTTTCTTTCCATGGTAGGAGGATGGATTACTAAGGCTGCTGGCTAGCATTCTGATTTAAGGCAGAGATGAACATTAACATTCAAGTCTCTTAAAGTCTTTCCTAAATTTCTACATCATAAAATCAGAATAATCTGTGTACAGGCTTTGTATTTATAACTTGAATATTAAGTAGCATCTTGCCTTTTTCTTAGTACTGTCTCTTCATTGGTTACTTGAGTGGCCCTTATTAAGTAGAAGCTGGACCATTACCACTGCCCCCAACACCCACTCCCCTCAAATTCCCTTCCTGTGTGGCTAGAAGATTCAACATTTGTGATTGAAGAGAGCCAAACCAAGGAATAGAACCAAAGCATTCAGCTTGAAGGATTGAACTATCTATCTGAATTATCTGTCTACTGATAGAGCAGGCAATGGAGGGGAAATACTGTATATTTGAAGGCATTTATAGTAAATATTTTACTTGTTTCTATTAAAAATAGTGTTTTGTGGGGATGTATATGCTGAAGGTTATTCATTTTGTCTTGAAAAAGAAATTTTCATTATTACATAAAGTGAAACAGTAGATAGAAGAAAGTAGAAACATAACAGCAATCATTATAAATGTTTATAGACATAACTAAAGCCTTATCTAAAGTTCATCCTGTTTAAGGACATGTTTTATGTTGTACAATTCCTCTTAGAATATCAATCTAATAAGCACCAAATGAGGCTGAAGACAATGCTGTTATAAAAAATGGAGAAAAATGATTAAAATATGATAATTATACTGACAGCTTATATGCTCAATCTAATCAACTAAGCTTCCAATTTGTCATAATGTACACTCACTCATACATTATTGCTTAATTACAGCAACACTTCTATTTGGAAAGGTTGTCAATCATGTGAATATCCATCATTTTTCTTTTTTTTTCTATGAAGGGGCATATTTTAAGCAAGGATTTGAAGCCTCTGTGCTATTGATTTAACCCTTGCAATACTTTTTATGCAAAAACCATAGTTCTTATTGAATGTTTTCTTTTGTACACAGATTTAGACAAGTTGATACTATGGAACATTATTCTTTTATATAAGAATTAATATACAGTATTCTAAAATGAAATTAAATATTGGCAGAATTCTGTGATTTTATAGTTATTAAGATATCTATGTGGTTGTATTAAAAGACAAAAGACACCTTTTTAAAAAGAAACAGAAATTTGCCTGGAGTATTTCCCCATTTGCCTGTGATCCATATTGATCAAGAAGCATAAGAGAAATGACAACGAGGGTGAAATTTAAATAGCTCTTTTATAAAGGACATGAGTGCTTATGGAAACAGACTCTACCCTTAGTAGATTTACGCTTTATCTTACCTTTTACTTCATTTCCTCTGGCTCCATCATTTTTCTTCCAGTTTGTAAAAATGCTTAACACATTGGCTAAAATGATCATATCAGTGCATCTGCCAGGGTCAGCTACTGAGAGTTTAGTAACTTCATCATGTAACCAAGTATACTCTAGCAAAGTCAAGTCATAAATTGAAACAAATATTCATATATTTAAAAGACTGAAGCTTTGTCTCAATTATCTTAAACATATCATTGACTGTATAATATATACATATGTACATGTGTATGTGCATCTTCTCTACATATAATATCCTATAGAATATATAGACTATAGCATATGTAGACTATAGTCTGTGTATGTATATATGACTATTTATGTATGTAGCATACTTTCAAGTTTTTAACCTAGATTATCTAATAGACCACTTTTTCAAGATGATCAGATTATTTGCTAAAAATTGAAAAAAAACTTATTAAATGTGGACATTTTTGGTCCTTAGGAATCAATGTTGTATTTTCTGTTTTTTGTTTTGTTTTGTTGAGACAGAGTCTTGCTCTGTCACCCAGGCTGGAGTGCAGTGGCGTGATCTTGGCCCACTACAGCCTCCACCTCCCAGGCTCAAGCAATTCTTGTGCCTTAACATCCCGAGTAGCTGGGACTATAGGCAGGCACCACCATACCTGGCTAATTTTTTTGTATTTTTAGTAGAGATAGGGTTTTGCCATGTTGGTTAGGCTGGTCTCAAACTCCTGGCCTTGAGTGATCCTCCCACCTTGGCCTCCATAAAGTGCTGGGATTGCAGACATGAGCCACCATACCGGCCCTTTCATTATATTTTCTGTGATTCCACTCAACCACTAGAGTACACAAGTCCGTGGGACTGACAGAGAAGCGAGTGGTGGGGTGGGGAAAGAGAGAGAGAGACAGACTTTATTTCTCCTTCATTTCTTTAAACAATATCTTTGGAAAGTGTAAAATAATGAAGCAGGTGTTCAAATTTGCAAGTTCCATTATTCCTTAAAAGCTAGGTTTGTGATGATGAGATATGCTGATATATACAGTGGTGAACTTGGAGTATGAACCCAAGTTGCACTATATTTCTATCACTTTCATTGATTACTAACACTTAAGCAATTTATGTCAAGTGTTTTATTCTTTAAGACTTTAGATATAATTCAAGCTACAGCCAAGGGCCTAAGGGCATTTGTCACACACATCATTATTTTCAAGAAATTTATTTAAAACTTCATTACAAATGTTAAAATACAAAAATCTACAAGCACAATTAAAATTGAATAATAATAGCTTCATATCACTTGTATTTACAGTTTTGTTTTCAACCCTCAACCAAGTTCCTAAAACTGGGGTCCAATATAGGTTTACACCATAGGTCAAGTTTCATGTCCAGGTGGTTTTATTTCTTAATTTGTAAAATATTTTACTCTTTGTCTTTCTAAACTATAATTTCTTAACTAATAATAATCAATCATTGAAAATTGAAACACGTGACTATCAGATAGTCATGGATATTGCCATTAAACTCAAATGGAAAAATTATGGAGTCATGTTTACTAGACAAGGTGAGTTGGTATCAGAACCTACATAAAGCCTGCTTGGAAGTGTTTCAGTTACCATTGCTGGGTAACAAACTATCCCAAAACTTAATGGCTTAAAACAAAAACCACTTAATTATATTGCATGGATTTTAGGGGTCAGGAATTCATGCAGCTCTCAGCCAGGCAATTCTTCTAGTCCGCATTGCATTGATGAAGGTCATTCAGTGGGACTTAGATGGTGGATGGGGCTCATCTGGAGTCAGCAATAGCTTCATGCACATACCTAGTGCCTTGGTACGGGTAGCTGGATGGCTGGGCACCACTGCAATTGCCAACCAGAGCACCCCATGTGGTGTCTCTAGCATGACAATCTTGAGGTGTTCAGACAAGGCAGCTGGATTCTCCCAGAGCCAGTTTCTTAAGAGAACCACTGAATGTATTTATCACTTATACTGTGGCCAGTTTTACAGAATTACTGGCTATGCTGTAATATGTGCCTGATTTTGCCACAAGGATGGATGGCTTTGTAATTTGGTCTTCTGATCTAATTTTTGCTGTAAATTTCAATGGTTTTGTACCAAAATAACAAGGGCATTATTTTGAAGTTGGTCTGGAAAATTTCAATTTGTTTACCAGAGAGACCACTGGGTTTTGGGGAAGGGAGGAAGATGGGAGGAGAAAACTGTTATGTTTCATGCTATTATTTGACAACGTTTTCTTTTCTTTTCTTTTCTTTTCTTTTTTTTTTTTTTTGAGACGGAGTCTCACTCTGTCGCCAGGCTGGAGTGCAGTGGCGCGATCTCGGCTCACTGCAACCTCTGCCTCTTGAGTTCAAGCGATTCTCCTGCCTTAGCCTCCTGAGTAGCTGGGATTACAGGCATCCGCCACCGTGCCCGGCTAATTTTTGTATTTTTTTTAGTAGAGACGGGGTTTCACGATGCTGGCCGGGATGGTCTCCATCTCCTGACCTCGTGATCCGCCCACCTCAGCCTCCCAAAGTGCTGAGATTACAGACATGAGCCATCACGCCCGGCCTTGACAAGGTTTAAATGCATTTTCCATTGATCATTTGTACAACAAAGTCTAATTTTATAAAATTCATCGCTATACATTTTTGTTAGGGGAACTGCTTAGGTAAAATCATGGTGATTACATATTCCCTTGTCCCAGCAAATAAATATTCTCAGTCAATTTTTATACTGGAGACTGATAACTATTTGTATTGTATTAGTCCTAGTTTTAGTATTTATGTACCATTTTTTGCTACTCTTTAGCATCCAAAAATCTATTTTAAATTATGCATCTATTTTTTAAATATGCATCTATTTTTGTGGATTAAATATGTCCTCATCATTATAATTGCAATCATCATCAGCTAACCTTTATTGAAGGAATAATATGTGGCAGGCACTGTTCTTAGCTCTTTATTATGTATTATCTCATTTATCCTTCATAACAACTCTGAGATTATTATTCATTACTTATCAACTGAGGAAATTGAGGCATGGAAGGATTAAGTCACTTGCCAGAACAATTTTCTGCTGCTAAACATTATAGAAACTCTGAAGCTGAGAGTCAAACCTGAGTTACCTGACTGCACCAACAACAGCAATGATATATTTTTTAGGAACGTCGAGCCCAGTGTTCTTGCCTCAATTGCAGTCTTGCTGCCTCTTCTATGTTTTTGCCCCAGTGTGGTGTGGTCCACTCTGCAGTCTTCCTCTTCCACCTGGCTCTGGGGAGCTGCCTCACTGGGCTTAGTGCCCCCACTTTCTGATGACTGTTTTGATACTTGACTGACTGATCTGGGGGAAGATTCCAGGAGGCCATCCCAGTACACGGGTTTGAACTCTGCATCTCCATCATTAATCTGGTTGCCTTCTGCTGATATCATATGTTCATGCAAAATCTGGATCCAAACATCCTACGGAGAATTTGGAGATGTTTATAAATATATCCAGGAAATAGCATTCCTGAACATGTAAGGTGGGGGGATGAGTTTGAGGGGCTGAAACTATATGAAGAAGTTTTTGTTTCACACAACAAAACAGCTGACAATAATCTTTGTTTACTATGAAAGAAATCAGGAAAGAGTCAGGAAGAGTACCACATAATCAAACTCTAAGGAGGATTAGAATGAAGGGCGATTGAATTGTGTGGGGTTATGTGGGCAGTTCTTCTTGATACCACTCAATATCCACTGAGCCCTGATCCCAATGTGTGCCCAGGAGAGACCAGGAAGAAAACAGGGACCTTCTAATATTCAAGAAGAGTATCATAGAGAGTTTAGGTTAGCTGTTAGGTTAGCTGTAGAGGAGAACAATCTGACTTAAAGAATATTTAAATATTACACTGACATCCCTGGTAAATTTAAATCAAATGTCAGTCAATTGGATGAAGAGGAAAAAATCCAACCAGGCCATTTACTTAGTGGTGTTAGATCTATAAAGCCTATTAATGATCAACTGAATTCTTTATTGCCCTGATTAAATGTACCACACAGTTTGGTATCAACATGGGTGTCATTAGGGACTACAGAGAATCGATAATTTCATTCCATGATGATGCTTAAAAATATAACGACTGTCTTCGTATCTCAAGGAAAGCAGCTTTCTTTTAAAGAGAAAAGAATAAACAAGATCATGCATTAAAATTGTTCTAGTTTTTCTAATCATTAACTATATATACAAATCATGACTGTGTGCATGTATATATAATTCATAAAAAGAGAAGTAGATATATTTAACTGGTATTATGATTAAAATATTTAACACATATTTATTGCAAACCTACTATGTGTCAGATGTTGTATATAGGGACTTTTACATCCACTATCTTATTTAACATTGTGGTTAAATACTCATTTTCATTTTCCTTGTAAAAAATAAAATCTAATCCCTTTGTAGCCTGAGGGAAACCACTTAATCTTTATTCTTCGATTTTATTTAAAATTGAGATGATAATATTTACCTCCCAAGGCACCATGCATACTAATTAATTAATGTTGGCAAAGATCTTGAAGACAAAAAAATGTGGAAATTCTAAACCTAATATCATGTTTTTATTCTTTACAGTGCCTTGATATCCTTTTCCTTTTTTATTCTACTTCTTATCAGTAAGGTAACTTTCTATTTGAAATAATTTGACATTGGCTATACCTATCATCTGTTATTAAGATCATTTGACTAAGGATGATATTTATCCTAATGTTTGCATATACATACCAAAATGTGTTCACCAAATATATGCAAATTTAACTCAAAACATTATGATGATTTTTTTATATTGGCTTCCATGAGATTTCAAATAGATATGAATAGCTAGAAGGGAATAAAAAACTGAGTTTTTGATTATCAGTTAATGAGATACTTCAAGATAGCTTCAATGTTAAGTAGGCAAGTGGAAAGGATGGTCACTTGTCTTTTAACTTTTCTAATGGGGATCACATTCATCTAGGTTGGCCCCATCCTCGCTGAATATGTTTTAGGAATACTCAGAATAATATGCTTATTCTTCTGAATCTACTTTGTAATACTTAAGCAACAATTTTATATACTTAATATCAACAGAAAAACCCTTTAAAAACTACAGTTGAATTGTGTTCTTCTTGAACTTCCCTGAAAATAATATTAAAGTTTTCAAATATGGCTCATGTCATATGGTATTCATCTGACTCACAGTATTGTTTGATTCCTAATACCTGTAAGTGAAAGGACCTCAGAAATCCTCAAATAAAAAGAAATGAGCTTGCAAGTAAATAGAATGGGCAAATCCATGAACTTTTAGTGTGCTTTTTTAAAAGATCCAATGTTATAGTTAAAAAAAAACAACTTATATTTCTCTCAAATCAATGTTAATATCAATCTCAGTGTCCCTTTCCCTTTTCTTCCATTTCCTACCCTAATATCTATATTGTGAGGTAATTCTGGAAAAGCATTATCTTCCAAACTTACACAACATATTTGCCTTAATTTCTTCCATATTCTGAAATTTAAGGAATTAGTTTGGAAAATAACATTTTTTGATCAATAAATGATTTATTAATCCTGTCTAAAATAACACATTTGTACATATGTTCTTATCAACTGTCCAAGATACAATATCAGCAGACAAAATCTGTGAGGAGTTTGCAAGCTATACTTTGGTTACAGTTAAAAAATAACTATTAGAATCAAAATAGGTTGGTGTATTTATGGAACAAAGCCAAAATTAGGGCAAAAGAGGGATGACCTTGGAGAATTGATTAAGCCATCTTTCATTAAGGAAATAATAGCATAGTAGGAGTTGAAAATTAGACAACTGAAGTGAAATTGATGTTGGGTGTGGTGGCTCATGCCTATAATCCTAGCACGTTGGGAGGCCGAGGCAGGAAAATTGCTTGAGGACCAGCCTGCGCAACATGGTGAGACCCCATCTGATATGGTTTGGATATGTCCTCACTCAAATCTCATCGTGAATTGTAGCTCCCATAATCTCCACATGTCATGGGAGAGACCCAGTGGGAGGTCATTGAATCAAGGGGGCAGGTTTTTCTCATGCTGTTTTCATGATGGTGACTAAGTCTCACAAGATCTGATGGTTTTATAAACGGGAGTTCCCCTGCACATGGTCTCTTGTCTGCTGCCATTTAGACATGCCTTTGCTTCTCCTTGGCCTTCCACCATGATTGTGAGGCCTCCCCAGCCGTGCTCAACTGTGAGTCAATTGAACCTCTTTCCTTTATAAATTACCCAGTCTCGGCTATGTCACTATTAAGCATCATGAAAACAAACTGTGAGAAAAATAATGCATAATTAATTCAAATCAAGATGTAAGAGGAACTGTGAATATGCTGATTTTTGAATTTTGCCCAGCAGGGAATCAGTCAATTAATATTGCCTAAAAGGGAAACCTCTGGTGTCAAAGTTATCAAAAATTAAATAAAAATTTTTCAAAAAGTGAAACTTGTCATTTGGTCAATAACTAAATTGTTTCATAATGCTTTTTCCCCTTGATTTTGGAAATTAATTCCTTCTGAAGTGGAAAATATTTTTCAGAAGTTTAACAGATCCTTAAATTACATTTTAGACTCTTGCTGCTGTCAAAAAATTTAAAGACCTTTTATTTTTAACCGCCATTGCTAATGTGATTCCACCTTATAAATATTATCCGTCAATATATCAATTCACTTTTGCTTTAAAATGTATAGTTGCATGTGGTCATCTGGAATGATGATCACTTAGTATAAATGAAATTATATCTGAGTGTTGACATTTTTAAGCAATTATTACTTTCATCTTTGTAACTGGATTTCTTATAATAGGCATATATATTTTAATGAAAAATCTGTATTCTGTAAAACACTGTGAATAATCATAGACCATTCATATAATGCTTTATAATAAACAAGTAAACTAACAGCCGTACAAACCTGGGTAGGTCAGAATGTGGGTGCAGAAAGACAAGAAAAAGGAGGCAGAAACCTTTCAGCTAGGAAGATAATACTCACTAAACATATAGATATGTTTGAATTTTAGGGCAAATGCTAAGAGTGTTAGAACAGAAAGATGACAGCTATTTGGCACATGATTGAAGAAAATACTTTTATTTGGTAATTTTTTTCTGTAGAGTTCAGTGCTTCCTCTGAGAGAGGAAATTCTTACCAATGTACGTGGGATGGCTCCTCCAAAGTGAATCACAAAGATTAATGGCTTTAGGAGCACTTGTCCATCCCGGTCCCAGACTCCAACCCCATGGTGAGAAATAGGTGAGCATTCCTCTGTCAGATATGAGGACTTCAGTTTCTATGCTGTCTGGTATTCAGAAGCCAGAGGAAGTGTCTGGCCTATGAAGTGCTAGGAGAATGTGGGATGATGGAAGATGCTGGTTCTCACGTGTTCTGTACCCTTAATTGGGTCAATGGATAGGGGTAGGTACAGTTCCAGAATATGAAAATATCACATTGTGAGAATTTCATGCAGGGCCAACATTCAAAAAGGAAGTCAAAATGATGCTTCTGTGCAAATAGAGCACTAGATCTGTTCATAAATACTGAACAAAAGACATGAAGAGACAATGTATGTTAACTACAATGAGTGAATGAACATAAAACTGCCCAACTCACTTGGAATAAAAGTCAAATTGTGCCATTTTATGTGATGCAACCATTGTTTGGCATTATAATACCAATGTAATGATCTGTTGGCACTGTTCATCCTAATCTGCAGTTACCCAAGCCTTAGATCATGAGTAACTAGCTGCTGGGCTATTTTCCGTGGTCCCTTGCTTTTGCTTTAATGTAAAATTCTGTTATGAGAAAATATTTTAAAAGTTCAGACAAAAAAATCAATTCTGTAAGAATTAAAGGGTTAAATCTTATAAAGTCAGGAAAACGTAAAACTAGAAAAAGAAGAAAAGAAATCAATGTTTTTTTGATCTCAGCATATGTAAGTCAAAGAGCAATAAAGAATAATGAAGAACATAACATCCAACTAAAAAAGGTAAACACTGTACCAAAAAATACCCATAAACTTTAAAAGTAGAAGACAATACGACTTTATAAAAATTCAGAGTTCAGCCCTTAGTATAGCAAACCTAATTTTCAATTAATAAAATCATTAGCATGCAAAGGACATGAAAAGCAATTTTGAAAAACTAAAAATTGCCAGTTAACATATGGTAAAAGAAAACTTTGCCAGTAATAAAATGAATGAAAAGTTTTTAAATCAGCTGTCATTTTGCATTTCTATAATGAAAAATAGTAAAATCTGATCATATTATTAACTGTTATTGAGAGTTCAATGACATAGGGACCTTCATACACAGCCAGTAAGAGTGTATATATTTTGATACTAATTATCTGGAAAGCAAATGGGTAATGTGAATTTCTAAAACAGCACAGCCTTTGACCTAGTAATATGAATTCAGGAACTCCATCCTAAAGAACCCTATCACATACAAAGATATATTATTTATAACAGCAAAATTTTGGAAACAGCTTAAAAATTCAACAATAAGGAAATGACTAACGAATAATGGAAAATCATATTTTGGAAACTAATGGCCTGAGACAATGCTTATTACTCAATATGAAATGAAAAAAAGCAGAACCCAACTCAACATACACAATAAGGTTTCAACTTTATGAATCATGTATTGTATGTTTGTTTGTATTTATGTATGTATAGAAGAAAGAGAGGTGGAGTAAACATGCCAAAATGCTATTAGTAATACTTTTTCTAGTTTGTAGGATTGTGCATAATTATTTTCATCTTCATACTTTTCTTTACTTTTATGGTTTTTAGAACCAGAATGGATTAAAATCTCTCTCTTAAAAAGTAAGATTTTTTTATAATTGAGGAAAGTAACATCCCTTCTCAAAATTTATTCCAAAGAAATAATACTCGATTTATGAGGAACACTATGCACAAGGAAATTTATCACAGAATTATTCATAATCTTAAAAATTGCCAATAATGATAATGCCCATTAATAAAAGGGATAACTAGTGCAACATCTTTACAATAAAATTTACCACATTCATATAAACAAATACTATGATTATTATGTAAAAATATGGAAAATATTTAAATGGAGAAAGGTCACCAAATGGCATGCAAAGTTTGATTAGGATTGTTAAATGTATACAGATATATATATGTGCGCATAAAATATTCTTTAAAATTCTGAACACTAATAGTTCTGTGTTCAATGGTGAGTGAAGATTTTTACCTTTCTTTTCAAACTTTTTTATGAATGCTTATTTCCTTTTTTATGGTAAATCTTCACTTGATGTTAGCCATAAGGCCAAGAAGCAATGATAAACTTTTTCTTTTTTTTGAGACAGAGTTTTGCTCTCGTTGTGCAGGCTAGAGTGCAATGGCGCCATTTCGGCTCACTGCAACCTCTGCCTCCTGGGTTCAAGTGATTCTCCTGCCTCAGCCTCCCGAGTAGCTGGGATTACAGGCATGCGCCACCACACCCTGCTAATGTTGTATTTTTAGTAGAGATGGAGTTTCTCCATGTTGGTCAGGCTGGTCTTGAGCTCTCAAACTCAGGTGATCCACCTGCCTCGGCCTCCCAAAGTGCTGGGATTACAGGGGTGAGCCACCACGCCTGGCCCGATAAACTTTATTTAGAAGACAAACCATAATATCTGAATCAAGAAACAATAATGAGCACAATCATTCATTTCAATTCTTTGTATTTTTCTTTCTTAATGTCTAATCATTTGTGTGGATGCAGGTCCTCACTCAGACTCATTTTAAGCATGAGTGTCAGTGTTTGTCAGGGAAATGTCATGGGCTTCCATTTTGATTTTATAAGGTATTGAGTTAATGGACTCATTTACTTCACATTTCAGGATGTACGCATGAGAAACATCTTCCCTAAGTTCACTTGTCCTCTTGGGCCAAGGATGCTGATGTTCCACATGTCTATGGAGCTTGCCTTTTACCCTCAGAGCCAGAGACCATTTTTAAGGATGACGCATATTTGGCTATATAGGTCAAGGTAAATTTGGTTTAAAAATCTTTTATAACAATACCTCATATATGATATGTGATATAAACATGATGAGACAGATTCAATATTTTATGAGATAGTTTTATTCTGTGATAAGTTCTCATGTACATTATTAAATGATCACAATAAAGGTATATGCATTTAAGAACCATCCTTCTGTGCAATAGAATTCAACACTATAGGAATCCCAGCTACTCTGGAGGCCGAGGCAGGAGAATCGCTTGAACCCGGGAGGTGGAGGTTGCAATGAGCTGAGATCGCACCACTGCACTGCAGCCTGAGAGACACAGCAAGACTCCATCTCAAAAAATAAATAGATAAATGAAACAAAGCTACCAACTTTTGGAAAGGAGATTTTGTCTGATACTTAGTTTTATTTCTTCACTTAAGGTAATAAAACTGTTTTGAAATTGTTCATTCCACTGGGATGGGACAAGGGAGAAATAAAGAAAGCAATGCAACTGTGGAAATTTCCCTCAAGAAGATGAACAAAGCATCCATGGGAATGGTGACTTGCTCTAGCGAGGTCTTTGGGTTATGCCCTTTCTTTGCTATTATCAAAATCTATCTATTTCACTTCACTAGTTGCCAAAAAAAAAAATGGGGGAAGGAAATAAGAGGCCACAAAAAATGAAAAATTGTAGATGAAATATACATACATGTAAAATCTCATTGGATGAAACATACATAAATAGTGGGAAACGTCATTTTAATTACTACCTTGTGAATACAAAAGTATTTGACTCAATACTAATGATCTTGATACTGGCACTGAACCATAACTAATGTCAAAAAATTGCAAAAATTCAAAGAAGAACATCACCCATAATATCAATGTGTCCTAACATCAAGGTCATTCTCTAATAATGAGGATTTTATCCACTTACATAATTTATGTGTAAATGAAGAATATGGATGCTTTATGTTTCTGAAGGAAAGAAACTTCTACCAATTCCAAGTTTCTGATCCCAGGCAATGCTTTTATTAATATAATTCCAAATGATATCATATTTCTGAAAAAATCTCTTGAGAGTGACTTGAGAGCTGCACCACTCTGTCTAAGAATAGCCAATTACTCTTTTTCACACTTCCTCCTGAGCTGGATAAAAATTATCCATCTCCAATTTATCAGCAAATACATTATAGTTCTGGAACCAAGAGTAAAAGAAACTTTTCCTTAAATTGGCAGCTCTTGGGGGACTGGTCTTTTCTAAAGGTTAGAAAATTTAGCCCCCATTAACTTTCTGTGGATCTGTTTGAAGATTTTATCTGAAGAAGCCGTCTACCTGCTGTCCTCTTGTCCTCTTTACCTTGGCTTGCAGGGTTAGTTTTCTATTTTCGATTCAGTGAAAATATACGTCTTTCAAACCAGTGTCAAGATACTCAGATGGGGTCATGGGAAAGTGTTAAGTGGAGTCACCTAGACTGATGCTGTAGAACTTCAGACACGTTTTCAGAAAAGATGGTTTTGAATGTTAGGCAGGCTAGACGTGAATTGAGTGAACAAGCCTCCCTCAACTTCTGCTGTCATTTCATCTGTTTTTTTAAAGATCCACTGCAAAGCTGCCAGAGCTCTCTAACAGCTAATCAACATTAACAGCAAGCGTGAGGGAGTCAAAAGACCATTTATTAAATTACTAAGATAAAAGAAACGTAAGTTCGATATGCTGAGGTGCCTTACTGTATGACAGGCACACACGACCTCACTTGTTAATTTCTTACTACAGCCCTGTAATTTTTAAAAAAGTATTTGTCCCTATTATACAGATGGGAAAGCTCAGAAATGGTGAAAAACTTACCCAAAGTCACCAAGCTTCTAAGTAAGTGGCAGAGATGGGGTGAAAACTTTGGTTTGTTTGTCGTCAGGATCCCTGCTTTCTTCCAATCTACCTAAGAAGGAATGATATTCCAGCACATGAAGTTCTGTGTTCTCACTGGGAGGTCACATAATAAAGAAATCATTGAACCTCAGAATTAAAAGGCTCAAACGGGGTCATTATTGTGAAGAACGGAGGAAGTTATATCCTGCAATGAATAATTCTGTGTATTGTGGTTTTCTAATGGGAGGCACATAGGCAGAGCGGAGGTGAAATATAGGTGTGGGGGACAAAATAAAGATCAGAGTCCAAAAGAAGCAGAAAAAAGTCATACAGTGGAGGACGAGCAACTTAGAATGTACTAAAAACAGATAAATGCAGACCCGCTCAGAACTGTATTTTCAGCCCTTGTTCAAATGCAGCTGGTTTCAGGCTGCAGGTAGTAATGGCCAAGTTTTCACCTTCACATTTATACCCAGCTCTTCCCCCAGAAGATCGTTCTTTGAGCTGAAAGAAATAGGAGTCAGAAGCTGTGCAGTGGTGCATGCCTGCTCAGCTTATTAAAACATGGGAAGAAGGCAATATTTCACCCCCCAGAAATAAAAAAAGATAGACAAGTGAGAGCAGCTAATCCATCGGAAGAAATTAGCAGGCAGAGTATGTAGCTGTTTGAAATGATGAACGAGGCTGAAATAGCTACACAGGCTAACATCCAGTGGGATAATTACTCCAAGCTCTCAGGCTAAAATCTGTCTTGGAGGAACTGGGAGGCTTTGATGACTCAATTTCAATGGGCATGCTTATGAAATACATAGTAAAACCTATTAAAATTGAAATTGTTCTTGGTAGGTATTCTGTGACTAGGCTGCTGACCCTGTCAGGCGGCTTTTAATAAGGTACACACTATTTTTATTCTCAAAAGTGGCATATACTTTAGCTGCCCACATACTCAGTTTTAACCCTATAATAACTTGCTCCATGATTTTTCCACATATGTATGCTGAGCGTACTTGTATTCTTAAATAAAATGGTGAGTTTCCGAATGAATGGGGACATTGCTGGCTTTTGCTATAACAAAAGCTGCTTCCTCTATTATTCTATTAACTGATTTTTCAGCTTCAGATTTGTTGACAAGCTTGATCATAGTTAACATTCATGGAAATATATGTAAATATTTCCCTTATGCATATTTGCCAATCTAAAAAAAACTTTGTTTTTCCCACTGGTGGTTATTGTGTTATTCCATGACCATAATTAGGCTATTCATGTGGAATATATCCCACTGTAATCCAAAATAATCCTCACACTTCTAAATGAATTAGAATTGAGTAGATTCCACTATCTACATGCCTAGGCATAATTGTTTTAAGGAAAGTATAAAAGGTAAGAAAGAAGCTAGAGGATTTCTGGGGCCATACTACTCAAGTAGCAAATAGATGTCTGGGAGCTTGTAAGAAATGCAGAATCTCAGGCCCCTCTAATTCTGTTGAATTAGAATTTGCATTTTTACAAGATTCCCTGGGTAATACACATGCACTGTTCTCGTGCACAATGGAGTCAAGATTTCTATGATCATTTATCTTGCAAACAACTTTGTGCTCAGCCAAACATTTTTCAAAACGTATTTTGAGGGAAATATCTACACAGAGTTAGAGGAAATCCACTCAAATTACCTATGTTAATAAAACCACCTATTTCTTCAAAAACATAAAAACAGAGTCAAAATCACTATATGATTTGAGGAGATCAAACAGCACAACTAGATGGCAAAGAAAACATGTAATTCAGAGAACAGAAGAGAAAGTATACAAATTTCCAACTGTATCTCAAGATATCTGCAGCAATACCATAATTCACAAAAGGATAAGCCTCTTTGAGAAGAGACCCATGAAGATAAAGAATGAGCTCTTGTGATTTAAAAATGGGATTACTAAAATCAAAATACAGTAAAAATTTGAAAGTTAAGAGTAAAAACAATACCAGAAGGTAGGACATTAAAGACAAGAGCTGGAAAAATTCATTCATTCACTCATTCCTTGACCAAATATTTATTGTGTTCTGCTGTTTTGAGTCAGACAAGGGCTAGGAATGTTGCAGTGAAAAAAAGTCTCTGTGCTCTTAGAGATGTGCACCCAACTTTACTCAGTTCTTATTTGTTCTTTTCAGTTTTTTGTTTGAGACGGCGTCTCGCTCTGTGGCCCTGGCTGGAGTGCAGTGGCATGATCTCAGCTCACTGCAACCTCTGCCTCGCAGGCTCAAGAGATCCTCCTACCACAGCCCCAAGTAGCTGGGACTATAGGCATGTGCCACCACGCCAGGCTAATTTTTATATTTTTTGTAGAGATGGCATTTCGTTGTGTCACCCAGGCTGGCCTCTAACTCCTGGGCTCAAGCCAACTGCCCATCTCGGCCTCCATACGTGCTGTGATTACAGGCATGAGCCACCACACCTGGCCCAGATTCAGTCCTTTTTAGAAGAATATTTACTCTTGTTTTATAAAGCCTATAGTAATAGAGCCTCTTCAGGTATCCTTATTAGCCCATCCTTTTTTGAGCTTCTTCCATGCTATACATCCCATACCAACACTCATAACCCTTGCCTCAATTTACCTCCAAGTCACTCTCCCTCATTCTACAGGCTGATTCATCCACCACTATCTCTAAATGCCAGTGACCTTCACCTTGACTCTTAAGCTACACATTATTATAGCCACATCTTGGAATTTTTTGGCTTTTTTTTTTTATCTATCGGATCCATAATCCTGGAAACCTTAAATTCTCTGACCATAACCACTTGGCCTTCCAGCTGTCTCTGCACTCTACTGCATGGAGGCCTCCAATGCCATGAATTCTTCTTGGTCTCTTCCTTTTAAATCCAATCTGGACCCTATGGTTGATTACAGGAACTACTATGAACTTACACTCTCACTAGCCTCTCAATTTCCTTTCCCTCCTGCACCAAGCCTCCCAAATCCAAGCTCTGGATCTAGGTAACCACACAATGTTAGCAGAAAGTCAAGCAATAATGCAATTCTGGCAAGTGTATAATTTCAGATCTCTGCTGTAACTGTTACATGGTTTGACAATGTTAGAGGAAAATTAAGAAATCACACAATTCTAGCAAGTGTGTAATTTCAGATCTCTGCTGGGACTGTGATATGGTTTGGCTGTGTTCCCACCCAAATCTCACCTTGAATTGTAATAATTCCCACCTGTCATGGGCAGGGCCGGGGGCGATAACTGATGGTCTCCCCCATACTGTTCTTGTCGTAGTGAATAAGTCTCACGAGATCTGATGGTTTTATGAATGGGAGTTCCCGTGCGCAAGTTCACTTGCCTGCTGCTATGTAAGACGTGACTTTGCTCCTCCTTGCCTTCCACCATGATTGTGGGGTCTCCCCAGCTACAATCTGTGAGTCCATTAAACCTATTTCCTTTATAAATTACCTAGTCTTGGGTATGTCTTTATTAGCAGCATGAGTACGGACTAATACAGACTGCAACACCACTTTTATTCAAACCTTTTCTTGTCTTCGATCAATCTACTCTCTCATTTCCCTCAACATATTTCCAAACCATGGCACCATTCTTCAATGCTCTTTTCATCCCCTGCCCCTGCCCAATCCTCAAGAGATCATTATACCTCCTACTTCATACATAAAATTAGGCATTCTATTCTCACTGATTCCTATCTTTTTTCTTTCCATTTTAGAGAAAAGAAAGTCTCCTTTTCTTCAAGCCTTGTCAATATCCTTAACCCCTTCTCCTCCTGCCAACTCCATGACATTGTTCTTTTATTATCTCGTTTCTTTCTCTCTCTTGCATCATCAGTGTCTCCCCTCTTCCTGCCTTCTAGCTCCCTCTTCCAGACAAAAAAAGAAAAAACTGACCTTCTCCTCATGGCTGTCTATCTTCAGTCTAATTCTCCCTTTGAATCAAAATTTCTCTAAAGTGTAGTATTCATTTCATATTGTCAACGTGCAGCTCAACCTCTGCGTGTCTGACTTGCGTCACCTGATTGCACTTTCTAAAATTCCACCTTCTTACTGCCAAATTGGCATTTTATTGTATTTCTCTATGGCATTTGATACCTATGTCTGTTGTAGTAGCACTCAAACTCTCCATTCTGCTGGCTGTCCTCCCTTCTCTGGCCATGTCTTCCTTCTTGCTCATGAACTCCTCTTTCTTCTCCTACCTTTAAATGTTGGCATTTATATAATATATTTATCTCAAGGTTTAACTGGCTTGTTATATTGTTCCTGAGTGACCAGATTTACCCCCTTCTCTTGGTTTTGGCAACTATTTGTATGCAAGTAACTAACACATTCACACCTTTAGACCAGACCTATGCTGGGGATCAGGTTCATTTATTCAAACCGCCTGCTGGATATGTCAATCTAGATATTACTCAAGCACCCAAAACTCAATGCCCAATAGAAACCCATCTTTCCCCCAAACTTCTTCTGTATTTCCAATCTTCCTTCACGGTACCACCATCCACAAAGACCCCCAAAGATAGAAGTTATTCTTGATTCCTCCTCAAACAATCAATTATCAAGGCCTTAAATATTTCTGAACTCTAATTTTTACTTGCTCTTCCTACAGGTTTAAGTCATCATTTTCTCTCATGAAGATTTTTACAAAAACCTCTTGCTTCTATTCTTGACTTCTCAAACTCAACTTTCACAAGTCCAGCAGGGTCCAATATTCATTAAGTAATTTATTTTCCAAATAGTTATTGACCACAAATATTTATATTTACAGTATGGGGGAAAGATTATTAGTGACTAGGTAAGGATGGTAGCAATATACAATTTAATACTATATGAAATTCTATAGTAGAATTCTAATTTAATACTATATTAAATTCTAGCATTGTTGGCCACTTGTTTTTGAACACCTGTGACATAAGAGTAAATTTTACATTTTTATGTGGTTGAAAAAAATGTCACCAGGTGTGATGGCTCACACTTGTAATCCCAGGACGTTGGGAGGCTTAGGTGGGAGGATTGCTTGAGCTCAAGAGTTCAAGACCAGCCTGGGCAACACAGTAAGAACCTGACTCTACAAAATAATAATAATAATAATAGACAGGCATGGTGGTGCGTGCCTGTAAGCTGAGGTAAGAGGATGGCTTGAGCCCAGGAGGTCGAGGCTGCTGTGAGCTGTGATCACACCACTGCACTCCAACCTGGGTGATGGACTGAGACCAAGAAGAAAGAAAAAGAGAGAGAGAGAGAGAGAAAGGAGAGAGAGAGAAAGAGAAAGGGAAAAGAAAGGAAAGGAAGAAGGAAGGAAGGAAAGAGAGAAGAAAGAAAGAAAAAGAAAGAAAAAAAGAAAGAAAAGAAAGAGAAAGAAAGAACTTAGTGACACATAAAAATTCAAATTCAATGTCCAAAATAAAGTTTTATTGGAATCCAGCCATGCTCATTCATTTATGTGTTGTCTATGGCTGATTTATGCTATAACAGCAGAGTTGAATAGCTATGATACAGACTGTCTGGCCAGACCATCTGGAAATTCAGACATCTGAAAGTATTTACTATCTCCCCTGCTATAGAAAAAAAATGGTATCTGCTTATGGCATTTCTAAAATTTAATCATATAATCCCCTCAAAGAAGAGAAAAATGGTTTCAAGGTTTTTATAGTTTATAGACTCTAAAATGCTTATTTTAATTTATATATCTTCAAATAATACTTAGTTTAGTAGACTTTAAATATAAAAGTTACCTTTGTAGTTAGTTCAATACATGTTTGTTGAGTACCTATGTGTGGCAAGTACTTTTCTAGGCACTGAACATACAAAGATAATAAATACAGGCCAGTGAGTTAGAAAAATAAATTCCATAAAATTAACCAAGGTTATGGAAAAGTTTACAAAAGATTATGGTTTATGAAAGACAGAAGTGGGTTCTTAGTCAAGCAGGAATGTTCAGGAAAGTCTTTCTGATGGAAGGGACCGCGTAACTAGAACTGGAAACAGCATATTCTCCCTCAACCCAGCTTCTCTAATAAAAGTAATTCATTTGTTATATTCATTTATTCTTGTGCTCAAAGAAGTGATAAGAATTATTCATCTCTTTTTTAAAATGGCAATATTTTAAATTTTCCATAAATATGTTAAAACTAGACAAATCAGAAAGCTTTCATTACTACACAACTGTTTGAAGACTAGTATTTTCACCAGGTTAATGGCCATTGCCATTTGAGCCTACAATCATAATGGATACGGAAAATAACATAAATCTGATGGATGGTGCATAATGCAAATATTTTATACTTGTTCGCTGGGTATGTGTGTCCGATAATTGTACATTTAATACTTTTGGATCTCAATTAATTCAGGATGATTGGATATTAGTGAAAATAAAAAAATACAAACACCATAAAAATGTTACCTGAAAGGGTATTTCATTACCTCTAGAATGTAGGAGACATTCCTCTCATTAGCATCTTCTACTAAATTAGGGATTTATGCTGTTGGATTATTTGTGGCTTAGTCAAAGCTCATAAAATAGACAGTAGCCAATAATGGAGAGGAAGGATTTATTACCAAAGAGCCAAGTCTCTTGTCCTTTTTTTTATGTCATGTTGTCAGAAATTACTTAGACACATCTTTTCATATTTCCTTCAGGAAAAAAGAGAGAACAGATATTTTTTTAAAGTCACTGACTTTTTTAAAAGAGTAGATTTAAATGTAAAGACCCTCAAGCTTTTATACTGGCCACTAAAATTTCATTTGCACGGATCCAAGTACCAGCTGGAGAGACACTTAGGTAACATGATTTTTAAAATTATTTATCATTTCTTCCTCGGGTTATACTTGCCAAGTCCACCACGTAGATGAACTTAAGAGAAGCTGAGTTCTTGACTGGAATGCATGTTATCAGACAAGATCAGAACTGGGAGATAGTCGTAATAAATCATCCAAAATACTGTGCTATTATCCACCTACCACAGTGGACAGTAGCTGCACATGAGTCTGAGCATACTGAGTGTTTCCATATGTGTCATTGACTTTCTCAGGCCCCATCAGTTTCCAGCACTGAAGCTTTGCCTAGGCAATATGGATATGTTGGACAAATGGACAGTGACTTGCCTAGAAATCAACAGAACTTGAAGGTGGGATAGATATGAAGGTTGCAGAGGAACGAGTGATTGAGAATGACTGTGAAAGCCATTCTAATTTACCAAACATTTGTTTTATGATTTCTTGATACTATAGTTTCAGAGGCTTTGTCTAAAGCCAAGATATTTAATGGATCTATAAGTTACACAGTTTTTTTTACTAGGACTTTATATGTATGTGTATATTTTTTCTTTATATATTTTAATTAAAAATAATTTTAAAGGCTTCTTTTTTGTTTTGTTTTGTTTTTTTTTGTTTTTTTTTTGGAGACAGGGTCTCACTTTGTCACCCAGGCTGGAGTACAGTGGCACAATCATGTTTCACCATAGCCTTGACTTCACAGGCTTAGGCGATCCTCCCACCTCAACCTCCTGAGTAGCTAAGACTACAGGCGCCCACCACCATGCCTGGCTAATTTTGTATTTTTTGTAGAGACAGGGTTTTTCCACGTTGCCCAGGCTGGTCTCAAACTCCTGGACTCAGCGATCTGCCCACCTTGGCCTCCCAAAGTGCTAGGATTACAAGTGTGAGCCACCACACCCAGCTGGACTTACTATATTTTTAACAGACTAGTTTATTTAAATTTTATTACAAATGATGCTCTTACTTGAAACCTAATGCAGAATATAATGTGTAAAAGTATTATATCTTCATTCAAAAACACATTTATTTTTATTTTTTTAGAGACAGGGTCTCACTGTGTTGGCTTGGCTGGAGTGCAATGGCTACTCTCAGGCACCATCATGGTGCACTGCAGCCCCAAACTCCTGGCCTCAAGCATCCTCTCACCTCAGCCTCCTGGATAGCTGGGATTACAGGCCTGCCCCACCATGTCTAGTAAAAAAACATTTTAAAAACACATTCATGCCTTAGAAATAATATTAGTTACCATATGCCTTGGAAATAATATAATATAAAGCACATATGTCCTTTAGTAAAGAATAGCATAGAATGCCATAAAGTTTATAACATATTTTAAATTAAATAATTAAATTAAATTAAATTACCTTAATTTTAATTATCTAACTCAACCTTAATTTATTTAATAATTAAAATGTTTTAAATTAAAGTACATAGAAAATTTGGCCCTAATTCATGTGATTTAAGTTGCAAACTTGAGTTTTAATTTTAAAACTTCTAAGATCTTGGAAATAGCCAGTGGAAGTATCATTCCTTGAAGCAAAAATATTTATTCAGTGCCTATTATACATAAATTAGTGTGATAGGTAATTGAATACACATGAGTTTCTCAAGTTGCATATTATCTTGTGAATGAACAACTGTTCAAATGAGATGTATTGGACTGAATATAACAATGAGATAGGCTTTTTCTCTGTCAGATTAGCAAAACTTATTTACTTATTTATTTAATTGTGTATTGTCTTAAAAATGAATGTCTTATACAATACATTATCAAATATATTTACACTGTAAAAAAATCTGTTCACTTCATATAAGAATATGCTATGTTAATATCCTAATATATGATGTTATGATTTTGAAGGCTTAAAAAATACCCTTCTCATAAAACTAATTCAGAATAATACTAAAACAAACCATAATGAACTAATAAAACTTTGCCTTTCTAAATAAAACTGGTACTGTCAGCTGATTTCATCCCCAAGCATCGTTTTATGCTTTAATGACGGAATCCATTTCTGATGGCTCTGATAGCAGAAATCCTTTCTGACACCTTCAAGTTTTCTCTCTACTCCTTTAGCCTGCCTTGCATTGTTTCATAGCATCTTTGGCATTCAAAATCTTTCCTTCCTTTACCTTTTTTCACATAATGAAAATGTACTCAGTCCTTTGGAACCTGCCAGCAGAAAGGAAATAGCATTTCTCCTTGTGTGTGTACAGATGAAAGACTGCATGGCTTAGTCACTTGTGTACACAATCCCAAATCTTAAAATGCTAGGACTTAAGATATTCAGAGATGTCTTCACACTTATGTTTTTAGTCAAAGCCTATAAGAATAAACATTACAGTAATCTCTCCTTACACGTGGTTTTGCTTACTCATGGTCTGCATCAGTCCAAAAATATTAAATGAAGAATTCCAGAAATAAACAATTCATAAGTTTTAAATCGGGCACTGTTCTGAAGAGCATGATGAAATTTCATGCCATCCCACTCTGTCTTGTCCAGGACATGAATCAACCACATTGATATCAAAGCTACCCACCAGTTAGTCACTTGGTCGCCTCCTCAGTAATCAGATGGACTGTTGCAGTATTGCAGTGCTTTTGTTCAAGGGACCCTTATTTTACTTAATAATAGCCCCAAAGCACAAAAGTAGTGCTGCTGGCATATCGTTATATTTTATTATTAGCTATCATTGTTATTCTTCTACTGTGCCTATTTATAAATGAAACTTTATTATAGATATGTATGTATAGTGGTACATCACTTAACAACAGAATATGTTCTAAGGAATGTGCCGTTAGACGAATTTGTTGTGTGAACATCGCAGAATGTATTAAACAAACCTAGATAGTACAGCCTACTACACACTTCTGTGGAAGGATATGGCCTATTGCTCCTAGGATTATGTATAGCATGTTACTGCACTGAATAATGTAGGCAATTGTAACACAATGGTACGTTTCTAAACATTTTTAAAAGGTGCAGGCCAGGTGCGATGACTCAAGTCTGTAATTCCAGCACTTTGGGAGCCGAGGCAGGAGGATCACTTGAGGTTAGGAGTTTGAGACTAGCCTGGACAACATGCAAAAACACCATCTCTACAAAAAATACAAAAATTAGCTGAGTGTGGTGGTGTGTGCCTGTAGTCCCAGCTACCCGGGAGGCTGAGGCAGGAGAGTCGCCTGAACCCAGGAAGTGGAGGTTGCAGTGAACCACACTCCAGCCTGGGTGACAGAGTGAGACCCTGTCTCAAAAAAGAAAAAAGGGGCGGTGCAGTAAAAATACCATATAGAAGCTCCATTATAATCTTATGGGACCACTGTCATATATGTGGTCGGCTGTTGAGACCAGAACATTGTCATTATGCAGCAAATAATTGTAGGTAAAAATATGGCAGGTATATTTAGGGTTTGGTATTATTTGTGGTTTCAGGTATCCACTGGAAGTCTTGAAACATATTCCCCTTGGATGAGAAGGGACTACTGTACTTGTATTTCCTTAATGTTCAGTCATAATATGGCTAAATAAAATATCAAAATAAAAAACAGTTTTCCTATGAGAGCCATGTCAGAAAGTCTAATTTATTTTTCTAACAAATATATAGTTTGAATATATCAATAATATAGAAATATGGTCTTTTTAAAATCTTAGCTAATAAAATGTTATATTTTCAGTTCAAATAAGTTTTCCCCTTTACTTATCAATTTTCTTTTTCAGGCTGCTTTTGGAACAATTCCTGCCATTGACCTGTTTCAAAACAAATTGTTTCCTAGGTCAGTATTATTTCTTTGTACAAATAAGTAAGTGCTATTAAATGAATCTTGTGTTCAGACATCAAAGCAATCAAACTTGCTGAGTATTGCAGCTGCTCACTCTCCATAGCTAACCCCATAATAGTAGGTGTTAATGTATACCATTTAATGGACTTTTATTTTTCCTATAATTTAGGGAGCAAAACACAGCAGATAAAAAATGATAGAATTTTTTATAAAACATTATTTAATAAGTGTGAAACATTGAACTATAAAAAAGAGTGGAATTACATTTTCTACTGGATATGTTAACTATAAGTTGTTTCATTTCAATATCTTAATATACATTTATGAAGTTTTTGTGGAGTAAAATATTTGTTTTTACTTGTTAAACCCATGTACATTGGAGGAATTTAACTACATTTTTAGCAATAACCCACAAAACATTACAAACATAATATAAATTCTTTCTTAAGAAGTCATAAGTGCAAAATCCAGTTGATAGGTATTTTCCACTATGAGACTATTAGAAATCATAAGGTAATTCAGAAAGGTGGCTAGTTGCAAAATAAACATCAAAAGTCAGTAACATTTTTATAAAAGAGCACTAATCAGAAAAATAATGGAAACATTATTATTCCATATTATCCCATTCATGTTAACAACAGATACCTTTAACAGAGTAAGAAATGAATACTATAAGCAAAGATAGAGGCTTTTGTGAAGAAAATCAGAAAATCTTCCTATGGTATATGAAAGGGATTTGAAAGAGGACTTGAAACAATTGACTTATTTCTGGCTGGTAAGAGCTAATAGTCAATTTCTCTCTAATTAATTTGTTGGTTAATACAATTCCTAACAAAATTCAATGGAATTTTATTTTGTGTTTACAAAATGATTTTAAGTTCATGATAAAGACTAAATAAGCTAAAAAAACCCCTGTGTTTATATATAAGTACACACATACACACACAGAGAGAGAGAAAGAGTGAATGATGAAGGGAGAATTGAATTTTTATGTATTTAAAATTATGTCATATAGAACTAAAACAACAAAATATGCAAATTCAGTGATAGAGAAGGAATGACAAATCAATGACTGCACTAAAAAGTCCCCAAATCTACCTACCTTAAGAATTTAATATATAATAAAAGGTTTTTTAATCTATGAGGAAACAGCAAACTCTTCATTAAATTGTACTGACAATTGATGTAGGTTATCAATTTTACAAATGAAGAAACTAAAGCACAGAAAGGTTAGGTAACTTTCCCACAGTCACACAGGTAATATTTAACAGAGCTAAGACTCAAAGTTAGGCAGGTTCATTACAGAGTCTGAGCCTTTATCATTTTACTATCTCTTTCTAATATTTAATTTTTACAGAAATCTTATTTTACAAAGAAAATTGGACACAGAAAGGTCAAGTAACTTCTCAAGGCCACATATCAAGTAAGAGATTGCTTTTGGAATTTGAATTCAGACAGTCAGAATAGTTATTTGGTTTTTAAATGGTTTTTACTAATGAAATTAAAATTTTCTAAATTAAGATCTTTTGAAGTGGTCAGATTATTTTTCTAAAACAGTTCCATCAATTATCATAAGCTGTATCTAATTCAGTATTATGTCTAGTGTTTGGATAAGAAATCTTATTGTAAGAAATAAGAGAGGCCTAACAACACCAACTATGATTTCTCAATTAAATAGAAACATGGATTAAACATTTTTATTTTCAATTAAATTCTCCAAAATAAGCGTAATTCAGATTTCACCTCCTTTGAGATTTTTTTGAACTTTATTTCACTTCCATACCCCAACCTTATAACAAAATTAAGTGCTTCCTCCTCATGGTTTTGTTTTTTTCTTACCTCTGGTTGAGCACAGACCCCACTGTATTATAGTTCTCTGTAAAAATGTTTGCTGCATCAATAAATCAAAAGTAAAGCATAAATTATTTGTATTCTCAGTGGATATTGCAGTGCCTGGCCTGTAGTAGAAGCTCAATAAATATTCCATATGGTCCTGAACCTGTTCATCTATATTTACAGAGCATCCTTCTGCACAGTATGAAGCTGGAAGCTATTGAGAAATAGACAAGAACTTTTGACCCATAATCTCCAGAATCCAGAAGGGAGCAGATAAAACACTAGACATAAGAATTTTAAAATCTGACTTC
The DNA here is from genome assembly GCF_000001405.40 of Homo sapiens. Lineage (NCBI taxonomy): Eukaryota > Metazoa > Chordata > Mammalia > Primates > Hominidae > Homo > Homo sapiens. The sequence goes on from NC_000001.11 coordinate 218,213,148, forward strand.
CGATCTTGGCTCTATGTATGACTTTTTAGCTATTGACCACTGTGATTCATTTATCTTTCTATAAAACAGAAATAATAGTTACCTCCCAGGGTTTCTGTGAGCAATAAATGAGAAAATATGGTAGGACAAATTATAATGTCTATTATGTGTTACTGGTCAACAGTGTTTACTCTATTAACATTAATCTAGCCATTTATTAAGCTGCTGTGACATGTCACCTTTTCTGCCAACCATTCTATATATTATTTTATGTAATCCTCATAAAAACTCTTTATTCAGCTAATGATGTGCTAATTTTACAGATAAACTGAGATTCAGAGAGGTTAGGTAAGTTGCTCAATGTCACACAACTAGAAAGTAAGAGACATGGAATTTCAGCTCAGAATGCCTGAATACAATCTCTGCCCTTAGACACTATTATTTTTTTTTCTGCAAAGCAATATCTAAAACATTGCACATCATTATGCTCTTAAAAAGCTATATATTCTAAACCATAAATACTAAAAAGACATAGATTTTGCAGGGAGCAATACAAAATAAAGACTTCCTAGATGACTTTAGTTTTGGAGCTGAAAGTGACCCTGCACTAGTAGAATCAGGATTTAGAAAATGCCAAATGACTTCCAAGTTTCTTGCCTATTCCAAATTTTGTTTCCAATCTACGAACTACTGAATGTTTCAGTTGAATGTCTCAAGGACTGTTCAAGCTCAACAGATCTAAAATTAAATTAATCCATCTTTTTCTTCTACCTTTGATGCAGAAGGGGGGCAGGGAAGTGCTGGGAGGAGAAGGGGGAGGTCCCTGATGAGGGCTGCATCCCTCGGCGTGTGCCCATGGACCTAGGTGAGGAGAGGCACTCCTGCCTTCACGCCCAAATGTTGCATTTCCCAAGACCAACCTCTCCTGCCACACCACCATCCTGTGCCTGTAAAAACCCCCAAGACCCTAGCAGGCAGACAAACAAGTGGCTGGATGTGGAGAGGAACACATTGGTGGAAGAAGACACAAGTAGCTGAACGTCGAGGGGAGCACGCCAGCGGAAGAGCACATGACAGATGTTGGCACACCGGCAGGCCATCTACCAGTAGAGAGAGGGGAAGTTTGGCCTCGGCAGTCCCTGAGGAGACCCCAGGCCGCTCAGCAGCCCGACTCCAGGAGAAAACCTTCCTACTCCATCCCCTTCTGGCTTCCCCCATCTGCTGAGAGCTGCCTCCACTCAATAAAACCTTACACTCATTCTCCAAGTCCAGGTGTGATCCGATTCTTCTGGTACACCAAGGCAAGAACCCGGGATACAGAAAGCCCTCTGTCTTTGCAACGAGGTAGAGGATCTAATTTTGCTGGTTAACACAAGCCGCCTATAGATGACAAAACTAAAAGAGCACATGGTAACACACGCCCACTGGGGCTTTAGGAGCTGTGAACATCCAACCCTAGACTCTGCCGAGGGGTCAGAGCCCAACAACCTACTTGTCTGTATGCTCCCCTAGAGGTTTGAGCATCGGAGCACTGAAGAAGCGAGCCACACCCCCTATCGCACGCCCTGCGAAGGGGACAAGGGAACTTTTCCCGTTTCACAATGACTTATGTGCTACTCTCTCCCCCATTCCCCCCCATTATTGTTTTCTTCCCCTGTGTTATTGCATCGTATCTATGGACTACAACTCAACCCTCTCCCAAAAGCTCAAGTCAGAAATATAGAATTCCTGCTTCAACCCTTTCTCTCTCCCATAATGTTTTCTTAAATTCCCCCACTTCTGCTTCTTCCAACCTTTCCTACCATATAATGGAAATACCCAGTGTTAACTACAGCAGCTTGTATCAGGGTCAATCCTCCCAATCTGTTCTCCAAACTTCATCCAGAGGAGGGATGCTGGCTGAAGTTTGGAATGCGCTTCAGATCAAGCTGCTCCTTCAGGCAAATATTTGAAAAGATTCTCTTTGCCTTGGGGTGGGGACATGGGGGAGCAAATATTTTAGCAGGTTTTACAGTCCTCAACAAAGCTTTATCCTACAGTATTATTCCATTTCCGCACCATTATAAAGAACTGCCTGAGCCTGGGTAATTTATAAAGGAAAGTGTTTTAATTGACTCACATTTCAGCATGGCTGGGGAGGCCTCAGGAAACTTACAATCACGGGGGAAGGCAAAGGGGAAGCAAGGCACCTTCTTCAAAAGTCGGCAGGAAAGAGAAGTGCCCAGCGAAGGCGGAAGAACCCCTTATAAAACCATCAGATCTCGTAAGAATTCACTCTGTATCACAAGAACAGCACTAGGAAACCACTCCCGTGATTCAATTACCTGCACCTTGTGTCTCCCTTGACACATGGGGATTATGGGGATTTGGGGGAACTACAATTCAAGATGAGATTTTGATGGGGACACAAAGCCTAATCATATCATCTACTCACCCTACTGGAAACCTGCTGACAGCTCCACTGTCCTCTAGCTACATTAAACTTCTCACAGTTTGGGCTTTTTGTCTTTGAAATTCTTTCTGATGGGATTGTGCCAATACCCCCTCCACCCACTCACTTTCTCTGCCTAACTTGTATTAAAATTATCTGCTTATTGTCTGTTTCCAGACTTCAAATTCTATGCTATATTTTGTAGTACCTAGCTTAGTGCCTGGCTCCTGATGCAAAATGACTCTCTCTCTCTCTCTCCCCTCCAACCCCATCTCTATTTCTTTCTTTATCTATCTCTCTCTATCTCTTTACCTACCTATCCATGTTGGTAGGTTGTGTATTATACAAAAGTAACATCTAACCAGTTAAAAGAGAAGTAATTCTTTGACTGTGGGTCAGGTGTTCTGATTTTCATTATCTAGCTTTAATTTTAATAAAATAGCTCACCTTCAAGAAATGTCCCAAAACTTCTAGCTAACAGCAGGTTTATTTTTATACTTGCTCAATACAATATAATTTATAGGCAAAATATATTCCTCTAATCTCAGTCACTTCCCAATTTAAATGTAGATGCAACTTACAAAATATTTGCTAAAATTTTGTTGTGACCACACAAAAAAAAATTCTGTAGTTTGCTTCTCTGTTTTTGCTTTGTCCAAATGACTTCATATGTTGAATTCAAATTCTCAGCCCAGAGATTAATATTTTAAAAAAATGCCTACATATATTCATATTTATCTAACAGAACATTTTTGAGGACCTATTATATACTAGGCACATTACTAGTTCCTAAGGATAAACAAAGGTTTTGAAAATATCTCCAATCTCTAGAAGCCTACAGTGCATGGAGGCTGATAATGTTCACATTCAGTGAAATAACATCCAAGAATGCTGAATCCAATGTTTGCTACATAGAAGGCACTCAACTAATATTAGAATAAATAATCAGTATGTGATATGGTAATTACTATTTTACTGGTTTATTCAGAAACCTCATTCAACATCCTCTTTGCATCTGAAATTATTTTATACAACACAAAATTACAAATATATTAACCAAATACATTTTTATTTACAAAACTAACATCTCTAAAGTCCACAAGCATCTAACACATATCCAGAACAGATATGAGGAGGGAGGACAATTAATGTTATATTAAATAAAAGAAAACTGATACATAGAAGCAAATTCAAAATCTAAATCACTGCCATTATTTTAGCTATTTTGTTTTTGTCCTAGTGCTAATGTCACCGAATAATTTTAAATGGCTTTAAAGTAGCATGTTTGTTGTTTTGCCACAGATTAGGGAAATCATGGTTTACTGGCCAACTCACTGACCTTCCAAAATCCTGAGTTAAAATCCTCTTAGCACAAGTTGTTTTAATGTGAACTTAATACAGAAACTCAGAACCTGAGAAAGGAGATCTGAAAGGCACCTTTCTGAAAAACAATTGATTTGCTTCATTTCATTGAAATGGCTAATGCTTTGATGGTTCATATTTACAATGGCTTGTCCTGCTTTTCAATGGAGTTGATATGTTGGAGTCTTTAACACCATAAACTTGATCAGAACTTCCTCAGTAATAAACAGACGGGTTTAAGGGGTGTGCCCCTCCTCACCAGGCCTCCGGAGCCCATTTGCGTACCAATTTGTAGCTAAAGACATCGAGAATGGTGTTCTTCATGCTCAACTGCCCCAGGTAGTTGAAAATAGTTCTGGGAAGCTCAATATGCAAACTGGTTAGGAGCCTGAAAGGCTTCAAAGAGAAGAAAATTTGACCTTCCTTAGTAAAAGGCTATTGCTCAGTTAAATTCACTTTTAGGTAGGGAATTTCCATAGCATTTATAAAACACATGAAGAATGTCATTTTCCTTTAATTGACTTCCTAAACAACCCAGAAAACTAAAAGCTGGAATTCTAGTTTGTACGTTTTTTCTAAATGCCAAAGACGTGTCAAATTTTGTATCTTACTTCCTGGGTCAAAATGTGTCAAAATTTACTCTTATGGTGAATCCCATGGTTGAAATGCGTGCCTGTTAAAGAGCCAGGGACATCAAGGGACACATACCTCTCCTGTACATTAATGCATATAACACTGAGGCTGAAACTTCAGCAGCTATGGGTTTGGTTTTTGTTTGTTTGTTTGTTTGTTTGTTCTTCCTTTTCAACTCCACTCTTTTGGAGTTGTTCTGGGTAAGTGTATTTTCTTTCTTTACTTTTGAACAGCAGATCTGATTTACTTGGGGTCACTTTGGAATAAAGCTAGTTGAATTATTGAATTAATACAAAATGCTAATTCACTATGCTCCTCACCTTTTTTTTTTTTTTTTGTAATACCAGGTTTTTGTTGAACAGGTATATCCTATACAAGGCTCAGCTCTCACGCAGTTTATTTTCCTATCAGTTTGCAAAGGAATTTTGCCATGGCAGCATTTGGGTCTGTTATAGTAAGTTCAGGGTTAACCTAACCGAGTCACTAACAAAAATTCCTACCAATACCCTAAAAAGTAAAATAAGTCCACAGGGGTCATACCTCAGTATCCAGGGATAGAAAAAGTATCCTCTGCCGGTCTGCAGAAAATCCTTGACAACTAATACCATCCCAACCCCTCCACACTCCTGCCTACAAAGATTTACCTTAACTCCTTATGGAAAACCTCAGGCCAAAAATTAAGGCACATTTTTCTGCCTTATTGTGAATTCTTACTCAATTTCTCACCTAGATTTCAACAAAATCTCTTTGTGATTCCCAGCCCTATTTTTAGTGTACTGCTTCTGTGTTGAACCTATTTCTTTGTGTAATAAAAAAAAAAGACTTGCAGATTCTCATAAAAAAGTGGCAATCGTAGTAATAGTATGATTTATAGTAAAAAGTCATTTGTGCAGGAGACAAAAGATGAAATGAAACAATTGTATTCAGGATTTCTCAAGTATTTTTAGTTTGAATAAAATAAGCAGTTTGGGAATTATTTAAATCACCTTTGAAAACAAATCCCAACCTACAAGAGCTATTAAGGATCAGAAAGCTTTGGTGTGAAGCTGTTCATTATCAAGGGAACATTACAAAGGAAGAGTTCTATCTCTTAAAAAGCCAAATCAAATTTTAAATCAAATTAAACCATAATATTGGTAAATTTCTTCTATTATTTTTAATGTGTATTATGTGTATGTATATGCATATGTGTGTGTATGAGAATAATATACTGCTCTTTCTGCCTCTGCTATCCAAACTGTCCAGCAATTGATAAAAAAAAAGAAAATCTTATTTCCAACTATTGTAATATTTGTTGTTATAAAAAGACATACAAATAATTTTTTTCCTTAATTTTCTTCTTTAGGAGCTTAGTTCCCACATAAATAAGAGAATATTTACATATATAAAATTAAGATAATTAATTAAAGCTAAATTATTCTTTTTAACTAATAATCTGAGTATTTCAGATTATATAGTCACAGACTTAATATCAATAGAGATGAAAAATTAATCTGATGGCTCCAAATGTTTATATGTATATGTGTTTTTATTTATTTGTGTCATCTCAAGTTAATCAATAAATAATGGCCTGGCAGCAAAATTCTGGAACCCCTTTTGCACTTCAGCAATGGTGCATAATCCCAGCAGAAATATGAAAGAAAATTTTAAATCCATTTCTGACTCTTTTGTTAGACTGCTAGGTTACACTTCAAAACTCACCTTTCCTGTGTTTGTCTCACCTAGAAAACTGGGCTAAAATTCTTCCTTCTTCACAGATAATTTATATAAAAATGCCCCCCATTACATATCAAGTACAAAATAGTGTTGTCAATTTCCATATTCCTTTGAAGAAGAATTATTGTGAAACAACCTGCACAGTTACAAATGAAAGGTGAAAATTTAAGGAGAATAATAATCGATAGCTGTGAAATTTCAAAGGCTATGAAATCCAATTAGACAAGGGAAGAGTTAAAATATGAGGACTCCCAAAAGCTTAGATGACTTTGGAAACACAGATCAAAAACAAAGAGACGGAAAGTATAATTAACTCCATTACTGCTCAGTCAAATGAAAACAGCCATGACATCCTTTCTTATTTATGACACCAGCAAATAGCTCAATTCCACTCCTGGATATTGCTGTAGGACAGCACTGGTTCCACAGCCGGTGAAACAGAAACAACCTGCTAAAATTTATGTCACTAGATCATGTTATAGATGTAAGATTTATGCAGAAGTCCCATAAAAATTAAGTAGCTTTTATATCTTCTTATAACAATTCTTTCTCTCTAGCAAACAAAAGTCTATATATAGAAAGCTGGAATTTTCTGAAGTCCATTTAGAATAATAATAAGCATTTTTACTTAAATATATATTTAGTCTCAGATATTGGATGTTACCAATAACAATAACAATAAAAAGTCCTTATGTAATCAAGCCATCTATTTACATTTATGAAATATTTTCATTTCTGAGTTGTCTTCCTTAGTAACTAGAAAATTCATCAATGTGGTATATATTCACCATTGTACAGAAGGTGCAAAAGAAAGAGTGGCAAAGGGAATACACAAGTCACTCACATTTTCTGGAATGTCCTTCAATTGTTTTCCACCTTTATTCTAATCTTTCTGGTGAAACCTTGCCTCCCCACTTTACCTCCCGATCTTCAACCCAGTTGGAAATAATGTTACCCTCCTTTGAACAATGGAAGCACTTGCTAACCTTAGTCTGTTAGCTTTGAGAACAGGAATTGTATCTTAATTACTGATATTTCTACTGCCTATGACAGTTTCTGGTGTGTAGTAGTTACTTGATAAATGTATGTATCAGTAAGAAATTTCATGTACATATACATTCCATTACCCCAAGTCAGATGGCAGGGACTCCCTTAGATTTGTCTGTATCTATCTTCAGTGCCTAGAAAAGGTATGAATAGATGCTCAATAAATATTAGTTGGTTGTCTAATTTCCTGAGTTTAATAGTTTTACAACAATATAATACCTCTTATTCACAGCTGGTAAGAGTATAAATTGGTGCAACTATTTAATGGCAATTTGTTTTTACACTTAGTGTCAAGACTGTTCATAGCAGCATAGTTTGTAAGTGTGAAAAGAGATAATGGATTACAAGTGACGTATTCATATAAGAAATGTCATAGAATAGTGAAAAAGTATCAACTACACAAGCCATCATAGATGACCCTCCCAGAGATATGGAGAAAAAAATTGCATATCATTTACATAAAGTTTTAAAGCATAAAACCAATACTATCTATTGAGTCATATGCTATACATCATAACTATATTTTTAATGCATTGGAATAAAAAGCACTAAAGTACTTTTAACTGTGTGGTTAGTAAGGTAAGGAAAGAATATTGCAGTCATGCAGAGGTTTACAGGAACATGGGACACTGCAGAGGCCAGTTGCATTGGTAATGTTTTACTTTCTGAGCTGGATGCTGAAAACATGAAATTTCTAATTACACAGTCCCCAACTTACAATAGTTTGACTTTTTTTATCTTTACCATGGGTTTACCGGGGTGCTAAATGCATTTTTTACTTAGTATTTTCGTCTTACAATGGGTTTATGGGCACGTAACACCATTGTAAGTTAAGGAGTATCTGTACTGTTACTCTCTTTACCTTTCTATAAATCTCAAGTAGTTTTTAAAGAACTAAGAATAGAATATTAACAAGATAGTAGCTAATCTACCATGGCATAAATATCCTAATTTGATTCTTCTTTTTATTGTTTCAAAGTTAAATAAAACACTGCCTTCAACAGAACTGTGCACAGACATGAAGGGCGCCCTTTAGATCAAACACAGCAAAGGGACATAAACCGCAAATACGGAAGCCCACGAAAAGCGGTAGGAGAACTTTGATAGCAAAGAAATGTACTCTGTAACCACTCAGTAATTATATGAATAGAGCTAGAGTGGTCAAGAAGCCACCAGAGGTCCCCTTCTGCCAACAGTCTCATCCTGAGGAAGGCTCTCCTCCATTATTTTTATAAATTAGGTGACCCCATAACTTATCCACATAACATAGTTTTGAAAGTGACGAGGAACACTAATAAAAGTTTCACTGGGACAAAAAATGTAAACCAGGACAGTCCTAGACAAACCAGGATGAGTAGGTGCACTATGACTACAAAGTCACCATTGCTAGATGTCCCATTGAAGTATCTAATTTAGTGGATTTTATGAAGTCAACATGAAAAGGGAAGTGTAAATGTTCTTTGATTAGGTTTCTAACAACATAGACACTCGATTTAAAATACTATTTTTTTTTATGAACTGGAAAATAAACTGACAAAAATCAGGTGGACATAGAGGGGAGGGGAACTAAATTCCTCTTCTTTCATAGTGACCCGTCTAGAGATTTTGTCTAAAATTGATCAATCAGGAATAGCCATTGCAGGCATTTATTTTAGAGTAATAGTGGCAATTTAGGAAGTTTTAAGTGGTTATCTCCAGGGAGTGGAATTGCAGATGAAGGAGCAATTAGGAGGCTTTTCATTTTATATCCTTTGATATGGTTTGAGACCTTCTTTACTGTAAGCATGCATTATTTTTATAACTTAAAAATGTTAAAAATTGGCTGGGTGCAGTGGCTCACACCTGTAATCCCAGCACTTTGGGAGGCCATGGTGAGTGGATCACTTGAGCCCAGGAGATCGAGACCAGCAACATAGTGAAACCATGTCTCTACAGAAAATACAAGAATTAGCCAAGCATGGTGGCAGGTGCCTGTAGTCCCAGCTGCTTGGGAGGCTGAGGTGAGATAATTGCTTGAGCCTGGGAGATCGAAGCTGCAGTGAGCTAAGATTGTGTCACTGTACTCCAACCTGGGCAACAGAGGGAGACCCCGTCTCAAAAAAAAAAAAAAAAAAAAGTAAAAAATTAGAAAAATTACAATTACAATACCCAGAATTGACAAAGGCATTGGGTAACTAACAGTAATACCTGATAAGCAATGAGCATTTAATATATGCCATGTACTGTGTTAAATGCTTAATGTGGGTTATCTCGTTTAATCTTCACAACCCCAGAAGAAACGGAAATAGTGGGAGGTAATTTAACTTGTCCAAAGTCACACAGCTGGACCTGAGATTTACGCCCAGATAATCTCACTCCAAAGCCCAGTCCCTGAAATCATTCTTCTATTCTACCTCCCACTTGAACATTACGTTGCAGTGAGTAGAAATTAATACACGTTTCCATATGGTATTTTGATAACATGTATCAAAACTTCTAGAGTGCGCATACCCTTTGACCCAGAAATTCCATTTCCATGTCTTTATGATAAGAAATAATAGTAAATATGCCCCAAGGGATATATGAAAGGGCATCCATCTCAACAATGCGTATGAAAGCAAAAAAATAGATATTCATCAACGGAAATTGATTTTGTAAAATTATAATATACTCATACAATAGAATACTCTCAATCTGGACTTGTTTACATGGAAGATTTACATCCATACTTTTGTATTAAAAAAGCAAGTTGCAAAACAATGTGCATATATGATCTTCTTTATGTAAAAAATAAAAATGTATATACATGTACACAGAAACTAGTCTGGAAGGCTTTCCCACAAATGCCATTTTCTGAGAAAGGTCATCTCTGACAACTTGACCTAAGCAGTTCTTCCCCTGTTGATTTTTCATCATGATTCTCTGTTTTTGGTCTTCATAAGAGTATTTTATAGGCTGGGCGTGGAGGCTCACACCTGTAATCCCAACACTTTGGGAGGCCATAGCAGGATTGCTTAAGCCCAGGAGTTGGAGACCAGCCTAGGCAACATAGGGAAACCCTGTCCCTACAAAAAATAAAAAATTAGCCAGGTATGGTGTCATGTACCTGTAGTTCCAACTACTTGGGAGGCTGTGGTGGCAGGATCCCTTTAGCCCAGGATGTCGAGGCTGCAATGAGCCATGATCGCGCCACTACACTCCAGCCCGGGTGATAGAGCATGACCCTGTCTCAAAAAAAAAAAAAAAGAAAGAAAGAAAGAAAGAAAGTGTTAGATATACTTATTTGCTTGCATTCTTATTAATTATTTGTGTCTTTCACCAACTTTTTACTAAATGAGGGCAGGAATCACATTGGTATCATTCACCACTATTTATCCAGCCTGAGTGGTACAGAATATGTACTCCATATATACTTGTTAAACTCATGTTGAACACATTCATTTGCTGGCAAATTTTGCTTTCAACTTGATGCCTTCATCCATTGTTTCAACTTTTACAAGAATGGTCAGTATGGGTCTTATAATTAGGAAAAAAAACCAGTAGAGCTATTTTCATTGTGGTATAGCCAATCAATCAGTCTATCAATAGTAAGGCAGCACTGACAAAGTGAAAAACCTCGCCAGATTTGCATCCACAAGACTTGATCCAGTTCAGGCACTTACTAGCGTGGGTGTCATGGGTGTCCCTTAAACCTCACCCACATGCTTGCTCCCTTTCTTTTCTTTTTTAACTTTTAAAGCATAGTTCTGTTATTCTCATTGAGAAATGTATTCCAATATTCATATACAGAGCCAAGAACTGGGTTACCTGCTCCCAGGAGGCTGGAGAATCTTTCAGTCTCCGTGGCCCTAGGTGGACCAGGAAGAGCCAAGGGGCAGGAACTACAGAGGCAGAGCTGCTGATAATATGCTTTTTCATTGTTTTTTTTGTCTTGTTTTTGGAAAGCTTCAGAAGGTGGAGGTCCTAACTTAATGGGCTTTAAAGAAAAAGAGCTTAAAGCTGGCTTAAGGAAGCCAGCACTCCCTCTCACTCTTTTCAAAGAGAATAGGCTGACCTAGCCCCAGTCTCACATTGTCAAAAGAATAATAGTCATTCAATAAATATTTGTTGCAAAAAAGAATGAACAAGTGAATATGTAAAACATTCTTTCCATTGGTCTTGCTGTGGCAGTAAAAGCCATAAAAACCATCACTGAAAAATGTAAGATTTGATAAAATAGAGTTTGGAGAAGAAAAAAATGTATTTATAAATTAATTTGTTTTCAATATAAGACCTTGTATGTAAGGTTCCAACACAGTGAATTTTTACAGTGAAGCTATAAACTCTAAAATGGGGATTATGAACATGGACAATATAATTTATAATACTTGCATAGCTTTCAATTATTCAGGTGCTCAAAGCCCAACAAATTGAATAATGAACAGGGGTAATGAATTGAACCCTGAGAAGATGATAACAGAAAAACCTGGGTAGTCACCACGGAGGAATTCATGTACAGAAGTAGCCCTGAACAAAATAAACTTGTTTGAAGGACACATTTTCTCTCTCAAGCCAAAACATTATGGAACTGTAATGCAAGTAGGAATTGCTTTTAAGAAATACCTGTTAAAGGCATAAAGCGGCTAAAATAGTATATTTCAGATGACCAAACAGAGAATTAGAATCATAAATTGGCCTGTTACATTCTCAGAGAGTGCAGGTTCTCTATTTCATTATTTTTAACAACATTGAGTGGGGGGAATGCGGTCATATAAATTATTAAGCACCATCACTTTAGATTTAGGCTTGGAGGTGTGTTGATATTCCACATAATTTAAAGCACAGAGTTCTTAACAGTATTTCATATAACACTGCAGATCAGAAATTTAAATAATGAAATGGCTTCTGGTCTCACTGTGCAGACCTGGGTTGGGTGATGCACACTTGTGTCTGCAAGTGAAGGTTCTGAAGGAATGATGGATACTAAGCCTTTTACCCACATCCCTTCTCCCAGTGATACTGCAGACCAGCATAATATGCACTCGCAAAATATGGTCAGATTTTAATTAAATACAATTTGCTAAAGTCAATAAATATTAACAATTCCTCTCACCTTCAACCCCTATTACCATCATATACCTACTTACTCTACACACTCATCATCCTACTACATAAAACGCATTTACTCAAAGCAACTTTAAAAATAATCTCAGTTTTCTAGACTGCAGGCAGGGAGGCAATACTGTATAGTGATCATTGCTTGCCTATGGGGTCAAACAGTGGTTTCAAATTTCAGCTTCACTGTTTTCTAGATGTGTTTTAAGCAAACTACTTAATCTTCTAATCTTCAGGTTTTTGAAATCTGCATAATGGGGATAATAATAGTACCTACCTCTGGCCGGGTATGGTGGCTCACACCTGTAATTCCAGCACTTTGGGAAGAAAGGTGGGCAGATCACTTGAGATCAGGAGTTCAAGACCAACCTGGCCAACATGGCAAAACTCTGTCTCTACTAAAGATCATAAAAATCAGCCGGGCATAGTGGCAGCACCTGTAATTCCAGCTACTTGGAAGGCTGAGGCATGAGAATCGCTTGAACCCAAGAGGCAGAGGTTGCAGCCTGGACGACAGAATGAGACTTTTCTCAAAAATAAATAAACTAATAAATAATAGTACCTACCTCATAAGATTATTGGGAGTATTAAATAAGATCATATATGCAAAACATTTAGTAAAGTTCCTTGTTCATAGTTAGTACTCACTAAGTGTTAGCTATTATTACTGGCTAAAGCTGCATTGGCAAAGACTGTCAAATGTATCTCAGAGACATTCAGATACCTGGCGCCTGTGAATACAAGTTCGTAAGTCACAGGAGCTTTTTAAGTGACCATTGTTGACTCAGGGATTTCAGTGGTTGTTAATGCTACTGTACACTTAGAAACAACTTTGTAGCCACAGACGTGGAAAAGTTCACGTAGACAGTGAGTGCTTATTTACCTCTGCCAATTATTTTGATGGGTAGACAAAAACAGAGCATCAGTTCGAGAAGAATTGTCAAGGTGTTACATCTATTAAACTTGTGCCTGTATAACTTGAGTTTGATTCTTCTGATACTAGAATATTGTTCTACCCAGTGGAATTAATGATTAACCCAAATCTGTCAAAAAGCTAAACAGTGCATAGCCCTAAAATCAGTTTTTCTAGTGAAAGGATCTCATAGAAAATTCTCAGCGGTATTAGTATTTTGCCACTCAAGAAAACGAAAAACAATTTAAAACTATGGAGATGCATCAGGACTTTTGTCAGATCCAGATGTAAATCTGCTAGAACATCTGAAGTGTTTTGGATTTCTCATTAATCAAAGAAACATAGAAGGTGGAAATTAGTAGAGAATGTAAATATCATCCGATCTGACCACTTTATTATTTTTATATATATATATATATATTTTTTTTTTTTTTGAGATGGAGTCTTGCTCTGTTGCCCAGGCTGGAGTGCAGTAGTGTGATCTCAGCTCACTGCAACCTCCATTTCCTGGGTTCAAGTGATTCTCCTGCTTCTGCTTCCCAAGTAGCTGGGACTACAGGTGTGCACCACCATGCCTGGCTAAATTTTTTTTCATTTTATTTTTAGTAGAGACAGGGTTTCACCATGTTGGCCAGGCTGATCTCAAACTCCTGACCTCATGTGATCCGACTGCCTCAGCTTCCCAAAGTGCTGACATTGCAGGCATGAGCCACCACACCCAGCCTATCTGACCACTTTATATTATTAATATTAGAGATGAGGAAACCAGGATCAAGAAAGGAAACTGTGCTTCAAAGAGCTAAGACTCAAATTTTTTTTTCATAGATCATAAGCATATTCTCAACTGATGCACATGGCTGCTTAAATGCCCAGAAGACCTTGGTGGTATATGGGAAGAGTACAGATCACAAGGTATAAATTCTCGTTTATCACTTTTAGTTTACAATCTCTAGCAAAGTAATAGCGCTCGCTCTCTCTCCATATGTCTGTGTGTGTATATATACATATATACACACACGCACACATGTATACATATATACATATATACATATAGTGGATACATGTATGTGTGTGTATGCATGTGTGTGTGTGTGTATATATATATTTATATTTGAGATAGGATCTCACTCTGTTACCTAGGCTGGAGTGCGGTGGCATGATCTCAGCTCACTGCAACCTCAACCTCCTGGGCTGAAGTGATCCTTCCACTTCAGCCTCCTGAGTAGCTAGGACCATAGATGGGTGCCACCAGAGCAGGCTAATTTTTAAATTTTTTTGTAGAGATGGAGTTTCACTATGTTGCCTAGGCAGGTCTCCAGCTCCCAGGCTAAAGTGATCCTCCCACCTCAGCCTCCCAAAGTGCTGGGATTACAGTTGTGAGCCACTGTGCCCAGTCAGCTCTCCATATATTAATACCAATACATGGCTGTAAGTTTAAACCTCTGAGATATAGCTGAAGAAACTAGTTCAATCAAATTTACTTTATATATAGCATTTATATACTTAAATTGAGCATTTGATTTTCCTCTTGCTATTTAAATTATGAAACCCCCAATTAAATTTTAAGATATTTAAGTGTAGAAATCTCTTTTCCTTCTTAAAATCTCCTAAAATATATAGAACATGTTCACTGTCGGTTCCCCTTAAACACCACAGAATGAATGAGTTCCAAAAGGAAGCATTTCAAACTATAATTGCTGATGGACTATGGACTCTGAACTCTTAGAAACCTTGAAAAAAATAATTTTGTTTAAAGGCGACCTAGAACAACAATTTACAACATGACCTTGGATAAGTCAATTAACCTCTTTGGACCTCAGTTTCTTCACCTGTAAAATGAAGACATTGGCCGGGATAATGTCTAAGGCGCCTTCTAGGTCTACCCTTCTATGATTCTGCATTACTTCATTACTGTGTTCTCACTGCACGGAGTGGTAGGTTATACCCGTCACTCCTTCTAATAGCCATTCAATCTTACTTCCAAAAGCTGGGTCCCACTGGTGTTGGAGAGTGTGTTGCTTGTTTCTAGTGTTCAGCGGAAAGTTCAGTGGTGGGGAACAGATGAGGATTGATGTCCCTGCTGTGGCCACCGCCGGGAAGCAATTTCAACCCTTCTGCACAGGGGCTCTTTGCTCAGGGCTGGGGGCATTTGAGATTGCTGCAAGGAAAATGACCACTGGTACAATTCCAACACAAGAGACTTGTGTTTTGGGATGTCTTTTGCCTGGATGTCACTTTACTCTAGTGAATATTTGGCCTGAAAAAAAAATGTGTATTTGTTGATTTGCTGGTGTTTAGGGGCTTTTTTTTCTGTTCTGAAAAGTACAGAGATGGATCTTTTGAAATCACAGAGACATAGAAAAATCTCCCGTTGTCCTCCATCATGAGGTCTCCACTGAAACCAATGTTTATAGCCATAATCAGGAGTCTTTGTTTTACTCTCTGGAGACCTCTAGAATGTACAGAGGTTTAAAAAGAACTAAAACTCCTCCCCAAACTCATTAAACTGGCAGAAAGAATAAGCTAAAAGGAGGAAACAAAGTTGGTTTAGGTAAGAGTGGTGTGAATATTCTACTTGAGTAAATCTTATTAGCTAAGCAAAAGCAAAGAAAAAAAAAAAAACGAAAACCACTACCAAAGACAAGAAACATGGAAGACCCTATAACAGCAACAATATCAAAAAAGTAAAATGTTACACAACTTCTCAGTTGAGGATAGTTTTGACAGTTTTATTAAAATAGGTTCCATTGACAAAATAGGGTTGCAAATGGCAGCTGATTTCTTGGACAAAGCTATGACTCATCCCAAAGCCTACGGAAAGAACAGCATAAGTAGAAAATTATCTGAAATTTCGATCTCCTCAACACTAAAAACCCCTTTAACATGCTTATTCCTAGACTGCCCAAAAGTTCCCTATGAACACATTAATATTAAGAAATTAGCTACAATAATAAGTAAGCCCTTAGAAAAGTATGCCAATTTGAGAGAGAAGGAGAAAGCAACATCTTTTAGTAAAGGCAGTTTCAAAAATTGAACAATTTCAAATTATCCACTTTGCTTCTCTTGAATATCACAACTTTGCTTGGAAAGTTTTTCTGTGTGTTTTTGTTTTTGATCTAATAGCAGGTCAGAAATCTCATTGCTAATGCTCTAAACATTTTCTGCACCTTTGCCTTGATTGTCATTGATTCATTCATTCATTCACTTACTCTCTCATTCTTTCCATAAATACTTGAAGAGACAATATTGATAATCAAGACAGGTTCCTATCTTTAAGTAGATTATCAAGTCTACAACCAACTCAGACAACAGTTTGGAATATTGGCTCTTCTTATAAGCAGTCCAAGAGCAAATGACTAAAAATCTCCAAACTTGTTTCCTCATCTGTAAATGAAAACAATAGCATAATCCTAATAGACTGTTATGGGACTGAAGTAAGATAAAGTACACAAAATTCCTGGGACAGTCCAGGTGCAGTGGCTCATGCCTGTAATCCCAGTACTTTAGGAGGCCCAAGGTGGGCCAATCACTTGAGTTCAGGAGTTCAAGATCAGCCTGGCCAACATGGTGAAAACCCGTCTCTACTAAAAATACAAAGATTAGCTGGGTGTGATGACGGGTGCAGTAATCCCAGCTACTTGGAAGGCTGAGACAGGACAATTGCTTGAACCTGGGAGGCAAAGTTTGCAGTAAGCCAAGAATGTGCCACTGCACTTCAGCCTGGGTGACAGAACAAGACTCTGTCTCAAAAAAAAACAAAACAAAACCAAACAAACCTGGGACAGTACCTGGAACATAGTAGGATCTCAGAAAGTGACAGAATTATTATCATCATCATTGCTATCATTATTTCTCTGATATACCCTCATGTGCTAACTACCTTCCAGTGTGTACAGATAGGTCTACTTTAATGCAGTTTTCAAAACAAGGGAAGAGACTACATTCCCTCAACAAAAAAACATCTTGTTTTTCTTATCAATTTCAAAACTATAAAATGATAGGAACAGGAACTGTCATACTATGTCCCATCCAATCAAGGAGTGTGTCACCAACATGGACAGTAAAGACTAAGTTGTTAGTAATAATTGTCACCATTAATGGAGCCCCTAATATTTACAACGCATGCACTAAGTACTATATGGATTATTTTATTTATGCTTGATCTTAGCCAAAAGTCTGAGAAGTGATAGATTATTATTCTATTTAATCCTAAAAATAAAAAACCCTATGAAGTTGGCATTTTTATCCCATTTTTCAGGTAAAGGGTGGGGACGTAATAGGGAATTGCTTGGGAAAGATGGCTTCTCTTGCCCAAAGTTTACACAGCTAGTAGGTAAATAAACCAAGGTATGAACCCAGGTCTCTCTTCTGACTAAATTTTATGCCTTCAAGTAGGACTGAGGACCTAATTTTCTTCTGTAGAAATATAACAGTATAAACATTTAAAGGAGGAAGGAATATTTGTGGTTTTTTGTTTGTTTGTTTGTTTGTTTTTTGTTTTTTCAGTATAAGACCATCTTTTGAAAAAATTAGGATCTGAAGCATCTTCCTCACCTAAACAGTGAAATCTGTTGGGTATGCAGCCCAAGATATATATGCTTCAAAGTTCCTCAAAGTGATTTTGATCTTTTTTTTTTTTTTTTTTTTTTTTTGGAAAGCATTGCTTCCCCTAAAGCCCATTTGGAGCTCCAACGTACACAAATTTGTTCACATTTTTTCTTGATCAATTTATACTTTTTGCCAGTACCACCCCACAGAATACTGAATCCCCAAAATTAATTAGATGTGTAAAGCTGTACATTCTAACATTCTAATTTTTTAAACTTGCTTCTTTTTTTTTTTTTTTTTTTTTTTTTAAGACAGAGTCTCCCTCTGTCTCCCAGGCTGGAGTGCAGTGGTGCGATCTCCGCTCACTGCAAGCTCCGCCTCCCAGGTTCACGCCATTCTCCTGCCTCAGCCTCCCTAGTAGCTGGGACCACAGGCTCCCACCACCACGCCTGGTTAATTTTTTGTATTTTTAGTAGAGACGGGGTTTCACCGTGTTAGCCAAGATGGTCTCGATCTCCTGACCTCGCCATCCGCCCGCCTCGGCCTCCCAAAGTGCTGGGATTACAGGCGTGAGCCACTGCGCCCGGCAGTTTGCTTTACATTTATTTAGATTTAGTTTCACATGGTGGCTTCTCTTTACAGTATTTCTGGCTTTGATAAAAATGTTCAGGTTTATTTATCTACATTATTTATATCTTCATGTTCTCTTTCAGAGGGAAAATTTTGGCAATCTTATAATTTTCTCCCACCTCATTTCCTCAACCATTTTAGTTATTTTTCTCTGAAACTTCTTTACTTCTTTAGATTATGTTTTGGACTGTATGTTTGTGTTTCCCCAAATTTATATGTTGAAACCTTAACCCCTAATGGGATGGTATCAGGAGGCGGAGAATTTGGGAGGTGATTAAATCCTAAGAGTGAAGCTCTCAGGATGGAATTAGGCCTGCTGGAAACCCTTGCTCTGAGAAGTAAGAAAATGAACTGCAGAACCAGCCTGATAATGAGCATCTCTTTTTACAATAAAACTCTTCTTCAAGTCTGATGAAGTCATAGGGGCTCACTAACAATTCTCCAGGGAGAAAACTAGACATAAGACACCAAGACAATTCTCCAAAAGGCCCTGAGAAATTAAGAGTTGAAGTTCAGAGTCACAGCTCTAACAATAGGCCAAACCCTTCTTGAGGACTCATTGTGGGTCAAGTGCTATACTTACTTTTACATGCATTTAATTCATGTAATTGTCACAACAGCCCCATGAGGCAGGGGCTTATATCATCCCCATTTTTCAGAGGAGAAAACTGAAGCCCAAAGAGGTCAGGTGGCTTGCCTTGGGTCTCATAAAGAAGAGACACCTGGAAGCCTGGAGCCCGAATTGTTGTGCATAACTTCTCCTATGCTGATTCTTCAGAGCTACGAGCCATTCCTCCCCAAGATAAAGCTTCCACGAATTGTGCTAACATCTTAGGTTGAAGAAGCAAACATCAACGGGTGGCTAGCTTGCACAAACTTTTCCAAAGAATCTCATATAAAAGTATGTAATTTTGAGGAAGAATGGGGAGTTTTGACTCTAGCTTCCTGTTATGAAATCATTTCTCTTCAAGAAAAGATAAAACTCATTTTTAGTAATTTGTGGGAAGGTTGTAGGGAATTACCTGAACTTCTTTACGTCTAAGACTGTCCAAGGCAATAGAAACTTAGGTGTTCTGGCCGGGCGTGGTGGCTCACACCTGTAATCCCAGCACTTTGGGAAGCCAAGAAGAGAGGATGGCTCAAGCCCAGGAGTTCAAGACCAGCCCGGGCAAATAGAGAACCTGTCTCAATTTTTAAAAATAAAAATATAAATAAAAAAGAAAATAAAAATAAGAAACTTAGGTGTATTGTGTAACAGCAGAAGTCTTTCTAAACTGATGCATCCATAACTGCCATTGAACTGGTGAGACTTTCTAATTGCAATATAAAATAGGTAACAAACAATTAACAGGGTTTATATATTCCAAGCACTTCTTAAGACATGTTAAAAAAAATCCTAATTCTCAGAACAGCTTTTGTACTTCATACTATTATTACCCCATTTTAAAGACAAGGAAACAGGCTCAGAATGATGAGTACCTCGGTCACACAGCTAGTAGGCAGCAGAGCTCAGTTTGGCTCCAGTGTCGTTGCTCTTAAATGTCATACCATAGTGGCCCTGTATAATAAAGGAGACCACCTAAGTCTCTGACAGTTAAATGTCTGTGCATATAAACTACAGCTGATAAGTAGATACAAAGAATTATGGACATCACAATTCAGAAATCCAGTTGTCATATTCATGAGCATTTCTTCAGTACAAAATAATTCATGGAACTCTGTCTTACCTACAACTAGAAACTTCACATAAAACAGCTTTGCTGCCCAGTCCAATTACTCAAACACATCAGCTAGTTCAGTTTACATAGAACAAGCAACTTGTTGGTTAACCAGTCCTTTCTCACATTGGTCAACTGTTTGGGGTTATGAAGACATAACATGATTAAAATGCATTGATAGAATTTGTTTGGGGAGGCAGAGATAGATCTCTTTGGTGGGGAGAACATAGGCAGTCTAAGACGCAATGTGACATTTTCAGCAAAGATTACATTTATAAAAGGAAGATTAAACAAACAGAGGTTTCTGTAAACAGAGTAACTTTGGGTGGGGAGAGCTTTGCATTAGATACAGCATCCAACACACGGATTAAGAAATTAAAGTTCTAATCTTGTTGAGAATAGGGTGGACTGGGAGCAGTAACTCATGCCTGTAATCCCAACACTTTGGGAGTCCCAGGTGGGAGGATGACTTGAGATCAGGAGTTCAAGACCAGCGGAGGCAAAATAGTGAGACCCCACCTCTATTTAAAAAAAAAAAATTTTTTTTTAAATAATAGAGTAACATTGTTTTCTTTCCTTTTTTCTGTAACTCTTGCTAGTGTACCCTCCACAGACCCACTTTTAAATGTTATCAATGAGGCCTATGACCCAGATACTCTCAAAGTAGATGAGTTTTCTTAGAAGTCAGAGAACTTTCTTTGCTCTTCTCAGCAAATATGCGTGTTTCCATCATCCTATAAGATCTGCCTTTTGGCCATACCTACACACACAGCAATCACATAAATGCCTCTAGTCAAGGCCGGGTACGGTGGCTCATGCCTGTAATCCCAGCACTTTGGGAGGCTGAAGCAGGTAGATCACTAAGGAGATAGAGACCATCCTGGCTAACACTGTGAAACCCCATCTCTACTAAAAATACAAAAAAATTAGCCAGGCATAGTGGCGGGCGCCTGTAGTCCTAGCTACTTGGGAGGCTGAGGCAGGAGAATGGCGTGAAGCCGGGAGGCGGAGCTTGCAGTGAGCCGAGATCAGGCCACTGCACTCCAGCCTGGGCGACAGAGCAAAACTCTGTCTCGAAAAATAAAAAATAAAAAAAAAATAAAGCATCTAGTCAAATGTCTAATTTGAGTTACTTAATCTTTTTTCTATAAATTTTAGGGGTTTTTTGTTTGTTCTTTTTAAAGTAGGATATACGCCTCCAATTATTTACTGTGTTCTACGTTTATAGATAACTACGTGAAGAAAAGTTTACGTGGAGTTCTATTTTCACACGCTGAAGTCCCTGGCTGTCTTTAGGGAAGGTTCGTTCTTCACTTGCATTCATCCTCATCTTTTTGTGTTGAGATTGTATGAGGATAAATACAAATTATGCCTCTGTGAAGTGGTGATCATCATGATTTGCAATGAGAAAAGATAATCTAGAATGGAATTCTGCTTGCTTTATCCATTTGCTCTCAACCCATCCTTATGAAAACTGGTTATAACCACCCCTGTCAATAGTCCAGAACTTCAGCGGGATGGAGTCTATGATACTACTGGGCAGAATTGGTCTTCTGGTACCCATACAGTTTAGGTGCTTCAGACAAACTTAAGATTTCTTCTTTAATCATTAATTCACTCATCAGAGGCCAATTTTAAGGGACTTCTGTGAATCAGTCACCTCTGGAAATCACTCACCATTTATAACCACAAAAAATATCATCAGCATATAGCAATACTTGTTTAATATTTTGTATAGTAGGAGACTATATTAATACATCTAGATGAACAATGTCCATCAGCAAAAAAATGGGGGCCACATATGTAAGTTTAAATTTTCCAACAGCTATGTTGAAAAAAGTAAAAAGAAACAAGTTAAAATTCATTTTTATATATTTTATTTAACTCATACATTCAGAATATCATCTTCTTAATATATAATCAGTATAAAATTATTAATGAAATATTTTACATTTTTTGATACTAGGTCTCAATTCTTACCAGCCATATTTCAAGTGCTCAATAGCCACATGTGGCCAGTGACTACCATACTAGACAGTGCAATTCTGGGTCATCAAAAGTGGATGCAAAGCCAGGTGAGGTGGCTCACGCCTGTAATCCTAGCACTTTGGGAGGCTGAGGCAGGGGGATCACTCAAGGCCAGGGGTTCAAGATTAGCCTGGGCAACATAGCGAGATCCTGTCTTAATTTAAAAAATAAAATAAAAGAGGCTGCAAGTCATTAAGAGTAATGTTAAACTAAAGTGGCTCCAGAAGGCAGATCCATTTTATTAGGTTGGATCTCAAAATTGTTTAGTTTCTGCTGAGACCTTAACTATAGATTTATTCTAAAGACAAAGGTTCTATGTAACTAGGGATCTACTCTCAGCTGATGGAGGCAGACTCCAGTGCATTTCTTTTCACAAGGTTAAAGGCCAAGGATATGTCTATACATCACATAAGTCCTCAATTTTGGTACTGTAATAAGCAAACTGCTCCATAAAGAGTTAAAAATGAATAACAGGGATTAATAGTACAATACTGTTTCAAATCTACTTGCTCTTCACATAAAAATAATTTGCTTAACAGAAATCTTTACTATGAATACCCATTACTTATACAGTTCTATTTACAAAAATTTATTCTAAGAAAACACAATTTTAATGTATAAGATTGTCTACAAGAATGTTTACTTCATCACTATGTATAAAAATAAAAACAGAGGTACAAACAGGAGCTAGTACCATTCCTTCTGAAACTGTTCCAAACAATAGAAAAAGAGGGACTCCTTTCTCACTCATTTTATGAGGCCAGCATCATCCTGATACCAAAACCTGGCAGAGACACAACAAAAAATAAAATTTCAGGCCAATATCCCTGATGAACATCGATGCAAAAATCCTCAATAAAATACTGGCAAACCGAATCCAGCAGTACATCAAAAAGCTTATGCACCACAATCAAGTTGGCTTCATCCATGGGATGCAAGACTAGCTCAACATATGCAAATCAATAAATGTAATCCATCACATAAACAGAGCCAATGACAAAAACCACATGATTATCTCAATAGATGCAGAAAAGGCCTTCGAGAAAATTCAACAGCCTTTCATGCTAAAAACTCAATAAACTAGGTATTGATGGAACATATGTCAAAATAATCAGAGCTATTTATGACGGACCCACAGCCAATATCATACTGAATGGGCAAAAGCTGGAAGCATTCCCTTTGAAAACCAGCAGAAGACAAGGATGCCCTCTCTCTCCACTCCTATTCAACATAGCATTGGAAGTTCTGGCCAGGGCAATCAGGCAAGAGAAAGAAATAAAGAGTATTCATTTAGGAAAAGAGGAAGTCAAATTGTCTCTGTTTGCAGATGACATGATTGTATATTTAGAAAACCCCATCATCTCAGCCCCAAATCTCCTTAAGCTGATAAGCAACTTTAGCAAAGTCTCAGGATACAAAACCAATGTGCAAAAGTCACAAGCTTTCCTACACACCAATAATAGACAAACAGAGAGCCAAATCATGAGTGAACTCCCATTCACAATGGCTACAAAGATAATAAAATACCTAGGAATCCAACTGACAAGGTATGTGAAGGACCTCTTCAAGGAGAACTACAAACCACTGCTCAAGGAAATAAGAGAGGACAAAAACAAATGGAAAAAAACACCTTCCATGCTCATGGATAGGAAGAATCAATATCGTGAAAATGGCCATTCAGGCCAAAGTAATTTATAGATTCAATGCTATCCCCGTCAAGCTACCAATGACTTTCTTCACATAATTAGAAAAAACTACTTTAAATTTCATATGGAACCAAAAAAGAGCCCATATAGCCAAGACAATCCTAAGCAAAAAGAACAAAGCTGGAGGCATCACACTACCTGACTTCAAACTATACCACAAGGCTACAGTAACCAAAACAGCATAGTACTGGTACCATAACAGGTATACAGACCAATGGAACAGAACAGAGGCCTCAGAAATAATGCCACACATCTACAACCATCTGATCTTTGACAAACCTGACAAAAAACAAGCAATAGGGAAAGGATTCTCTATTTAATAAACGGTGTTGGGAAAACTGGCTAGCCATATGCAGAAAAGTGAAACTGGACCTCTTCCTTATATCTTATATGAAAATTAACTCAAGATGGATTAAGGACCTAAACGTAAGATCTAAAACCATAAAAACCCTAGAAGACAACCTAGGGAATACCATTCAGGACATAGGCATGGGCAAAGACTTCATGATGACTAAAACACCAAAAGCAATGGTAACAAAAGAGAAAATTGACAAATGGGATCTAATTAAACTAAAGAGCTTCTGCACAGCAAACAAAACTATCATCAGAGTGAACAGGCAACCTACAGAATAGGAGAAAATTTTTGCAATCTATCCATCTGACAAAGGGCTAATATCCAGAATCTACAAAGAACAATAAACAAGAAGAAAACCTCCAACAAAAAGTGAGCGAAGGATATGAACAGACGCTTCTCAGAAGAAGGCTTTTATGCAGCCAACAAACATATGAAAACAAGCTAATCATCAATGGTCATCAGAGAAATGCAAATCAAAGCCACAATGAGATACCATCTCACGCCAGTTAGAATGGTGATCATTAAAAAGTCAGGAAACAACAGATGCTGGAGAGGATGTGGAGAAATAAGAATGCTTTTACATTGTTGGTGGGAGTGTAAATTAGTCCAACAATTGTGGAAGTCGGTTTGGTAATTCCTCAAGGATTTAGGACCAGAAATACCATTTGACCTAGCAATCCCATTACTGGGTATATACCCAAAGGATTATAAATCATTCTACTATAACATGCACACGTGTATTTACTGCAGCGCTATTCACAACAGCAAAGACTTGGAACCAACCCAAATGCCCATCAATGATAGACTGGATAAGGAAAATGTGGCACACATATACACCATGGAATACCATGCAGCCACAAAAAAGGATGAGTTCATGTCCTTTGCAGGGACATGGATAAAGCTGGAAACCATCATTCTCAGCAAACTAACACAGGAACAGAAAACCAAACTGCATGTTCTCACTTACAAGTGGGAGTTGAACAATGAGAACACATGGACACAGGGAAGGGAACATCACACACAGGGGCCTGTCGGGGGGTGGTGGGCTGGGTGAGGGATAGCATTAGGAGAAACACCTAATGTAGATGACATGTTGATGGGTGCAGCAAACCACCATGGCACATGTATACCTATGTAACAAACCTGCACGTTCTGCACATGTATCCCAGAACTTAAAGTATAATAATTGAAATAAATAAATAAATAAATAATCACAAACAACATAAAAGTTCAACAATGTGGGATTGGTTATATACATTATAAGACAATAGAGAATTATTCAAGTATTCAAAATTATGTTGTAGATATATGTATTAAATATAAAGATGTTTTTATATTTTGCTTGGTGAAGATGGTAGGTTACTGTTTCTAAAAAGTATGTATATTCCTTATATATGGATACACACACACACACACACACACACACACACATACTGTATTCACTGGGGATTGGTTCCAGGACCCCCATGGATACTAAAAATCTGCATGTTCTGCAGTGGCCCTGTGGAATCTGCCTTTATGGAAACTTCCCTCTACATCCGCAGGTTTCCGCATCCAGTGACTACTATATTTTCCATCCACATTTGGTTGCAGATGCAGGATGCAGGGACACGGAGGGCTGACTGTATTTACTGGAAAAAAATGTGTGTATACGTGTACTTGTGCAGTTCAAACCAGGGTTGTTCAAGGGTCACCTATATATACATATAAACATAAAAACCTGAAAGAATATTCACTGTGATGTTAACAATGGCTATGAATGGGAGGATTGCCACTCATTTTTCTTTTTTGCCTATTTGTATTTTCTATTTTTTTCTAACAAATACCTATTGCATCAATAAAACACATCAGTAATGTTTAAAATAAAAATGTGCATTTATCTATTGGTTATCTTTTTAAAAAAATCTGTATATTTGTTGGCCTGACAAACTCTGATGTACAATTACAAAGGAAGAAACTAGCACAAAATGTAAATGGAATGACTAAAATACTAAGTCTGTTTGGGGAAAGTACACTTCCCTAGACTTATGGATGTCAGGAATGTAATCGGGAAAGTTATAATAACAATTCTAGTAGGGAAAAAACTTTTCCTAGGATCTCATTTAATTTCAATGAACTGCACTGAAGAAGTTAAAGAAGGACCTAAAATCTTCAGAATTTGGGCCAGCTGTCTTGAATTCTACAATAGAGAGAAAAAATTTCTTATGTTATTAGGTAACTTGCTGCTTACTATAGACCCTAATGACCAACATCGTTGCCATTTATCTACAAAGCCTGGTTATGTATGTGTCTTTTTTATTTTTATTATTTTATTTATTTATTTATTCTAGAAACAGGGTCTCACTATATTGCCTAGGCTGGTCTTGAACTCCTTGGCTCAAGTGATCCACCCACCTCAGCCTCCCAAACTGCTGGGATTACAGGTGTGAGCCACTGCACCCAGCCATATATGTTTCTTTAATGTTCAAATAGATATATATTTGATAAAGTAACAGGTGGTCTTTTCTATATTATTCATGTTAATCTGATTAACAATTTGTGTATTTATGGTTTTCCCTTATTTTTGCTAACTACCAAAATCCCACATTTTCCTAAAACCTGGAATAAAAGCAGCAACCTGTTAGTTGGGCCTGGTTGTACATGCTTGTAATCCCAGCTACTGAGAAGGCTGAGGCAAGAGGATTCCTTGAGCCTAGGAGTTCAAGACCAACCTGGGCAATATAGAAAGACCTCATCTTTAGAAATTAAAAAGAAAAGAAACAAAGCAATATTCTGTTAATATAGAATGGGGAGCAGGGGAGGACTCTCTTTCAACCACCAAAAAGAAAATTTTTATGTGTACAGAAAGAAGAAAATTACCTTTAAAATTCTGAACACCTTTGCATCATTCGTTACAATGAATATTATTCATTGAATTCTTTCACCTTTCCAAGCCGAAAGGAGTAGATACTGGCTCAGTAACAACTACATCAAAAGTAAGAATATTGGCGGTTTCTCCTCAAGTTAAATGTACTTGTATTATAATGACCTAGTAATTCCACTCTTAGGTATTTACTCAACAGTAATGAAAACATATGTTCCAAAAAAGAGTTGTAAAACAATGTTTGTAGCTTTATTTAAAACAGTAAACCACTGAAAACAGCCCAAATGTCCATCAACAGGTGAATGGATAAACAATTGTGATATATTCACACAACAGAACACTGCACAGCAATAAAAAGAAGCAATAAATATATGCAAGAACTTGCATAAACCTCAAAAACAATGTGATAGACAAAAGAAGCATGCCCACTGCATGACTGCATTTATATGTAATGTTCTAAAACAGGCAAAACTAAATTATGGTGACAGAATTCAACAGAGTTAGGGCAGTGGTGAGAACTGCTGGACTAGAAAGGCATGAGGAATTCTTGATGATAACAGAATTGTTCTATAGCTTGATTGAGGTGGGCATTACATCAATTCTCATGGAACTGAGCACTTAAAACTTGTGCAGATACAGATAATAAAATAAATTCAAAATTAAATAAAAACTTTAAAAAAGAATAAAAGTAAAATGGCCACTTTTATTCAAACTATAGTTACGGTATGCTCTTGAGTGACAGCATTTTGTCTCTGCAACTCTATTTTACAAATACTTTAATGCCCCCTTTTCCCTCTCAATTCATGCTAAGGATGAACAATGAATGGTCTCTTGATGACCGTTTTCACTGAAGAACTAATATTAACTGAAAATACGGATGGGGATTTGCCATCCACTCACACTTCTCTGCCATTTCTACAATACTTTTTTTGCAGGTATTCAATGGTGACAAATGGTTTTACAAAGGGTAAACAATTAGAATATAGGATTCAGCACATTAAACAGACTTCACAGTCTCTTTATTAATCTTGAACTTGGTAATTTCTGAAAATTTTGAATCAATGTGTTTCTGGATACTTTCCAATGACATTTAACAGTTAGACTTAAAAATACAGAAGAAAGCATTATAAGTTTTATCCAAAATGATTATGGCCATCATTTGAATAAAATACAGATTTTGCAAGCTGTAAAGCATATCATTACTACATACTGGTCTAAGTAAGGTTTGGTTCACAAACTACAGAGCTCTAACCAAGTCATTGAATCTATCTAAAAGGGCCTCATTTGAGAAGCAATAAAATTTTTAATCATTTTATTATTAAAAGAGTGTTTAATATGTAGCTAATTAAATGCCAAAGGCAGGTTATCTGAGTTTAACCTTCAAAAAGAAAATGATGTATCAAAATCTGCCTCTGGCATCATGGGATAGAAATGTCATCCTCATAATCATTGCGTGACAACTAGCTGGTGGCCTTTTCTAGAGCTATACTTAAATTACCTGATTAAATTAATAGCCGTTTAGATGTTTTAGGAACTGCACAGACCTATACCAAATGAAAATTAGGTCCATTACATTTTCTGAGTGGGCTAGATAGACCCTAAAATAAAACACGTATGCCATTGCCCACATTACTTAGATTAAGCAATTAAAAGCTCTTTCTAAAAAGTGACTAATTCCCCATAATGTACAGACAACTGAATTTACACTAATGACCAGAGGTAAGTTTTTGGGGGTTTTTTTGGCTGTTTTTCCTTTTCCTCAGATAAAGTCTCTGCATTTGTTTATTTTAAAATAAGAGATTAAAATTTGAACATATCACTTAAATATCTAGGTAGATAAAACTATTTGTTCCATATCTGTAAGACAACGAACAATGATTATGTGTAAGTAAAACAGTAAAGTAGGAAATCATCCTGAGAATTCACCTTACCATCAATGAAGCATTCTAGGAAATAGCTTTCAAACTATTCAATCTCAATTATTTGGAAATAATTTTTAAAAATTAATGCACTCTTTCCTCACTAATTATTTCATATAAAATCCAGATCCTCAACTTATTAAATATATCACAAAAATGCAAACAATATGTTTGTTAATACATTTAAGAAGCAAACCATTATTCCTTCCATATTTCTCCAGTTGAAAATGGATATGATTGAGTGTGAGCTTCAAGAACAGGTTTGATCGGGTGTGATGACTCACACCTGTAATCTCAATGCTTTGGGAAGCTGAGTCAGGTGGATTCCTTGATTCCAGGAGTTCGAGGTCACAGTGAGGCTGCTACTAGACTCCAGCAGCCTGGGCAACAGAGTGAGACTCTCTCTCTTAAAAAAAAAAAAAAGAAAAAAAGTTTGGTCACTGTTATGCCCCAAGTACCTAGAACCGTGTCTAACATGTAGTAGGTATTCAATAAATATTTGTTGGGTTAAAGGCAAGACTGGATTTTTTTTTCAGTTTTAATTAGTATCATTTACTTAAAAATCATCTCAAAATCTTGAAATCCCGTATTTTGACAGTATGTTACAAAATTACAGCTTGGCAAGAAAGTTTTAGGCCAGTGTCATTTGGTATGCGAGTGTGCAATAAACTAACTGCATCAATGTAGTGGGTTCTTTTATTCATATTTAAGGTTTTGCTTAACTTCATTTCATTTCACTTCATTTCATATTTATCAAAGATACAATCTTATATCCTATTCGTGATCTTTAAGGGGCTCAAGATAGATATAAATCCTTAACAATATTTACCTTCAGAATCCTCCCTGTGGCTACAAAACTTTGATCTACTATAAGATCTGGTGCTATTTACAGATAAATTCCACCTGTGACATGTTCATGATGTTCCTAATATTACGTAGAAAGAACCAAGGGGACATTGATAAGATTATGTAAACACAATTCTTTTGGAATCAAAAACACTTACGTATAACTTAGTTGAATGTATATCAGTCTTTCTTCATTAAATTAACATTTAGTGAGGGCTTATGGTGTATCTGCATTGTGCTAGACTCTTTGTAGAAATACAAAGATTCCTAAAACAACCACTGTCTTAAATCTGGTGTGAATGAATAACTAAATTGAGTATGAAAGAGTAATAATAAAAAAAGTACATGGGTAATATTGGAAATATATACATATACGATGGCTATGGAGATGCAGAAAGGTTGAAGTTCCTAGTAGGTGGCTGAGGCAAATTGGGAAAGGGGTTGTAAGTGACTATGTTCAAAACTGTCATATGACAAAACAAAGAGGAAACTTTTACCTGAGGATGGCTAATCTTAAAAAATCCGTAAAAACAGTGTGTGAGAAACTAAATTCAACTTAATACAGGTCCTTTTCAGAAAATGTCAGAATCTGATTTAATGGATTGAGTTAAAAAATTATTTTATTGGCATATTAAAAAATAGTCCAAGTGTAATGCATTTGAACTACTGTGTGATTTTTCATAGTTACCATGGAAAAAAATTCCTACACAGGAACATCATGGGACAATTCCATAATAGAAAAGACAGAGGAATATCACATTTGTAGAAGAGCACAGAAATAACAATGTAAGATTTCCCGCCAGGCGCGGTGGCTCACGCCTGTAATTCCAGCACTTTGGAAGGCCGAGGCAGGCAGATCATGAGGTCAGAAAATCGAAACCATCCTGGCCAACATTGTGAAACCCCTGTCTGTACTAAAATACAAAAAATTAGCTGGGCGTGGTGACGCGCGCCTGTAGTCCCAGCTACCCAGAAAGCTGAAGCAGGGGAATCGCTTGAACCCGGGAGGCGGAAGTTGCAGTGAACCGAGATCACGCCACCGCACTCCAGCCTGGCAACAGAGCAAGACTCCGTCTCAAAAAAAAAAAAAAAAAGATTTCCAAGAGCTCAGGAGCTTTAGGATGTATTTTATAAATAGTGTGCAATATCTCACTGACCCCAAAGCCTGATTATCCTGGGAAGAAGGCTGCGAAGAAGGCCAAAATCTTGCAAGGATTTCAGTGCATGGTAATGCAGGTGGGAGAGAGTGGGAAGGAATAGCCAGGTTACCATAACAGAGATCCATTTTTTTTTTTTTTGAGATGGGGGGGTCTCACTCTGTCACTCAAGCTGGAGGGCAGTGGCACAATCTCGGCTCCCTGCAGCCTCCGCCTCCTGGGCTCGAGTGATCCTCCCACCTCAGCCTCCCAAGTAGCTGGGACTACAGGCATGCACCACCTTGCTGGGCTAATTTTTGTATTTGGGTAGAGATGGAGTTTTACTCTGTTGCCCAGGCTGAGAGATCTAAATTTTAAATGGTATTTTCAGCCTATGCCTGTCTTAGGTTTTGGTTGTCATGTATATTAAGAGGTTTGCTATTTGACATACAATAATATTGACAGGAAAATTCCTTTAATCATTCATAGAAGTCGGTCTCAGCCTAGATATTATTTTGAATGTTACTGGAGCTATTGAGAATGGTATTCAAGTTGTTCAGATGATTATATATATCTTCAAGGAAACCTAGGAATTAATTCATTGTAAGAGATGGGGAAATATTTCATCTCCCCCCTACTCATGATGTGTCTATTTCATATCAGATCTAGTATTGAAATATTGTGGGTAATAGTAATAACCACCATTCCCTGCCTACCTGCTCTGTGTGCTGTGCATACCAGGGTTTCTCAGCCTCTACACTATCCACACTTGGACCAGATAACTCTCTGTCATGGGGCCTGTCTTGTGTATTATAGGGTTTTAGCAGCATCGCTGGCCTCTACCCACCGGAACACTCCCTCCCTAGTTGTGATAACAAAAATATCACTAGATTTTTCCACTGCCCCCTGGCAGGAGGTAGGGAGGTAAAAATTATTCCAAGATGAGAACCACCGTTGTATTTGACACTTTATTTGGTTACCTGTCTATTCTCATTACAATCTTGCGTGGCAGGAATTATTATTCCTGTTTTTAAAATGAGAAAGCTGAGGTTCATAGAAGGATTTAAGATTTAAACCTGGGCATTTTCATCTTTATTCTCTTCACTATACCTGTACCATATTGTCCCCATCTTTAAAGATTTTTGTGCTCCGAATTTTCTAAAAGATTTAACACTAATTCCAGAAACATGCTCATGATACAGATCTAGAAATGTGGTAAAGCGTATAATCACGTTGAGTTTGTGAAGGGCAGTGGGTCCAGTCCAGATTGTCTTGTGGGGTTGCTCTGCCCTCCCGGGGCTGCCACCAAGGTACTCTCCTACTCTGTGACAGCCTTGTGACTGTTTTTAGATAGCAAGTGAAAAAGATCTGAATCATTGGCTGACATTGGTTGTTTTCTGATTTTCAAGCAAAGGGAAGGGGCATTCTTGAAAAATGCCCCTGCTTTTTCTTTGAATTAAGTAACATTTTAAAGTTTTAATTTGAGATCGTGAGCTGGGTCTCTATTTTGACATTTGATTCCAGGGAGCGCAAACATCATTACCAGAACGTTGAGTGAGTTTTCTTTTTCTAAATCCCCCCTGATGATATGGGTTGAGATTTCTACCAGTTATAAGCAGGAGGCCTTGAGTTAGTCTCCTAACCTTTCTTCGCCTGTTTTCTCTTATAGTAAACAAGTGCTTCAGCTATGATCTCTGAAGTCTTTTCTGGCATTTCTTTTCTGCAGCTGCTATTGGATTTTCCTTCTACAAAACTCAGACTTATTTTCTTAGCCTCAATATGGACGAGGGTTACAATCTATTTTAAAGATTTGTTTTTGGAAACTTTCCATCCGTTGAGCTGCTATTTGATTGTCGAAAGAAAGTTTCTAGGAATATCCCTCTTGCAAATAACTTTTCAAGTAGAGAGTTAGAATCCATAATGAACACAAGGAATAAAAGAATTTCACAATTTAAAAGAATTAGAGGTCAGGTGTGGTGGCTCACGCCTGTAATCCCAGCACTTTGGGAGGCCAAGGCAGGCAGATCACTGAGCTCAGGAGTTTGATACCAGCCTGGCCAAAATGGCAAAACCCTGTGTCTACTAAAAATACAAAAAGATAAAAAAAAATAGCCTGGCGTGGTGGCAAGTGCCTGTAGTCCCAGCTGCTCAGGAGGCTGAGGTGGGGGGATTGCTTGCTTGAGCCTGGGCAGTGGAGTTTGCAGTGAGCCGTGATTGTACCACTGCCCTTCAGCCTGGGTGACAGAATGAGAACCTGTCTCAAAAAAAAAAAAAAAAAAATCAGGTCATGACCATCCTAACAAACATACTAAGAACACATTTCCCACTAAGGATACCACAAATAGCAAAAATTTATTGGGTATTCACTGTTATGCTCAGTTCTCACTTCCCTTTACTTGATCTTCTTAGAGATCTCATCTACCATCATGTCTACCTTTGTTTTGTCACAGAAAATCTCTCTTCTGAGCCCCAGATCTATACAAACAATTGCATATTGGAAATCATTTTCACATTTGTTCCACCTTCTTGGTACCTAATGCAGTAAGTTCCAAACTGTTCTTTCCACCCACCCACTCTCTAATTCTAATCCTCTTCCAACATTTTCTACATATGTGAAGAGCTCTACAATTTCTCCAGTTTTCTGGAAGACTCTGAGGGCAGATAAAGGACAATGAAATTTGAAAACAGGTGAATACCAGAGCTGGGTGCAGTGGCACATGCATGTAATCCTAGCCACTAGGGAGGCTTCAGATGGGAGGATCCGTTGAGGCCAGGAGTTCAAGACCAGCCTGGGCAACAGCTGGGCAACAGAGTGAGACCCCTATCTCTGAAAATATAAAATAAACTAAGAAATAAAAATAAAATTAAAAAGATAAGAAAATAGTAAATACAAAAGACAAAGAAACAGAGGGTAGGAAAATAAGCAAGAGGTTGTTATAACTGACCAGGCACAATGGGATGAAGATTTGGAATGGGGAATGGGCTTGACCACTTTATAAATAAATGAATGAATAGGTGATTGGCTGTGTAATTTGTTTGTAGTGGCACATAGTTGTACATTATATGCTTGCATGTAATTTGTATGTAGTTCATTAACAAAAATAATAGGACAAAGAAGAGACATTGAAGGGAATAACACTGATACACTAACTCTGAAGTCACCTAAAATGCATGGTATCATTAATTCTTATTTTTTCGTTACCATGTTCATAGAAAGAGCATGCCCACTTTTATTAAAAGAGTAGCAGGAGGTGTAAAATCTGAAAGCTGTAATTATTTTCGAACTAATTGTGGCTTGGCTCAATATGGTTTGGGGCAAGGAATGACAGTGAAACACCTATTTTTTCAGTGTAGGCTTTTCACTTGGTGTCATTCCTTGGAAAAGGCTAGCAACTTATTCTTCCCTTTCAGGGTTTGTAATGACTTTATCAACAGCCTTGATGCATCTTTCTCAGTTCCTTTTCCTGTACCAAGACATGTGATGACATTTCCAAAAAGGTGATGTCAACATGTTAATAATTTCCCAGGTAAACACACATATTTCTGTGTCAGTAAATCACCAGACATGAATTTTAATTACATGTTGTTCTTAGTCACTAGTGTTGGTACTAGAACTCAGTACTCCTGACCCAACTTATTTCTCCCATCTTTG
The DNA here is from genome assembly GCF_000001405.40 of Homo sapiens. Taxonomy (NCBI): domain Eukaryota; kingdom Metazoa; phylum Chordata; class Mammalia; order Primates; family Hominidae; genus Homo; species Homo sapiens. The sequence goes on from NC_000001.11 coordinate 218,247,703, forward strand.
CTGTTTCCTGAATGAGGTTTCCCAGACCTAGTAAAATCACCAGAAGCCTTTTTGTCTCTCATACAAAATAGCTGTCGAGATCAATAAGAGTTCTGTGTCTAGAGCAGTCTCAGAGATTGCTTATGGGTTTTATTCCATCAATGGAAAAAACAGAAGAAGTGTACCTGCACTACTCTGATTTTGATTTATTTGCTTTGCCTTTAGAAGAAAAAATGAGTATGAAAAATATATGTTTTTTCTGAAAAATTTTCCCCTAGCATTTCCTTTTGTATTTCTCAGGCAAAGTTGGCTGCCATCTTAATGGCAATATAAGGTATCATGGCCTTTTTTCACCCACCCGTTACTCAGAGTCAGTTTTTCACCATCTAGAATTTAGTGCATCTTTGGTGAAGCCTGACAGGTACATGGAGGGTGAGCAGGGGGAGGTTGGAGAAAGGTAAGAGGGCTAAGAAAACAGCTATATAATTTACAATCCTCATTCCCATAAAAGGACAGCAAGCAGGTAAGGTCGAGTATGCTGTCAGAGGGGCACCAGCCAGGCCTCCAAAAGCTACAGGACCCTATTTCATTATCCCACAACCTGCATTGCAGTGCACCAATGTCCCACTCTAGGACCATAGCTAATCTGCTTTGATGAAAGAGGAAAACAATAACCAGGAACCTGAATATGAATGATAGAACTAGCATTGCCTGGTTGCCAACATTCATTTGGAGAACAGTAGTGACAAGTTAGGATAACTAGAACTTATGACCAGAGTCCGTGACATTGTAGCTGTTACCACAGTGCTTCATCAGTGCTAAGTGCATGGGCTTTGAGTCCAGACTCTGATTCTATCATTTGTGAGCTGGATAACCTTAACCTTTCTAAGTTTCAACTTCCTTAATAGGTGATTAGAATGAAGCCAAACCCTTAGAGTTGTTGAGAGAAATGACAACAATAAAAAAAAGTATTCACGTCAAATGCATAATACAGAGATTGGCACATGCTGAGCACACACTAAAAATTAGCTGTTATGATTATGACAGATACCTCACCAGTGTATCTGTGGTGTCAGGCTAATTTTTTGGATTTGCCTACGTAACTTTTGGCTATCTGCCTTTAGCTACTAGAGACTTTCCTCAGTTTCTGTAAGATAGTGTATTAGTCACTTCACACTGCAAACAAAGACGTACCCGACACTGGGTAATTTATAAAGAAAAAGAGGTTAACGAACTCACGGTTCCACATAGCTGGGGAGGCCTCACAATTATCACAGAAGGCGAAAGGCACGTCTTACCTGGCGGCAGGCAAGAGAGAGAAATGAGAGTCAAGTGAAAGGCGAAACCCCTGATCAAACCATCAAATCTCATGAGACTTATTCACTACCACAACAACAGTATGGGGGAAACTGCCCCATGATGCAATTGTCTCCCACCAGATCCCTCTCACAACACGTGGGAATTATGGGAGCTACAATTCGAGATGAGATTTGGGTTGGACACAGCAAAACCATATCAGATAGACTGACCAACTTGGCAAGACACAATAATTAAAAACTCATGCCTTGATCACATCACCACAATTATCAGAATACCCGAGAAGAGAGTTACAAATGTGTTCTGGAAAAGAGAGATGAACAAAATGTTCCTACTGTGCATCACACAGCCTGTATTCATTTCTTATAATTAGTTCTTATCCTTCCCTTGACATAGCTCACCACAGAATAGCATAAAAAGTACAATGAGAATACAACTATAGAAAAATAATCGCATGTGCTATATTGCCATTTACAAAACACAATGCCACTTACAGCAGTTCACAAATGCTGTCTTACAATAAAGAGTTCCATTAACATTAGAGAAACTGAATGTCTCATCCAGAGTGGCCTTTGTGTCAATGATTCCTTTTGTTAGTGGACAGGGAAACGAAGGGGGGAGCAGTAAGTGCTCGCTCTTAACATTTTAGATTTGTAAAGAAAATGATCCATGGGGATGTTTTTGATCTACAGTGAAATGTAATATTCTGTTCAGGAGTTGACATAGTATCACCGCATTGAGCAGGGCAGGTGGGGACAAAGAGGCCCTGCATATTTTTTGCTTGTTTCTTCTCTCATCGACTGGAAATGTGACAGTGTTAGTAGCAAACCTTCTATCCAGTGTATAAAAACCAGGCACTTAGGCATTTTTGAGTGATAATTCAATAGGATTAAATTACACTCATGTGACAACTCAACCTCACTAATGAGGTACATTTCAGTAAACTGTTGACAGAACTGTCTGGAAGCTTCCTTTAATTTACCAACATGTAACAACATGGGAAAAGCATTAGTCAACTAGATGAAGATGAATAAGCAGTGAGGTCTAGGGGTATTTTACATTAATACCCGACAACCAGAAAGAGTTTTTGTCACCTGCTGTATTTAGCCCAAGGCAGGCAGAAAATAACTGGTACCTGTTAGTGTGATTGACTTACCAAAGCAATGAAAGGAATTATCTTGAAGAGGTCTGGTTGGAAAATATGTCAGAAAAATTTCTTTTCCTTTCAGTTAGCAGGAAGCATGTTCCTTGCAAAGTGGGTGATGGTTGCAATGAAGTTGAAAGAATGCTTCAAATCTTTTCAGATGGCAACACCAACACTTTCATTTTTCAAATTCGTTGAGTGAGTCCTGATAGATTTTTAAAATCTGTCTGTATATATTTCTACCCCTGTGTTGATTAAGACTAATGCAGAGTTACCCTTGCCCAACTAAATAATTTATTCCAAGCCAAGAAAAGAAAGAAAATATAAGGAAGGCAGAAGAGCAATAAATAGGAGACAAGGAAACCTGCCTCATTGAAGCATCAAATGCTTATCGAAAAGTAGCTCAAGCTAAGATTATACTGGCTAATAAGAAGAGGGCTATGAAATTATTTGCATGCTTTGAGAAGTGTTCTGAAACTAATGCTTCTATAATGTCTGGCAAGCAATATGGCTGAAGGAAAAAGCAGATTAACTCTATGTGGATGAATACGGTAACCGTTAGGGGGCACTATGGATTCCCAAATGGATATTTAGGTCCCAGGATTTACTGGTCTCAATAGTTATTTTCCATACCTAATTTTTCTAAAAAATGAGAATTTACAGATGTATTTGCAAGAGAACGTGTGTCACAAAGAAAAGGTGGGGACAAAACTGAGACTATTATCTTACTGCATCTGTTGGCCATAAATTAAACAACTGTGCATTTAAGAAGAATTAACGCTTTGAGTATCAAACATAGTAGAGGGGAATGTTGGTTTAGCTAATCCAGACTGTTAGCTAATTCATAAACCATATCTATTTGGTTTTGAAAGCAGAATAGGTTTATAGGGTTTCTTTGCAACAAGTTACCTTTCTCATTTCACCTCAGTATGACTATTGTTCTAGTGAGTTTGCATTTCCAGAACATACAGTGATTTGTTAGAGACCACTGGCAGACAAAGTAGGAGGGAGATGATGGGAAGACCCCATGAGAAAGGAAAAGAACCTTTACAGTTTCAAGTGAGCCAGCTGAAACTGTGCATGGGAACAAAGAAAAGAAAATTATTCAGTGTGATTGTCAACACATTTGTATATAAAATTCCCAGCTGGACCATGAGTAAGAGAAAAGTTCTGCCAATGGATAAGCTCTAGTAGGTCTGAAAATACTGACAAGGTGTTTGTATAACAGAATGGGAAGTACTACAAAAGAGCCAGCTAATTTCAGAGATGAAAGAGTGAAAAAAAAAAAAAAAAGAAATGGTGCTTCTCCAGCCTACCTGGCAGAGCTTCTTCTGTTACTGGCCCCCAAGTACTATAATATCTCTGCCTCTCTGAACATTGTTTCCAATCTTGATAGGAATTATAATGACAATAATCACTAGCATTTATCCCATCCTCTATTATTCATAAAGAACTTTCATCATCTTATTTGTTCCTGAAGTAAGTAGGGCCAGTATTTTTTAATAACACTCGACAGATATTTTATAACACTTGACTTCAGCAACTGCCCTACTGAAGGTAAAAAAACACCCAAATCCTCTAATTCCAAATCCAAGTGCTTTTTTCACTGTGCCAAATTATCTCAAACTGTCAATCCTTGGAACATCCAGAGGCAAAGTTGCAGACTTTGAGAAGGGCTGGTCCAATCCAGGTGAGAATCAAATATCCCAGAAAACAATTGATTACAGTAGTCCTCACAGAGAATTCTAGCAGAGACTTCAGCTTTGTATAGTCAGGCTAGGCATCAGGGAGACAACTGACATGAAACTTGATTGTATCTTTCCTTTACGTTTGTTAAAAAAAAAAAAAAAAAAGGAAGAGGAGATCCAAAGTATTAAAGGCCAAATTTTTTTTAATACATTCACTTTATAGGAAAATACAAAATTAATAATAAAGTAAACTGGCAACAGAGAAAGAAACAATTAGGAATTTATACCTTTAAAATATTTTAGTATAAGGTCTCATTTGAAAATACTCACTTGAACAACAATACTCTTCTCTTCTAATAATGTATATACAGTAGTGGCTAACCTTTGTGTTAAATCTACTTATAAGACTATTCCAGTGTTAGGTCAAATTGATTGTTCTGTCTGTTATTATAACCAATTAACACTCAATTGCCAAGTAAGAGCTTGAGGAGAATAATTTAAAAATTAAAAATAAACAAACGTTATCTAAGATAAACTCAACTGTCTAATCAACTATTAGGACAGTTTTAATCATGTTAATAGCTGATAATAGTTAAGAATTGTGAACTGCTTACTATGAGACAGAAATTGCATTTACAAGCATTATGTAACTTCATCTCTCTATGATTCTATGAATATTGGTGCTGTTATTAGCCACATAGAGATGAGAAAAGATGACTGAGAGCCTGGGCAACTCACCTGCTTCACAAGAGTTAGTAACTAGTAGATCCAACATTTGAATCTAGGTATGTTTTATTCCAGCGTCCTCACCACACTGGCTTGACTTTACCTTAGCTAGATCCTGTTTCTCAGCTAGTTTTCTAATGTTCTGCCCTATTCCTAGTTTTCCTAATCTTTCATTTGTTTTGCTCTGTTCTGGTGATCTAACACAAACAGCTTAGTTTAGAAACATGGGATGAAGTTGAAGCAAGTGGGAGCAAATGGAGTAGATATTAATAGAAAAACCCACTTTTTTTTGATAGGGGAGGTTAGCACCAAGCTGAGTAGCCAGTGCATGGCTATGAATAATATCAAGAGTGATTTTTTTTAAAAAATAAGGAATTCATCTTCTTAATATACTTAAATTTGCATATAAAGATATATTACAAAGATTTTAATAATGTTTATAATAAGAAAGGATAAAAATCTAAATGGCTATCAAAAGGATTATATAAATTATGACAAATACATAAATTGGAATGTTGTGTTACTATTAAACGAAATGGATGCATTTGTGCTAATATAAATCAATCACCAAGACATAGTGTTAAGTGAACAATCAAAGTTCTGAGTAGGTTATGTCTAGTATGTTACCAAATACTTTTTTTTTTTTGAGACGGTGTCTCACTCTGTTGCCCAGGCTGGAGTACAGTGGCGTGATTTGGCTCACTGCAAGCTCTGCCTCCCAGGTTCACGCCATTCTCCTGCCTTAGCTTCCCAAGTAGCTGGGACCACAGGCACCCGCCACCACACCCAGCTAATTTTTTGTATTATTAGTAGAGACTGGGTTTCACCATGTTAGCAAGGATGGTCTCAATCTCCTGACCTCATGATCCACCTGCCTCGGCCTCCCAAAGTGTTGGGATTACAGGCGTGAGCCACCGTGCCCGGCCCCCAAATATTTTTTAAAAGATAGACATATAAACTAATATAGAATAGACTATCAGTGTTATTAATTGTTTCTGTAAAGGGTAACTGAATCAAAGAAAATAATTATTTGTTATTCTAATTATTTTTTATCATATGCATGAATTACTTAAAAGTATTTTAACATTAATAAAAATTAATAGATGCTCAATCAACGTTCGTTGACCTGAACAGTGATTAGAACACATGAGCCATGTGAATCCAGAAGCACTAGACTTGGAATCAGACGTCAATTTTAAATTTGGCTCTGTCACCACTAGCTGGATTTCTTTGTATAAGATCTGAATCTTTTAGTTTCAATTTCTTCTTAAGGGAAATTGGTATACTAATATCTACCCCACAACTCACAGGTTCTCAAGGATCAGATGAGGTAATATAAAGATTCTCTAAAGTGTAAAAATGGTATTGTTGTTATTTATGGGTGAGGCATGTTCTAGTTCATGCAGTCAGAAAGGGAAGAGTTAACATATACAGTTAGATTTGCTACATCAAGCAAATCAACCAAATATATGTCAAATATCCACTTGGAACCATATTCCTATTGTATTAACATCGACTGTGAAGACATTTTTCATCTCATAAAGGGGAAAATATTCACTTGAAAACATACTTGCGTGAATCTTTGTGATAGAAGGTAAACCACACAGGAGATCTGGGAAGACAGAGAGAAACAGTACTGTTCCTTGGAAGAAGAAGAGAAAGAGGAGAGAAGAAAGGATGATAACTAGATTAGTCAAAGATCAGGGGCTCAGCAATGTGACCCCACCACATCACTTGCCAATAAAACCCCGAAAGGGTGGAGGTGAGTAGATTGTGAAGAAAGCCAGTAAAAGGGCTAAGCACTACATTCAGGGAGCCGCTCAGAAAAAAAAAAAAAAAAAAAAAAAAAAAAGGAGAATTCAAGCGAGATGGAGAGAAAAGAATAAGGAAGTAAAAATGCAGAGCCCCTGGGGAATAAAAGGAGGAGTTTTGTAATGCCACTGACAAGGATTGAGATCCAGGCCAGACTGACTTTAGAAGTCTAAGGGGCAGGGGCCCCAGCTGACTTCAGGGTAACATACTATTTCCCCAAATATGTGCTTGGCCATTAAAGTTCAATACACTGTAACGTGAGTCTGCGGTTGCAGAATACAACTCCCGGATAGCCAGCCCAGTGGATTGATTATCCACAATCAGCAGGAACATTCCTAGGTGAAGTGCAAATTGCTTCCCTGGTGCTTGACCCTTCCAAACCATAATGATAATTGCTGCTGTGTTGCAAGCTGGGCTTATGAACAACTCCAGGGTTGGTGCCCTCCCCTCCAGTAAGGCTACCAAGTAGTGTGGACTATGTACATCTGATTGTGACAAATTACTGGTTTACGTGCTCATCAGTGCACAGTGGTAGGTACTTTGTAACGTCACCAAAGCAGAAAACAACACTCCTCTCTCCTCAAAATAATAAAACAAAATTACTGCTTCTATATATTTTTGGTAGAAAATAAAATAGGTTCAAATTTAATCACATAAGCAGTAAATCAAATATCAAATTTAAAACAATGAACTACAAAGAGCCTCCTCGAAGTCATTTAGCATTGATAAATTAGTAATGTATTATTAAATTATTCATATCTTTTTTCCTTTGGACTATAATGATATACTGTACACAGCACTGATAATTTACTTAGGCTGAGTCCTTTCATTTAATTATGCTGCTAAACTTGGTAGGCCAATTGGTCATCATGAGAATTTCCAGGCAAGCTAATCACAAATATATAGAACATGTCCCTTATTGTCCCCAGCGGCTAAGTGCTAAAATGCTATTTAGTGCTCAGAAGGTTAATGTCCTGCTTATGTAAATTGTCCAATTTAACATTCAGCAGCAGTATCATAAATTCTGGCTCCAGGATTTCATTAAACGTATGTTCAAACTAGTTGACCTTAAAGGTTAACAAGCACAAGTTAAACAGGACAATTATTTAACTCACTTCTTATCAAGAGACTGAAGCGTACTAGACATTTAATAGCTCTGCATACTTCACAATTAGAATTCTTATAAGGCCTCTGATAAAACTGCAGGTCATGAATTTTCATAAGGATGTCAGATAATAACTATTTATCTGCACTTGTTTTTCTTTCTTATAAACTTAAACTTTGCTCTTAACATTCAATTAGAAATGATTCCACAGAGAAAGACTAGGTGACTCAAAGAGCTAGTATTCACTTTCTTTTGGGGCTGCATGAAGATTTAAAACATGTTATCTGCATTGTCATTGATGGAAATTAATATAAAAGTCAGAGGCTCACTATCAAGTGCACAAGACTCAAGCGAGATATTTGGCCCAATGTTGAGTCACAACGTTGCTTACTGTTTTTGGACATTAGACTAAACATTTGATTATTTTCTTAAAAGTCTCCCTCAGTTCCTATTGATCTACCGGAGAAAATTTATTTTCCATTGCATTTATTTTGTTATGAGTTTTAATACGATGTGAAAGAAAGATGATGTGAGACATCCTTTTCCTCTCCAGTCTTGTTTTCTCTCCTTGTTCTCCTTGGGCATTGTGAAATATGAGCAAAATCTGGGAGTGATTGCCACAGTCTTGTTACCTACAGCTCAGGTGAGGCATTGAGAGAAGTCTGGGGGCTGGCTGACATTTCCACACACTTCTCACTGCGGCAGGATCAAGCAACGGCTTTGGGGATATATTAAATTGGTAATCATGCACCAGCAATCTCAATAGTTGAAAGCCACTGTACACCAGGAAAGGCACAGGAAGCATTATCTCCTTGCAGGTTCAACTGTTCATAATGCATGCTATTTGGAAGATAAAGCCACAAATAAGAGCAAACAGGATTTTATTAATAAACCATGAGCTGAATTTCTGTTAGGAGCTGAAATGGAGCAAACTATGTCGTAATTGCCTATAGGTAAATTTACTGGGTGCATAGTAACTTTTAAAATTTGGTAATGATCATTAAAAATAATTAAATGTAATAATAGAAAAAGAATAGTAGATAGATAGATAGATAGATAGATAGATAGATAGATAGATAGATATAGATAGATTAAATAATACCTATCCTTGGCCCAGTTCCTTATTCTGCACTTCTTATTTCCCCCAGAGGTTACTTATTGTTAGGAGCTGTTTAAAGAAATGATATAAGGAAGAAATATTTTCTAGCATGAAAAAGTGTGACAGTGTTTTATACCTTCTTGTGTTGCTCTTCATCCAAACTTCATCTTTTGAATATTTGCTTCAAATCCCGCCTGAAAGGGGACATAAATAAAGTGAAATGGCTAATGGACTAAAAACACTTATGATCAGGTTTTCATAACTAACATTATTGATAGCTTCTCTCACACATGTACTCGCACATAGTGCAATATCCATTTCTAAAATAAGATTTAGAGCCCTATTTGCAATAAAAAGGCGAGCGCATGCAAATAAAGAATGCCAAAGTGAGGCCTAGGGATGGTATTTCCCTAGAGAGGGAGAAAAGGACCTCCTTCTAAAGCAGAGCATCAGAGTTGACCACAGAGGGGGCACAGAATACTTTTTCAGATTTCAGACTTAGCTGTGCTTTTTTGTGTGTCCTCTGGAAGGGTCTTAAAAAGCAGCGAGTTGTGTCTTTCGTTTGGAAATGACTACTTTTTTCTACTTAATGGCACTAGTTTTTGAACTTGCTTGTGTAAATAGATTCCTATGTCTGTGCATTAAATACAATAACAAAGAGTGTCATGCAGGAAATGTGACACAGTACAAATAAAGAGGCTGGCAAGATGGAAATATTTTCATGGGATCTAGTGTTTTCTATTATCAATTTGAATGTGGTTTTCCTTCTTCTGATCTCTATTATAGCAAAGACAGTAGAAGAAATGCTTTTTCAATGCCTAGAAATTCATTTGGGGAAAAAAATAATTTTTATAAATCACTTTCTCTTTAAAAATATTTTAGCTGTAATTGCAATAAGAAGATGCTAACAAAGTAGAAAGCATTTTATCTGTTTTTTGCTATTTTAATATTTGGGGAAATAATTTTCTTTCATTTTAGGTTCTATTTTTCCCATGTCAGCAGAAATTTTTTTTCTTCAAAATCTGGACTTTAAAACGTTATTCTATAAACAATTAAATGCAGATTACATGGTAAACAGTAAATTATGTTGTTATTAAATTAATTTCAAAGAGCATAGTATTTGTGGGATTGATATACATAGCCACTCATGTTTACAGCTTCTATCATGGTAGGATACCCTCTCTCAATTATGATCAAAAAGTTCTAGCTCATCACTTAATAAGCTATAACCTTTGGCCAGGAAGTTTACTCCTTCATTCCACCAATAAATACTGACCATCCAGTACATTCTGGACTCTGCAATTTAAACAGTTAAACAACTCAAACATGAAACCTTCATTCAAGAAATTTTATTCTACTTAACTAACTTCTCCAAAGCTCAGTTGCTCCTTCTATTAATATGGGGCTATAAAACATCTAATTTGTGAGGAGCATGTGGGGTACAAGGAATGGATGAGATAATTCATGTGAAGGAATTGTAAGTCCCAATAAATCAGCTAATATTTCTACTGGATTATAATTTTTTTAAGAGTTAGAGCAGTTTCCTATTTACTTTTGTATCCCCTGCACTTTGCACAATGCTCAGCATTTAGTAGACACTTCGTAAATATTGGTTGCATAATTATGAACAACAAACATAGACCAAATTAGTCACTGCCTCATCCTGCTGTTCTTCTTACATTTGGTACGGTGCTTTTAACAATACCACACAAAGTGAGAGCATGTCTTGTTCATCTTTGTATTCCTCTTCCCCTTACCTGACACAATCCCTACACATAGAGGATACTTGAAATTTATTTGATTAAAAAGTCTGTTGGTTAATTATCATTGAAAATAGAAAACTTAAGCACTTAGGAGAAGTGGAGCAAGATGGCAGAGTAAGAACCTCCAGCAATCATCCTCCCACAGAAACATCAATTTGAAAAATTATTTACACACAAAAATGCCTTCATAAGAGCTAAGGAAAACAGGTGAGAGATCAAAGTACCTTGTTGTGATGCACCGAAGAGGATAGGAAAGACAGGTTTACATTACCTGTTTCACCCTTTCCCTAACCCCAAGCAGTACAATGCAGAGAGAGATTCTGTATGCTTGGGGGAAAGAGAGGGAAGTTAGCACAGGACTTGTCCCTGGACCCCACAGCTCCAGGGTTCAGGCTTGCATGGTGGACTTGATCTCTAGTCTGCATTGCCACCAGGCTGATATCAGTGGCCCTGGGCTCCAGGCAGCCCTCAATGACAGGCATCCTTCAGTGTGTCTGGGCTTCTTGCAGCACCATGCCAGCCACAGTTGCCTAGGGCTTCTAGTATGCCCCAGTGCCACCCCTGCTATAGAGCTTTCCCAGACAAAGCCAGTCTGCAAAGACTAGAATAAGTAGCTACTTCTTCAAATGTGCGGATATTGATGTGTGACTACAAAGATCAAGAACAATCAGGGGTATACAACCTCCAAGTGCTAAATTTTACTGGCTTAAAAAATAATAATAGAAAGAACAATCAGGGAAACATGTCATCACCAAATGGAAAAAATAAGGTACAAATGACCAACCCTTAAGAAATGGAGATGTAGAAACTACCTGACAAAGGATTCAAAATAACTGTTTTAAGGAAGCTCAGCAAACTTCAAGAAAATACAGAGAAACCCTAATACAGGTACAGAATTGAATGTGAATTTAGAATGAGAAAATAAATCACAACAATTTATTGGACTCTTGGGAAAAAAAAATACAGAGAAACAGTTAAACAAAATGAGGAAAACAATGTGACCAGAATTAGAAACGTAATGAAAAATTAAAATAATACTTTTTAAAAATAAAACAGAAATCCTGGAGCTGAAAATACAATAAAGAAAATGAGAAATGCAATAGAGAATGTCAACAAGAGAATTGATCAGGCATAAGAAAACTCAAGAACTTAGCCATGTCCACATGGACCCCTTTGGAACTGGTCTCCACCACAGCCCTATCCCATTGGCTAGCTGCCAATACTGAAAATTTTAAATCTGTAGTCTCAGTCCTACCCAGTATTTAAGACAATTCTAACAATGTGTGTAAGCATGTAAGAGGCTAGTTGGACATTAGTAAAGGTTTCCCTGAGGAAGGGACTTTTAAAGTAGCATTTAGATGATGAGTAGGAAGAATTGCAGGGGAGAAAAAACATCCTTCAAAGAAAATAACATGTACAAAGGATGATAAATGGAAGAGAAGATAGCAAATTTGTGAAACTAAAAGAAATCCAGCATGCCTGAAGCATAAGTTAGGAGAGTGGTCTGGATTTCTCAACCCCCGGACCATTGACATTATTTGTGGCCAGATAATTTTTTGTTGTGGGGGTGGGGTCCGTCTCGTACTTTGTAGGGTGTTTTGCAGCATACCCACTAGGTGGCAATAACACACCTCAATGTGACAATGAAAAATGTCTCAGATAATGACCCTCTGGAGAAAAACTCTCTGGGGTTGAAATACTGAGCTATTAGGCAATTGCGGAATCATGCAGGCAACGTAGGTTTTGAAGAGGAATGTATAGGAGATTATTATGATCTGACTTGCATTAAAAAAAAAAATTCCCTATATCTCTGAGAGCACGCAGACAGACAGGTTAGAGTTGATTCCAGAATCCACTGGAGGAGCGATGAGGTTTGGACTGAGGTAGTGGTAGCAGAATGGAGAAAAGCTGATAGATTTGAGAGGTATTAGGTAGTAGAATGCAAGTAGCATTAATAATCTTTATGACAATTTTCACTGTTTTATCTGATCTGTTCTGCTGGTTCTTCCTCAAGCTTTGAGCTGGGCTTCTGGTTGTGTTATAACTTCTGATTTCAATTGATTACATTTTTTTTTTTTTTAGATTCAGGAAACTTCTTTGCTTATTTATTTCAGAGGATAATTTTTAACTCTGCACTTCTTATTAAGTCTGACCGCGGACTGTGTGTGTGTTCTGAAAAACGTTGTTTGCATTTTCTCTTGAAGTGAAACCCAGGCTAAACGTGTACCTTTTGGTGATCTACCTGTTTTTCCTGAGAGTAGGATTACTAGAAGCTTGTCAAAGCAGTTCCTATCATTCCGCTGATCTTTATTTGACAAGAAAAACTCGGGGAGGAATCTCAAGTTTAAAGGAAAAAGCATCATTGTTGAGTCTTCCAGAGTCTAAGCATCTGCTAAAGTTGACAGAATAGTCTTTTGGTTATCTCACAGAAAAATCAACAATAGTCAAAATATATGTATTGCCCTATTTACTGGGTTTCAGTACAATTTTATTATGCCCACCCTCACACAGTACAAGGCCTTTTCCATTAGTAAAAGAAGGAACAAAAGGTCATAGCTTCCCTGCAACTTTTATCCACTAATTAGAGAGACCTTTTACTAGAGAACATAATTGGGCCATTACTAAATTTCTCTACAAAATAAAAAATATACAATTTCATTATTGTTGGTTTTCTTTTGAGTAAGACACAGATCATCCATGGATGTTCAAAAATTAGTAAGAACATTACTGATGGGTTTTCTAAATGTGAGATTCCAGCCCCAGGGATTCTATTAGTATTCTTTGTATTTAAAAGCCTATTGGCTAGGTAGGCATTTGGAAGCTGCTTCTTATCCAAACCATTCCAAATATATAATTTTACAATAATGAATCACATTAAATGTCAAGTGCAGAAATACTATTGGCACTGAGACAAAAAATATTTCATTTAGCAAGAACACTGAGGTTTCCTTAAAGCCAGCAATGTTTCATAAACAACATAAAAAGACCCCCTCATAAAGATCTGTGAGTAGACACATACAGTAACAAGATCAGTGGTACCCATTACAACCAAGGTTGTAGGTATATATCTGGATCAGCACATCCGAATCCAGCCTCCGAGAGCCAATTGCTTCACAGAGACATCTTCCTTGAGGTGAAGCTTCCTCTAAATTCTATTGCAAATGTCAACATTCTTCTTCCATTTTCTCCTGTACAGTGCCAAGTTCCTAGTGCAATGAGTTTGATGAAGTCAACACCCAATTGTGTCTAGTTTCCTTCTAAAGAAAATTAAATGTTAGGTTTTCTACTTTCATTTGAATAAGTTGATCTTAAATGGCAAAATGACCAAAGTTTTCTTTTTAAAAATTAGAAAATCCAATAGGCAATGTGATATAGCTTACTTTGTAAGTATTTGTTATATAATAGCTGGGCACAGTGGCTCATGCCTGTAACCCCAGCACTTTGAGGGGCCGAGGTGAGAGGATCACTTGAGACCAGGAGTTCAAGACAAGTCTGGGCAACATAGCAAGATACCATCTCTACAAAAAAAATTAAAAATTAAAAAAGTATTTATTGTAATAATGCCCATTTTCCATGTGTTGTAATAATGCCTATAATGAGTCCTGATGAAACACATGACTATCCCCATTTTTTCTTTTCTTTTTTTTGAGACAGAGTCTCACTCTTTTGCCCAGGCTGGTGTGCAGTGGCATGAAATCTGTTCACTGCAACCTCTGCCTCCCGGGTTCAAATGATTCTCGTGCCTCAGCCTCCCGAGTAGCTGGGATTACAGGAATGCACCACCATGCTCAGCTAATTTTTGTATTTTTAGTAGAGACGGGGTTTCGCCATGTTAATCAGGACGGTCTCAAACTCCTGATCTCAGGTGATCCACCCGCCTCAGCCTCCTAAAGTGCTGGGATTACAGGCATGAGCCACCTCGCCTATCCTGTATTTTGCTTAAGGAAAGTTCTTCCTATCAATACCACAACAACTCCTCAAGGTAGTGAAGTTCAAGAAACTGGAAGTTAATATGTCAGTAGAGGCTGGAAGAAAGTCTGAAAAAGCTAAGCTTGTTAGCCACGGAGAGGCAACATGGTGCAGAGGAAAGAGCACAGACATAAGAGTTAGACATATGAGTGCTGGACAGTTCCTCCTAGGTGGCCTTGGGCATATTTGTCTCAACCCACGTGAGTCTCTTAATAGTATATAGCTAAAGACTTCTCAGACATTAAAATTCTATGCCTATAAGAAAGAAATCCAGAAGATTACATGTTTTCTTTTGCTCTTCTCTGACTTTAGTATGGTCATAAGGGGCAACAAAAAAATAAATTCCCTTGTTAAGAATACACAAGTTTGTCTTTTGGTGATTAATTCCCTAATCTCTTTCTCAACTCAGGAGCTGCTTCACTAGACTCACTGCATATTGCGATCCCTTTCCGTTCAGGTCCAGGATTATTCTGAAAATGGAAATGTTTTTCTCTTACTGCTAGGCATCAAGTGTTCAGATCAAGCCTGGGAGGCTAAACAAATTTCTGAATTGTCAAAACTTTAAACTTCCTGTCACTACCCATCTGTGAATCAGAAATTCCACCAAGAGAATACCTACTTTCTTAGACAAAGAAGGCTGAGGGCTGAGTGGTGCATTGTGCCTCTTGTTGAGTTCATATTTTGATCCCAGTAAGTGTAGCCAATACTCACAAATTCGGTAAGAAAAAAAGACTGCAAAACATCTGTAGGGTAATAGCATTAGTCCTCTGTGCTTACCATCCTCTCCAGATACTGAGAAAAAAATCATACTTTAGTTCTGGCAATAGTGCAGTAAAAGAGAAGAAAATCTAATGATAGAAGTCCTCATCCTCATGTCGTGGTATAATGGACATTGGAGACCCAGAAGCAGGGAGAGGACCAGGCGCAATGGTTCATGCCTGTAATGCCAGCACTGTGGGAGGCCAAGGGAGTGAATCACTTGAGCTCAGGAGTTCCAAACCAGCCTGGGCAACATAGCGAGAGGCCTCCTCTCTATTATTATTATTATTATTATTATTAGAAGAAGAAGAAGAGAAGAGAAGCTGGGAAGGTGAGAGATAGGTGAGGGATTAAAAAAAAAAAAACACCTATTGGGTGAGGGCTGGTGGCTCATACCTGGAATCCCAGCACTGTGGAAGCCGAGGTGGGCAGATCGCTTGAGCCCAGGAGTTCAGGACCAGCCTGGACAATATGGCAAAACTCTGTCTCCACAAAAAATATGAAGACATTAGCCAGGCATGGTGGCATGCACCTGTAGTCCCAGCTACTGGGGGGCTGAGGTGGGAAGATGACTTGAGCTTTGGAGGCGGAGGTTGCAGTAAGCCAAGATCACACTACTGCACTCCAGCCTGGGTGACAATGTGAGACCCTGTCTCAAAAAAAAAAAAAAAAAGAAAAAGAGAGAGAGAAAGAAAAAGAAAGAAAGAAAGAGAGAGAGAGAGAAAGAAAAAGAAAGAAAGAAAGAAAGAAAGAAAGAAAGAGAAAGAAAGAAAGAAGAAAAGAAAAGAAAAGAAAAAAGAAAAGAAAGGTCACTTGTTGGGTACAATGTACACTATTGGGTTGACATTAAAAGCCCAAACTTCACCACTATATAATTCATCAGTGTAACCAAAAATTACTTGTACCCCTAAAGCTACTGAAAAATAAAATGAAATAAAAATTCTCATGTCACAATATTTAGGATACAAGTAGTATATATACCACAATTATGATCCATGTTATATTTAAATATAAATAAATGTAAGGTTCTTTCTCCATAAGCAACTTTTTCAAAATTCTTACAATGAAAATTTATTATTTTATTGTTAAAAAAAAAAAAAACAATAAAGGCCGGGAACCATGGCTCACACCTGTAATCCCAGCACTTCAGGAGGCTGAGGCAGGTGAATCACTTGAGGCCAGGAGTTCAAGACCAGCCTGGCCAACATAGCAAAACTCTGTCTCTACTGAAAATACAAAAAAATTAGCCAAGCATGATGGCACACACCTGTAATCCCAGATACTCAGGGTCTGAGGCAGGAGAATCACTTGAATCCAGGAGGCAGAGGTTGCAGTGAGCCAAGATTGTGCCACTGCACTCCAGCCTGGGCAACAGAGTGAGAAAAAAAAAAGAATTATCTTAGTTTGTCTCAAGCTCATCCATGGTTGGGCTCTGTGTCCTCACCTAGAATAGTGTCTGGCATATAAAGGGTACCCAACAATTTTTTTTTATTGAAAGATATTAACAAGTACATAAGACGATTTCATATCCCAGTAATGCTATGAAGATTCCTTATAATAACTATGGTTCTCAACACTTGCCTGAACTAAATATTTCCTACAAGGGGAGTCTGGATAATAATTTGGAGATATGAATTTGTATTTTGCTCTCTAACCCCTCCCTCCTTTTCAGTTTTAAGTAGATAACTAGGCCTTTGTATTTCCCTGACCTTGTGACTTGTGCAGAGTTGTAAATGAGCTGTCTGAAATCTGGTACTCTTCAAGTTTTTGTAAAATCATGAACTCACTCTAAGAGATTATGTGTTTGAGGGGTGTTGGAAGAGAGAATGCCTTTAAGAGTAACAAAGGAGAGGAGAGAAATTTCCTGTGGACTGATAACAGGGAGAGGGGGGTTATTCCAAGGCTGCAGCACAGGGAGGCCATGAATGTGTGGAAAAGGGTCACCCCCAAGTCATCACACCATCTTTCTTAGGTGAGACGGCCTGGCCCATAGGCTGCCATAGGATTTCGTAGTTGCTTCATGACCTCATATCTCCCAAAGAAAGACGTTCAACTGTATCTGAATTTTGACTACGTTCCACTAATTGATGATATGAACTCCATCATTATTGCATTGTATTAGTCAGGGTTCTCTAGAGGGACAGAACTAATGGAATAGGTATATACATATAAAGGGGAGTTTACTAAGTATTAACTCACATGATCACAAGGTCTCAGGCTGAGGAGCAAGGAGAGCCAGTCTGAGTTCCAAAACTGAAGCACTTGGAGTCTGATATTCCAGGGCAGGAAGCATCCAGAACAGGAGATAATGTAGGCTGGGAGGCTAGGTCTGTCTCTCTTTTCACATTTTTCTGCCTGCTTATATTCTAGCCATGCTGGCAGCTGATTAGATGGTGCCTACCCACATTAAGGATAAGTCTGTCTTTCCCAGTCCACTGACTCAAATGTTAATCTCCTTTGGCAACACCCTCACAGACACACCCAGGATCAATACTTTGTATCCTTCAATCCAATCAAGTTGACACTCAGTATTACCATCACATGCATCTCCCAGTTTCCATAAATCACCACTTGAAGCCTCCTAGGTCATCCATTTTCACCTAGACACTTGTCCTATGCTGCTTGGAAAAATCTCTAATGTGATCCAATATCTCTACTCCCTGTCCTTGCAAACCCATCTACTATTCCCTACATCAACCAAAATCTTCCATCAGCAAATTCCCAACCTCTTCTTTCAGAAATCCTTTCACATCCTTGTTCAACTGGAACTTGGCTGGCCTTAGAGCTCTTTCACAGGTAGGCTGTTTTTCCTTTTACTGCCACACCTAAGGTAGATGAACTATCCTTCACGTTTCTCTTTGCCAATCTTCTCCTCTTTGAAAACCAAGGCTTCTCTGAAGTGTCTGATCCATATTTGTCTTATAGTATCATCCTTCAGTCTCAGCACCTATTCATTAGGAATACTAGCACCTGTTGTCCACTTCGAAGACCTCAGCATTCACGTAGACCTATGGTTCTCACCCTCACTGTACATTAGAATAAGCTGCTTTTTTTTTTTTTAATACGACTGCTAATACTCTATCCCCAGAGATTTAGATTTGGTTATTCATGAATAGGACTTGACTCTCAGTAGGAAGCAGATCTTCTCGCCAACCCACCCCTAGTCTGTCCCATAGAAGCACTCTAATTTCCCTGCCCAGAGGTATTCAGGGAGAATAGACAATTGATTTTCAATTCACTGCCTAATAGAAGCAGGCAGTGCTTTGATGCTTTGATTCCCCTGCCAGGTGATGTAAAAGGCTGAATGGGGAGAAGTCTTCCATGCCCTGCTCTGCCATATGGTGCTCTGATTCCCTCACCAAGATAGTGTCAGTAGAGCCCAGCAAATAGCTGAGCCTCCACCCCACCTGGCAGCAAAAAGGCCTAGTGTCACTGGGGCCTTGCACAACAAAGCTTGTGTCAGATCACCACGTCTTTCCTCCTTGGAGTCAGTATGGTCCAACAGGAAGCTGAGCTTACCCCTCTACTCGGAAGCATTTGGTGGTATGAGTCAGTGTTCTAATTGCTGGGGTGGTATTAGTAAAGTCCAGTGGGAAAATGAGCACACACAGCTACTTGGCTCTTATGTTATACCTTAACAGGGGGACTGTCTGCTAAGAAAAGAAAATTAAACAGATCCAGAATCTCATAATATAACATCTAGAATTTTTAATAGGGTCTAGAGTCATAATATCATATCTAAGCAGTCCGAAATACAATTTAGAAAATCACCTGGCTCGGTGCAGTGGCTCACACCTGTAATCCTAGCACTTTGGGAGGCTGAGGCAGGAAGATAGCTTGAGCTCAGGAGTTCGAGACCAGCCTGGGCAACATAGTGAGACCTTGTCTCTGCAGAAAAAAATTTAAAATTAGCCAAATGTCGTGGTATGCGCCTGTGGTCCCAGCTACTCGGGAGGCTGACGTGGGAGGATCACTTGAGCCTAGGAGCTTGATACTGCAGGTGAGCTATGATTGTACCACTGCACTCCAGCCTGAGCAACAGTGTGAGACCCTGTCTCAAAAAAAAATTTTTTTTTAATTACTTATTGTCTTAGTCTGTTTTGTTCTGTTTAACAGAATACCTGAGACTGGGTGATTTATAATAAACAGAAATTTATTGGCTCACAGTTTTGGAGACTGGGAAGTCCAAGATTCAGGGGCTGGCATTTGGCAAGGGTCTTCTTGCTGTGTCATCACATAGCAGAAGGCAAGAGGGCAAGAAACGGTGACAGAGAGAGCAAGAGAGAACTAAACTTGTCCTTTTATAAGGATCCCACGCCCATGATAATGGCATTAATCCATTCATGAGGGCAGTTTCCTCATGACTTAAAAAACCTCCCATCAGGCCCCATCTCCCAACACTGCCACATGGAGGATCAAGTTTCCAACACATGAACTTTGGCGGACACATTCAAACCATAAAACTTGTCATAGTAAAAATCAGTGAAATCACAATTTGAATGGAAAGAGGCAGTCCATAGACTCCAACACCGAAAATCAGATGTTGGATTATCTGATAAAAAATTTTAAAAGAGGCATTATAAAAATGCTTAAACAAGTATTTATGATTTTTTGAAACAAATGAAAAAATAGAAAAATCTCAGCAAAGAAATAGAAGTTATAGAGAGAGAAAAAAAATGAAAATTATAGAAGTAGAAAATACAATAGCCAAATAAAATGCAAGAAATTGCCTGGATGGGTTCAATAATAGAGTAGAAGTGACAGAAGATGAATCATTGAACTTCATGATAGATCAATAGAATTTAGTCAATCTGAATAATGGAGAGAAAAACAGACAAGATCTGAAGAAAAATAACAAAAGAGCTAACACATATATCATCAGAGTCTCAGAAAAAAAGGAGAGAAAGGGAAGGAGATTGAAAAAATAATTCAAGAAAATAATGGCTGAAAACTTTCTAAATGTGGTGAAAGATTTAAATCTACAGATTCAAGAAGCTGAGCAAACCCTAATTAGGATAAATCTGTAGGAATCAACTCCAAGAGACATCATAGTTAAATTCGAAAAACTAAAGACCAAAATTTTATTTAATCTTAAAATCAGCCAGAGAGAAAAGACTCATTCTATATAGAGGAACATCAATTCAAACAACAGCAAGTGTCTCATTTCAAACCATCAAGGCCAAAAGGTAGTGGCACAATACTTTTCAATAACTGAAGAAAAAGAACTGTCAGCTGCAAATTCTGTATCTGATGAAAACATCCTTTAGAAATGAAGGGAGAATAAAGACATTTTCAGAAGAATAAAAAATCAGAGAAATTGTTTCTAGCAAGTCCTCCTTTAAAGAATGGCTGGAGGAAGTTCCCTAAACAGAAAGAAAATGGTAACACAAGAAAGCTTGAAATTTTAGAAAGGGAAGAACACTGGAATGGCTAAAATAGGAGTAAATATAATAGACTATGCTCAGGAATTTCTTAAATCATATTTTATGGTTGAAGTACAAATTTTAACATTATATGATATGGTGCTCAATGAGTATAAAGGAAATACTTAAGACAATTATACTTAAAAAGTGTGGCAGGTAAAGAAACCTAAATGGAAGTAAGGTTTCTACATTTCACTCCAAGTGGTAAAGCTTCAGTATCAGTAGACAGGGAAGTTATGTATGTCCATTATAATACCTTGAGCAAGCACCAAGAAAACTATGTAATATGATATATCCAAAGTACTATAAACAAGTCAGAAAGGAATCCTAAAAAATTTTAAAGTAAGCCACAGAAAGGTAAGAAAAGAGAAACAGAAAGAAATAAGAAACAGAGAAAACAAATAATGAAATGGCAAATTTACATCTTTGCATATCAATAGTTACTTTATTTATTTCTTTGAGACAGGGTCTCACTCTGTAGCCCAAGCTGGAGTGCAATGGTATGATCATAGCTCACTGCAACTTTGAATTCCTATGCTCAAGCAATCTTCCTGCTTCAGCCTCTCGAGTAGCCAGGAATACAGGCATGTGCCTCAATGCCTGGCTAATTTTTAAATTTTTTGTAGAGATGGGGTCTCACCATGTTGCCCAGACTGGGCTCAAACGTCTGACCGCAAGTGATCCTCCCACTTTGGCCTCCCAAAGTGCTGGGATTACAGGCATAAGCCACCGCATCCAGCCAATAGTTACTTTAAATACAAATGGTCTAAATAAACCTATTTCAAAAACAGAGATTGACAGAGTAGGTTTAAAAACGTGATTCAATAATACGCTGGCTACAAAAAATCTCACTGCAAATACTTCATAGGTAGGTTGAAAATAAAAGGAAGGGAAAAGGTATACCATGTAAATATTTTTGAAAAAACCCAAAGGGGCTCTATTAATATCAGGTAAAGTAGACTTCAGAGCAAAGAAAATCACTAGGAATAAAGAAAAGTATTATGTAACAATAAAATAATTAATTCATCTGGAAGATATAACAATCTTAAATGTGTCTACACCAATAGAGACTCAAAATAAATAAAGGCTGGGTACAGTGGCTCACACCTGCAATGCCAGCACTTTGGGAGACTGAAGGTGGCAGATCACGTGAGCTCAGGTGTTCGAGACTAGCCTGGGCAAAATGAAGAAACCCCATCTCTATAAAAAAAAAAAAAAAAAATTAGCTGAGTTTGGTGGCACGTGCCTGTAGTCCAGGCTACTTGGGAGGCTGAGGTGGGACGATCGCTTGAGCCTGGGAGGTGGAGGTTGCAGTGAACTGAGATCTCACCACTGCACTCCAGCCTGGTGACAGAGTGAGACCCTGTTTCAAAAAAGAAAGGAAGGAAGGAAGGAAGGGAGGAAAATAAATGAAGCAAAAACTGATAGAGCTGAAATCCATGGCTCAGGGCATCTCACTTACTATTTCTGACCCAAAATATATCCTCATCTGTAAAATGAGGATATTAAGAACCTATGTATATTTCCTGGTATATAGTAAGTACTCAGTAAATGGAGCACTGACAATCTTAGCTTCTGATGGCTATTGAGAAGTGTTACAAAATGGTATAGCCCACCTGATCTGCTTTACTCAAGAAAAGCCTCTCCTCTCACCATTGCAGCAGCTAATGATTGGGGCTGCAGCTCATCAGAAAACTCAGGGCTGCTCTAGCCAAGAGCTTCGTGGGACTCCACAAAGTTGAGTTTCGGGTTCCTGGCCTAGCCAAGCAAAAACAGGGATCTATATACTCGTAAGGAGATACAGGCACCCAGCAGGCTGCCAGGTTTAGCAGTGTAGTCTCTGATCATGACAATGTGGACTTCAGAGAGTATCGTGTCTGCGAAATAAGGCCACCTACCACTCATAAGCTTCTGAGATAGATGAGGTCATCCCCCTTTTACAGGAGAAGAAACAGAGATTCAGAGAGATTCAAAGAATTATGCAATTCATGTAAAGGTACTGAAAGCCTGATCTAACTCTAGGTCTGAGTTTTTGATGAAACCATAGGGATTGACAAAAAGAGAGGAGCTGGACATTAGATGTTGTGCTTACTTCAGGACATCTGGCAAAGCCTGGAGCCATTCATTTTATTCAATACATGACTACTGAGCACCACCTCATCCCCCAAGAAAAGCTAGGCAACTATTTATAGGTGTTCCATATCAAGAGGCTTTTCTTTGCACATCTTGTTCATTATATTGTTGGAAACTGAAGTTGTTGTTTTTTTTTTTTTTTGAGACAGAGTCTCCCTCTGTTTCCCAGCCTGGAGTGCAGTGGTGCCATCTCGGCTCGCTGCAAGCTCCGCCTCCCGGGTTCACGCCGTTCTCCTGCCTCAGCCTCCTGAGCAGCTGGGACTACAGGCGCCCGCCACCACGCCCGGCTAATTTTTTTTGTATTTTTAGTAGAGACGGGGTTTCACCGTGTTAGTCAGGATGGTCTCTATCTCCTGACCTCTTGATCCGCCCGCCTCGGCCTCCCAAAGTGCTGGGATTACAGGCGTGAGCCACCGCGCCCGGCCGGAAACT
The DNA here is from genome assembly GCF_000001405.40 of Homo sapiens. Classification (NCBI taxonomy): domain Eukaryota; kingdom Metazoa; phylum Chordata; class Mammalia; order Primates; family Hominidae; genus Homo; species Homo sapiens. Next base: position 218,271,052 of record NC_000001.11, read on the forward strand.
GAAGTTTTTATTTATTGTTTAGCCCTTCCACCATAACTTTCTTTCCCATTATTCTACCAGACACTTGACAAATTTCCTAATAATCTTCACTTAAAAAAAAATCTCATGGACACACCCTTATCCTCGCCTAGCTTGGCCTCACAATAGCATTTAACAAAATCTCTGCTTCCTTTTGAAACGTGAAGTTCTCTGGCTTTCCTCATTTCATGATTCTTTCTGCTCTTGATATACATTTGTATATGTTGTCTCCTCTACTTCTAAATATTGGAGTTCCTGCCAACTGGATTTTGGCTTCTTTTTCTTCTTCTTCCTATAAAACCTCATCCATTTTCTCGGCTTTAAAAACCACCAATATGGTGCTGTTAACATTTATACCTATTGTCTCTAGCCCTGGTCTCTCCCTTGGAATCCAATTACTTAATCAATATCTTTACTTAGATGTTTCTATAGACTATATATTTATGTCCCTCCTAAATTCACATGTGGAAATCCTAACTCTCAATGTGATGGTATTTGGAGGTGGGGCCGTTGGTAGGCAGAGCCCTTATGAATGGGATAAGTGCCCTTATAAAAGAGCCCCCAGAGAGCTCCCTCACCCCTTGTGTTATGTGAGGACACAGCAAGAAGAAAGCTGTCTATAAGCTAGGAATTGAGCCCTCTCCAGATACCTTGATCTTAGACTTCTCAGCATTCAGAATCATGGGAAAAAGGAAAAATTTCTGTTGTTTATAAGCCGCCTAGTCTGTGGCATTCTGTTGTAGTAGCCCAAGCAGACTAAAACAGATGTCAAGACCTTAAACCTAACAAGTCAGACTCTTTTGCTTTTCCTCATAAAAGCTGTTCTTCTCTGGCCTTTCTCATACTAGCAAATGCGCCATCGTCTACCTAGCTGTAAAGTCAAAAACCTATGTGTCATTTTTAATTCTTTCCTTCTCGTATTCAACCCATCAACAACAGTTTGTGTCAGGTTTCCACATCTAAAACATACCCTAAGTGTGTCCACTTTTATTTATCTCTGCCCTAGTCTAAGCCCTCATGGTCTTCCACATTAGGCTTCCACAATGGCCTAACTGGTCTGTGTGTTTACACTCTGACCCCCACATTCTCCAACAAAACTAAAGGAGCCTTTCAGAAATGAGTTCTGTCCTGTCATGACCCTGTGTAAAATAGTACCATGGCTCCCTAGGTCTCTTGGGGCAAAGTTGAATGTCCTTCTCATGGCCCTCAAGAGCACACTTGCCCTGGACTCTTCTCTCCCCTCCCCCATCCATGTGCACCCCACCTCCCCGCTCACTATTCCTTACTTACACTGTCTTTTCCTCCTCAAAGGGGCTCATTGCATTTTCCTGGAAAATTCTGTCCTAGATTTTCACATGCCATTTCAGTCACACCACTCCTATATCAGCTCAAATGTCACATCCTGAGAGCATCTCTGACCTCCAACTAGAGCAAGAGTCCCCAACCCCAGAGTAACGGACCACTACTGGTCCATGGCCTGTTAGGAACTGGGCCGCACAGCAGGAGGTGAGTGATGGATGAGTGAGCATTACCGCCTGAGCTCCAGCTCCTGTCAGATCAGCTGCAGCATCAGATTCACAGGAGCGGGACCCCTATTGTGAACTGCGCATGCGAGGGATCTAGGATTCTCCTTATGAGAATCTAACTAATGCCTGATGATCTGAGGTGGATCAGTTTCATCCTGAAACCATCCCTTACCAGTGGAAAAATTGTCTTCCATGAAACCACTTTCTGGTGCCAAAAAGGTTGGGGACCACTGATCTAAAGTGTCCCACACCAGCCACCTTTCAGTCCCCAAACCATTCTCTATTCTACTACTCTGTTTCATCTTCCTGATACTGCTTTCTTCAGCAATTTGTTCTATTTTTAAAATTTACAAGTTTATTGTTGTCTCACTCAAACAGAAGCAAAGCATCATAAGAACAAGGAATTGTCTGTCTTGCTAGAAATCCTCAGTGCCTAAAAAGAACTTAGCACTAGGCATATACCCGAAAGAAAGGAAATCAGTATATTGAAGAGATATCTGCATTGCTATGTTTATTGCAGCACTATTCACAATAGTCAAGATTTGGAATCATCCTAAGTGTCCATCAACAGATAAATTGACAGAGAAAATTTGGTGCATACACGTAATTGATACTATTCAGCTGTAAAAAGAATGAGATCCTGTCATTTGCAACAATATGGATGGAACTGGAGGACATTATGTTAAGTGAAAGAATCCAGGTACAGAAAGACAAACTTCACATGTTCTCACTCATCTATGGGAGCTAAAAATTAATCATTTGAACTCATGGACATAGAGAGTAGAATTATGGTTACCAGAGGCTGTAAGGATTTGGGGTGGGAGAGAAATGGGGTTGGTTAATGGGTACAAAAATACAGTTAGATACAATGAATAAGATCTAGCCTTTGATAGCACAACAGAGTGAGTACAGTTAGCAATAATTTGTTGGACATTTTAGAATAACTGAAGGAGTACAATTGGAATGTTTGTACCACAAAGAAATGATGAATTCTTGAGGTGATGGAAACCCCATTTACTCTGATGTAATTATTACACATTGTATGACTGTATCAAAAGAGCTTATGCACCCCATAAATATATACACCTACTGTGTACCCAAAAGAATAAAAAGTAAAAACTAAAATGAAGAGAACTTGGTACAAGGCTCATTGAATATTTTTCAAATGAGTGAATGGCATTTTGAGGAAGGCTGGACCCTGAGACTTCATCACTGGACAAACAATCACTGGTCCTGGATGACACGGCCACTCAACTTTAGAAGAATGGAATAAAAAGACTGCACTCTTGAGGCCTCTTTCAGTTGTGTCTCTGGTCTATTAGGGACACAGGTTGGGGTTAACTGTCACAATGAAAGGAAGTGGTAGTTCCTCATACACAACTCAGGATGCACTTTCTACTGGCAGAAAGAAATGTCTGAAAGTCTGGCAGGATCAAAGTCAGAAATGCTGGGCAATCTTGTCATTGCTGACGAATACTGCCTAAGAGACAGTTAAGTCCCATAGCGAGGTGAGTTTTTAATGGAAGGGTTTTATGCAAGGTGGAATATGTCTCCTTGATGCATGATAGTACCAGTCTCACTAATACAGGCTCTGAGACCAGGAGTCCAAGAGTAATTTGTTCAAATGAAATAAAGCCTATTAGTCTTGCCAGTATTCACCTGCTCCATTGTTTAACACCAACCAGATGATGTAATCTGTCCCTTTCTTGTTTACAGGGAGGTTTCTAAAGAGGCAATCAAACATAGTACAAAGGGCTCAGTGTGGTTAGTAATAATGAGGCCTGGGTCTTAATTATATCACATGCAGTAGTTCAGTGCCAGAGGAAAGTAAAGATAAAGAAGAAAGATATCTTCTTTAAAAAAAAAAAAAAAGTGTTCCAAAGGGCCTTTTTTTAAACACTGTCCTTAAAACTGAGTAAATTAAAACAAACCATAGTAAGCTGAATAATAGACCCAAAGATTCCCTGTCCTAATCCCTGGAACCTGTGAATGCTACCTTATACAGATGGTCCCTGATTTACAGTGGTTCAATTTAGGATTTTTCTGCTTTATGATGGTGTGAAAGTGATATGCATTCAGTAGAAGCTGTACTTCAAGTACTCATATGCTGTGATTTGAATGTTTATCGCCTTGGAAACTCATGTTGAACCTTAATCCCCAATGTGGCAGTATTGAAAGGTGGGGCCTTTAAGAGGTGATTGGGCCATGAGGTCAGAGCTCTCATAAATAGATTAATCCACTTACGAATTAATGGATTAATAGATTATTACTTTCATGGATTAATGGGTTTTCATGGGAATGGGACTGATAGCTTTCTAAGAGGAAGAGAAACCTGAGCTAGCCTCCTCAGCATGGGATGCCCTGTGTTGCTTTGGGACTCTGCAGAGAGTTCCCACCAGCATGAAGGCCATCACCATATATAACCCCTTGGCCGTGGACTTCTCAGCCTCCATAACTGTAATAAATAAATCTCATTTCTTGATAAATTAGTAAGTTTCAGATATTCTGTTATAAGCAACAGAAAATGGACTAGGACCCCATAGAACAATTTTGTTTTTCACTTTCAGCACAGTATTCAGTAATTTACATGAGATTATTCAACACTTAATTATAAAATAGGCTTTGGTTAGATAATTTTGCCTCACTGTAAGCTAATGTAAGTGTTTTGAGTATGTTTAAGGTAGGCTAGGACAAGCTGTGATGTTTAAGTGTATTAGATATATTTTTGACTTACTATCTTTTCAACTTAGGGTGGGTTTTTGGGATATAACCTCATCATAAATTGAGAAGCATCTGTACAGCAAAAGGGGCTTTGCTGATGTGATTAAATTAAGAATCCTGAGATGGAAAGAATATCCTGGATTATCCAGGTGAGCCCTAAAATGCAATCACAAGTGTCCTAGAAAGATGGAGGCAGACGGACGTTTGACTGCAGAAGAGGAGTAAGGAATGTCACAATGGAAGCAAGAGGTTGGAGTGATGTGAGGAAGGGGTCCTGAGCTAAGGAATACAGATGGTCTCTGGAAGCTACAAAAGGCAAGAAAATTTATTCTCCCATACATACACCAGAAAGCATCAGCCTGCAGACACCTGGATTACCCTAGTGAAACTGATTTTGGACATATAGCTTCCAGAACTGCAAGAAAGTAAATCTGTGCTGCTTTAAGCCACCAAGTTTGTGTTATTCTGTTACAGTAGCCATACAGTTTTCTCATATTTGGTTCATGTTTGTATTTCTTATTTTGTGTATTTCCCTAGTCAATTGTATGTATTTTTTACCAGCTATATTAAGGCATAACTGACTTACAGTAAACTGCAGATATTAAAGTGTGCTATTTTATGTTTCCTGGTATCTATATATCTATACTGGGAAACTCACCACAATCTAAATAATAAACATGTCCATTGCTTCAAAAAGTTTCCTTGTGCCTCATGATAACTCTGCCCCTTCATAGCCCTTCTAACCTCCCACCCCTTCAGCAGCCATTGATCTTATTTCTGTCACCATAGAAAAATTTATATTTGTAAAGAGCGTAAGGCCAGGTGCTGTGACTCATGTCTGTAATCCCAGCACTTTGAGAGACAGAGGCAGGCGGATTGCTTGGAGCTCAGGAGTTCAAGACCAGCCTGGGCAACATGACGAAACTCTGTCTCTGCAAAAAAATACAAAAATTACCTGGGTGTGGTGGTGCATGCCCATAGCACACCTGTAGTCCCAGCTACTTGGGAGGCTGAGGTGGGAGGATCATTTGAGCCCAGGAGATCAAAGCTGCAGTAAACCATGATCATGCTACTGCATTCCAGCCTGGGTGACAGAGTGAGACCCCGTAACAAAAAAAAAAAAAAAAAGGTTTAATACAACTGGAATCATACAGTATGCACTCTTTTTTTCTGGCATAATTATTTTCAGATTCACCTAGTTGTTTTGTAGATCCATAGTTTGTTCCTTTTTATTGTTGGGTATAGCTCTCTACTGCATGGTCATACCACAATTTATTTATTCATTCACCTATTGATGGATATTTGAGTTGCTTTCAGTTTGGAAGTATTATGAGTGAAGCTGCTATGAATATTCATGTGGAAGTCTTTACATGGAAATAAGTTTATGTTTCTCTGGGTCAATAACTAGGGGTGGAATGGCTAGATCATGTGGTAAGTGTATGATTAATTTTTTAAGAAGCTGACCACCTGCCTTCCCATTGGTTGACCATTTCACATTCTCACTAGCAGCCTGTGAGAGCTCTGGTTGTTCCACATCTTCATCGATGCTTAGTGTAGTTAGTCTTCTTATTTTTAGCCATTCTAAAAGGTGTATGGTCGTATCTGATTATGTGGTTTTCTTTCTACATTTCCTTAGTGACTTACAATGTTGAACATCTTTTCATGTGTTATCTGCCATTGGTATATCTTCTTTGGTGAAGTGTCAATATTCAAGTGAATACTGAATTGGAGAATTCTTTATGCATTCTAGACACAATCTTTTATCAGATGTATGCTTTGCAAATATTTTCTCCCCGCCTGTGGCCTGTCTTTTCATTCTTTATACTTTGTCTTTCAGGTAGCAGGTTCTAAATTTTGATAAAGTTCAATTTAACAAGTTGTCCCTTTATAGATCATGCTTGTGGTTGTACCTAGGAAATCTTTGCCTAACCCAAGGGCACAATGGTTTTCTCCAGTGCTTCGTATAGAAGCTTTATAGTTGCGTGTTTTGTCTTCAGGGCTATTCCGTTTTGAGTCAATTTTTATGTATGGTGTGAGGTATAAATTGAAGTACAGGTTTTTGTATATAGATATCCAATTTTTTTCTCTTTTCTTTTTTTGGTATATGAATATCCAATTGTTCCAAGAACATTTGTTGAAAATACTATCTTTTCTCCATTGTATTGACTTTATGCCTTTGTCAACAATCAGTTTTTCATAGATAGACAGATAGATAGATAGATAGATAGATAGATAGATAGATGTCTTTTCTTTATGCCCTATTCTGTTTAATTGTTCTATTTGTCTACCTTGATTTAATACTACACTGTTTTAATAACCACACGCTTATCATAAGTCTTGAAATCAGGTAGTGTTAGGCCTTCAAATTTTTTCTTCTTTTTCAAAGTTGTTTCTTTGCTATTCTAGATCATTTGAAATTCCATATAAATTTTAGGATAAACTTACTAACTTCTACAAAGAAGTCTGCTGGAATTTTTATAGGGATTGCATTGAATCTGTAGGTCAATTTGGGAAGAATTAACATCTTAATAATTTTAAGTCTTCTGACCCAGGAACATTGTATATCTCCATGTAGTTTGATCTTCTTTAATTTTGCTAAGCAATGCTTTTTATTGTTTAATGTACAGGCATTTATCCCTAATTATTTCACATATTTTTAATGCTATTGTAAATAGCTTAAAGTTCCTCTCCTGTAAGGCAGCCTACTGCATGTGGTGTCATCTGATCCTCTTTGTGTCACTCTGTGGGAACTGCCGATATGCTTCTACTGCTATTGTCCAGAACAATAAATTAACTGCCCATTGTCTCCTACCCAGGAGTCTTATATCTCCTACAAGCACTCATGAAATTTTGGCAGGCTATCTGTTAGTCTGCAAGTATGATAAAAATCTCACACCTTCATAGTTTCTAACAGGTACCCTAACCAGTGCCTAGTGGGAATGGAGACTATAATCAGCCTTGTGTATGTGTCGATAACAACTGTTGCCTCTAATTCTTTCTTGTGGTTCTTTCTCTGGCCTTGCGTAGTTTCCTCACATGTGTGCACTGGTCAGTAATCACCTAAATTCTTAAGGGATCCTCTTCGCAGATCTCTTGAGTTCTCTCTCTCTTCTCTGGCATTCTGCCCTTCCAACTCCAGTCACCTCGGTCTCGCCTGACTCTCAGCTATATCTCTTCAACTTGGAGAGTCTTCCAGGCTCAGCTTAGGTCCCTGCTTCCTGTGCTAGGGTCTGGAAATTTTCTCAAAGCAGTATGCTGGAGTAATTGTGGGGCTCACCTGATTTGCTTTCCATCTCTCAGTGATTATTAGGCTTCATTATCTAATGTCCAGTGTCTTGAAAACTGTTGTTCTATAGGTTTTGTCTGTTTTGGGTTGTTTCAAGTGACAAGGTAGATTTGCTCCCTGCTACTCCATCTTGATAAAGAAGTCCTATCCATGCCGAAGTCCCATGAATTCGTTATGTAGTTATTTCAAACTTGATGTTCTGTCTTATATTTATTTACATTCTATTTACCTTTAACTTGGAAAGTTGTTTCTACAATCCAGATAAATCAGATTGTCACTTATTTTTCTTTTTTTCTTTTCTTACAGCTTATTTTCATAATCCTGAAATTAATTTTAGGGTAAGACATGAGCCTGTAATTTTTTTCTCTCTTTTTTTTGTGTTCCTAGTCCCTCAATTAGTTAATTAGTTCATTGCTAATCAACTTTTTGTTTTTTATTATTTTTTTAGACAGGTTCTGGCTTTGTCACCCAGGCTGCAGTGCAGTGGTATGATCTCAGCTCTCTGCAACCTCCGCCTCCTGGGCTCAAGCCATCCTCCCACCTCAGCCTCCTGAGTAGCTGGGACTACAGGTGCTCACAACCACACCTGGCTTATTTTTTGTGTGTTTTTTGTAGAGACAGGATTTTGCCATTTGCCAGGGTAGTCTCAAACTCCTGAGCCCAAGCGATCCTCCCGCCTAAGCCTCCCAAAGTTCTGGGATTACAGGCATGAGCCACCACACCTGGCCTCTTTCTCTTCTAATCATCAATTTTATAACACAATTTTTGCATAATATATTCTTTTACTTGTAATACTTCCTTTATAATATTTTAAGATTTTACATATTCTAGGATTTATTTCATCTCCATTTAGTTTTTCTTTTGATCTATATATTTTAATTGTTGTAGATTTATAGTATATTCTAATACCTGAATGGGCAAATTTTGCCTCAAGACTCTTTTTCTATTTTTTTAATTATCCTTTACTTCTTTTGTACCTGATAATTATTTTAACAAGACCTCTCTCTCTCTGCTCCTCTCCTGTCAAAATTAATTCCAGTGAAATTTTGGTTGAAACAAACATCTTTAGAATATCTGGTCTATCCTTCTGGAAATACATATTTTTTTAAAGTTTTCCTTTACGTCTCCCATTATAGCGTCAAGTTAATTACATGTAAGATTTAATTAATGTATGTTAATTGTGTATGATTCCTTTTTCTCTGAGACTATAGTAGAATTTTTTTTTTTTTTTTTTTTTTTTGGTCCTCATTGAGAGGGAGTCTCGCTCTGTCTCCCTGGCTGGAGCGCAGTGGCGCGATCTCGGCTCACCGCAAGCTCCGCCTCCCGGGTTCACGCCATTCTCCAGCCTCAGCCTCCCAAGTAGCTGGGACTACAGGCGCCTGCCACCATGCCAGGCTAATTTTTTTGTATTTTTAGTAGAGACAGGGTTTCACCGTGTTAGCCAGGATGGTCTCGATCTCCTGACCTCGTGATCCGCCTGCCTCGGCCTCCCAAAGTGCTGGGAATACAGGCGTGAGCCACTGCGCTGGGCCAACTATAGTAGAATTTAACATCAGTGGCAATCTCTTTTTTGGGGGACTTCATTTCACTAGTGTTTAGGGACTTAGCACTGCTCTTCTCATAACTCTCTATCCTGATCTTTCTTTCTCGTTCCTTCTCAACTAGGAGCTCTGGTATCCTCTATAATTCTGAGATGTCTTCTTTCTCTTTACTCTCTCCCTTTATAGATCCTCTGTATGTAGAGAATCCCAAGAACTATTCTGTAACCAGAATCTCTGTCCAGGGCTCCTATCAAGTTAGCTTTATGCTCAGACCTTCCCAGAGGACCACCCTTCTGCTTGGGATACCCTGGGCAATTACCCCTCTCTCTTTTCTGTTCCATGTCTATTAGCTTAGACCACTTCGAGGCACTCATATCAGCCAAGCTGCACAAATTATTCAGAAGAAAAATATTTTATCTGTTATTCTTCTATAACTATTGGCATTTCAACAGGAAACTCTCATAACCACCCTGCCTCTGGCCTTTCCCAAAGTGAGAAACTCCCCGTAAAACTTTCTAACCATGCTGTAGGCAGGCAAAGAAGGTATGTGGGTGCTGATATTTTCGTTACAACACCCATTCTAGATTTATATCATTCAGGGCCACTCAGGAGACAGAAACTGCTTTAGTAATTTGAATAGGATAATTTAATATAAAGAATCATTAGCTATATCAGAAGGTTGAAGTAAAAAGGGATTGTTAGTAAGAGGTTAAGTAAACTCTATAGAATATAGTAATGGCAGATATAAGGAGCAGTGACACTGTAAAATGCAGCATCCAAGGAAGAGGCCTATCTTTCTACCCACAGCTGAGATACAGCTCTTGTGGGAGGGCACAGTTGTGGTTCACTGGGTGGCGGAGGAGTTGCTGTGATACTGCCCTGTCAGAACTTGTTGAAAATTGCCAATGGGGTGGCTTGCACCTGTGGTCCCAGCTACTTAGGGGGCTGAGGTGGGAGGATCACTTAAGCCCATAATTTTGAGGCTGCAGTGAGCCAAGATCATGTCACTGCACTCCAGCATAGGCAACAGAGTGTGATCTCATCTTTAAAAAACAAAAGCAAAACAAAAAAACTCGTTCAAAAATCCGCCTTCCTGAAATTTCCCTTTGAGGTGCTAGAAGAAGCTGTGGATGGCCAGGTGTCTCGCTAGAGGCATTCAGGAGTCAGATGCTGGAGAAGCCTTCTATGCTACAGGAGAACGTGAATATACTTCAGCACCCTGATGCTGGAGAAGTTTCCACAGGAGTCTGTAGAGAAAAGCACATCAGAACCAGGAAGATGGCCCCTTTTTCTTATAATGTCACTCTAATGCCCTCTACTGACAAATCTGAACATCTGGCCTTCAGGCAAATAAAAATATTTAAGAGCCCAGCTCAATTTTCACAGAGCAGCCAAAAAGGATGAATTTAGAGCCGAGAGGCAATAAGCTGATAACTAGCATAGGTTTGTTTGTAAAACTCTTACACAAGCATTTAGGTGACTTCAGTTATTTCCACCATACAGTGGGCATTCCGTTTCAATATTGTCAGCTATTTTGGTTCATTGTAACAGCAGAAACTATTTTTTTAATTCATGAATTCCAGTGCTTGTTAGAAATTTCTGTTGCCTAAATCAAAACCACAATGAGATACCATCTCATGCAAGTCAGAATAGTGATTATTAAAAAGTCAAGAAACAATAGACGCTGGAGAGGCTGTGGAGAAATAAGAATGCTTTTACACTGTTGGTGGGAATGTAAATTAGTTCAACCATTGTGGAAGAAACTGTGGCAATTCCTCAAGGATCTAGAACCAGAAATATCATTTGACCCAGCAATCCAATTACTGGGTATATACCCAAAAAATATAAATCATTCTACTATAAAGACACAGGCACACATATGTTTATTGCAGCACTATTTACAATAGCGAAGACATGGAACCCATCTAAATGCCCATTAATGATAGACTGGATAAAGAAAATGCGGGTACATAGACATTAGGAAATACTATGCAGCCATAAAAAGGAATGGGATCATGTCTTTCACAGGGACATAGATGAAGCTAGAAGCCATCATCCTCAGCAAACTAACGCAGGAACAGAAAACCACATACCACACGTTCTCACTCATAAGTGGGAGCTGAACAATGAGAACGCATGGACACAGGAAGGGGAACAACACACACCAGGGCCAATCGGGGATTGGGGTGTGACAGGAGGGAGAGCGTTAGGACAAATAGCTAATGCATGCAGGGCTTAAAACCTAGATGACGGGTTGAAAGGTGCAGCAAACCACCACGGCACATGTACACCTACGTAAGAAACCTACACGTTCTGCACTTGTATCCCAGAATGTAAAGTAAAATTTAAAAAAAGAAAAAACAGGAAGAAAAAAGGAAATTTTTGTTGCCTATTCTGACTGTATGCTAAGTGATAAAGCACAACCCTCTGAGTGGGCAGTGCAACTCCGTGGTTGAGCAGACTCTGCAGTGGAGTGCTTGGGTCTGAATGTGATTCTGCCATGTACTGGTTGTGTGACGGTCAGCAGTTATTTACCCTGTGCCTCTGTTTCCTCATCTATAAAATGGAAAAAATAATAGTACTTAACTCATTAGCTTATTGTGAAGATTAAATAAGCTAACATAGGTATCTCCAACTTAACAGCAGTAATCAATTTCTGAAAATCAGACTTCTGGATAAAAACCTGGATCCTATTTTATATTATTTTAAAGGAAGAAAAATGTGAATGTGTAACAAATCAGCCATTCCTACCCTCCAGGCAATTTCTTAAATTGCAACTAAACACAAAAAAAATTTCTATATATACGTAAACTCACATTAACATGTTAAATGCACAAAACATCACTTCTTGATCACTAAATAACACTAACATTAATGCAGGAACTTTGTGTTTAATATGCAGGAACATGTTTTCCATTGAACCACTGCAATCATTTTTTTTTAACTTTGCTTCCTTCTCTACAACTTTCTCCAGTGCATTCCCAACTTTATTTGGAACTCCTTGTTCCAATTTACATTTAGCCCTAGGCAAAAGCAAGCATTAGCTATGAAAGACAGCAAAAAAATAGGTTCCAGATCAGGACACAGTGGTAATGAAAGGATCACACTGAGCAGGATGGTGAGAGCTGCTGGGCATCAGCAGCATCCTAAAGGGCACCTCTAAAGTGCACCCCTTTTTATTTTGTCAAGAGTAAGGGTCTCACTTTGTCACCCAGGCTGGAATGCAGTAGTGCAGTCATGGCTCACTGCAGCCTCGAACTCCTGGACTCAAGTGATCCTCCCATCTCAGCCTTGGAGAAGCCAGGATTACAGGCTGGAGCCACCATACCTGCCATCTTGGCTCACTGCAATCTTTGCCCCTCCCCGCCCCTCTGGGTTCAAGCAATTCTCACCTCAGCCTCCTGAGTAGCTGAGTAGCTGGGACTACAGGTGCTCACCACCATGGCTGGCGAATTTTTGTATTTTTAGTGGAGACGGGGTTTCACCATGTCGTCCAGCCTAGTCTCTTAACTCCTGGCCTCAAGAGATCCTCCCGCCTCCGCCTCCCAAGGTGCTGGAAATACAGGCATGAGTCACCACGCCTGGTCAATACCTGCACTTTTTAAAGGTTTAAACTGGAATCTCATCTCTTACCAACTGTATTCAAAATGTCATTTTTTTTCTGCACAATTTTTTGTTGTTGGTGGTGGTGGTGGTAGATTTTGTTTGTTTGTTTTTGAGACAGAGTCTCGCTCTGTCGCCGAGGCTGGAGTGCAGAGTCGCGATCTCCGCTCACTGCAACCTCCGCCTCCAAGGTTCAAGCGATTCTCCTGCTTCAGCCTCCCGAGTAACTGGGACTACAGGCACTCGTCACTGCGTTTGGCTAATTTGTGTATTTTTAGTAGAGATGGGGTTTCACCATGTTGGCCAGGCTGTTCTCAAACTCCTGGACTCAAGCGATCCACTTATCTCAGCCTCCCAAAGTGCTGGGATTACAGGTGTGAGCCACCGCACCCGGCTAGACCCTCTCTCTCTTAAAAGACAAAAAAATTAAAAACCAAGTTTAAAAATGTTGTATTGAGTTTTTAGGATGTGAATATATATTTATTTCCTACATAAACATCTACTGGAATATGTCAAAATGAGGATTCTTGTTTTTGTTTTTGACTTATGGGTATCACAATCTATGAACCTCCTTAAGAGGGGAAAGGGAAAACGCTAAGTTTGGGGAAAGCCTTTAGAACAAGTCTAGCCAGTAAAGGTTTGCTGCATTATCCATCTGAGTCATTAACTTTGTCAATAGTTATATTCTGTCACTCATTCATTGATTCATTCATCCCTTCCAAAAATATTTTTGGAAAATTCACTTCAGGCCAACTTCTGTTGCTAACCTTGAGGGGACATGGTAAATGAAATACGTTCCCCTCCTGCGAGAAGCCAACATTTTAGGGGGGAAAATGAAGGCCGACTGTGGTAGGTGCTTCGATGGAACTAGGAGCTGGTGACAGAGGCTAACTTCAGAGAAAAGCTAGCCCCGGGTGGGAGGCAGGATCCTCGCGCGGATAGCAAGGTATTCGCACCCTCGGTCTGCACTGCGCAGTCGGGCGCCAGAAACCCTCCAGGCCCCAGCCGGGTCCGAGGGAGAAGGGTGCGGTTGGATTCAACACCCGCCCCAGGGAAAGAAGGTGAGTCTATTCGGTTTGCAAGAAAGGTCTCGCGTGTTATCTTGGGCGGGGGGATGATACGATCGTATTCTAATTATCGGCCCCCAGTGGATCTGTCCCGCGTCCTAGCTGCTGCGGCGTTCAGTGGGCACGTAAGAGACACCTGAGGAGGACACTAAACCAACATTAAGGCAGCAGACAAGGGAAGCCGCCGAGGCTAGGAAATCAAAGTGGACCGCGCTGGGCTGGGGACGGGCTGGGGACGCACTGGGGCGGAGGACCAGGGCACAGGCGAGCTAGCGGAGGAGTCGGCTGAGGCCATTCAGCCGCTGATTTTCGTCCTGGAACGGACTTCGCGTAAACACACCGAGCCATTCAGAGCTCTCTCCAAGTCACATTCTGAGGCTCCGGCCCCGGAACTCTGGGCTAGACGACCCCGCCCCGGAACCTTGTGTTACCGGCACTAAATGCAGAAGTTCCTCTGGTTGCCACCGGACGCAACTGTCAGGTGACGCTTCCGGCGCAGAAAAATGGCAGCCGCCGCTCCGGACTCACGTGTGAGTGAGGAAGAAAACCTGAAAAAGACCCCAAAGAAGAAGATGAAAATGGTAACTGGAGCCGTAGCGTCGGTGCTGGAAGACGAGGCCACAGACACTTCTGATAGTGAAGGTAATGTGGTAGGGCTGAGCTTTGGTGTCTGGGAGGAAAGGCGGGGCTGAGTTCGTGTCAAGCAGCGCTTGCGACTTCATTTGCTGCTAGCCACCTGGGTTTTATCTTGGCACCACTTCAGAGGGGCGACTTTGGCTTAGTGAGGAGGCTTGGGGAAGTCGTGTTCAGAGAAGTAACGCTGTCAACTGTAATTTTGAGTTTCCACATTCTTTTACTAGGTATTTTCAGGGTCACCATTATTAATTATAATAAAATGGGTGAAACACCTGCAGCTACCGAGAAACTTACAGTAGCAAAGGGTGAAAGGAAGAGGGTACTTGAAAACAGGAGAAGAATGGGTCTCATAGGGTGTAAGAAGCAAAAGGTTAAAAGAGGTAAGAGGAAGAAGGGGGTGTACTTGACTTTTTGTGCGGTAGATGTGTGCGTGTTTTAGAGACTAAATAATAGTGAATGAAAGAAGAGTTTGGTGGTTAAGGTCGATTAAAAACTGGTAGTGTTTGATAACTATGTCTCTCAGAGACGCTTGATAATAAAAGGAAGGAAGGATGTGTTTTTGAGGCTTTCAACCATGCTGTGTCTGTTGCTCCTCTTTACCATCATTCTTGGCACCAGCTTATTAGGTTACAAGGAATTGCAGGTAATCCCTGACTTCCTACTGCCCAGTTATTGCTCCTTTGTACCAGCTGATACCCAAAAAACAGACAGAGCTATTCTTTTATAACGTATTTCTAATTATGCCCGCTGTCTGTTTGAGATGATCCAGTGGCTTCTCATCTCAGTATATAATATCCAAAATCCTTAGGCTGTATGATTTGGGCCAGGTTGTCTGTCATAGGCCAATATGCCCCTCACAAACCACTAACTGTAATCATGCCATACCGGTATGCTTGTGTTTAACACCTTAAACATGCTCCCACACCATGGTTTCTTCATTTGTTGGCTCCGCTGCCTAGAATAGTTTTCAAATGCTTGGCATGTCTCTCCCTCACCAGCCTCTGATCCAGTGCCTTACCAGAGAGACTTGTCCCTGACTACCCTATGTAACGTACCACCACTACTCTTCTTCCTGCCTTCTTTTCTTCACTTTTTGACTTATTGCCCTGCTTTATTTTTTCTCAACCCTGCCCAAACCATTTGATGTATGTATTTGCTGCTTTCCCAATTGGAATATAAGTTCCATAAAAATAGAGCCTACTGTATCCCCAGTTCCTATTGCCTTGTGGGTCCTTCACAGATATTTAAGTAAATGAATGAATTAACCTGGACTTCCAGGACCAAGAAGAAAGTGTCATATGCTACTGCAATTCCTAGGTAATTAGAGTCTTCATCTCCTGCCACATTGTTAAGGAAAACAAACTATTTGTTGGGCCAAAATTAGAACTTCTGGTTCTGATATTTTTTAAATTCATTAGACTAGTTCAAACACTATTGTTCAAGAAGGGAAGAGTACTATATTTGCTATATTTGGAGCAAAATGTCAGTACTGCTTACAAATTGGATTTTTCTTTTTCTTTTTGAGACAGGGTCTTGCTTTGCCACCCAGGCTAGAGTGCAGTGGCACAAACAGGGCTCACTGCAACCTTGACCTCCTCCCCCACCGCCCCCCAAAGCGATCCTCTTGCTTCAGCTTCCCCAGGTAGCTAGGACTACAGGCGCATACCACTGTACCTGGCTAATTTTTTTTTTCTTTTTTTTTTTTTTTTTTGGTAGAGATGGGATTTTGCCATGTTGCCCAGGCATGTCTCGAACTCCTAGGTTCAAGTGATCCACCCGTCTCGGCCTCCCAAAGTGCTGAGATTACAGGTGTGAGCCAGCACACCTGGCCAAATTGGATTTTTCTATTCAAATACTGGATAATTCCAAGTTGGAACTGTTCTGACTTTTCAGCGTATTATTATAAATGCTGATTAGGTTTTAAGGTTCTCTTGCTGTTATAGATCAGCCACATTACGGGTTAAAAAGGTTTTTGGCCAATATGGAAACCTAATTTATCTAATTCAATTCAATGAACACTTGTTGTGTTCCCTTAGGTTCCAGTCACCCTCTAGGTGTTGAGGATACAAAGGATGAATATATTTCTGCATTAAAATTTCAGTTTTAGGAAAGATATTAAACACAGGACTGTAATATAGTGTATTAGTATAATTAAAAGGTAGTTTTCAAGATCATGGTTCAATTTTGGAAAGGTAAGGATGGAGACAGAGAAATTCATATCCTCTGGAACCCAGCCTAGGCGTTGCTTACTTATATCTTACGTGTATTATTGATAATATACTATGTTATTATATTTTAACATATCTCTCTCCTTATAGAGATAAGTTCCCCAAATGTCAAAAGTATGTCTTGTTTATTTTCACAGGGTCTTCTTTGCATACTTTAGTATTCAGTAAATTGTTTTGTTGAATAAATGTATAAGGTGGCATTCTATCTAGGCTTTAGAAGGATGAATAGTTTTCCTGACCTGGGAGTATAGAGGGCAGTTTTCTCAGACATAAAAGCATATACAGTGGCATGCGGTCTCTTAAAATTCATGGCCTATTTCAGACAAAGTAATCTTCTGTTATGGCTCCAGCTGTTCAGAGAAGTGACTAGAAGTAAAACTGGAAACAATGGTTAAAAGTAGATTATAAAGGGCCTTGTGTATTTGTAGGCAGCAGGGAGCTATTGAGAACTTTTAAGCAAGATGGTGACAGTTGTTTATAAATATTACTGCCAGATGTACGGTGACTGCCAAAGAGTGCCAGGACAGTTTGTAGGCAATTGCAAAATTCTATGTTAGGATCTGCACTAGGACACAGCAGTGAAGACAGAGAAGGGCCCCACTTGAAATATTTTTCAAAAAGAAAGTATTCAATTTTGCAAACAGGCAACTTTCATGTGAGCTTATAGCACCATAGGTTTTGGGCATACTACACTGTTAGAGGAATTGGATAATAACAATAGTTATACTTTTGGAACTTTCCTATGTGCCTGGTTCTGTTCTGAGTTCCTTCTATATATCAGCTCAGAGAATTCTGACAACTCTATGAGATAGATGCTGCTATTATCCTCCTGTTACATTTAAAAAACTGAGGCACAGAGGCTTATAACTTGCCCACTTCTGTACATAAGCAGATAAGCAAGTTGATAAATGATACAACAATTATTGAAGTTTGATTGTAGAGCTTATGCTCTTGACCACTACCTTAATATGTTTGAGGAATCAGGAGGACATAGATAATTTTAAAAAGTATCTGGAAAGTGAAAGCGTTGGGCCTTTGAATCTAAGGAAAGAAAGGATTGGGGACAAGGAGACTTTGGTATGGAGACAAACTTTTCTCCCTCCCACTCAAGAAGATTTCATCACCAAGGGACATTTTTGTGTTCAGATTTCTATAGCACTTCCAATGTTTATAACCAGAGTATTCTTTCCTTCCTTCCTTTCTCCTAAAATCCATATGTTATTTCTGGAAGCAAATTCCCCTGTTCACTCAATTGTATAAGAGGCACCTGTGATGGTACTACCTTTCAGAGTGACTTTGTGCTAGTTATTATTATCTACCCCAATTTCCTCATCTACAAAATGAGGATAATAATAATGTCTACTTTAGGATTGTTGTAACAATTAAATGAGTTTATATATGGTAAGCATTTAATATTTGGCACATGGTACCCACTCATAAATATTAGTGATGACGATGATGTCTCTTCTGACCTAAAAAAACTGCTAGTCCCATCTCTTTTTGCCAAATAAGTTTTCCCACCTTTGGTAATGTGGTATTTGTAAGCTGGAGCTCTCCCCAGAAAAGAGGTTTGAATTATTCTAGTAACCCTGTAAGGTAGCTGATGGCATTTCTATTTTACAGATAAGAAAAGAAGCTTGGAAATAGTGCTTCCAGTATATCATATTGCTTCCTAGTAGAAAACTGTTACCTCCATAGGTGCAAGATGTTATCTGTTATTCCACTCGTTTTATTCCATAATCTAACCATTAGATCATATATTTTTGGTAAAATTCAAGATCAGTGATAACGATGTTGATAACAATTGATTGTGTCTGCTTGGTTATGCCATAGACACATTTTCTTTGCCAAAGCTGCTTCTGTCTCTAAGAAAGACACTGCCATCTACTCCCATCCAAGCTGGAAACACAAGTGTCATCCTTTAGTCTTCCTGTTGCTTCCATATCTATTTGGTTTAATTAATCCATTTATTCTGTTGCCACTACTTTAGTTCTTGCCCGCATCTCTCTCTCTCTCTTTTTTGAGATGGAGTTTTGCTCTTGTTGCCCAGGCTGGAGTGCAATGGTATGATCTCAGGTCACCCCAACCTCCACCTCCAGGGTTCAAGTGATTCTTCTGCCTCAGCCTCCCAAGTAGCTGGGATTACAGGCATGCACCACCACACCCAGCTAATTTTGTATTTTTAGTAGAGACAGAGTTTCTCCATGTTGGTCAGGCTGGTCTTGAACTCCTGACCTCAGGTGATCCACCCACCTTGGCCTCCCAAAGTGCTGGGATTACAGGCATGAGCCACTGTGCCTGGCCTTGCCTGCATCTCTTTTGTTTACATTAGTTCATAGGGTACCTATCTGTTGGGCCTGTCATTGCAGCCTTACTCCCTTCAGTCTTCTAGGCAATTGCTTCTTTAACCATCAATGTTGAAGGACCATTCTGAGTTTTGTTTTTTAATCTCCAATCTGTAATAGACAGGTGTTTTTTTTAAAAAAAATCAATGAAAAAGAGTAACTGGAAACATGACCACATTGTTGGACATCATGGTAATATCAAATTACTATAAATGTTTATAAATACTTACTCTCAATTTGTGAATTCGCAGTTGATTCTAGTTACAGTAATGTTCAGTAAAGTTGCAGGAAACCCTGAATCCCTGAATTAGTGAACCATTGCTTCTAGAGGAAATACAGTTTTAGGCTCCTGTGAGCCTCTGGTCAGAACATTTTTGTCATTTTATCAATACATAACCTTGTCTTATGTGGATTTTTTTTGGGTTTTTTGTTTGTTTGTTTGTTTTTGTTTTTGTTTTCTGAAACAAGATCTGGCTCTATTACCCAGGCTGCTGGAGTGCAGTGGTGCAATCTTGGCTCACTGCAACCTCTGCCTGTTAGGCTCAAGCCATCCTCCCACCTCAGCCTCTGGATTAGCTGGGACTATAGGCGTACACTACCCACACCTGGCTGATTTTTGTATTTTTGGAAGAGATGAGGTTTTGCCATGTTGCTCAGACTGGTCTTGAACTCATGAGCTCAATTGATCTGCCTGCCTTGGCCTCCCAAAGTGCTGGGATTACAGGCATGAGCCACTGCTCCCAGCCTTATGTGTGTTTTTGTTTGAAGACAAAGAAGAGCTCCACTTGAAATGGTTTTCAGAAAGAAAGTGTTTGATTTTCCTTGGCCACATGCGGGGGGCATACATCTGTAATCTCAGCACTTTGGAGGCTGAGGTGGGAGGATTGCTTGAACCCAGGAGTCTGAGGCCAGCCTAGGCAACATAGTGAGACCCCGTCACTACAAAAAAAATGGAAAAAACTAGCTGGATATGGTGGTGTGTGCCGTGTGCCTGTAATCCCAGCTACTTGGGAGGCTAAGGTGGGAGGGTTGCTTGAGCCTGGGAGTTCGAGACTGCAGTGAGCTGTGACTGTGCCACTGTACTCCAGCCTGGGTGACACAGCATGACCCTGTCCCAAAAAATAAAAAATTTAGACTGGACATGGTGGCTCACACCTGTAATCCCAGCACTTTGGGAGGCCAAGGTGGGCAGATCACTTAAAGTCAGGAATTTGAGACCAGCCTGGCTAACATGGCAAAACCCATCTCTACCAAAAAAAAAATATACAAAAAATTAGCCCAACATGGTGGTGTATGCCTGTAGTGCCAGCTACTTGTGAGGCTAAGGCATAAGAATCACTTGAACCTGGGAGGCAGAGGTTGCAGTGGGCCAAGATTGTGCCACTGCACTCCAGCCTGGCTGACAGAGTGAGACTCTGTCTCAAAAATGAATAAATAAATTTTAAAAACAAAACTCTGAGATTAAAGAAAAAGGAAAAAAAAAAGAAAGAAATCATTGAATTTTCCTTTTTTTTTTTTTTTTTTTTTTGAGATGGAGTCTCGTTCTGTTGCCAGGCTGGAGTACAGTGGTGCTATCTCGGTTCACCACAACCTCCGCCTCCCAGGTTCAAGCAATTCTTCTGCCTCAGCCTTCCGAGTAGCTGGTACTACAGGCACGTGCCACCACGCCCGGCTAATTTTTGTATTTTTAGTAGAGACGGGGTTTCAACATGTTGGCCAGGATAGTCTGGATCTCTTGACCTCATGATACACCCACCTTGGTCTCCCAAAGTGTTGGGATTACAGGCGTGAGCCACCGCGGCTGGCCCCCCACTCCCCACCCCCTTTTTTTTTAAGACAAAGTCTTGGTCTGTTGCCTAGGCTGGAGTGCAGTGGCATAATCAGAGCTCTCTGCAGTCTTAACCTCCCAGGCTCAAGCAGTTCTCCCACTTCAGCCTCCAAAGTAGCTAGGACCACAAGTGCGTGCCATCATGTCCAGCTAATTTTTCATTTTTTGTAAAGATGGGTCTCACTCTGTTGCCCAGGCTGTTCCCAAACTCCTGGGGTCAAGTGATCCTCCTGCCTCGGCCTCCCGAAGTGTTGGGATTACAGGCATGAGCCACTGCACCCAGCCTTCAATTTTTCAAACAACAAACTTTAATGCAAACTCATAGCACCATACATTTTGGGCATACTGTACTGTTAGAGGAAGTGGATAATAATAGTTATATTTAATATACTTTGTTGATTCATTAACATTTGAACTCATGGATGGCCAATAACGTGCCTGAAAAAAGCTTATTCAACACATATTTTCTCTGAGAGGCACATTGCATCCTTGTGCTTAGGGACACTGCACAACCCGTCAGCATTATGCTTGTGGGCCATTTTAAACATTGCTGTAGCCAAGAAAAAGCACAGAAATGGAAAAAATGTGGCACTAAATAGCTGTAGGAAGAACACCAGTTTACAATGAGAAAGTTAAAACAAGGCAGAGTGTCTCCTTCAGCCTCAGCTAGGAGTGTGCATGTAGGGAGACTCCAACCCTTCACTGCTCTAAGCATGTCTGTGAATGACTGCAAAAGTGCCATGAGTATTGATTTGGGGTTACGAATACATTTTACTGAGTTAGTGAATTCTCAAATACAGAATCCACAAATAACAGTGATTGACTGACTGAATCTCCTTGTAAACTGGCAACAGTCTGCATACCCAACCTGTGTGATCTGACCACTGCTTGCCTCTCAGGCTCACATCTTGTCATTCCCTAGACGACTAGGGTCATAGCATTCTGAACTAGTTTCTGGAATACAGTCTGCTCTCTGTCTTTCTAGTCGTGCTTATGGTACTCTATTGGCATACTCTTTTTATTCTTTACTTTCTCTTAACCAGCTTTTCTCTATCCTTTAGGTTTCAACTTAAATGTCTCCTCCACTTTGTCTTTTACAAATTTTCCTATCTCTGCAATATAGATAAATAATAAAGGATCATATATTTTACTTATTATTTTAAAACTTTTTTTTCTTATTTTTTTTTTTTTGAGACAGGGTCTTGGTATGTTGCCCATGCTGGTGTGCAGTGTGGCATGATCATAGCTCACTGTAACCTCCAATTCCCATGCTCAAGCAATCCTCCTGCCTCAGCCTTTTAATAATTGGGACCATAGGTGCACACCACCATGCCTGGTTAAAGAGTCCTTTATTTAATACAGTTAGTAATATAGGTCTGTTGGTTAAAGATGGGACAATTCTTCTTTGGCTTAACTCAGAATTTGCTATTTAATATAAGAAATTGCTGTTTTCCGCTCATGAAATTAAGTATTTCTGTAAAGGTGACCCATGGAGGTGGATTTTCTAGTCAGGTAGTTGTATACATGTGGTCTTGGTTAAACTATTAAGTTATCAAAAACTTTTATATGATAGTACTGAGAAACTATAAAGGCAGAGTCTTCAGACCTATGAGGAATCAGTGTGTAAATTACAGATATATTTAAAGAGTACTGACTTGTTTTATCAGGAAACTGAATCAGGCACTTATCTTTGAATTTTAACTGGATTATAAAAATTGATAGGGATGTGCCCTATATCGACATTTGAAAAACTTCCTTTAGTAAGACGCTACTTGAGTTTCATAGAAAACCCAGATATAACCCATATGTTGTTTGAATTTTATTTTTCTGGCTTTAATTTCTTTTCACATATTGTATAAGAAAAGTAGAAGAGTGTGCTTTCATGAGAACAAAACTCAAAACTCAAGTATTGTTTGTTAGACTGCAGAAGTTTCCTAAGTTCCATGGGGACAGAGACCTTGTTACTGTGAGGACAGCTATATCTCAGTTTGACATAGAGCCTGATTCATGGTGTAGTACTTGATATCCATTTATTCACTGAATAAATTGGAAATTTCTCTTAACATGATTTTTTTAATACTCTTTTCTCATATACTAGATTATCATGGAGGTGAAATTAGCAGTTATATATATCAACTTGAATAATAGCAAAATGACTAAGATTGAATTTTTGGTGAATTGCAGTACTGTCAGTACGATTTGAAATTTGATCATAATAAAATTGAAGGGGATCACGAATTAGAGATATACAGCCGGTGAATGTGGAAAAAACACCACTCAGTGTGCTTTTCTCTATTTTCTCACTCAGCCACTCAACAGCAACAATCATCACAGAAGACTTCTGTGATTAAATGTGTATGGATTCATTCTCACACCCTAAGCAAGTAATCAATTCTGCAGTGGATACCACCTGTTTGCTCTCCAATTCATTTCAACATTATCTACCTGGAGGTAGTGTCAGACCCCACAGACTGAGGGCTCAGCTTCATAAGACTGCCCAAACCCTTCAGATACCAGTCCTAAATCCAGACCTCTGGAACTTCTGACCAACTGACTTAAAATTGGGGTTCCCATAATCTTCCCTTTGGGTTCGATTAATTTTCTAGAGCAACTCACAGAACTCAGGGAGACACTTAAGTTTATGGGTTTATTATAAAGCATATTACAGAGGATACAGATGAACAGATGCATAGGGTGAAGTATAGGGTGAAGGTGTGTGGAGCTTCCATGCCCTCCCTGGGTGTGCCGTCCTGCAGGAACCTCCAGGAGTTCGGCTATCCAGAAGCTCTCTGAACCCTGTTTTTTTTTTAATGTTTTATGGAGACTTCATTACATAAGCATGGTTGATTAAATCATCGAGGTGACTCATTTAACTTTCAGCTTCCCTCCCTTCCCAGAGGTTGGGGAATGGAGCTGAAAGTCCCAAACTTCTATTCCTGTCTTGGTGCATCTGGTGACCAGCCCTGATCCTGAAGCTGCCTTGGGGCTACCAGCCCTCAATCATTAGCATACAAGAAGATACTCCTTTGGAGATTCCAAGGATTTTAGGAGTTGACCAAATAGATATTTCACAGTATCACAGAAGGTAAAGTGCTACAGTCTGCATTTTAAGTAATATATAAATGACAAGTGTTATAGAGGGGAAGGTGATGGCCCTACCTGAGTTATCCCTGAACTACTCAAATTTATTGACTTGATACCTTGTTGGAAGTTTAGATACAATATATACTCGGTTCTTAAGCTTGTAGTCTTAAAACAATAAAAACCCCAAAACAGAAAAACAGTCTTCCTAGTCAGTAAATCACCTCAGGTGAAAAAATAACAGTGGTTGATGATATCAAGTATGATAAAGGGTAAGATGATAGCCCCTACCTCTGAGTTATCCTTGAGCTACTCAGATTTATGGAAGTTAAGATGCAACTCTAACTAGGTTCTTAAGATTGTAGTCTTGGGACAGGGTGCGGGGGAAGCGTCTGTTGTCTGTAAATCAACCCAGGTTAAAAAAAAGAAGCCTTGATTGTTACTCGGGGCTGTGATCTGATTGACTCCTCCCTCATAGAATGTGCCCATATGACTATAAAACAATAAGGAATATCATTTCAGGTTTTCCAGGCAGCTAAAAAGCCTGAATTGTTCTTGTTATGTATGTGAAAAATGGCCATCTACTTATAACAAAAGACTTGATAACAATTCAGGTTAGAAGGTCCTAGGAGATATCCCTTCATTTTTGATAAACTACAATGCTGTATTTAAGATATAATAACCTAGTGGATAAATGTGCTTTTCATCAAACTGTAGCTTATAGCCTCCTTTATCATTTAAGTTACTTGAAATAGCAAAGGAACATGCCTAAGAAATGAAGTATATCATAGTCCTACTTGAGTGGTTTAGCAATTTATAAGACAGGCTCAGGAAACAGACTACTTCCAGAGTCTATCTGTTTTGGCTTGCCCAATAGCACATGTAATCACATCTGAAAGTGTTTTCCCATGGTACCACTATCATTTTATTTTTGGTTATTTTTATGGAAACCTGGGATGACTTCATTTTTTCAAAGGTAACTTTTTTTTTTTGAAGTTTTAAAGCATCAATTTTGAATATTCTAAATTTAGTAATTGGCAGGAAAGACCATGTGGCATGAGCAGAACAGATGATTTACAGCTGAATGGGGAGCAGTAGTTTTAGAGAGCCTTGAATAACTAGGGGGATATGTATACTTAGGTAAAATCAGAATGAGGATGGTGAGCAGACTGTTCAGCTTAACTGAGGCTTAGATAGAAATTTTTTAAATTCAAGCTTTATTAAACTATGTTTTAAAATATTTAATGAGTAGTTACATTAGTTCAGTACACATTAGTCCAAATTGAATCTCTGATACAAAACTTTGTAGTGTCTCACAAGTTGACAGCCCCGTTAGCTTTGCCTTTTTGACTTTGAGCATGTTTTTAACTTTTCTAAGCTTCAGAATCATCACCTGTGTAAATACAATAATAAAAGCAACTCATAGAAATGTTGTGAAATGAGCTGGGTGTGGTGGCTTACTCCTGAATTCCAGCACTTTGGAAGGCTGAGGTGGGTTGATCATTTGAGCCCAGGAGTTCAAGACCAGCCTGGACAACATAGTGAGACTTCATCTCTACAAAAAATTAGCTCAGCGTGGTGGTGTGTGCCTATAGTCCCAGCTACTTGGGAGGCTGAAAGGAGAGGATTGTGTGAGCCTGGGAGATAGGCTGCAGTGAGCTAAGATTCTGTCACTATACTCCAGCCTGGGCGCCAGAGTGAGACCTTGTCTCAAAAAAAAAAAAAGGAAAAGAAAATAAGTGTTGTGAAATGATAATACATAAAAAGTGCTTTATAAATAGTGCCTACATCTAACTACATGTTAGCTAGTTAGTATTATCATTATTTTACAGTACTTTGGAAAGGTTGTAGCACAGAGACATTGGCCACTCTTGAAATAAGCAAAAGGTGGCCTGCATGTGATGATTCCCTGGCATACGAGTTATAAACTATAACAAGACTTAGGCAGCACTTTTATAATTGAAGTCACACTTATTTTCCCTCTATTTCTTGACATCAATTTTTAAGCTCTCTTCTCTGTTCCCCAGGTCCTCAGGATCTCTGTCTGTCCTCTGATTACTGATTATCATTTATTTAGTGCCTACTATTGTGCCAGGTCTGTGCTAAGCGCTTTTCATGTGTTATCATATTTAATCATCATAGCAACCCAGTGAAGTAGTTACTGTTTTTATCCCTGTTTTACTGATAAAGAAACTGAGACACAGAAGGGTTAGGTAACTTACCCAAAACTAGGCTATTAGAAAGTACTGGAATAAGAACATAACACCCCAAGTCTAATTCAGTAATCTGAGCTCTTAACCCCTATGCTATAACTCTCTAGTCATCTAAAGCTTCTCATTTAACACCTCACATGAATTCAAGATTCCCAGTACCAGAGGCATTCCTTCCTTGTTTCTTTCTCCTTCTCTACCACAGCCACATAAAAATTCTCATTGTATGTGTCTGTGAGTGTATTTCTGCATGTGTGTGTGGTGTGTAATCAGCATTTAAGTGGTGCTTACTAAGGGGTAGGCACTCAAAGAACTTTACATATTTTAATTATGAAAACCCAATGAAGTACCATTTTATTCCTATTTTTACAGATGAAGAAACTAAGACAGAAGACTTAATGTCAGAAAAGCCACTTAGATTAGTGTGTGGAGTTGAAATTGAATCCTGGTAGCCTTACTTCATTGTCCCTTACTAACTGTCCTCAATCACGTTTTTACCGGGAGTTCTGTTTGACTTAGGGCAAATTTTAAAGGTGTGAAGGAAGTTAAAGGTTAACCAATAGGCTTACCACTTTCAGGTGGTATTTACATTTTAAAAGAAAAACTGTAATAGAGAATGTTTTTAAAAGTAAGGACTTAAGATAAGTGCTAAGAGAAAAAATTCCAGCTATTTGGCCTTTTATTGGAAGCACACACCTGGAGTATGAACTTTTAAACTACTTGGTTTTAATCTTGGAATTGATGTGTATTGCATTTCTTGGATCATAAATCATGCTTTTATGAAATCCCAAACTTACTTTCTTTATGCCCAATTTTTACCATCCAATTCTCAAATCTTTTGTTTCAGCCAGTCTCAACTTGGTGTCATTTTATAAATATTTCATCATCTTTAACATTCCTATCCCTTTGGACATGCTGATTTCTTCTGCCTGGAATGCCAATAATAATATGATTACAATAGTAATTTTGATTTTCATACAGAGCACTGACTCAAATCTAGGATGTGTTTGGTTCTAGGTTCAGTGATCTTGCCGTCTGATCAACTGGCTTGGGTTATGGAATCTTACTTCCTTGGCTTCCTCCTTTCTTTTGTCATTCAAATTCTTGCATTAAGAAACAACTTGAATATCATCTTTGTAAAACTTCCTCTAAGCCATCCCAGATATCTCTGGTCACCCTTTCCTCATTGTTTTTCTTTAAGAACACCTACAAATTCTATTACAATTTGGCTATGTAATTTATTCACCCTACTAAACTCCTGAGTTCTTCAAGGAGAGAAACCTAGATTTAGATTTTTCCTTTGTCCTTTCTTGGCCATCACTCATAAGTGCTCAGTGAATGTTGAGGGACTGTGAGCCTTCTTAAAACTTTATCCCAGGCTAAGGAAAATGGCTCACTTTCCTGCCAGCAGCTAACCATTCGTATCTGGGGTCAGGGAACAGATGGCAAGTTTGAAAGGGAGCTGGAGGTTTGGGGGAAAAGGCAGCAGGAGATAAGAAATGCGTTATGACTACCTCAGTACGTCGGAGGTTTAGCCCTGCTCTGTTCAATATGGTAGCCTCTAGCCACATGTGATTTAAATTTAAGGTAATTAAAGAAAATAAAAATTCAGTTCTTCAGTTGTGCTAGCCACATTTGAAATACTCAATAGGCTCTTGTGGCTAGTGGCTACTGAGCAGCTTTAATAGAGAACACTGCCATGATTGGAACTTTTAGTCATTACTTCAATAAGCATCCTTTGTAGTCCTTTAAGTTCCAGATTTTTATAGTAGAATGCAAAATTAATGTTTAAGGCAACACACAGGACTTCAAAGGCATTTTTTACTTGTCTGGTGATTTCCGTCTATGCCCTTAGACACCTGGATATATCTGCTTCTGCTGTTATAAATCAGTGAGTGGAAAATTTTTTTAAAAACCTCATTTGATTAGGATATAATAATATTTTGAGCCAGTTCTATTTTCTGGTTTGCATAGTGATAATCTTTGATATCCTAGAAGTAAATCCTATTTTTTTAGTATGCTGGGAGACTTCATTACTTTGGCATTTTTAATTTGTTCATATTAAATGTCATCATTTTCATTGTCAGTGAATGCCTGATTAAAAACTTCTGAGATAGAGCTTCTTTAAGAAAATAATAAAATAAAACCATGACTTAAGGGAATTCTTCTGGATATTTTTTTAATTGGTGGGGTGAGTGCAGGTTGTATAAAATGGTGCTATAAACTTTTCATGGATTTATTGTGTGTTCATATTATGCATGTTGTGGTAGTCAAGCGGGGTAAGAAATGCACCAAAGAAAAATAGCCATGGTTTTGAAGTGGAGAATTGGTGTGGGTTACACCATCAGAAAGTGTTTCGGCTTGCTTTGGCTGCCTTTACAGTACCATTGAAAAACATGAAATCTGTGGCAATTTGTGTGTGAATACATCAGGACAAAACACTAGATGTCAGTGTTGCAGTTCTGACATGTTACCAGGAGCTAGTCAAGATTTTTCTGCTTTTAATCACCAAGATATTTTTTTATTGACCCAAACTTTTAAGCCATCTTGCCTCCTTACATTTAGTTAAATACTTACTACAGGAAGCACTTTTTCTAAGAATTGTTTATTTTGTTATTAGTGTCTGTGTAATGCTACTGACTCTGAAGAGTAAAACATATACAGTATTAAAATAATACAGTTTTCAGCTAACTATATTCTTCAAACTTTGTTTTCCAGTGTACTTTCCTGGGTACACTGGTCCTAGGAGATGCCTCTTGGGGAAACATTTTGTGGCCCTGGAATAAAATAATTCAGTCTTTTATTGAATTTGTTAATAGTGCTGCCAGCTTTTAATTTAGATACCTTTTTTTTTAGTGTTATGGGCAATAATAAGGTTCTTATATATTAACTATATTTGTATGTTAAAGCCTAGAGTCACAAATGTGTTCAGATTTCTTAAATTGACCCAGCGTATAAGATACAGAAAAAACTTCAAATTAAATGTTTTCATTAATTTTTTTGTCTTTATTAAGAAATATGCAGCTCTATTAGCATGATAGAATTGCAAGTGATTTCTTGTCTTTATAACATTTTCTTTTATACTGTTGGCATTTCGTGTTTTAAGATCATGCTTTTAAAAAATGTGAAATGTTATTGTTCTTTGCTATGTAATGTTCAGTTAGTTTTTTGAAGATACTTTATTTTTACTCATGCTCGAGGTTCATTTTTATATAGGCATGTTTTTATTTCCTACTTTCTAATTTGTTATTAATTTTTACTTGAAACGTATTAATGTTTTACATCATTTTTTGTTTCATGAATTTTCAGCACTGAAAAAATAAAGGTATTACGCAAAAATAATGCCCAAATTGCAAGTATTGTAATCACTTGCTAAAAGTCAGGTCTTTTTATGGCTTAAAGTCAAGAGAGTAGAGGGGATCACTCAGAAGGTAATACCTGACTATACACTGTCTTCCATTTACTTTGGTCATAACAATAAGCTGATATAAAAAGGCTAAGAGGATGTTTAAAGGCAAATTATGAACATTTTGTTGAAATTATTTAAAGAAGAAACTGAGCCTCGGAGTTGAAGAATAGATAATTTTGAAGCAACAACAAGACTCAATCAATAGACTTCTCAGAAGGTAGAAACAGCGGTTATGGTTCTGATGCTTGGCTTTGGTAAGGGTAAATGGACCCAGAGCAGCCTCACTGAAATGCTGCAGTGCTTTTGGCATATGGATTGCTTTCTAATCCTCTGCATTTAAGTGAAGGTTCTGATCCGGGTGGGTGGAACAGAATTGAGTAAAGTAAGGAGCAGCAGGAAACCTGCTTATGCCTTGGCCTTTTTCTTCTAGTGTTAAATAGTATTTTATCTTAATGCAAGTATATCAATATTTAAAAAAATACTTAAACTACTAATATTGTTACATTTGTAGAGGTACTTTGATAGGAAAAGTTTCAGCTAATGGCATTTTCTGTAATAATCTTTTGAGATTCAACTAGTTTTGGAGTCATCCAAAGAAAGTGCAGTTGTTTACCCAAAGACATCACTGCTAAATGGCAGCTGTTTGTATATTACTGAGTTTTCTTTCTTGTTGACTTCTCAGCCTTCTTTGTTAGCTCTTCTTCTGCTAATTAAAAAACACTCCAAGTTACTAAGCTATTGGATGATTGTCTTCTTCCAAGTATTTCCTAATAAGTTCTGCAGGTTTCTGAAGAACAGAAGCTCTCCAGAGGGCTCTGGATCATAGAGATGCATGCATGCAATGCTGGGTGCTTGTGCTCTCCTTGTTAAAGTGCACTTAATTTAAGAAGGTGAAAAAGAGCTGCTCAGCAAGTTGATTTGCAAGACAAGCCGCCTTCTGGACTATTGTTTCTGCTAATCTTCCTCATCCATTTGAATTTTAAATGATGAACTAGTTTGCTGGTAACCTGTAGGTGCTTTTTTTGGTGGTTCTCATGATAAAATTCAATGGTACACTTACACATTTGTATCTTCAATCAGAACTTGGTATTTTCATTCAGTCACTCAGTCCTACAATTGAATCTAGTATCTTGGGCACGTTGTTAGATAATTTTTTTTTCCAAAAATGTTAAAATGCCCAATTTTCTAATGTTATATGCAAATTCTTTTACATGAGGCTGATTTTTAGTTTTAGGCTTTTTTTCTGCATACAAATTCAGAATTTTAAATATCTGGGACAAATCCCTTAGAAGATTTATTCTGATAATACTGTACCTTTTTCTTATTAAAGTTTTCTGTTATTTGTTTTAATAACCTTCATTAGCCCCTTCCATTAGTTTAGTGACACAATTAAGGTTTGTGTACTTGAATATACCTTGCACCAACTCCATGCCAACATCTGTCACCATTTTGACAATAAGGACGTGGCAGAGGCTGTTGGATTTGTTTCTGCTGCCTGGGTCCTGGGTTTGGAAGCTGCTGTGACATCCCCTGTATATGTGGCTGGGCGAGGTCTCTGGGAGCTGATGGCAATGGGATAGATGGTCCTATTGCTCTTCATCATTACTGTAGCTGTGGGACTCAGAAAAGTACCCCCCTTGCAAAAATGGGGACAGGCAGAGCTCCAGGAAGGGTTCGGGGGGCCTTGGCAGCCTCTGCCTAGGATATTAAAGTTTAATTTGCCTTTACTCTTTGGTTCTATAGGAAGCTGTGGATCGGAAAAGGACCACTTTTATTCTGATGATGACGCAATAGAAGCTGACAGTGAGGGTGATGCTGAGCCCTGTGACAAAGAAAATGAAAATGATGGAGAATCAAGTGTTGGGACTAATATGGGCTGGGCAGATGCTATGGCTAAAGTCCTCAACAAGAAAACTCCTGAAAGTAAACCTACTATTCTGGTCAAAAATAAGAAGCTGGAAAAGGAAAAAGAAAAGTTAAAGCAAGAAAGACTAGAGAAAATAAAACAGGTATGTTCCACCAGTTCTCTTGTAGATTAGATTGTTTGTCTAGGCTAGCTCTTATCTTGACCGAACTGTTTCTTGCAGTGTTTGACCAATTAACGTTCCAGTTTTTAACTTGTTTTTTATGTGAAGGTGGATAACTAAGGTTATGTTTAGGAATTTAGTCTAAATTATTCCATTGAGCATGTTCACTTTTTAATCATCTATGCAAAGGCAAAGTAATAGAAATGTAAACGCTGAGGAAACATCTTTTTAAAATCAAGTAATTATACACATGGTAGTGATTCCTGAGCCTATTTTATTTGTTTTAGCTGTCTGTTTGCTGACTTTATTAGGTTGTGAACTAAGAAGCATGTTAGTTACTTTTTTTTTTTGCCAAAACTTATTTTACAATAGGAATCTGTGACAATGTCGTAACTCAAGGATTGGTTGTAGTTCTGAAAACGGATTATTTCAGTGTTAGATACAAATCAGTGTTGGATAAATTTGAATTCATTATGCTTTTGTTGAACTACTGATGATAGTTGTTAGACTAGGTATAATCTATTAATTAAAGGCCAAAAGTTGTACATAAATTTGTGGTTTATTATAAAAGCTAAAAATCCATGATAAGGCTTTCATATCACCTGTACTTGATGATCTCTGTCTAAAATACTTGGTTACTAAATTAAGCATGTTTTTTAATTAAAGAAAAATAACTTTCTACAAATGTACTGGCAGCATAGAAGTACTAATTCCCAAAGTCACTTCATAGGTAAAAATGAAAGAAACATAGGTTTGAACTGACATATATTTCCTTTTATGTTTACCATCTCCTTTTCTTGTTTCAAGATGAATGTTTTCTTTGTTCTTAATACTGGTTGCTCTGTGTGAAAGGTGGAAATTTTTAAGTATTGCTCTTAGAAACACAGCATACTCTATTATTAATTCAATATTCTTATTGTACTTTATTTAAGGTAAGTTTTGTCTTTAAATCTTATGGATAGCTTTTCAACTGAAAATTTGAATCTTTGTTTATTATCTGGCAAATGCTAGAAGAGGCTTCAAAAATATCAGAATCTTTGATTTCCTCTGGTCTCAGAGTTCTAGTGAGGGTAAGAACATTTTGAAGCCAAGAGGAATGAGTCTGTAACTCTGCTCTAGGCCAAAGCTTTGAGTGCTAGAGATGATACTGTCTCCATAATGCATGAAAGCACATGTATTGATACCAGAAGCAAGACATGGCAGCTACAAATGCTCTTTGTGTGTATTTCTTAGAAGAGAATATGTAAATTATTATTTCCTAATTTAACTATTATGGTTTTCCAATATATCAGCTACTTATTTCTAATCATAAATACAAAAACAAATTTCAGAGTTAAGAATGTTTCAGGATTAAGCATACATATTATCCTTTGAGTACGGAATATAATTAAGAATTGACTGTTTCAAACTTAAAAGTAAGATTTTAAAAAAAAATTCCTGTCATAATCTGACAGTGAATTTCATGACCACTAAAATGAATTGTCTGGTTAGGAGAATAATCTATTACTTTAGAAAGCTATCAGGCTAATCTTTATAGTGAGCGCAAGAATTTGGTTTTACTGTGATTAGACACTTTCATTAATACAAAATGAGAAATAGAAGAGTAAAGGCATAGATAAAAAAAGAAATTTTAATAAAAACGTTGTCTTTATTACTGGTTTTGATGCTTGCCAGCATTCATTGATTAATGCATTATATCATTATATTTGATATTTGGTTAAATGTTGGCCTGAGAAGGAGACATGAACATGCAATGTATCAAATCAGATTCCTGGGACCAGGATACTATTTAAAGACAAGTTCAAACTAAATTATGTTACCTAGGGAATTTTCTTATTTCCCACCTCCCCTTCTGCTTCTGTACAGTTTGCTGTAGCTTACAACTGATAAACCATATATGGCAAGACTATTGGTCAGATATGCTACGAGAGGAGAAATGGATTTAAATGATTCTCTGCATAGAAAAATAGTCATTGTATAAGTATCTGGATACGATGCTGTTCTTTTAAAAGCTGATACATTTTCTTAATAGTAATTCTGATGACTGAGGAAGTCATTTTCTGAAAGTAAAGATAAACTTATAATTTTCAAAGAGGGTAGTTTGGAATTCTTCCTTATGCTTCCCTCTGATGATCTGGTGATGGCAGAGCAGGCATGTGGCTCCCTCACACCCTATCTTGTACTGCCTGGCCGAATATGCTGGCAGCTCTCCAGGCCCCTGCTGTCAGAGGGCCTGACAGAAACTCACTTTGTGCCTCTCGCATGACACGCTGAGTGCTAACCACAGGCTCTCGAAGCTAAACCCCTAACATTGTGTTTTTTTAAAAGCCCCTGACAAACTAAGCCAGAATGATTTATTACCTTCACCCTTTCACAGAGTATCATACCAATGTTTGCTGCACTTTCAGAAATATCTAATATTCTTTCACATAACAATATTTATAACGCAGCGTGATAAGAGGCTGGAGTGGGAAATGATGTGCAGAGTAAAGCCAGATGTTGTCCAAGACAAAGAGACAGAGAGAAATCTTCAGAGAATTGCAACAAGGTAAGGTAGTGTTTTTGCCCTTTAAAAAATAAGTATACTAAAGCTATCATAGTGGTTCTATTTTTGACCCAATTTGATTCTTAAGCTCAGCCTTCTCAGAGCCAAGTGATATATATCTAAGCCTGCCTGTTCAACACTGAATTCAACCAAAGATTTTCCAGGTCTCGTGAAGCAAGAATATAATGTGCTAAGTGTATATTTGGTAAGAACCTATTTCAGATCATCTTGTTTTTATAGTCACGAGAACTGTGTAATCAGACCTCTTACTGCATTTCTCTTATGATGCTTGTCTAAATTTGTGGCACTCAATGATGGTTTTTATCTTGCATTATATTTATGGCATAATACATTACACATTATAGCTATTTCATGCTATCTTTTTACTCTGCTTATTTATTCATTGGCACCAAACGTTTACTTGATGCCCTCTGTGTCCAAAGACAAACAGGATATGGTGGCTGCTAGGTGGTCCTTGCCTGGTCATCTGTAGGAATTACAGTCTCTTTGAGAGTAGAATTATGTCTATGTGTTGGGAACATAGAACAGGAGATTGTCTGGGAGAGTTTGAGAAGGCATTACAGAGGAGATAACATTTGGGCTGCTGCTAAAGAACCTAGCAGTTATATTTAGCAGAATTACTTTTAAATTCTTGTTACCTAAATTATTTTGGTCATTTTCTAATCCATCTCGGTGTTACACAGTGCGATAGCGTGGTGTGGTGAATAAGGGCATGAGTGATAGAGCCAGTGCTCGGTTCAAATCGTAGTACTGGCTCTTACTAGCAGTGTGTCCCTGGGCATGCTACTTGATTTCTTTTTCTCTCAGTTTATCTGTAAATAGAGGATAATATACCTAGCCTATAGGGTTTCTTTGATAATTAAATGGATTAATACATATACAGAACTTAGAAAAGTACAGGCTCAGTACATGAGAGTGAGTGCCTCCTTAAAATTTATGTCCTAGGCGCCTCCCTTTCCTCACCCTGGTCCTGTCACTACTGTGAAGGGTCTGGAATTTTACTCTCCTTATAAGCTCATAAGCTAGCCTGTCAAAGTTTCCTGGATGCTGATAGAAGACAAGACACTTTGGATCAAAGACAAAGGACTTTATTATTCATGGCAAAAACAGTAGCAGAGCTTCATGTTCCCACTGTTTCCTTTGTCCCATAGAGGGAGTGCAGGTGTCCTAGATGGATGCCCGCATGTGCAATATGTTGTGTTACAAGAACTGGAACACTGTGCTTGGGATTCTATCACTTTTATACTGATTGGTAACAAGCCTGCTCTTTGTCGGGGGGAGATGTTACCTCATCCCTCAAGGTCACTACCTACAAACACAACCCTGAGAAATGGCCTGGATAAAGAGCAGTCAGGTGCATTCATTCTTGAAAAATCCAGCAACCATATGCAGGGATGCTCAAGGCCCAATAATTATTGGAAGAGGCAGATTGCCTCTTATTAGAGCAAGAAAATTCATAGATTGCAGAATTTTAGAGCCGGAAGGGATCTTAACAGTCTAAATCAACGCTATCCAGGAGAAATGAATGTGAGCTACATTCATTTGTAATTTAATATGTAATTTAAAATGTTCTTATAGCCACAATGAGAAATATAAAATGAAAGAGGTGAAATTAACTTCAATAATATTTTATTTAACTCTGCATTCAAAATATTCATCATGTGGTCAGTATGAAGCAGTTATTAATGATATTTAAGGATTCTATTTTTCATACTGAGTCTTTGAAATCTGGTGTATTTTCATTTACAGCACATGGCAATTCAGACCAGTCACATTTCAAGTGCTCACTAGCCACATGTGGCTTGTGGCTCCTGTATTGGATGCTGCAGGTCTTAATTTTCAGAATTTATCTTTGAATGAACTCAAATAAATACAGAACATAGTTTTTAAAATAAGTATTTTTTAAAGTAGGATTTTACAATGGTTTCATAACACAAGAGTTGCAGATAACGTAGCTAAATACTTTTTAAGCTACTGAGGCATTATTTTTCCAATTTACAGATGAAATTGAGATCCAGAAAAATCTTTCTTGGAGTGAAGCACAAAGTTATGTACCAATCCACATTTGTTATCTGTTTAGAAATTTATATTCATTCATTGAAATGTATATTCATTTTTCAGTTGTATTTATCAAATGTATTTAACCACTTATCCCGTTCTTTCCTTTGAGTACTTGTTAAATGCTTGCCTCTTTTCTAGACAGTGAAAATACATTTTTCCTATCCTCAGAGTTTGTATTCTAGGGTAATTATTTAATACATCATTCTGGTCATTTTATATTCTACAGGGGTGTGGTGCAATTATTTAATGCTGTTCAGAAACATCAAAAGAATGTTGATGAAAAGGTTAAGGAAGCTGGAAGTTCTATGAGAAAGCGTGCTAAGTTGATATCAACTGTTTCCAAGAAAGATTTCATCAGTGTTTTGAGAGGGATGGATGGAAGTACAAATGAGACTGCTTCAAGCAGGAAGAAACCAAAAGCCAAACAGGTAAAAACTTTTCTATAGGATTCAGTGTATCAGACTTTCAGCTCTAAAACTAGTCTTGAGATGGAAAACCAGACTATAGAATTACAGAGTTTTGTGTTTTTTTCCTAAATTTTATTAAAATTCCTCCATGCCCGCAACCTTTAGAGATAGGGCTTGCCTCTCTCCTATCTGAAATCCTGCCATTTTGCACATTTTGGAGAATAGAAGCCTGTGTGGGCCACAGCTTTAATTTCAGACTTTACCCATAGAGGGTGTGTAACTTACAAAATATGAAGAGTCAGAGAGTTTTAGGAAATAATGGTAGAAAGTCATTCTTGCATTGAGGCATCTTTAGTGATGTTTGGTTGAGAGATTAAGAGCATAAATACTTTCTATGACCTTTGGCATGAGAACTTTGCTTCTCCAGCTGCCTCAGTAGTTTCTTTCTTTCTTTTTTTTTTTTTTTTTTTTTTTTTTTTTGATGGAGTCTTGCTCCCTGGCCCAGGCTGGAGTGCAGTGGCGCGATCTCGGCTCACTGAAACCTCCGCCTCCCAGGTTCAAGCAATTCTCTTGCCTCAGCCTCCTGAGTAGCCAGGTTTACAGGCACATGCCATCACCTCCGGCTAATTTTTGTATTTTTAGTAGAGACGGGGTTTCACCATGTTGACCAGGCTGGTCTTGAACTTCTGACCTCAGGTGATCCACTCGCCTCGGCCTTCCAAAGTGCTGGGATTCCAGGTGTGAGCCACCGAGCCCAGCCAGTAATTTCTTTTTAATGTACCAGGTGAAAGGTTTTGAGATGTGCTTTACTTTTATAAGCGGTGGGTTTCTATTGTTGTCGTTTTAAAAAAGCAAAATATGTAGTTATATTTTGATGGCTTGATTTCTGTTGCCAAAACCAAAGGTACTTTTAATCAGTCAGGAAATGAGAATTTCTGTCATAAATTTTTTTGTTTGGGAAAATAATTGAAACCCGAGCAAGAAGAGCATTTAGGAATTTTATGCTAGCCTAGGGTTGGAGCATTTTTTAAAGTTTCTTAAGTTCATATTTTACCTAAGTGACAAAAGTTTTTGAATCTACTTGTCTCTTTCTTGAATATCAAAGGGCTCAAATTGTATTTTTATATAATAATAGTTCTCACTAGTGCTGCTATTTTAAAGTGTCTATCAGAAGTACTTGTAAATACATGAACACTGTGTTTGGGGATTTATACTTTTTAGTTCAAAGGCTTTAATAGGCTGTATTCTCGCTAGTAACATTTTACTGTAAGAGTTAGAGAAAGATTCAGCAACATTGGATGGGAAAGAACTAGTGGGAAGATGAAGAGACTTAGTTTTTTTTCTTTTTCCTATTGGTTTCAAAATAACATTTTATAGAAGCACATACTTTTGCTTTGGGATTATTTCTTTCATGAGTTATGAAAATACACAACAGATTCTTTCCACTGGCATTGTATTTTTTTCTTACCATTTGCACTTGCCCTTGACTTTCTTTTTTTCTACTTCAGTGATCACAGTATTTGTAAGTCTGGGACAAGGTCAAAAATTGCTTGAGACTTAAGCCAAAGTGATTTTGCTCTAAAAGTAATTTGTTTCTAGAACACCCTGCCCCATGCCATCAATACCCTGACATATTTCTTTCTTTTAAAAATGTGTGTTTTCATGTTGATTGCATATTTATGGAAAAACAGACTCCTTTTTAAAAATTTTGCTTGAGTTTGCATCTGAATAACTATGAAAGTACTACACTGTTTGAGATTGGATCAGTTACTGATATAAAGCATATTTCTTGGCTGGATGCGGTGGCTCATGCCTGTAATCCCAGCACTTTGGGAGGCCAAGGTGGGCGGATCACGAGGTCAGGAGTTCGAGACCAGCCTGGCCAACATGGTGAAACACTGTCTCTACTAAAAATACAAAAATTAACTGGGCATGGTGGCACCCACCTGTAATCCCAGCTAATCAGGAGGCTGAGGTGGGAGAATCTCTTGAACCCGGGAGGCAGAGGGTGCAGTGAGCCGAGATTGTGCCACTGCACTCCAGCCTGGGTGACAGAGAGAGACTCCATCTCAAAAAAAAAAAAAAAAAAAAAAAAAACATATTTATTAAGTGCCTGTTTCTACCAGGTGTTATCCTTGTTGTGTCCTTTAAAATCTTACAATTAAGATGGACAAATGACTTCAAGTAAATAAGTAAGCAAGATTAACTTGATAGTAGGCAAATTCTAAATTAGTATGTCAAGTACACGTTAACATTAGTTACACCAGCTCTAACAAGATGTACATTAAGTGGCTACCCCTGTGTGAAGGGAATTTCAGAGTAACGGTGTACTATTTATTTAGAGCATAGATCATTATATCTATGTATGTTACTTGAAATAGGTGAACTTTTAAGGTAGATCAAGGGAAGGCAGGGTGGCAAAGGTGAGCATAGATTTGATGTGCCAAAGTGCTATTCAGAAATGAATCATTGATGAGCTAAATAAAGGAAGAGATTAAGAAAGTAGAAAGTAATATTTGCCATTTTTTCTTATATTTAACCTTGTCCTAGCACCATAGCTATTGTACTCTTTCCTCATAGGTGTTCCTTCTCTCATCATAAAATGGAACAAAAGAAATCTTATTGTTTTCCCTTCCCTGGGCTGTAATGATATTCAGAGCACAGATTTTTAAATTCAATATTCCTAATATTGTGAAGTCTCTAAAATTGGAGGCCACCCACATATAAACTAGATTTCACTGGCAGCCATCTATCAGGATACCAATTTGGAAACACCTTCATTTTAATGACTTCAATTCTTTTTCCCAGTTATATGTGTTATTCAGTTTTGACATTAAAGTCTTATGTTCAATAATCAAAAGAGGCAGGAGTTTTATATTAAATATGGATAGAATTGTAATAATATAACATAGGTTATATACATTGAGCCCATTATAGTTAACCATACTTTAGGAGTGGTTTTGGTGTTTGGTTTTGTTTTCTCCTAATGTACACATGACTTGGGAATTTATTTTAAAGAACTTTTTTAAAAAATAATTGTTATAGAAATTTCATATTTCTTCAAGGTATAAGAAACAGACATTGTGATAAATGTTTTTTAACTGTGATAGGGCCCGAACAAGTCATTTTTCTTTTTCTTTCTTTCTTTTTTTTTTGAGACAAAGTCTTGCTCTGTTGCCCAGGCAGGAGTGCAGTGGAGCAATCTCAGCTCATTGCAACTTCCGCCTCCTGGGTTCAAGCGATTCTCCTGTCTCAGCCTCCCGAGTAGCTGGGATTACAGGCGTGCACCACCATGCCCAGCTAATTTTTGTATTTTTAGTAGAGACAGGGTTTCACCATGTTGATCAGGCTGGTCACGAACTCCTGACCTCAGGTGATCCGCCTGCCTCGGCCTCCCAAAGTGCTGGGATTACAGGCATGACCCACCATGCCCAGCCGAACAAGTCATTTTTCTTAGAGTCTTTTCTGCATTAGAATTTTATTATCAAAGCAATAGGAGCACAGTATGAAAACTGAATTTATGGTTAAATAAAATAACCACTGCCCTTTTCCATTCTTCTCTATACCTTGGCAACTCTTAGTACTTTCTTCTGGTATTTACCTCCATATCTTAAATAATATTTACACTATTTCTTTATCAGTACTAGATACTATCTTTCATGGAAGATAAAGTTGGTTTTCCTCACACCTCTCCACATTCTGTCCTTCCAACATAGTATATTAAAATTTCTTACACTAGATTGAATACTAGTATTCAATGTGAATATTGTTCACTGCTGAGCAAAATAATATACAATAATAATACTTACTTTCTTCAGCTTTGTTACAATTTTTATTTTTCCTGGAGTTATCACTTGCCTTTTTTTTCCTTTAGTTTTGTATATGCCAAAATCCTTCCATACTCTTCAAAAGAACTGTTAAGCCCTTCTCAGTAGTATATTTCTTGTGATCATCCTGCTGCTACTCTCTAAACTGGTTGTTCTTTACCTGCTGTGCACTGTCATTTTGCAACATTGCTTTATCCCCTTCCTGGGAATTCCATTTGCCTCTCGCCTCTCTCCTATGCAGTATCCTCTGTTTTTTCGGACTAAACGTCTTATTTTCTCTTGGCCTTCTCCTGCATTTTAGTGATGGCACAGTTTTCAGCTTTCTGGGAGAGAGTATAGGTGTCCTTATTTTTTATTGATATGTTGGCCCGATAGATGGCTTCCAATATTTGGAAAAGGGTTTTTGCAGATGCAGTTAAATTAATGATCTTGAGATGAAGGAGGTAATCTCGAATTATTCGGGTAGGCCCTAAGACCAGTGACAAGTGTTCTTAGACACATAGGAGAAATTTGACAGACAGAATCGGAGCAGGCAGTGTGACCATGGAGGAATAGGTGGGAGTGATGTGGCTGCAAGTCAAAGAATGCCAAGAAACACCAGAAGCTGGAGGAGACAGCAAGGGATGGGTTCTCCCCTGAAGCCCCAAGAGGGAGTGAGGCTTTGCCAGATATGGGCATCGGGCCTCCACAACTGTGAGAGAGTAAATTGCTATTGTTTTCAGCTACCTAGTTTGTAGCAATTTGTTATGGCAGCCACAGGAAACTAATAGAACATAGATGTCCATGTTGGAAAGTAATTTTCTCTCAGAAGTTTGAGAGAAATTTTTTCTTTCTTTCTTTTTTCTTTTTTTTTTTTTTAGCCATTGAGCGGTTCAGTGCTGCTCTGCTCGTTTTGATTCTTTTCTTTTTGGAACCTTTTAAGACCTTCTCTATCCCCGTTCTTAAAACATTTGTAGTGAATAATTGGTAGTCACTAATTTTATTTTATTTATATTTTTGTGAGATAGGGCTATGAAAAAAGATACTGTTAGTGGATGTGAGAAGACATAAAAAAAGAATGATTCTTAGCCAATAAATAGAACTTTGGGGTAAAATGTTGAATGTTAAATTCAGTGGAGATTTGGTTCTATGGAATGAATCAGATCACCACATATTTCATTTAGAAACAAGAAGAGGAACCTTCTTTGCCAAATTGTTTTAGTAGCTGTTCTGGGTGGTACATATATTGCTCACGAAATTAGAAAATCGTAAAGTTGGAAAAATTGTGATGTGGGGATAGTCATAGGAAATGTGACTCAGGAGGAAAGTACTTTAGAAGAATATAAGAAACTTAGCTTTGATTTTTAAAATGGCATGAAGTAAACATGGTAAGGGGGAAAAAGCCTGCCAGTTCTGTAATTTTTCAGATTCCTTATAGTTTTCTTTCCTGTTTTCTTCCATGGAAGTTGGAATGTAGGATGTTTGCTAATGAGTGGGGAGTTAGAAAAAGGGATTCTGAGGAAGTAGGTTGGCATTAGATTTGAAGTGTCCTATCTTGAGGAATCTGGACTTTATTCCTTACGCATTTGGAGGCCAATGCCATAAGGTAAGTGATCTGGTCAGATTTGATTTTTCTGTCTTTCTCTTTTGATTTATTTCAGCTTTTATTTTAGACTAAGGAGGTACATGTAGAGGTTTGTTACAAGAGTAATATTGTGCAGTGCTGAAGTTTGGGGAATGATTGAATCTGTTGCTCAGTTAGTGAAGATTTCATTATTTTTAAGGAAAAGAAAGGGCTGAAGGATGGTCAGAAGACCAATTAGTGGAAGACAATTGCCATAATTAAAGCAAGGGGAGAGAACGTGAACTAAGATTGTGTGGGGTAAATTGGGTTGGGGTGAAGGGAAAAGAAGAATCAGATTGGAGAGGCAATTTTAAGGTATAGATTGACTTGATTTGTGATTAACATGATGTAGAGGGATATGGGAGAGGGAGGATTTATTAATAACTCAGAGGTTTACAACTTGGGAGACTCAGAAATGGTGACAGCTTTCACCAAAATAGAGAATATAAAATATGGAACATGTCTGAGAGGTAAAGATTTTTGGAGGCAGTGACTGCTCCAGGTTATAATCAGAAATGAGAAGGATGACAGTAAAGATCAGGTTAACAGCAGCAGTGTGGCAGAAGCATTTGGTTAGTGCGGGAAATAGCATGGCCAGAAACAAGGAGGCAACCAGAATAGCAGAGTATGGTGAGGCCACCTGGGGCAGGCACTAATGAGTCCTGTATGTCTTAGTAGGGTTCCTGAATCTTTAAGAATGATTAACTTGTTTACTGAGTCAGGGAAGATGAATAGTCTATTTTAGAGAGTTTTCCACATGAATAAATGTAATATCTTCTAGGTTTAGATAACTAATTTTCAGTTATTTGGAAGGAATTCCCTAATCCAGAAGCTGTAATTCTTCGATCAAATACAGGAAGCATCATCCCAATTACATACCAACATGTGGCAAGGCATATTGACCAATATCTTGATGTTGACCCCGAGTGATTTTTATTTTATTTTATTTTATTTTATTTTATTTTATTTTATGTTTTGTTATTTTATTATTTTTAAAGAGATGGAATCTTGCTATGCTGCCCAGCCTGGTCTCGAACTCCTGGGTTCAAGTGATCCACCCACCTAGGCCTCCCAAAGTGCTGGGATTACAGGCATGAGCCACCATGCCTGGTGACCCTGAGTGATTTTTAAAAATATTACATTGTATTTAGAACACTGTTTAAGGAAGCAACAAAAACATATTTTTTAAGTAAAGTTTTATAAAAAAATTAAGCTTTAACTCTTAAAGGATTAATACCTCTGTTCCTCTATTCAAAACATGTTCTTATCTAGAGTGATTTGTTTCTCAGTATGTTAATCAAGATTTTATTAATGTAGAGGCATTAATTTTTTTTCTTAGCTTTCAAAGTTGTAATTATTCCTTTTAATGTTTTCTTGAAAAGCCAACTAAAATTCAATCAGATTTCTTGGAATGTAATTCTGTTACTCTAAAGGCCGACAGAAGCGGATGTGATGTTAAATCTGTGAGTCTCTAAGGAGAATATATTGGCTGCTCTTAGGAAAGCATTGGCTTTACTTGTACTCTTGAATTACAGACTTTCTACAAGGTTTTCATTTATTTGAAATTGCCAATATATCAATTTCAGGTTTTTTTTTAATAATGAAACTGAAATTATAATTTTATAGTAAGGGAAAATGCTAGCTGGTTTCTGTTAGAAAATGATTTTTTGGCGGGACATGGTGGCTCACATCTGTAATCTCAGCACTTTGGGAGGCCGAGGCAGGCTGATCACAAGGTCAGGAGATCGAAACCATCCTGGCCAACATGGTGAAACCCCGTCTCTACTAAAAAATACAAAAATTAGCCAGGCGTGGTGGTAGGGGCCTGTAATCCCAGCTACTTGGGAGGCTGAGGCAGGAGAATCGCTTGAACCTGGGAGATGGAGGTAGCAGTGTGCTGAGATTGCGCCACTGCACTCCAGCCTGGTGACAGAGAAAGGCTCCATCTCAAAAAAAAAAAAAAAAAAAGAAAGAAAGTGATTTCCTTAGTGATTGCTAGACAATAATTTTTAATAGAAGTCCCTAGGAAAAAGAGTTACTGGAAGAGTCCAGGTATTTATTTTTTCTGATTTTGTGGTATGAGCACTTTAAATGTCATACATAGAGGTAAGGTAGGGTACTCCTCTATTTCTCATTTATTTGTCATAAATGGCAACCTTGTAATTTCTTCATAGGTAAATAATTAGTGGTGAGAATGCTTTTGAAATACCTGGCTTCTTTGGTATCTTACAACTTAGACCCAGACTCCAAATTGCTATGTACTTTTAAAAATGTGCATTTCTTCTGGTTCTTAGATCTGCTGAATTCTTGCTTCTAAAGACAGAAGCCTAGGAAAG
The DNA here is from genome assembly GCF_000001405.40 of Homo sapiens. Classification (NCBI taxonomy): domain Eukaryota; kingdom Metazoa; phylum Chordata; class Mammalia; order Primates; family Hominidae; genus Homo; species Homo sapiens. The sequence continues at coordinate 218,315,378 of NC_000001.11, forward strand.
GAGGACTTCCTCACCCAGGTCCCTTGGTGGGCCTCTGGCTATTTTCATTATTTACTTTTGGTTTTTCTAAGGCAGGATCTCACTCTGTCGCCCAGGTGGGAGTGCAGTGTCACGATCTTGGCTTACTGCAACCTCTGCCTCCCAGGTTCAAGCAATTCTCATGCCCCAGCCTCTTGAGTAGCTGAGATTACAGGCGCATGCCACCGCACCTGGCTTTATTTTTTTATTATTTTATTTTTTTTTTTTTGTATTTTTAGTAGAGATGGGGTTTTACCATGTTGGCCAGGCTGGTCTCCTCGAACTCCTGGCCTCAAGTGATCCTCCGACCTGGGCCTCCCAAAGTGCTGGGATTACAGGCTTGAGCCACCGTGCCTGGCCAGGATTTAGCTTTTAAATCAAGTTGGGGTGTGGAAGGCAGGCAAGGAGGTAGAGAAAGATGCTGTCCTTAGATTGCCTCTGCATTGCAGGACAACAGTGTTTTACTCTCACGTAAAGCTCTCTAACAGGAATGTGTGGAATCCTAATTTTGTAAATAATTCAGCTTAATGTTTGTTTACTGAAAATGCCTAAATAGAGCTTAGGCAAAAGTGAGACTCCATGTTTGAAATGAGAACAAGCAGGATTATACATATTACTGTTGATGGGAATGGTTTTAAGCCAGTTTCCCATTGTATTTATGTCTTTTAAAATATGCTATTTAGTTTTCATGTAGGGTGGTTTCTGATTTGAACAACAGTTTTAATCAAAATGAACTTAGGTTTGGCAATATGGCACATGCAGCATTTTGACTTATGGAAAATATGGATATTAGTGAAGAATAAGAACTAGTTATTACAGAACTGCTGTAGAAATCTTTAGTTACTGTTAACTTAAAATTAATGGTGCCATACATCTTTTTGCCCCTATATGAATAAATGTGCTATTTGAAGTGGCTGCCTGTATTGGATTTTCTTTAGTGAGGCTGAGGCTTTAAAAAAAAATTATCCTGCACAGATGAGTCTATGCATTTGACTTTTAAAAATGCATTATATTAAGACATCAGTCTTACATGTTAGCACCTATAATGCATTTTTAAAAGTCAGAATAATATTTTATTGCATCTTGGTAAAAATTACCATTTTTGAGTAGTAGGCAGTTGAGACCATTTGTGGGGATATATAACACATAGTACTAAAGCCACAGATTCTAGAACCAGACTGCCTGAGTTCAAAATGCCTGTTATATATAGTAGTAATAACAGTCCCTACCTCATAGGGATGTTGTGAGAGTCAATTAAGTTAATATACATAAAGCACTTAGAATGATGCTTAACACATAGTAAGTGCTGTATAAATGTTTGCAATAATTTTTATTTTCCATTGCATGCCATCAAAACGAGTTCCCTATATTGGTGCTTATTTTTTCTCTAAAAATTGTAGTCAAAGATGAATTCCAAAGTTGGAAACCAATTTGAAGGGGAACTCTTACTACTTTTTATCTGAATTATTGAATAATCCAAAAACCTTCCAATAATTTGATTAAAATTATGTTTAGATTTGGATATTCTCACTCACGTTAGGTGTGATGGCTCTAGTAATGCATAATTCTTAGAAAATATAAAACTAGATTTGAAGGAACTAGAAATGTGTCCACTTTCTCTTGTTCCCCATTTCCACTTATGGTTGAACTAACTGTATTACTTACAAGAATTTACTTATTAAGATAAGTTTGGTTTTTATGGGGGTGCTGTCATACTATTTGAATGTCATCATCTTTGTGAATAATGTGCAGAACATCATTAGAAGATCATACCTGTCCCAAGTTGGGGATTACGTGATACACAATGACTCGGCATCAGCAAGTAAGGATAGTGAGTAGAAGGACTGAGAGGGCACTTACTAGCGTATGCTTTGTGCCAGATGCTGTGGCAGATGTTTTTACGTAATTCCACTTCCAATAGAAAACTTCTCTTCCTTCTCTCACCCAGATGAGCTGGAAGAACTGTGGCTGGCTGATAAGCCACAGTGTCAGCAAGACTAGGAAGAGAATGGTGAAGGAAGCAGCTTGCATTCTGCTTTTTCCTAGGTCTCTCGTGCTGCTCATTTGATGTAAAGCATAATGAAGTCTGACACATTTTAAAATCTGATTTCTCAAAACTGTTATGTAAGATAAAATGTTAAACATAGTAAGATATTTTCAAGTTATGAAACTCATAAAACCAACTTAGAAAATTATTTATAAATTCAAGTTAGAATTGACTTTCTCTTCATTTGTCAAGGAATTAAAATTTACTAGAAATCAAATGCATCATGTATTTGATGATTGTGTGTCGAATACAGATTTTAGAATCTTCCCCCATGCCCCACACCCTTTTTTTTTTTTTTTTTTTTTAATTTAAAGACAGGGTCTTGGTGTGTCACTCAGGCTGGAATATAGTGGTGTGATCACAGCTCACTGCAGCCTCAACCTCCTGGGCTCAAGTGATCCTCCCTCCTCAGCCTCGCGAGTAGCTAGAGCCACAGGCACCATTAGGCCCGGTTGATTTAAAATTTTTTTTTCTAGAGATGGGGGTCTCATCATGTTGCCCAGGCTGATCTTGAATTCCTGGGCTCAAGTGATTCTTCTGCCTCAGCCTCCCAAAGTGCTGGGATTACAGGCGTGAACTCCCAGCTCTTTTATAAAAATTGTCAAACAAGAAGAAAATTACAAAGAATAGTAATATAACCACCTATATTTCTGTATTTCTACTTAGGTTTAAAAGTTGTTAACACTTACTGTGTTTGTGTTAATAGCTATCTGCCTTTCTCTCCATCTAGTTTTTGTTTGTTTAGGTTGATTATTTGAAAGTATTACCCCCATGTGCCCCGAAGATTCTCTTTTTTAAAAAAAAATCAGTTTTATTGAGGTATGATGTTCATATACCATACAATTAAAATTTTTTTATAACTTTTTGAGAATTAGAATTCAATTAAGTCTCACCTATTACATTTGATTCTGTCTTGTTCTCTTTTGTTCTAGACCAATCCCTTGTCTTTTTTTTTCTTTTAAAGACTAGCTTTTTAAAGAGACAAGCCAGTTGTCTTGAAGAATGAATAATGAATCCAGGCCAGTTGTCTTGAAGAATGAATAATGAATCCAGGTTTATGAATTTGTCTGATTACTTCATTATGGTGTCATTTATCTTGTTCTATGCCTTTTTCCTGTAAGCTAGAAGTTAGGACTACGGGCTTGCTGAGATTTAGGTTAAACTTTTTTTGCCATAATTACATCATATGTGTGACAGCTTATACTATGTACTTGCTATTGTAACACATCAGGAGACACATTATCAGAATGTTTCGTGCTAGTGATGCCAGTTTCCACTTGGTTAAAGTGATAATAAATACTTTTTTTTTTTTTATTAAAGGTGCACCCTCCCCACCTCCCAGTTAGAAAGTAATTTCTGGGACAAATAGTTTCACAGGAGCAAGTGTACCTGTCTCCATCTTTTGCCTTTTACCATCAATTAGTGATCCTTGCCTAAAACAGTTAAGTGACTTGAGGTTACAGAATGGTGATTTTCTCATTTGTTTTCTAATTTATTAGCTGACACTTTTCAAGAGATGAATTAAAGTTCCTAAAGATGGGGGTTGTTTCATCCCTTTTAATTATGGTCTTCCAGAGTAAGGAGTTTAATAGTCACCTCCAGTCTCTTCTTTTTTCTTTTGTCTTTTTTTTTTTGAGATGGAGTCTCATTCTTGTCACCCAGGCTGGAGTGCAATGGTGCAATCTCGGCTCGGCTCACTGCAACCTCCACCTCCCGGGTTCAAGTGGTTCTCCTACCTCAGCCTCCTGAGTAGCTGGGATTACAGGCGCCCGCCACGACGCTTAGCTAATTTTTGTATTTTTAGTAGAGATGGGGTTTCACCATGTTGGCCAGGCTAGTCTCAAACTCCTGACCTCAGGTGATCCACCCACCTCAGCCTCCCAAAGTTCTGGGATTACAGACGTGAGCCACTGTGCCCGGCTTGTTTGTCTTTTTAAAATGTCATGGACATAGGGATTTTTATTCAGTGTTTACAGTCAATGAGTGTCATTATACTTTTTGTTGCTTAAGTTTGCAAATGTGGCTGTGAGAACCTGTGTAAACTGGCTCATGTGTCCTTTTGGCATGACCTCATTTTCTTTGAGTGATTCCTTGCATTCTGGGACAGGATGTCCAGCCCAAACCTTGTGCTTTCTGTGTCCCAGACCTAGAATCACCTGTTTCTCCAAAGGGGTCTGATGGGACCAATCTATTTATTTCTAAATTGTTTGTTGAGTTCAGTAGATTTATAGTGTGCATATTCCTTACTAGATGCAGCTTTGTTTTGTTTATATAGCATTTCATAGTTTTGCAAAGCACTTTTACATATGTTTTCTTATGTAAGCTTTTTAGCAAATTTGTGATATCAGGAAGACGTTGGTATCTATTTTTCAGCTGAATTCACAGCTCTGCTAATTTTTTATAAATCTGGATTTTCATTTATATGCTATATAATATAGCAGATAAAATGTGCTTTAAGAGACTAATTGGCAGAGTGTATCTGAATATTTCAAACAACTAATTTACTATGAAAATGAATAGAGCACTGTCAAAAGGCTCCCTGAAGTGTTACATTTGACTTTTCAGGTACCTTAGGTTTTTTTTTTTTTTTACTATGTTTTATTTCTTTTTTTTTCTTTTATTTTATTATTATTATACTTTAAGTTTTAGGGTACATGTGCACAATGTGCAGGTTCGTTACATATGTATACATGTGCCACGCTGGTGTGCTGCACCCATTAACTCATCATTTAGCGTTAGATATATCTCCTAAAGCTATCCCTCCCCCTTCCCCCCACCCCACAACAGTCCCCAGAGTGTGATGTTCCCCTTCCTGTGTCCATGCGTTCTCACTGTTCAATTCCCACCTATGAGTGAGAACATGCGGTGTTTAGTTTTTTGTTCTTGCGATAGTTTACTGAGAATGATGATTTCCAGTTTCATCCATGTCCCTACAAAGGACATGAACTCATCATTTTTTATGGCTGCATAGTATTCCATGGTGTATATGTGCCACATTTTCTTGATCCAGTCTATCATTGTTGGACATTTGGCTTGGTCACCTTAGTTAACTTTAACTTACTTAGAGTTCTTAAGATAATTTAAATGTTGAGGAAAATCAATGTTGAATTAAGAACTAAATGTATGGATAACAAGATGTATAATAATAGAAACCACCAAATAGAACCGCTTTGAACAAGGACATATGTAGTGGGTACATATGTCCACATTTTGCCATAAACGTTTATTATAAAATCAAGTTGTTTTCCACCCCATTCTGCACACTCTTCATAGCTCCTATCTCAGGGGCCGTAAATGAAATTAAAACAAAACAAAAAAAAAATCAGTGGGCGAAAAAAATTGAATCCATAAAGTATGTTTTTAACTACAATTGCAAATAGCTTACTGAAAATTTTTAACAACAAAGATATTAAGATGAATTTAGTCAATGTTAAGAACTTTTTAAAATTTAGGTGAAACTGAGTTAAAATGAAAACTGAACTTTCTTGTTAGGGAAAGCAATGAAATCAACTATTGTTGATTACTAAATATAGATGAGACTATATTGTTTCTTTCTTTATGGTTTGATTTTAATTATCCCCCACCCCAGCAAATGAAATGAAGTTAACCATCTCATTGGTGTGAGATGAATGTGTAATTCCAAACCTTCTTTTTCAGTGTTCAGTGGCTGCCAATGTATGTTTGCGCTTTGAAATGAAAGCTGATTAACATTTTTAAGGGTTGTCTTCACCTTCAAAATGGACACAGACTGCTTCTGTATGGTTTCAATTCAATATTTGTATAAAACTAGGCCAAGGAAGGTGGGGACTGTTTGTTTCCTTGCATCATGCAGTTTTCGTTAAGTTCTTGCATTTAGTCACTTTTACTTTTCATTTGATATAAGCAGAAAGAGTTGTATAGGTTGCTTTAAGTCTTTGAATCAGTGCTGCCTTGCAGCAACACTGAAAGACTCCGTAAGTTGATAAAAGTTTGGTTATTTCAGTTTATACTTTACGATTTATATTACAGTTAGTTATGTTTAACAGCTAACACAGCTTCCATCTATGATAGTAAATACCTATGTCTAACATGTACAGTATGGTTAACTTTATCTTATAGCTATAACCAGTTAATAAAAAATAATAAATTTTTTATTTCTTTCAAGGCCTGTACCTCTAAAACTTTCTAATTTGCAGTACTGGAGTCAATGGCTTATCTAAGATTCAAATCCAGAACTCTCTTTTTATTCCTTTTATAAAAAGAATATACCAAATTGCTACTTCTCTTTTACAAACAAAACAAAAAACCCTTCATTCTCAGGATGTCTTAACATTTAATGAAATCTATTCAGGGATCACCCCAAGCAAGCTTTTCCGATGAATGACACATTTAGAATTTGCCTCAGGCTTTTTTTTTTCTTTTTTCTTATATTAATCTTTGATCTACCTTTTTTTTGTGTGGGTGCTCCAAGTATTTAAGAAGTTTTTATACTTAATGGTAAATCATATTTATGGAAAAGATATAGCAAATTGAAATTATGTCAATCCAGTGTGTAATGTAATTTACTCCAAATCTTTTATGGAAATTACCTTAAGCATATTCAGCATTTTGCATGTATTTTAGTCCTCATTCATAGGTTATAACAGGTTATATAAGAACACAGTATATTACTGTATTGTGTTCATATCATCAGTTAAGTTTTAGAGAAGTTTAGTGTTGTGGAAAGAACATGGGCTTTGGAATCAAATGGATCTGTGTTTGGGTATAGACTCAGCTCTTTATTAACTCTGAACTTGAATAATTACTTCACTTCTCTGAGCCTTAGTTTTCTTATAAGGTAAGCATGATACTTGCTATCTGGCCAGGAATCTTAAGAGAATTAGAAATAAGGCAATATTATATAAAGTGCTTGGCACACAATGAGTTCATAGTATACTTATTGTGTTTGACCCTTTTTCATTTATTGTTAGGAAGTAAAACAGAATCATCATTGTTAATAAAACTAGAAGGATTTCTTAGGATATTTTTGGGACGATCTTGGTAGAAAAAAGCTTGGGAAACTTAGGATTTGTGGAAATGGTTTAGGTGTACTTTTTTTTTTTTCTGTTTCTTGCTGTCCCTTTTTTTTTAAATTCTTTACTTATACATGTAGTTTAAAAAGCCACATTTTGCCATAAACGTTTATTATAAAATAAAGTTGTTTTCCACCCCATTCTGCCTACTCTTCATAGCTCCTATCTCAGGGGCAACTAATTCTTAATTCTCTAGCTAGTCCTGCTGGCATTTATACATCTCTGTATTCTTAATGTTACAGGATCCTTGGGTGTCGCTTCACCAGCTGGAAACCTCTGTGACCAGTGGTGCCTTTGCCTGTTTTGCTCGGTCCTATGGGCTCGTTTTGCCCACTCAGCCTGGCAGTCTGCGCTCGGCTCGTGCTACCAGCCTGGATCCCATGCCTGCCAAGAGCGAGGGATGTATGAGCGAGAGTGGGGTCCTGCCACTGAACACAGCCAGGCATGCCAGCTGCGGCAGGGTCCATAGCTCCCGGCAATGGCATGGGCGCCGGCTACTTGCGAGGCTGCAGCTGGACCAGGTGTACTGTAAGCAGCTTCCATGGCCGACACCAGGGAACGTCGTGGCGTTCTGGAAGCTTGGAGATGCCAGTAACTGCAGAGCCCTAAAGAGGTGTCACAGCCCTGGCTCAGGGAGCTCCTAGGTCTGGGCTTCCCGAAGGGCTGCAGCTCTTCTCTCCTTCTTCTTTCCTTGTCACCTGCAACGTGGTGAGCAAGGGACATATTTCAGCGCTGTTTGTGTTACACCTCTTTTAGCCCCGCCGTTCGGCAGGTCCCGAGTTCTTGTGCTGCATCCAGGAAGAATGAGGTACACAGACAAGTGGAGGATGAGCAAGATGAAGAGGAGCTTTATTGAGCGATAGAACAGAGGAGACCCTGGGGTGGATAGCTCCTCGCTGCAGCTGGTGGTCTTGTTGTCTCTGGGTCTGGCTGAGTTCGGGGCTTTTTATGGGCCTTAGAGGAGAGGAACTGAGTACCAATTGGTCCATGGGCTACCGTGGATGGGCCCAGAAAAAGCACTACAAGTTCCCACTCTGGTCCCCAGGACTGGCAGCCCGGTCCCCAGGCTTCGGGCCCTCCCTGGCCTGAAGGTGGGGCCTCACCGGGGACCCTCCCCCTTCTACCCAGAAGCCTGTCTGCTTCCTGCCACTGCTCATGGCGCCCAGACTGTTCTGGCCAAGGAGTGCCTGCAGGTCAATGCTGAGCTGCCCTTAGCCCCACCTCGGCCTCCCTCTCATGCTTGTTGGCACCCAAAGTCCGGAGGGGGCCAAGGGGGCAGGGGCCTGGCATGTCAGCGCTGCCCCCAGTGTGCGTATACCCAGCTGGGCTGTAACAGTGCCCGGGTTCCGCTCCAACCTTGCTCTGAGATCAGAGCGGGCACTGGGAGCGGGGAGAAACCGGGCAGTGGGAGAAGATACTTCCGAGCCTGCAGGGGCAGGGGGCGCCTTCCTGGCCCCCTCCACTCCAGAGTGCAGCCATACCTAGGTCTGCAGCCGGGACTTGGGTTGCTGCAGCTATTCCTGCGAGGGCGGGGCTTCTGCCTGCTCCCAACTCCCACCAGCTCTGTGGAGCCTGGCACCGTCCCAGGCCCAAGTCCTCCTCTTGGCCCCTCTCAGCCTGCCCCTCCGTGCCTGACTGTGCTGCTCCTTTGCTGGCGGGTGACTTAGTCTGGCCCCATCGCTGTGATTCCCAGGAGCGGGCCTGGGAACTGGTGCCTACTCCATGTTTTCCCTGCAGCAGCAGCTGCAGGGGAGGTGCAGGTGGCATGGCCCCTGCCAACCCCGCACAAATGAACCCGACGCTCTGGGGGCTGGCCCCTTGAGTCTTGCCTGCACCTTCGGCCGGGTACTCGCGGGTTCCCAAGACGCGGCCGGCAGTGAGGTTGAGGCCATGGCAGAGGCTCCGGGCCTGGGAGTGGGTCCTGCCTGCCTGTGTGAGCGTGGGTGTGACACAATTATCTGCCTCAGGGACGCGGGGCACAAGGGTTCCAGCGCCGCCACTGCTGCTTCCGCTCCTGCTACCACCGCCTGCACCTCCCTGCTGCAACTGGTGTGATGGCAGCAGCCACTCCGGATGGTCGGCCACTGCCATCACTAACTCATGTGCATATGTGTAGTCGTATCTTTTGATTAATCAGTTTGAGGCATTATCTATTAGTTTTCTGTTTTAGTAGGCAAAGATTTAATTATCTTACACAGTCTCTTCTCCTTTGGCCACTCAATGTAGTTTACAATTATAGTTGTCAGTATTCAGCATTTCTTATTCGTGTGAAAAAATTATTTACAGCTGAATGTTGTAATATTCCATATTTATATGTTTCCTTTCTATTTTTCCTGAAGTTAATCATTGTCTTGACTTTTCATATTTAATTTCCTTTATTAATTTAGTTTTTTGAAGTCAAATGATCTGAAGTGATGTATCTATTTTAATTATTTTCTCTGAGATATTCTTTCCTAGAGGCCTCTATTTTCCTTTGTATCCCCTGATTGCTTTCTTGGGTTGCTTCACTCTTGTCATCTGGGACTTAAATTTTCTTTGATCCTTGGAATTTCTTCTGGATTGAATTCCCTATGTCTGGGTTCTTGGATCTTCCTTTTTTTCTTGGTTCACTCTCACTCTTTTGGTAAAGCATATTCTCCAGCGGTTTTGTCAAGTTAAAATAACATACAGTGACAGATGTCATGGTGATGACCGCTTTCAGCATGCCGTCCCACGGAGTCACTTGGCTGCAGGTTGTCCTTCATGCGTGATGTGTAGTTGTTATTTTGGAATCTCCATTCATTCTCATCCTGGCTGTTTCCTTCTTTTTCCTTTGGTGGGACTCCTATTTTCTCTATCCCATGTTTTCTTCTTTTTGTTTTACTCCATCTGTTTATGGAGAACATCCTCAGTGTCCTGAGAAAGGCTGCATTGGAAGTAAACTTTTGGGGACCTCGTATGTCTGAAAATACCTCTGTTCAGTATTCACATTTCAATAATAATGTGTCTCAATATTGAATTTTAGGTTGGATATTATTTTCCTTTGACATTTTGAAAGTATTTGTCTATTGCTTCCTTGCTTTCCAATATTGCTACTGGAAAATCTGAATCTTTCGATTTCTGATTATTGGTATGCATGTGACTTTTGTTTTCCTGGAAGCTTATGGGATATTCTTTTAGTTCCTGTTGTCCTGAAGTTTTACAATAATATTCTCATTGTGTCCTGGACACTCGAGGGCTGGTTTTAATCTGGAAATGTGTGTCCTTCACTGGGAAATTTTGTTAAAGTATTTTATTAATTTCCTCCTGTACATTTTTTCTCTGTCTGTAGAACTCCTATTATTTGCATACTGGGCCTCTTGGACTGGTTCTCCAGTTATCTTTTTCTTCCATTTTTCATCTCTTTTCTTTTAGTCTATTTTCTGGGCAATTTCCTCAGCGTTATCTTCTGACTTTTATAATGTGGTTTTTTGTTTTGTTTCTTCCACCATATTTTTAATTTTAAGCTCTTTGTTATTCTCCTAATGTTTCTTTTAAAATAGCAACTGTTGGCCGAGTGTGGTGGTTCAGGCCTGTAATCTTAGCACTTTGGGAGGCCAAGGTGGGTGGATCACGTGAAGTCAGTAGTTTGAGACCAGTTTGGCCAACATGGTGAAACCCCATCTTTACTAAAAATACAAAAAATTAGCTGGGCGTGGTGGCAGGTGCCTGTAATCCCAGCTACTCGGGAGGCTGAGGCAGGATAATCGGTTGAACCCAAGAGGTGGAGGTTGCAGTGAGCCAAGAATGCACCATTGCACTCCAGCCTAGGCAACAAGAGTGAAACTTCATCTCAAAAATAATAAATAAACAAGGTGAAATCAAATAACAACTGTTCTGATTTTATGGATGCAATATATTTTAACTCTTTGAGGATGTTGATGATATTTTTCCCTAAATTTTTTTCTCTTGAGATTTTTGTTCCTACAAGTCGTTTTTTAAATTTTGTGTTTGCATTGTTCTCTTCTTTCTGATAATCCTTAGTTGTGTGTTCATGATTAGAACAAATAGACCAAAAAATTCAACTGGAAGCTATGAATATATGGGTGTCATCCACCTTAAATTTCACTGTAGGGTTCTCTGGGTGAATTTATTAGCAACTTGTCAGGTTTTCAATAAAGTAACTCTTCCAGTCTCCTACTTAGAAGAAAAAGGTCTGCGTACCAGCATTTTGGGAGCCCAGTGTGAGAAGAGAGCTGGGATTCAATATCTGGTTGCTGTGTGTGTGTGTAACTTAATCCCATTTTTGGTTCTATACCTATGCTTTCATCTGTGCAAGCCCATTACCTCTTCAGAATTTAAACCTCCAGGTATTATGCCAGGTTATTGTGGAATGGGATGGGGAAGTAGAGCACTAAATGTTTCTCAAAGCATACCTTTCACCCCAGTGCTTTTTATTTTGGTTCTTCCACTTCAACCCTTAACTTCCAGAAGTCCCTGATACATACTGCCAGTTTCTGTTTCTTTTGCAGATTCTGCAGTGTAAATAGGGTTGGTTTTGTCAGTGTGATAGTTGCAGTCTTAGGATTTAACTTTCCTGGTGTCTTCTGGTCCATCTCCTTCACCTTCAAAATTGTGTTGATATTGTCTTTTCTGATCTTGACCTTCTGAGTTATGTCTTTAAAACAACAAATCACTTTTCTGTAGTTTTATTGAATATAGCAGTTGAGCAAGACTAGTTGTTTATGTTCAAACTGCCACTTTAGCATGGGCCCTCTGCCTTTTTTCTTTCTACGTGTGTCTTTAGCAAATGTAGGGATTAGAATTTAAAGAGTCATTCTGCTGCCTTTAAAACAAGGTTTTCTTTATTTTTTTGAGACAGAGTCTTACTCCGTCGCTCAGGCTGGAGTGCAGTGGTGTGATCTCGGCTCACTGCAACCTCCTCCTCCTAAGTGATTCTCCCTCCTTAGCTTCCCCAGTAGCTGGGATTATAAGCCTGTGCTATCATGCGTAGGCTATTTTTTGTATTTTTAATAGAAGCGGGGTTTCACCATGTTGGCCAGGCTGGTCTGAAACTCCTGACCTCAAGTGATCTGCCCGCCTCAGCCTCCCAAACTCCTGGGATTACAGGTGTGAGCCACCACGCCTGGCCTTAAACAAGGTTTTCTTGAGCTGCCATCTTGACAGATGCCATCTAACATACCTGTTTTTAAAATGTGTTAACAACACTTGTTTTTATAAATTTTCTATTGTGTCTTTTTTTTCCAAATTGTTGCTTCACAGTGTAAAAATGCTACTGTAATGATTAGCTTGAATGATGTCCATACTTAAGGCATACAGTGCTGAATTTTACATTAGATTTACAAAATCGAATATTAGATTTTCTAAAATCTTTCCCTCTCAGCCATAAAGTGTACTTGGTCTTATAGCAGTGAACAAAAACCATCACTAAGAAAAAATGTTTGTTTATGTAAAGCAAATAAATAATTATCTTTAACATGCACCGGAATCACTGACTGGCTTATAAAAACAGATTGCTAGGCCCCATGCCTGGAGTTTCTGATTTAACAGGCCTCGAGATTTTGAATTGCTAATAACATATTTTCAAGTTATGCAGATAATGCTGCTGGTGTAAAGATCACACTTTAAGAATCACTGATACAGACTATATTGATCCTTGAAACCAAGAAACAAAAACATCACCAAAATCCCCCTGTAAAGCTCTTCCTGTTATTCTTTACGTTGGACAATTGAGTAAAACGTTGTACTTAGTCTGTTGTTGCTCTTCTTGCCTAAAATACATGTTTACAGCAATCATCTTTCAAGACAAGCATGCAATATAGTTGGTGTCACCATTTTAATTAGTGAATTCCTTCCTTTGGTCTACTATTGTTCCTTTCTTTCTGAAATACACGTTTAAAGTTTTGTGGGCTGGGCACGGTGGCTCACGCCTGTAATCTCAGCACTTTGGGAGGCCAAGGCGGGCAGATCATGAAGTCAGGAGATTGAGACCATCCTGGCTAACATGGTGAAACCCCATCTCTACTAAAAATACAAAAAGATAAGCCAGGCATGGTGGCAGGTGCCTATAGTCCCAGCTACTCGGGAGGCTGAGGCAGGAGAATGGCGTGAACCCGGGAGGCGGAGCTTGCAGTGAGCCGAGATTGCGCCACTGCACTCCAGCCTGGGCGACAGAGCGAGACTCCGTCTCAAAAAAAAAAAAAATTTTTTTTTCCATGTTCCCTTTTCTTCTTCGTTCTTCTGTTGCCTGCGGGTTTTCTGATGCTACCTAGGAGAGGAGTAGAGGAGTAGCTCAGTCCAACTAGAGGTTGGTTGTCAGGGTGAGCTCTCTTGTAGAAACACTCTGTGTTGAGTCAGTCACATGGGATCAGTGTGCTCTTTCGGTAACGTGTTGATGGCATATTGGGTGTACTTGCCTAACATAGAGGCTTCACACTGAGATTGTACTTGTTCATATGTAAACTCAAATATCAAAGGCAGGATAGGTCTTTGCTAGTCAGCAATTTTGATATGGCTATACACTTTTCCGAATTTAATTGAAAGCTTTGAATTCTTACTTTGACAGGAGAGGTGTTATAATTGTTGGTTCTAAGTGGATTTTTGTTCACTGTGAACATCAGTTTTTTATTTAAAGAAAACCTGGGTTGGCTGGGTGTGGTGGCTCTTGCCTATAATCCCAGCACTTTGGGAAGCCAAGGCAGGTGGATTGCTTGAGCCCAGGAGCTCGAAACCAGCCTGGACCACATGGCAAAACCCTGTCTCTACAAAAAAAAAAAAAAAAAAAAAAAAAAAAAAAAATTAGCCAGGCATGATGGTGTGCACCTGTAGTCCCAGCTACTCTGGAGGCTGAGGTGGGAGGATCACTTGAGCCTGGGAGGTCGAGGCTTCTGTGAGCCATGATAACGCCACTGCACTCCAGCCTGGGTGACAGAGTGAAAATCAGGGAAAATGGCCTTTTATCCAGCTAGCTAACAATCTAATAGAAGTAGAATTTCAGTTTTAAGAGTAGGTTTGATATTGTAGAAATAAATGAAAAGTTGTTAATATACTCCAGTTATCTTCCTACGTTATTGTTCTCCTATCAGTGTGACGTGAGAAGCATTGGAACTGTTTTATGTTGGTTTTTAAATAGCACAGATGTTTTTTATTTATTTCTGTATGTTGGGTAAATTATAGTAAAAAGTGTGCTGATGTTTGATATACGAAGTCAGTTCTGAAATCTTTGCTTACATTTATATCCCATTCAGTCTTCAAGTTATATTTAAGCACAAGCTCTGCTTGATATTTTGACCTCAAGAAGACAAGAGTGAGCCAATAGGACAGTTTTCCTATTTGCTTGTAATAGTGGTCAATTTTTTTTTTTTTAAATGGAATGAATGTTTCAGGGCTATCTTTTTTTAAATAAAGGGAAGCTATAGCAGTTAGGTAAGTAATCTCTTGTAACCCAGCAAATATCTTTAATATATATTATATTTTAAACTGTTTTTATGTAGTTAATGACAGCATAATGATAACACTGTTTTCTAACCAAATGTCATGGGTTCTTGTACCTTAGGTTTTTACAAAATTTTGTATTTCTGTGATTGACATAAATAGATATGCATAGACTGTTAGCCCCCTGAAAACAGGAACTTCGTTTTGTTCATCACTATGTTTCTAACATAGTGCTTGATACACAGCTAATTCTCAATAAATATTTGTGGAAGGAATGAAAAATTTTGAGTGCTGCATCTATTGTATTACTTAATTGATACCACAAGGTGGTACTGTTGTACCATGAAATGAAAGGCTGTAATTAGTACCACATAAATCCTGTGACTAAATGAAACGAATTGACTACCTATTATGTTTATTGCCTGCTTCATTTATTTATAATTTCAACATACGATTAGTCTTTGATTACATGATTGGGTCAGGCAGTGAGCTCATAACCTAAATAAAGAACATTTGGTTCAAATTTTTATAAAAACATTAAGTGAGATGGCATCTTAAAAAACCTAGCATAGTACCAATGTAGTTTCTTTTTCCCACTTTTAATTTACTTTGGGTTAAATGCCTTTGTTAAATTGTCAGTTGCGGTGAAATAATTTGCCCAAAATTTTCTAGTAAATTATCACTGAAGGTTAAATAGTATTGTAAGTCTGTTTTTTGTTGTCAGAAGTGCTTAAAAAATTAATACCAAACCTAGATTTATATTTTTTCCCTCACTTCAAAAAAATTTTTTTATTTTGCTTTCATGTTTCTTTTATGGAGTCCATACAATATTTTATTAATGTTTAGTTCTTTATTATACATTTGTACATATATAATCATAGTATAATCATAGTGTATAAAGTAAGTCGATTTATAATTTCTCTTGGTTTTACCCCTATTTTAAAAACTAAGCATTGAAAAGTTTGTTTTGTAGCTTGTACCTTTTTGTTTCCTTATGATGGAATTGACTTTTGAATATTTTGATTCTATAATTTTCCTTAGACTGAAGTGAAATCAGAAGAAGGCCCAGGTTGGACGATCCTACGTGATGATTTCATGATGGGAGCATCTATGAAAGACTGGGACAAGGAAAGTGATGGGCCAGATGACAGCAGACCAGAATCTGCAAGTGACTCTGATACATAAAGCATCATAGGAAATACAATTGCAGTCGTTTTATTTTTTCTAGAAAAATATGTCATCCTCTGATAGTTGGGGAATTATAAGGATACCATTTGTAAGAAAGCCAAAAGACTTTTGCCAGATTTCATATTTCCCCTTTTCATGTACACTTTATATATACTTCATTAAAATTATATTTTAAACCCTTGTATAATTTTAAGCATTGTTCCTCAGAACATTTGTAAAAGGATATATTTCTGCTTGACCAGCGAGATGTGCATTTTGCCAGGATCATATTGGTCATGTCTATTGGTGTATTATTTCAGTATCACCAATGTTTTCAGAAATACAGTACTAATTCATCATTAAACTCTTTGAAGTTAATATTTTTCTGCCTTCTAACTTATAGACTCAACTATGTATCTGTAGTTTTTGGGAATGGTTGGTGTTTTTTGCTTTGTGTTGGGAAGTTATTGAGAAAACCTATATAATAAAATTTAAAATTATAGTTTTTCAGATTTTGGGTCGTGATTTTAGTTTTAGGTAATCTGGAAGATATGATTTAAGAAACAACAGATTTCAACTTTTTTTTTTTTTTTTTTTTTTTTTTTTTTTTTTTTTTTGAGACGGAGTCTTGCTCTGTGGCCCCGGATGGAATGCAGTGGCGTGATCTCGGCTCACTGCAAGCACCGCCTCCCAGGTTCACGCCATTCTCCCACCTCAACCTCTCAAGTAGCTGGGACTACAGGTGCCTGCCACCACGCCCAGCTAATTTTTTGTTTTTGTATTTTTAGTAGAGACGGGGTTTCACCATGTTAGCCAGGATGGTCTCAATCTCCTGACCTCGTGATCCACCCGCCTCGGCCTCCCAAAGTGCTGGGATTACAGGCGTGAGCCACTGCGCCCGGCCCAGATTTCAACTTTTATTTTATTTCCTTTCATTTATTAAATAATATAAATAATGACAGATTTATTTTAGGTGTTAGCCTATTTTTGCATGAGAGATTTACAGAGGTGGAAATTCTCATGCTTAACTTATGCAATGAGACAATTTCTCAGGAAGCAAGTTTGACATGCTTTAGTCTCTCTCTTCTTTTTTTTCCTCCCAAATATTTGAGTTAGCTTAAATTCTTTTTTATGGACTGCCCAACCAGTGAATTGATGCACTTAGACAACAAGTAATCTGCAGCAGAATATTGCATCCAATTTGAGACTTGATTCCATATTATTGCCTTAAAGGCTATTAAATTGGGTGACTTTTAGTATCCAGCTGTTAAAAAGAGGAAAGACTGTTTAATATCATTCCAAAATTTTTGTGAAATGTGGCCCAAGATCTAAAGTTTTTAAGGGAATTATTTTTAATAAATATGATCTGTCCCTTTTTGAAAAGGATCCATCCCTTTTCATAATAAAAATAATTCCCTCCTACCACCCAGTTGCACATACTTGCATCTGTTATGTATTGAAGGATAATCCCCCCCAAAAAAACTATCCAAGAGCAGAGATGTTTATATTTTGAAACCCATTTGAGTGTTACAGTATTATATGACTAAAGCTGAATCAGTCTGTGGCCTGGTATTTGTTATCATAAAGGAAGATGTACACCTAAGGTATCAAGTGGTTAAAACAGCAAAGTACAAGATGCATTTTTGTATTTATTCTAACTTTTGAACATTAGTGTCTTTCAGTATAAATAAATGTGAACAAATATACCTCAGTAGTAATACAGGAGAACTAAATATCCTGCTATAACTTAATACAGATACATATTTCAATATGACTTAACAAACACACAATTTTGAAAAAAAAAAAAAAAAAGTGCAGCAACTTAAACACATTTTTCTCCCCAGAACTAAGATTACACTTAATTTAATTTAATGTGTTTCTGCGTTATACTAGAGTTTTGCAGGAATTTTTCTGAATAGTACATTCACATGATAGATACGGATAAATACCTTATTTACTAAAATGTTTTGAAACATATTTTATAGTCCCTCATTTGATTTGAAAAAATTTGACAAGATCTTCACATTGAAAGTAAGGACGAGAATATTTGCAGATTTCCTTCGTTCCAAAATTATTTTATTCCAAAGAAAAATTGAGTTGCCACTATCAGGAAAAAAAAAATGTATCACTTCTGTTAGAAGGCTATGAAGTATATATAAATTATATGACAATTTTTATCATATAGATTTGATATCTTCTATGTATTCGTATTTTTGCATCTTGGGTATTAAGCAAAATACCATATGTATAAATATGAAACCAGGAATGTGCATATTTTAGAAACTAATTGTGTATCTTAAGTGAATGTTTTGAGTAGTTCTGTCACCCCTATTCTAAATATTTTACCTACAACATTTAAATTATTCTGATATCAATCAGATAAATAATCCGAGTGTATTTCATCTTTCTACATTGTCTTTGTGGTTTTTGTTTGTTTGTTTTTGAGACGGTCTCACACTGTCACCCAGGCTGGAGTGCAGTGGTGCAATCTCAGCTCACTGCAACCTCCACCTCCCAGGTTCCAGCTATCCTCCCACCTCAGCCTCCCAAGTAGCTAGGACTACAGGTGTGCACCACCATGCCCAGCTAATTTTTTGTCTTTTTGATGTAGATGGGGTTACCCCATGTTGCCCAGGCTGGTTGTGAACTCCTGAGCTCAAGGGATCCCCCCGCCTCTTGCCTCCCAAAGTGCTTGGATTACAGGTGTGAGCCACCATACCACCTGTCTTTGAATTTTTTAACGAGGGGAAAGAAAACTGCAATTCCTGCCTCCCCATTTATTTAAACATAACACCTAGGATTTTATTTTTGGTAACTACTTAGAATAATATAGTAGGTTACTTATCTTCGGTTAGAAAGAACTATGGAAAATAGGAACCAATAATTTGGAAGTATTATTTCCTTATTTCATATATAGAAATAATTATCTTATTTCCTTATTTCATATATAGAATATTCTAGATACTTGGATGGCTGGGGTTGATGTTCTTAGTATTTATCATAGTTTAGCATTGGTTGTTATTTTTAAGCATCAGAATTTGAAAGCCAATGATAATACCTGATTAGGACTGAAAATAGAATTATCTTAGTAGTTTAGCACTTTTTATAATGGAGTTGGAGCACTGAATTTATTTTCAAATTACCTAGAATTCTGCATTGCTCAAACATTATTCAATTGATTGCAAAATATACCTTGGAAACCCTTTGGATAGAACAGTTCAGAGGGTTACCACTAGTACTTAGAGCCTAAAGTCACTCAGTAGGAGGTTCTCAAAGGTCTATTTGAAGGCAATCCAATTTCTTTAAAATAAAATATTTTTTGCCTTTTAAAACAGATGGGTGAAGAAAGGGACGTATAAATTCTGGGAAACCTCTTATGTTTTCCTCCCATTTCCTTCTATGTCTCCATTAATGTGCTAACTTGAAGGAATTTAACTTCAAGGAAAGTTGACTGATGAAGTTTATGTAGAGCTGTGAATATTATAATTTGTCAATACTTTATTGATAATGTTAACTTTGTTTTTATTTGGAAACATTTTTTCCAGTTGACCAAAGCAGAATTCATTCTGTTCTTCCCTCAAATTCATCTATTAGGATCAATGTGATTGACATTTATCTCCACTCTGCATGTCACTGATATGGTATAGACGCTATAAGCCCTGTAGATATTATGGGTATGAAGACTATTTGAGGTGAATTGGCAGTGAGAGCAAATTTTGGAAACAGGAGAGAGAACTACTTCGTGCCTATAAAAAGCTCTCTCACTCCTTCCCCAAGAAAACAGGAGTCTGAATTTTGGCCAGCTGGGTATTTGAATCTTACTGACTGTTGCAGCACTGGTAGTCCTGGTAAATTTTTTCAGTGGGCGAGCTTTTCTGAAATTTGATTAAACATATTAGTCAAGGGAATCTGTGAATAGATTTAGAAGTAGAATGTTTGAGGTGGTTGACAAGACATTTAGAATTGTGATTAATGTTTTAATAAAATGCTAAGTTAGAATGAATAATCATAATTATATAGATGGAAGATATATTCTAACAGTTCTTAAATAATTTTAGATTCTCTAAATTTAGAGTGTTTTCTAGCTTAGAGAGCAATATTAATATTTTTTACCTAGTCTACTGAACATAATTTCAGGGAGTTAGTATTTAGGACTTTTTACCTAGAGATGCGGTAAACCTTTTAAATTTAAATTTGCTTTCTTAAAATACCTGTTCCAACATTGCTCACCTTTCTTCTCCCTCCTTTTTGCCCTCTCCTTCAGTGGGAGGAGCACATATTCAGCTTTCTGTTAAACACTCTTTGGTTTTCAACTGAGTAAGGCAAGCAAGGATATATGTTAGAAGAGTGGGCATAATACTTTATATTAAAATTATAGGGACTAAAAGTCTAAATCATTGCTGTCAATAGGACTTTTTTTGATGATGGAAATAATTTATGTCTGTGCTGTTCAATATGGTAGCCACTCGCAGAGGTGACTACTGAGCATTTCACGTGTGGCTTGTGATACAGAGGAACTAAATTTTTAATTTTACTTAATTACTTTAAATTTTAAAAGTTACACGTGGCTAGTGGGTCTATCCCAACTATGAAGAGAATAAAGCTACAGAGCATCTATCTAGTCTAATGAAACAACAGTGAATTTGGGAATTGTAAATCTGTCTTAAGCTTTTTCCATAAACTTTTATTGATATAATTTAGGCATATACAAATACTGGTGAAATTTTATTGATTGAATTATTGTTGACTTTTTTTTCAGTATTTATATTTTTAAAAAGATATGTTTCTTTATAATTAACTTGTATTGTAGGGTAACCATTGTCCTTAAATGTTAAGCCACTTAGTTAATAACAAATAGCATTTGGTTTTTTAGCATTATTTATCATCTGAGGCTTTCAGAATTAATGCACCAAACCTTAAATATTTTTGTTGTTCTCTAAAAGAATGGGTTTATGATGCACCAAAAGGACATTTTGAGAACTGCCGGAGCAACAGATACCACCATGTAAGGAGTGAATTCCCATGTTTTTCACTTATATCTAGAGGCCTACTTATTTAGGAGGTTTCCTAAGTAAGTGTATTTAGTTGTAGGACCTTAGAGTTGCCTAGGTCCATTCTATTCTAGCATATACTCAACATACTGCCAGAGCAAATGTAGGTTGCAGATTCAGGCAAAACACACACACACACACACACAAAACCCTGAAGAGCACAATGAGCATTATTAGCACAGCCAATTTAAAATGATGAGGTGTTAACCACATTTGTATAAATAATAGTTTCTCTAACCCTGAATCATTATCCTGCATTTTTAATGCAATCGGTTCATAAACATCAAAGTGAAAACACCAAATTTGTAAGAGGTCAGGACCAACTGGGGCTCTAAATGGAGAGACAGCTGAGAGCTGTGTCCCTATGCGTGGGTGGCCTTGCAGCTGTTGATTCACCCTCAGGCTACCAGACAGTTGCCTCTTTGCATTTGCAGAACCAGACTTCAATCTTAGGTAAAAATGTATCCCTCCCATGGACAGGACATAAACAATAGATTGACATCAGCTCTGAAAACAGTGCAGCAGCCAGACTCAGCAGTTGCCCTGAAATACTGAGAAGTACCAAGCATAACATCAAGACTGTTTCTACACAATAATATTTGTCTTTGTACAGCAACACTGGGTTCTCTTAAGTATATTATAAATATAAAAGCTCAAAGTCCAAAAGGTTCAATGTGATGATATCCTTCTCTACAAATGCCAGGAACACCAGGGTAGATTGCATGAGACATGACTGCCGTATCTTGGTCCTTACTAGGATTCCCAAATATACTCCTTAATAACCAGTAAAGTTATATTTACACTGGACATTTTAAGAAATACCAGTGTTCGTTGTTAGATGAGAGACAGCATAATTTTGGAATCACAACTGAGTTCAGAGTTCAGTTTTGAGTCCTACTAGTTTTGTTTCCTTGTGTAAGTTTCTTAACCTTTGTAAGGCTAGCATGTAAATCAGATACAATAATATATAGTTCAGGGTGTAAAGATTGGATTAATGTATGCAGTGTCTATCTAGCACAGTGCCTGTTATGTAGTAGCGTGTCAAGAGATGTTCTCTCTTATGCATTTGGAGGATTAGGTGCTGCACCTATAGGTTTCCATTCATTTCTCATCTATGTAATTCTGAGTCTTCCTTTTCTAGATAGAATTCCCCCCAACAAAAATTTAAAGTCTAACAGGTGGTAGGTGCTTATTGAGGCCCAGCAATTCTACTTCTGGAAACCTTCCTCAGGAAAAGATTCTGATGACAGAAAATGCTGTGTGAACAGTATTATATAGAATTGTTTTTAATAGCAAGAAATTTTTTAAAACTTACAAGTTCAGTGATATGAGGACATTTACATAAACTATCGAACCACCAGTCTTCTGTCAATTCCTTTTAAAATGATGGTTGTGAAGACTGATGAAAACACAGTGTCAATGATATGTTAACTGAAAAAGTAAGATTAAAAACATTATGGATAGTATAAGTTTCTTAAATGCCAACAATGCATGAGGTGAATAGAATAAGACTTTTTTTTAAAGAATGTAATTTTTGACAGTCTGAAAAGACAGGCCTTATATTTATATTGAGAAAAATGATCCTGACATTTAATGAGACACTAAAACAGTTTTTATTTTTTGCTTACTTATTCTGTTCTAGAATCCAAACTCTACATACTGTTTAATAGAGCATTATTGATATTAGCTGTATTAGATGACTGTATGAAGAGTCCTGTTTGCTAGAATCCTACTTTATCTTTTAAGTTTTGCTAATTACCCTGCAATGAATGTTGAACATAAAAAATTTGACTCCCTTTCCATGTGTCCACTGTTTCCTTGTGCCTTTTGATTAATAAAACTTTATTTTTAAGTGAGAACCTCTGTTTTCTTGATTTTTAAAAAAAGCCATTGCTATTTTGTTTTTAACCATCCTATTTTGCATAGTTCTATCACTTATTCAAGTAAAAGTTGGAACAGAACATGTAATAATAATAGCAAACATTTAAACAATATTGATTTTATGCCAGACAATATTTAAGGGTTTCATAATGCCCCTTAATTCATACCCTTTTCCTTATAACCCTGTTAGGTAGATGTTGTTATTGTCCCCATTATACAGATGAGGAAACAAGCAGTAAGTTTCAGTAACCTGCCCAAGGCCACACAGATAGTATAGTCCAATCCAGGTTTGAGTTACAGAGCTGCTATACACAATAGTGATTGCTCACATTGTAGATATTAATGTCTTATAGAAAATTAGATTCTAGAAATTGAACTCTTCTCTGGAAAGAAAAATGGGCATTCAGTATTTTGGTCTCATTTAACCATGACGTAAACCTATGGCCAATGGAAGGTAGTAGTAGATGCCATGCTCTTTCGGGTCCTCACTTCCAAGGTGACAAAAGGAACAATGATCATGCCAAAAAGGGTGGCAGCCACATGTGTGCCCAAGGACAGGGCTATTAAGAATTTCTTTATTCAAAACACAGTAGAGGCTGCAGCAAGTGTCTTCAATGCATATGTGCTTCCCGAGCTGTATGTGAAGCTACATTATTGTGTGAGTTGTGCCATTCACAGCAGGAAGCCTGCAAGAACTGAACATCTCCACTTCTATTTAGACCTGCAGATGCTGGCACCAAAGCTCATGTAAGGAGCTGAGTCTTTAAGGACTGAAGCAAAACTATCCTCTGGAGAAAAGTAAAATGGAAATAGTACTTAAAAAAAATTAATAGATGCCGTTAATCAGAAGGTGAAAATTTTCCTGGCTGTGTCAATTTAGAGTTAACATATCACCCCAGGCTGTTGTTGTCAGTTTATTCTGTAACTTGCTACTGGATAATTCATTATAGGTCTTGCCTGAGCATGTCTGATAATTAAAACTTTATATTTGAATTATCTGGATGCTGCAGAAATGGAACTACTCTACTGAAGTGGTATCCAATAATTTACTATATACAGCTATTGGTTTTTTATTCCTAAGATACAATATATTGGCTATTTGCTGCTCTGTTACTTAATGACATTAGATGACTCATAAATGTAAGTGGTTGACATTTTTGCTATTAAGAATTTAGATATTCAAATTATGCTTTATAAATGAGGATTAGATTTTTATCATGTTATTGCCTAGGAGATAACAGGTAACTAAAACTTGATAATTAAGGATATCCCATTGCTGTTGATCTAGCATCTTTTCTAAAAATGCATGTTTTACAATATTTATGTGAAACTAATTTTTATTTGATGTGCAGTAACAACAAATCAATGCAAAATTATACATTAATGAATTTAACAGTATGAAGTTTTAAGACATACCACAGCTTTCCTCTAGGTGGCATGATTTCAGCTATCATTGAGTCAACTGATAAAAATCCTTTTTCCCTACAAGCACACGAGTATGTAGTTTCTGAACAATCAGTATAAGTGTGACATTGATTAGATTTAATTGTTACAACTGGTTAAATAACCAGATTGACCTTATAATAGTCTATTGTTTAATGATCTTAAGTAACTTAAAATTGTAAGACAAAGTCCTCTTAAAGAAACAGATACAAAAAACTTGTTACCTCCAATAACCCAGCAGGCAAAATTATTTGTCTCTTCAGGTCACAATGACACACCCATTTCTGGATTTATTTCTTTGGCATATATTTATTTCTTATGGTAGATAGTGCTATTTGCTTGGAACAGTAATGATACTGCCTTTTTACTTAAAAGGACTCATATAGATGTAACAAATCTAAAGAGAAACCACAAATGGTAGGATTCTTGATCACAAAAATTTTCACGTTAACAGGAAACAGCCCCTTCAATTATGTGAAAGTAACTTTCCTGGTGTCCCTGGTTTTATGAAGCAGTTACTGTGTGCTAAACAAGAAGGATCAACATGTGAAAAGTCATTATTATGTGACCTGCAAGCATCAAACAACAAACAGAAACACTGTTCTTTTTTTTTCTGTACTGGCACTAAAATGGGAAGGGGGGCCAAACTCGTTTTTACCTTTGGGATTCTTTTTCTGTTGTTGATTTTCAAAAATTTAAAAATGAATTTCTCTGGCTATACAAAGAATACATAAAATGCTTGTTAATCCCATTATTGTTGTATTTATCTTCTCCTACCTTTCTCTGTGGGAGACTGCTTTC
Source organism: Homo sapiens (assembly GCF_000001405.40). Lineage (NCBI taxonomy): Eukaryota > Metazoa > Chordata > Mammalia > Primates > Hominidae > Homo > Homo sapiens. The sequence goes on from NC_000001.11 coordinate 218,340,250, forward strand.
ATGGAGCTCAAAAGAACTTGACCAAGCACCTCTCGGGGGTTCATTTTTGTGGCAGTGCAGGTTTATATTAATGCTAAAATTGTGCAAGTAGCATTTTCAAAATGTATCTCTGATGGTGATTTTTAGAATATGCTGCATAGGCAAAGGAAAAAAAAGGTCTTGGAAGTATGCAAAATATAATATCACCACTGTAACCGAAAAAAGGTGAAAGACTAACAGATGTATTCTTACAGATTTAAAGTGGCTTCATTTTAAATAAGGTAATTATCTGGGAGAGTCCTGATTTACCCCTGTTGTCTTAGTGTATCAATGAGTGGCATCCTCTTTACTGCAAAAAATGTTTGGATTTGTGTGACAAATGATGTAGCTACCCTAGTTATGAGAACTTTATTTTCTACTAAGATTTCAAATAATCATCAGTGAGAGTTTGTGGTCTGTAGTCTCCCGTTTTATAAATTATAACCATCTATATAGCTGTGCTTTTCAAAATACTTACATACTTAGGCTTTTAAAAATACTTATTTACTAATTTTTCCCTCTATCATAAACTACACTGAGGTTTTCTTTTTTTATGCAATTACTATTGACCCTTGGTTTTTATTTATTTATTTTTTTTTTAATTGCAGGCTAATCGAGGCAGCAGAACGGCATATTTGTTTGAAATGTAGGTTGGTAATTTTGGCAGTGGAAATTTAGACATTTGGAATTTTACCCAATCTATGAAGCCCACTGAGATGATGACAGACACATAAATTCATTTAAAGACCATGTATCTTTAAAAAAAAAAAAAAAACTTTTGTTATATTATACTCATTTTAATTATGAGAACACAGTCATATTTTTCTCTATCACTCACCTTCTCTTTTTCTTTCTCATCTTTTGTGTTTATTTTTAGTTGGCCAAAACACTCTCTCCATTTCTCCCCAGCAACCTCATTCTGGTTTCTTGCTTTGTGAAGTCTATCTGTGAACTTCTGTGGTGACAGAGTAAATGAAGGAGGAGTAGAGATTCTGTAAAGGTGAGTGTCAAGTACTGCCCTAAAAAATAAGGAAAATTCTGCTGCTGGTTTCTTTTTGTCAACATTAGGATTTTGTTAAGCACTTATCCATAGCGTTATGCTGTGTCCCAACTATTACCATATGTTCATTTATTTATATCAGTTACTAAATGCTATCTTAGTGGGTGAATTTCACCAGGGGCAAGAAACCAGAGGCTGCAGCTACAGGGATGACATAGCACAGGCCACTGTGAGACTGCCTCCCAAAGAAAGACTTTCCTGGAGAGCTAAAATTGTAGAGTTATGAGTGGCCCAAAAGCCACAAGCAGTAATCAATCAACTAATCATAATTCCAAAGGGTGAGATAATGTTCCCACAGTGTATCATTAGTGTGATGAGTTTATCTCTTTAAAGCCTCACAACCTGCTGATATGCTGTGGTTTTTCTTGGTCCTATCTCTTTATCTTTTACCACCTCTGATCTCTTTAAACCCACCCTGTTTCCATTTTCCTCCCCGCCCATTGTTTCCTCATTTTTCCTTAACACTTCTTCCTTAGATTAACCTTTAAATACAAATGGAAATAATAATCGGATTATTTTTTGTAAGGAAACCACCTTTCTGTTTCATTATTCATAACTAGAATAATGAAATAAAGCTGTTTATAGAAATGCATCTAGAACATGAGACAAAATTGATATAGACCAAACATTGTTCTTGAATAGTGGTATCAAATATAAAATTATAAATAAAATCTTAAAAGACTTTTGGTGTATTTTCATATTAAAGGGTTATTTTGCATTTATCAAGTATCACTATTTGGGGGGAAATGTAATCAATTACCGTCGTTCCATGTATTTCTTTTTTTCACCTCCTGATTTTTCATGCTTGAAACCGTTCTGGAAAGCTTCCAGAATTGTTACAAATGAAGTTATGCTTTGGTCAATGTTAGTAAGGACCTATGATCCATAGGCGTAAAACTCCAGGACAGGGATGAGTAGTTTTGTTTTCTTCAGCCTCTTGTAGAAATCCCACATTACTTAAGTGAATAGACCCATTGATGAGTGGAGAATGGCTAAGAGTGGAAACAGCTCCACTCTCTACCTCTGTAATTTCAAAACAAAAGATTCCATTTGAGGGCTTTAATAAGAGACTTTAATCGTGAATGCTTAACTGAACTTTGATAGTCATTTAGCATTTTATTCACCAAAAGTGTATTTTCTTGTCCTTCCCTCCTATAATTACTGGGGGCAAAATACCATAATATTTAAAATGTGCCTACAGAAACTACTAGGAGGCAGAACTAGAAGCAAATTCTTCTTGGGTTCTTTCCTGGCTTTTCAGAGAGAGCGAGAGAGAGAGAGAGAGAAGGCCAGATATTTTTATTATAAATTCCTTGACAGAAATAAAGACATGATAGGATAAGAAACTCACAGAGTCAGTGAGTAACTTGTTCAGGATCACAAAGCCAGAAAGTGACAGAAATCTGAACCCAAAAAACCATGACTGGAGCCTGCCCTTTAAACCACTGTGCTCTCCTGCCTCCTTGAAGTAATCAAGATGGGTGTATATCATTTAAATACCCTTTTACCATGAAGACTGTAGAGACCCCGGCACATAAGACCTCCATTAAATATAGAGATGAAAAGGCATTATAAGAGCCATTTAATAGAAGAAATGATTCATTTACGGTTACCAGGGAGACAGCTCTAGCAATCTTGCCGGTTAGGTCTTCAAAGAACTGATCATTTGAGAGGTGGAAAGGGGCTCCTCCTCTCCTGCTATACTCACTTACTGCACTTACCCATTCCAGAAGCTTTTACCAATACCTCCCGTCTTACCCTCCTGGGCTTTGGGGAAATTAAAGTAGCCTCTTATGAGTAAGTCAGGGGTCTCAGGTCTAAGGAGTTGTTAAGTGAGCAATAGGTACTCAGTAAACTAAGTATTATGAACAAAAGTGTGTATGTCTATGTCAGGAAGAGGGGTGGCCATCAGAATTTATGGCTTGCGCTGTTTTCCTAGAAGTGATGTAAATGAACTTTTGCTACTCTATCCACACTCTAATCTGAATCTACTTAAGGTGCATCAGTGTCTGTACCAAGAAGGTTGTCTATAAACATGAAAGATGCTCACTGGCTTGTGGAAGCTGAACCTGTATCCTCAGCAAAATACAGTGATAGCTAATTCAGGTAACCAGCCATATTCCACAGCAGCATCTTCTCTCAGTAGCTCTGGTTTGGAGCTCCTGCTCTGTGTCTATAATGGCCACAGGTGTAAGAATATTCACTTTTTGTCCAATCTGTAGAGCTAGCCTACTGCAGTTCTCAAACTGAACTCAGAGGGAGGACCTAACTGGATGAAACTACTAGTCTGACAGTAGCGCCTCTTGATTATCTTTTTCTTGGGCTACTGGGATGGTAGCTTTGCTTCAACTCAAAACTGGTATCAAGGAAAGGAACCTGCTGGTGCTGATTTATACATAATTTTTAGAATTATTCAGAAGTGGGTTGGAACAATTATTTTATTCCAGAGTTTTTCAATGTGTGATAATGGAAAAAATTCTGTATTCAAGGGAGTTTGGAAAATGCTGGGTTAAAAGAGTGAAAAGGTTTTCTCTTCTACAGGAGTTTCAGAGCCTTTAACATGATAATGTTCCAGAATGAGGAATCTAAGAGGACAGGAGAGTACCCAGTATCTCCCAAACTTGTTTGACTCCAGAATTCCTGTTTGTCAGAACATATTCTGGGACCATTGTTTCTCAGAAGTACATAGTAGGTAAGAACATAGTGGATCCTGACTGCAAAAATCCAGCTCTACCACTTACTGTGGTCTCGAACAAAGTACTTAACTTCTTTGTACCTCAGTCTCCTCATCTGCCAGATATGGATAATAAGACCCACTTTATAGGTTCATAGTGAAGATTAAATGACCATACACAACACACATCAAATTACTAAGTGTAGTATATGTTAGCTATTATTATTTTATTTATTCAGTGCTCTACTAATAACCTAGGCCCCATACACAACTGAAGTATAAATTCCAAAAGTGATAGAAAGTTCTTTGTGACTTTTCTGAACTCAGGAACATCTGAAGTAGAGAACAGTATAGAGATCTTGGGTTTGGGAGTACATTCAACAGAGTTTCCAGTTTAAATCATCTGTCTGGTCAGTATGGCTGCAGAGTCATGCCGAAATGAAAATGTTGACTTTGAGTAACTAAAGGTAAAATAAAAGAAAAAGGGAAGGTGGAACAGTGGTAAGAGTTATTCTTGTATTCATCTAATTTAGACTTAGTTGAAATTGAAAATGTCAAGTTATGAGTAGTGTAGAACAGTAGACATCAAACACTTAAAATTCCAGCTTCCTGGATTAATGCTATGGAAAGAATGAAGTTGGTTGATAATGTTTAGCCTAGCAAGAAGGTGAAGAAGAAAGCCATACAAGAAGTGGCTTAGGCAGCAAATTATAAAGGTGACCATTCATTCAAATCAGTAAAACAAACAAGTATACCTTATTCTTTAGGTAAAATTGATGGATCTCTGTTTTCCAGCAGTTCACAAACAGAGGGGTACATTGTAAACAACAAACTAACAAAATAAATTCTGGGATGGCAACCTGCTAAGGTATCCCAGAAAATAAGAGGTAGGACATGAATTTAAAAGATTGGAAGGTATGTCTTCAGTACTGGCCTGGCCCTGAGTAGACTAGTGCTCCCTCCCATAGGGGTGCGTGTGCACACATAATACAGGAGGGAAGCCTTCCCTTCTAGAGCAAGTGATTCAGCTTGGGAGGCTGTGACTGAGCTACACTAAGTAAAAACGGGAGACTTGATTGTCCTTCCTTCAACAGACCTGTCCAAAATGACTGGAAAGTAAATACCGTAAATCACTGTTGTCAGGGCGCACATTCCACCTCCTTCCTCCCTTACCCACAGCGGTCCTCATTTCCACACTCCCTCAACGGTTCGGGGAGAGCTCGTGGTCTAAGTAACGAGAGGACTTCTGACTGTAATCCTAGCACGTCACTTTGTTGAAGGCAGACACGTGGTTCAGAGAGAACTTATAAATCTCCCCTCCCCGGCAAGATCGTGATGTTATCTGCTGGCAGCAGAAGGTTCGCTCCGAGCGGAGCTCCAGAAGCTCCTGACAAGAGAAAGACAGATTGAGATAGAGATAGAAAGAGAAAGAGAGAAAGAGACAGCAGAGCGAGAGCGCAAGTGAAAGAGGCAGGGGAGGGGGATGGAGAATATTAGCCTGACGGTCTAGGGAGTCATCCAGGAACAAACTGAGGGGCTGCCCGGCTGCAGACAGGAGGAGACAGAGAGGATCTATTTTAGGGTGGCAAGTGCCTACCTACCCTAAGCGAGCAATTCCACGTTGGGGAGAAGCCAGCAGAGGTTGGGAAAGGGTGGGAGTCCAAGGGAGCCCCTGCGCAACCCCCTCAGGAATAAAACTCCCCAGCCAGGGTGTCGCAAGGGCTGCCGTTGTGATCCGCAGGGGGTGAACGCAACCGCGACGGCTGATCGTCTGTGGCTGGGTTGGCGTTTGGAGCAAGAGAAGGAGGAGCAGGAGAAGGAGGGAGCTGGAGGCTGGAAGCGTTTGCAAGCGGCGGCGGCAGCAACGTGGAGTAACCAAGCGGGTCAGCGCGCGCCCGCCAGGGTGTAGGCCACGGAGCGCAGCTCCCAGAGCAGGATCCGCGCCGCCTCAGCAGCCTCTGCGGCCCCTGCGGCACCCGACCGAGTACCGAGCGCCCTGCGAAGCGCACCCTCCTCCCCGCGGTGCGCTGGGCTCGCCCCCAGCGCGCGCACACGCACACACACACACACACACACACACGCACGCACACACGTGTGCGCTTCTCTGCTCCGGAGCTGCTGCTGCTCCTGCTCTCAGCGCCGCAGTGGAAGGCAGGACCGAACCGCTCCTTCTTTAAATATATAAATTTCAGCCCAGGTCAGCCTCGGCGGCCCCCCTCACCGCGCTCCCGGCGCCCCTCCCGTCAGTTCGCCAGCTGCCAGCCCCGGGACCTTTTCATCTCTTCCCTTTTGGCCGGAGGAGCCGAGTTCAGATCCGCCACTCCGCACCCGAGACTGACACACTGAACTCCACTTCCTCCTCTTAAATTTATTTCTACTTAATAGCCACTCGTCTCTTTTTTTCCCCATCTCATTGCTCCAAGAATTTTTTTCTTCTTACTCGCCAAAGTCAGGGTTCCCTCTGCCCGTCCCGTATTAATATTTCCACTTTTGGAACTACTGGCCTTTTCTTTTTAAAGGAATTCAAGCAGGATACGTTTTTCTGTTGGGCATTGACTAGATTGTTTGCAAAAGTTTCGCATCAAAAACAACAACAACAAAAAACCAAACAACTCTCCTTGATCTATACTTTGAGAATTGTTGATTTCTTTTTTTTATTCTGACTTTTAAAAACAACTTTTTTTTCCACTTTTTTAAAAAATGCACTACTGTGTGCTGAGCGCTTTTCTGATCCTGCATCTGGTCACGGTCGCGCTCAGCCTGTCTACCTGCAGCACACTCGATATGGACCAGTTCATGCGCAAGAGGATCGAGGCGATCCGCGGGCAGATCCTGAGCAAGCTGAAGCTCACCAGTCCCCCAGAAGACTATCCTGAGCCCGAGGAAGTCCCCCCGGAGGTGATTTCCATCTACAACAGCACCAGGGACTTGCTCCAGGAGAAGGCGAGCCGGAGGGCGGCCGCCTGCGAGCGCGAGAGGAGCGACGAAGAGTACTACGCCAAGGAGGTTTACAAAATAGACATGCCGCCCTTCTTCCCCTCCGAAAGTAAGTACTTATTTTGACTTCCATCCCCTGAGGTTTAGCTCTGCCCGGAGCTCTCAAAACCGCAGCAGCTCCCGGGATCGCCCTTCCCTCTCGCGGTTCCCGTTCGCTCTTTTCCCGTTCTCCTGTCCTTCACCCCACCACCTCCTTTTCAGTTGTATGCTTGAGGCCATCAGGCTTTAAAATGTTTACTTTCTACTTTATTTTCTCCATCTTTCCCTTCCCCCTAACAATTCGGTGCTTTAAAAGGCGTTATTCTCTTTTTCTCTTCCCTGAAGTTCTTTAGTCGGCCACCAGCTAGGAGTCAGCCCCACTCTGTCAAACTAGAGGTGCTCCCAGGGGCAGAGTTAAACTGAGGAATCTTGGTAGGTTTGTTTTCTTTGCTCCGATTGGCGTGGAGCGCGCCGAACTGGTGCACGAAGGGTTAAAAAAAGTGTCTCAAAACTAGCCTCTCCGGAAGGCGCCCCCTTTCCGTGCTGACCTATCAGCTGGTTCCCCAAGCCTTCTCTATTGTCTCTAACTACCCTAAAAATGTCAGCATCGCCGAGACAAAACCCGGTTTGGAGACCCCTCGAGAAACCTACCTGGCCCTCAGTCCTTGATGTATCATTTGCTATCACTAGGTGTTTCATTACCCAAAGGCAAAATCCTATAACCACGTTCCCTTTTCACTTAACCTGGAGTGTAGAAAGGACAACTCCGTTTCTGACTGTGTTTTAAAAGGTTTTGTTCACGTTATTTTTCAGAATACACTCAAACCTGCCTTCTTCACATCTCCAGTGTAGCAGATCATTTTTCTTACGGGTCTGTTATCCTGCTCCTGCCTTTTCGTAGGCTTCCTGCAGTTACTTCAATGCATTCCTAAAACTCAGAGTAGACGACAGCCGTATTTTTTTTTTTTTTTTTTACTGGCTTCTCTGAGAACAGTGTCCTCAAAACCAGCTGGCATACAGTAGCAATAGGAGTGAAATGATTTATTGCAGAGGAAGGGAACAGACAGTGTAGAATGATTTCAGAGTTCTTAAAAAAAGAAAAAAAAGAAAGAAAGAAAGAAAAGGGGCAGCAGCATCCACTTGATACCTGAGAGGGTTAAATACCAGGAAGAAGAAAAAGAAAAGTGGGGGCGGGGTGGGGGGAACCTCTTCAACATTTGTGTATTCCAAATCCCAAGTCATAAACTTTTCATTGGTTGCTCATTTCTCTCCTCCCCTTTCCATGCCCTGTATACTTGCTGGCTGCCTTTGCAAAGTCTCTGTGTCTTGCCTAAATAGATAATATAGCCATCTTGGTAATTTTCTCTTAAAGGTTCTAGTTGCAGGGTGGTGCTTTTCTTTTTTAATATTTATTTTTAGTTTGACAAGTCCTAGCTATGTGACCTGCCATGTCTTGTACTTGATGGTCTCAGAAGTCAGCCCATGTATCTAACCCCAGTCTTCCTAGTGACCCTTATTTTGCTGCAGTTTCTCCTGTTCTTGTTCAATAGCAGAACAGATGCAGAGAATTCTGGCAAGCAGGATGATTTTATTATTGTAATTATGGCACTATCCGCAACAGCGGTGATAAATACACTCCACCCCTGGTTATCCCCTTTGGGAAGTAAAGCTTTCTATCTGGGGTGGAGCCAAGGAGATATTAGGAAAGAAAGTTCATTGTAATTAGTCCAAAACCATTGAGACAAACAAGGAGTTCAGTCAGTTTGCTTTCTCTAGCATGTGCATCGGTTCTACCGGTATTTGGGCAGAGCGGAAAGTATGTTATGTAGAACCTGAATAACTCATCTTTCAATGTTTATATGCAAAAGGTCTAATAAACTGCCAGCACTTCTATAACACAGAAAGGAGCTCTGATCCCATTTACTGAATAGGTGTGGAGAGAGCAAGTAACCCAAGAGGGCATTAGTTCTTTGTTCTCTGAAGCACACTTCAGTCTGAAGAGCTGAGATGATCCAACCCAGGGTCATGGTCATCAACAAACTGGAAAAATTCCTAGATTATTAGGAGGATTTCAGAGTATGGCATTTAACATCAATGTGTGGATTCTCCTTTCCATTTCACCCCAGCCACCAAATAAATGAAAACCTCCGATACGTCCAAGATAAATAAAATATACTGCCAGTTTTCATACAAAGAATACAGGCTTTAAAAAGTCTGTATTCTGTATGGAAGTTTAGGAGCAGAAAGCCATATTAATAGCAGGTTCGATACTACTGTGCAAGGACTGGATAATTTTATAGAAAATAGGTTAACTGATTTTCCAGCACTTTTTAGTTATACTGGAATATAGCAAACCCTTCCAAAAAAAAGGAAAAAAAGAAAAAAACCATATTTTTAAAAAGCAAATTGAAAGTACAGCATTGGCTTATATACCAGCTTTCCCTCTTTAGGACTTTTCTGCCTAACTTTTAACTCAGCTGTCACTGAAGTGGCTGTGGGGAGGGAGTGTGCCTGTCATTCCTTGCAGTGAATCTGGCGAGGGTCATAAGCCCCAGAGATGAAGCCATGGGAAAGATCACTGGTTCATTTTTTACCATCAACTTATTAGCGTTCAGGGAGTGACTTCAGCTCAAGTATTACAAATATGCTCTAATTATACTCAATGAGCTATATATCATTACAGATTGCTGATAGCCCTTTGTGGGACATTTTATAAAGTTCAGACTACATATTTTTAGCAATGTGGAGATTTAAAAGTAAAAATATAAGAGATATTGTATATGCCCTGAGGCATATTTTGTCTTAAATATTATCCTTGGCCAAGTATACTATATAAATACAGTAAATATGAATAGAACTGGCCAGGTGCCAATCTCCTAGGATGAATTTTAGTCAAGAATGTATTTATGGGATATAAATAATACTGTGTCAACATTTAAAGAAGGGGTCTGATTAGTTTTGAATTTATTCATATTGATCTTTTCACGTGCTGTTAGTTTAAGACTCGAAGTGGAGTTATGCTAAGGTTTACCGATAGTTTGCCCACTGGGAATTAGTGGACCTCTAGTAGTTTAACAATCCATTTGAAGTTCGAGGCACATCTATTCGAAAGATGCTGCACAAGGTTTTAGAAACTTAGAAAGGGTGATTCAGTTATACACAGGAAGAATTCAAATAATTGACATGTAAGAATCTGTAGAGAGTCCGACAATCAAAAAGAGGAAGAGACACAACGTTTCATTTTCTTTCTTTTCTCTCCCTTTTTCATTGTAACCAATCAGCACATGTTGTGGTTCTAACCCTGGTGATTTTGTACTCCCCCCAACACCCGCACCCCTACTCCCACTGGAACGTTTGGCAATGTCCAGAGACACTTTGGGTTGTCATGACTGGAGGTGGAGGGGTGCTACCGGTATTTAGTGGGTCAGCCAGGGATGTTTCTAACCATCCTATAATGCATAGGGCAACCCCCCATTCCCAACATCAAAGAATTATCCTGACCACAATGTCAGTAATGCCTCTGTTGAGGAGCCCTGGTATTTGTTGGGGGTTACTGAATTCTGTTAACAGTACCATTTAGAAAATAATAACAAAAATAAAATATCTTTATGATCAAAGCATATTCAAATGAGAATACTGAATAGGAGGATAGTCAGACAGTTATCTTAATTAAATGGAGTGTGGATTAGACCATTGTATACAGTATGTACTTTATTTTTTGTGGTCTTAAAGCCCCTAAATTAGAGACATCAAAACTTCCCATTTATTTAGCTTAAGTGATGGTGTTGACCTATCCATTACTAGCTTCAGTCAGCAGCAGTGTGATGTTAGAACAGAGAAAAAAGAAGTGAGGAATTATCATGGATTCCCCTTGCAAGGGAAATAAGCAGTTTGTGTTAACAAAGAGTGGAATCTCCAAGCTAGGCAATGGAAGAAAGTAAATAATCATCTTGATTTATTCTACCATTTTGAAGTAGATACACTAAAAATATACAGCCTGAAAAATCACAATGAGATTCCCTTTGTAGTTGTTTCACATGAGTGTTAAACATTTAACATGAAGCAATCTCCTTTTCTATTTCCTCTGTAATTTTCCAAGTTAAATTGTGGAATGTAGAATGAATACCAATGACACTATGGTTTTGGGGAATGTGACTTAGCATTCAATTCATGAATATGTCTTTCTATATACAAGTTGCTGGTCTGTTGGCCACTTGCCCAATGAAGGAAAATGTTAGCGATTGCTGGAACGTAGTGGTATTTTTGCTTTATGTAGTAAGCATTTTTACTATTTTATTTTTTAGGATTCTCTATGTGTGTGTTTGCATGTGGGTGTATGAGATAGAAACAGAAAGAAAAAGAGAGCGTATCAAAGACAGACTTGAACTTCTTGACTTCCAGAATGATTGAGTTATTAATATACAACAGACCAAACTTTAATTCTCCCTTTTTTATTGCATCGTTGCTTGTACTAACTCTAGTGTCTAATTGTGGTTACATTTAAGTTAGGTCACATGCTCCTCCTTCAGGATTTCCTCTTTTTTTTACTTTTCAAAGACTAGAAAAACCTCTCAAAGAAGTATACTATTTATAACGAAAGCAGTTGGGTCGTCTTTGTTGCCAAGTGAGGCCAGCCAGCTTTATGCCTCTCCTGAGGAGACCCCACCCGATGAAAGAGGGGCTTTGCAGAGGTTGAGGGGCAGGTGGGGACCTCTCCACCTCACAGAAGGAAGGGGTTGGGGGAGCCCACTGCGTCTCCACAGCAACCCCTGTGGTCTACTCGAGGAGTTGCACTTTTTGAATGATTTCTCCCTGGTGAAAAGATGGTGATGTAACCTAGTCGCAGCATCTTTCATATAAAGATATGAAAGAATGACAGATCGTTTTTCCTAGAGGAAACTGAGATGTGAAAAAAGGGCTAATGACTCACTGTTGAACCCACATCAAATCTGGGTTAGAACCAAGGAGTTCACTGACTTGTAGGCCTTCGCCCAGAGATTACAACACACTTTAGGCTGCATATTTAGAAGGTTCGAGAAATTAGAGTGGAGGCTCCTGGCCCTGGGAGAGGTGTGCAGGGTCACCACTGGAGTGGGACTCTGGCCCACTGCCACTCCAGCCCGCCTCCCCCTGCCCCTTGCCCACAGCACCCCCACCCCACCCCGCCCCATTATAGGTTCAGGAGTAAGGTGAGCAGCCGAGCAAGAGACTGCATGGAAGAGCTCTGGAAATAGCCCCTTCCGCTATCTTGATGTAGCATTTCCGGTACTGATGGGCTCCCGGAGAGAGGATTTGGATTTGCCAGATGTGCTTGCTCTATTTAGGCAGCGCTTCTGCTCAAGGGTGGATTCCATTTTGCAGATTCTGCACAGCTTGATGAAATGTGGCTCTGCCCGAGATAAACAAATGCCCATTGTCATTTTGAAGGCATATGTGTGCTTTCATTTTAAAAAATATCCTTTAAACAATGATAGTTTTTAACCTGGGAATTCAACGTTCTCCAGGTATTTTATTTTAGATTTAATAATATGTTAGGGGATTCTTTGATGGGTTTGTTTAGACTGAAAAGTTTGCTTCTGTCATTTGTTTGGAATAAATTTGCATCATGCTACAACCACAAGCTGCTTTTGATGGTTGGCTGTTTTGTTTCTTTTCTAAGCGCTGATATCCAGAAGTGGGTGTTTAAGTGCCCCACACTCTCACCACTACCTTACTTCCTGAATTGGCTTGGTGGTCTTGACTCTGAATGAAACTGCCCCTTGGCCTCTTCCCTACCATCTCTAAATTGCCTTCTTTTCCTTCATTGTGATGGAATGTCTGCATGGATGGATGGTCGAGTGCTCACATATCATGTCCCATTTGATACTCTACTGAGTTTGTGGGAGACAGCACCCCCTTTACTTAACCAGGCCTCAGTTTCTTCCCTTGTAAAGATGAAGAAAGTAACACTGGCCTTCTAGGGTTGTAAGGATTGATGATGACATATGTGAAGAAGCACCTAGTGCAGCTGCTCTGGCATGGAGTAGGTCTTCTTTGCCTGGCAGCAATTCTCTGAGTCTCAAATGCCTTTGACTTCAGGGTATACCATTATTTTATGTGCCACTAAGAAAAAAATATCACTTCAGTGATCATGCCATTGATTTTAAGAGAGGGTCTGGATTTTAGGGAGATGAAAATGTGATTATGAGCGATACCCCAGGAACCACTTCCATTAACCTCGGATGTCTTGGAACCTCCAGCTCATTCTTTTCCTTTGCGATAGTTCCACTCAGTGGATCTCTTTCCTTTGCTCACTCAGTTTGTTCCTTAGGTGGCCTCTGACACTTCAGGGCAGGGATGGGATGGGGCTGGAAACAGAGAACATAGGGTTGGTAATTCACCATGTCTGGCACTATCCAGTTCTCCTATGAGAAGGCCTGAGAGTTTAGGCAATTAGATTCAGGCCTTTCAGGGTCTGGTCCCTCCTCCTTGCTCAGCCCCTCCTCTCACTAAATCCCTGCATGAAAACTATACTCCAGTCACATTGTCCTCTTTGCCTTTACCCAAATGGGCCATTTATTTTCATGCCTCTGGGGTCTTTGTTTATGCTGTTTCTTCTACATAGAGATCTATCTTTTCACACCTTTAAAAATCCTTCTGCCTGGTGTGGTGGCCCACGCCTATAATCTTAGCACTTTAGGAAGCTGAGGCGGGAGGATCACTTGAGGGCAGGAGTTGAAGACCAGCCTGGGCAACATAGCAAGATCTTGTCTCTACAGAGAATTTAGTTGGGCCTGGTGGTATGTGCCTGTAGTCCTAGCTACTTGGGCGGCTGAAGCAGGAGGATTGCTTGAGCCTAGGAGTTTGAGGCTGCAGTGAGCTATGACTGCCCCGCTGTCCTCCAGCCTGGGCAACAGAGCGTGACCCTGTCTCTAAACATAACAAAATAAAACAAAATATTTCTGGGCTTAGTCAGATGCCACCTCCTTAGAAAACCTTCCTTGATTGTCCTAGTCTTATTTAATTAGCTCTTCCTTTGCACTCTTACTATACTGATGGTTATCTCTATCTCTCCCTCTTTTCTTTTGATCTTAGTAAGATCTAACTCTGTTCTGGGCTGTCTTCTTCATTGGTTTGTAGACTGCCCCAGGAACAGAAATCAAGTCTAACTTATCTATATTCTTATAGAACTTAGCATATTGTGTTTGATCAAGGAATGTTTGACAAATGGATGAGCATTCCCTTTACAGAATGAGATTGAACTACAGGAAGAAGAAGAATCTGTGAGTTCAAAGAGGTGTCAGGGCCAGGAGATGCGGAGAGATGAAATGTTCTGACCTTCATTATCAGGGAAAATGTGTCTGATGGGTCATGTCACTATGCTAAAGAGCACAGGGATTCTCATAACCATAATATTTTCTGTTTCCAATTCTCAGATAATAATGAAGGTGGTGATAATGATGATTAAAGCTAACCTTTATTGAGGACTTTTTACAGGCCAAGCATAGCTAACCTTTATTGAAGACTTATAAACCAAGCATAGTTTTAAATATTTTACATATATGTACTCTTTAATACTCACAAGCAATCCTATGAGGTTAATACTCATACTGTCCCTTTGACAGCTGAGGAAATGGAAATAGCTATTTCTATTAGTGATGTGTTATGGAAATTAGACTTTCAGCCACCACAGGTAATAGGAGCCCTAATACAGAGCCCAGGAAATAGAGAGCATGACCTTTCTTGCCTTCTTGATAAATGATGTAATACATCCATGGAAGAATGGTGGCTCTCCTCTGTTAACAAGAATTACATTCACAAGCACTGAGAAAATATACCTCTGAAGCACACAACCTGGGTTTTTTTTTCTTGCCTCTTAACACATTCAACTTTTATTTCTGCACTTAATTGATACAAAAAGTGTGATTTATTAAGACTTTGGTTGTTTCTGTTTGTTTGTTTGTGAGACAGAGCCTTGCTCTGTTGTCCAGGCTGGAGTGCAGTGGCACCATCTCAGCTTACTGCAACCTCTGGCTCCCGGGTCCAAGCAATTCTCCTGCCTCAGCCTCCCAACTAGCTGGGATTACAAGCATGTGCCACCACGCCCAGCTAATTTTTGTGTTTTTAGTCAAGATGGGGTTTCACCATGTTGGTCAGGCTGGTCTCGAACTGATCTCAAGTGATCCATCCGCCTCGGTCTCCCAAAGTGCTGGGATTATAGGCCCGAGCCACCGTGCCCAGCCTTGGTTTTGTTTTTGAACTGCAATCATTTTCCTCACAAAAATTTTGATAAATTTTATTGATAGGGCATTCCTATTTCAGAGAATTAATTTATTTGGGAAGGCAAGATGATATACAATGAGCATGATGACTTTGGAGCTGGACAGACCCATTAAATAAAGAAAGGAGAATAAATAAAAGGGAATTGTACCAAAGGAATCTCAAAGGCTGAAATGGAAGCGGTAACATCAAAGACAAGAAATCCTACTCCAGGCCTGTGGCAGTTGTTAAAGAGTGGTCCTGTTTTGGTTAGCAACTTGGCTCTCTCAGTGCAAGTCATTAAAACTGCCTCATTGATATTTAAGTTGCTTCCTACCGAATTCAGATCTTGGCTCTGCCACTGTCGGCTTTGCAGCTGGATTTGAAACCCCTTCACTTAGCCCAGCCTCAGTTTCTTCATTTGTAAAGAAGAACATCGACTTTCTAGGGGTTGTAAAGGATGATGTGTGTGAAAAAGCACCTGGTGCAGCTGCTTCTGGCCTTCTTTCCACAGCAGCTATTATTCATCGAATCTCATTGACTTTAAAATGCACCACTATTTTATGTGCCACTAACAAAGAAATATCACTGCCCATTTAACTATTAGTTATAACATTAACTAAATGTCACTGCCAATTAACTCAGCCATTGATTATAAGAGAGAATCTGGATTTTAGAAATAATAGAATATGAAAAATATATAGAATCAGTGAAATCACATAAAGGTTTGTGAAATAAAGAATAGCGGTCTATGTGCACATGGTATAGAGTGCTATAGCAGAAGTACATGGAAAATGAAATTAAGTGGAGGCATGACATCTGCCCTCAGAAACGTTTTCTAGTTAATGAATGTTAGGAGCCCATCTGTGGAATCAAGAACAGGAGATCCACATAGTATATACTCCTCCCAGCCAGAGTCTTGGAAATCAAAATTTTTTTGTTTTTATTTTATTTTTGACATCTCAAGATTTACCATTTGTTTCAAAGGGTATATAAATTTTTAGGGGAATTTTTTTTTTTTCGAGACAGTCTCACTCTGTTGCCCAGGCTGGAGTAAGTGGCACAGACATGGCTCACTGAAGCCTCCATCTCCTGGGCTCTAGTTATCCTCCTGCCTCAGCCTCTACAATAGTTGGGACCACAGGCATGCACCACCATGCCTGGCTAATTTTTTCAATTTTTTTGTAGAGCTGGGGTCTTGTCATGTTGTTCAAGCTGGTCTTGAACTCTTGGCCTGAAGCAATCCTCCTGCCTCTGCCTTCTAAAGTGCTGGGATCACAGATGTGAGCCACCGCACCCAGCCGGGAAAAATTATTTAAACTATTTGAACTGATCTCTGAAGGTTCATATGTGTCACATAGTACTTGCCTCTTTATTTTTCTGGATCCCAAAGTCCAAAATCAAAGAACAGAGGGGATGTTGCCTATAAAAGACTGACATGCAGGCGGGGCTTCTATGTAATGTGCTTCTGGGGCTGGTTTCGCTTCTCCTCACAGGTGTCCTGTCTCTCATCACTTCCACTGGTTGAAAAGAAACCAGGACATTTGGAGTCAAGGCTGAGGCAGGTCAGGCAGCTGTGGTTATACTCATGTAGACCTCATCTCACCTCCGCAACCAAGCACTGGCCACAGCCGCCTCTTAGCCTTCAGGCAATTCATTTTAAAGGCGGCTTTAGCAATAGTATGACATTACGGTGTAGAAATCTAAAAGAGGAGGCCGGGTGCAGTGGCTGGCGCCTGTAATCCCAGCACTTTGGGAGGCTGAGGCGGGTGGATCACCTGGGGTCAGGAGTTTGAAACTAGCCTGGCCAATATGGTGAAACCCTGTCTCTACTTAAAATACAAAAATTAGCCGGGCATGGTGGTAGGCGCCTGTAATCCCAGCTACTTGGGAGGCTGAGGCAGGAGAATTGCTCGAACCCGGGAGGCAGAGGTTGCAGTGAGCCGAGATTGCGCCACTGCACTCCAGCCTGGGAGACAAGAGCAAGACTTCATCTGAAAAATGAAAAAAAAAAAAAAAGAAATCTCAAAGAGGAAGCTGGATGAGATGAAGGGGAGGGGCTGGTCGAGAGTAACTGCAGAGGGTTTGAGGAGTAGAAATGATATCAGAGAGGGGAAGCCACACTAAGGCCTTGGGTAGTTGTTCACAGTGCAACATATTCTCTCAGTGAGTTAGCATCCTGGCTTTCCTGGGGCAACCCAGTAACACCACTTCAGTGATGTGGAAAAACATTGCTGTCCAAGAGGAATTGAATTCACTGGCTTTAGTGTCTGTTAGGAGGGAAAGCCTCATCGTGCTGAGAAAGCGGTCCTCCCTGGGCCGGGACCATCCCTTCATTCTCTCAAATGAACGCTTGGATTTGTTACTGCCTGATAAGTCAGAAATGTTTGGCTTAGATGTTCCCTCAACCACAATGACTTGAGGAACTTAAGGCAAATGGAAAATGCTTCCTGGATATTGTAAAGTCCAAACCTTCTGGAAATAGTTTGAATGCATTTCCATCCCTCCACAGGCAGCTGTTTTTCTCTCACACTAGCATGTTCCACTAGCGTGTCCCCGTCCCTCAGGCCTTCCAAGCTATCTATATGTCGGTAATTATGAAACAGGTTATTTCTGAAGAAGAGACGCTGCGTTTCTGAAGAAAAAGTCATGGAGTAGCTATTTAAGAATAACACTGGTCTTTTGGAGTTGTTGTTTCAGGAAGTACTGTAGTATCTTTTTGGTCTTCTGAAAGAAAAAGAAAAACGTTGTGACTGTGACTTTGGCTCTGTTTATTTTACTTTTCTTATCTAACCCACACGACACTGACAAATACCACATCTGTCTTGACAAGCTAGTTTGCAAATAACTATTCATTCATAATTTTAGGCTATTGTAAGAATCCTTATTTGTTACTTCATCTTGTAAGCAAGAATGCAAAATTTGGTTTTGAGAAAGACACTGAAATGACCGCAAGTCCACTGGTCTTTGCAAATCTCTCCATCTGAAAAAGATGACTGTGTACTTTTTAGTGGATTTTCAGAGCTCTAAAATATTTATTGTTGCCAAAACATAGATGGGAATTTTCTGAGAAATATAATTTAATTTTAAAGTTTTGGATTCATTTCAGTGTTGGTAATGTCAGTGCTTCTTAGACCAAGTTTATCAGGGATTTTTCTGTTTACACCAGATGTAGCAGTAACTTTGTCATTTCTTCTATTTTGATTTTTTTAAAATATGATCATTTATTCCCCTATCTATTGGCTTAATCTCATTTTCACTTATTTTCACTTTTGCTTTGACATCTTATGGCAATATGACTGCAGTTGTTTCTACTTCCTTTATAGTGAACTCTTTTTTTTTTTTTTTTTTGAGACAGAGTCTCGCTCCGTCACCTAGGCTGGAGTGCAGTGGTGCGATTTCAGCTCACTGCAAGCTCTGCCTCCGGGGTTCATGCCATTCTTCTGCCTCAGCCTCCCGAGTAGCTGGGACTACAGGCACCCCCCACCATGCCCAGCTAATTTTTTTTAGTAGAGACGGGGTTTCACCGTGTTAGCCAGGATGGTCTCAGTCTCCTGACCTCATGATCTGCCTGCCTTGGCCTCCCAAAGTGCTGGGATTACAGTCGTGAGCCACCGCACCCAGCAGTGAACTCTTGTAATAAAACTGCTGGCTTAGAAACTCCAGAAAAGTGTGAATGACTTATTCTGATTCTACTTTAGACAGATAAAGAAACAATCACAGATGGAGGACTTTTCTGTGCAAAGGATGGGTGGTTTGGTCAAGGAACGGTCCCCCCAGAGGTCAGTCAGGGCTTTCTGTGGGGAAAATGTTTCTACATTCAAGTTCATCCTTGGCATTTTGGGCTCTGCAGGTTAACGAGAGGGAGACAGAGGAAGGAGTGCACCAAACCTCTGACTCCTACCTGGAAGTAGCCAAGCAGAAGCAAAGCTGAATAATAGCCATGACCTCAGGCTCTGAAGCAGGAGGTTCCACCTTCAGATGGATCTGTTAAACTTCACCACCCTGGGTTTCTTGTACCTGTCTTCACTGTTTTCTGTCTGAGATATCTTGAGGCATTTTTAAAACATTAAGTTGTTTTGGATAGTAATTTAGTCACTCATTTGTATCTCTTCATAGTATTAAGCCTTAGGTTATTATGTGTGTTAACTAAAATCACTGATCGGATCTCTAAACTAAGTCCTGAACTGCCATGATTCCACCTACTAAACTTACACTTTTCTTCTACGTAGAATGAGGTGACCGGTGCTAGTTTGTCCTGGAGAGAGAGGTATTTCAGAAGAATTCCACTGTCAGAAAATATCACCATCAATAATGAAACTATGTGTGTAAAGTCATGTCTAATTTTATTAACTGTTTGTCACAAGTACTCAGATTATAGAAAGAGGGTCTTGATCTAAGCTGACCCTGAATTGTTATACATTTGGATCAGTTTTCCCTTTCTTGCTGAGAATTCTCTAAGAAGAGTAGAAACTCATTGTAGTTCAGTGTTGGGAGGAATGATTGTACCCACTTACAGAGTTGCTATATCACAAGAGAGATGCATTGTTTGTTTGTGTGGAGAGGCTGGAGGGATTAGGGCAGGAGCTTATTTGATAGGGAGTTTAGTTGTACATTTGTAAGACATCTAATTTTACTTAAGATATCATTGCAGTAAGAATGGCTTTATCTCTATCCTATAGACCCTCACAGTAGACAAAACCACTACCTACTCAGAACAAATAGCCCTTATGAGGGAATAATTTTTCCTTGATTCACCTGATTGGATTGTTTTGAGGTCAAATGAGGTTCTGTAAAAGGCCTTGCTAACCTGTAAGGCATAATAACCTGTACCAGGGTTCTCAAATTTTACCATGCAAAATAATTACTGATGTACCTTTATAAATGTAGATTCCCAAGCCTTTGTCAGCCACTCCAATTCAGATTATAATTCAGTTCGTTTTAAGATGGGCTCCAGAAACCTGCATCTTGATAAGGCGGCCAGGTGATCCTTGTGCAGATAGTTCAGAAACATACTCTGGAAACACTGTGTATTTTTGTTTTGTTGCTTTATTTCTTAGCTGTGTCATTGCAGGCAAAAATAAACCCCAACATTGTTACAGTTAATTAACTTCCTAGTCATTTAATTACTTTGTAAATTACCCATGCGAAGTTTTAATTCTAGGACTGTTTCTATTTTATGACTTGTGTTACCCATAGTCCCCCATCATAAATTAGTGAGTGCCTGCGTTCTTCTAAAAATATCAGGTTTCTCACATGCACGTAGTGAGGGGAACAACACACACTGGGGTCTGTCAGTGGGGATGGGGTAGGGAGAGCATCAGGATTCATTGCTAATGCATGCAGGGCTTGATACCTAGGTGATGGGGTTGATAGGTGCAGCAAACCACCATGGCACACGTTTACCTGTGTCACAAACCTGCACATCCTGCACATGTATCCCGGAACTTAAAATAAAATAAAATAAAATTTAAAATAAAAAAAGTTATGTTTGTAAGACTATAAATGCCTCAGATTTTGAGAATTCTTTACATTTCTTTGTTACAAAGCCTTTTCGCATATATCCAAAGCCTCACTGTTCTAAACAGAGTGTATCCATACCTCAGTGCTGCTTCAATGATGTAGATGATTGAAAACTGATTTTTTTTCCTTTTTCTGAGACAGAGTCTCACTGTGTCACCCAGGCTGGAGTGCAGTGGTGTGATCTCAGTTTACTGCAACCTCCGCCTCCTGGGTTCAAGCGATTCTTCTACCTTAGTCTCCTGAGTAACTGGGACTACAGGCACGTGGCACCACACCCAGTTCATTTTTGTATTTTTAGTAGAGACGGAGTTTCACCATATTGGCCAGGCTGGTCTCAAACTCCTGACCTCGTGGTCTGCCTGCCTCGGCCTCCCAAAGTGTTGGGATTATAGGCGTGAGCCACCGCGCCCGGCCTGAAAACTGATTATTTTAAAACTAAGGTTTGCTTTCTGTAGACTGAACAATCATTAGCATCCTTACATCTCTATCTCATTCATGGTCTTAACTTCTAAGGCATTGGATCAGCACCAGAGCTCCCTGTCCTCCTGCCTTACTTAAAAACAAAAAAGAAAGAAAGGAAAGAAAAGAAGGGATTTTAATGCTGTTTTATAGCAGAGTGAAAGTAAACCAAAGGTGCATACTTGAGAACTGCAGGCTGGAAATTGCAAGTGACAATAATTACCTCATCTTATTCCCACACAGACTTCCTATGACCTGGGTGACCTTGGGATCTGAATTCTGTTTAATAGAATTGTCCCTCTTCTGCACCACGGCGTACACTGGCCTGAAGAAGGTGCTGTTTCCCAGGAAAAGCACTTAAATCCCCCCAAGAAATGCATAGGGCCATAGTTTGAAGAAAAAGTATTGCTAACCAAGTGACTTACTCTGCATATTCTACCTTTCTCTGGTTGTATTCTTTGAGATTTTTATTTAAGATAACTTTCAGCATCTCTTTTTAAAGGTCAGATACGAATGAGAAAACTTTGTCTGACTTGTTAATCTTGTGACAAACCGTTTATATCCAGTGTAGCTTCCTGTCTTTGCTGACTGGTTATTTGAGGGAATTTTCTTCCTGTAAGACTGTGGAGAAGCCTCTAAAAATAAACAGCATGGTTTCTTATTGGTGGGAACATATGTGAGCAGATGTCAGCTGGAAGCAGCATATGGTGGCAACATGATAGCAGTATGTGCTTATAGAATCCCCGCTGTTGGGTCTTCGTCTTCCATGCCACACTGGCCAGTCAGAGCCCCATATCTCAGTTAAAGAGTGTTCCGCCTAGAAGGTGTAATCCACACATTTGTGAAAAATCTGCCACTGGGATCTTGATAGTGGGCTGAATATTGGACATGGTAAGTTCCAGAGTATGGAAAAAGTCTTTGTTATCCATTTAAAAATCAAGTGATAAGAGGCACACATATGGCAAAAATAAAAAATAAATCAAGAGAAGAGTCCACAAAGCCTTTGTCTTGTGTTGAAAGAAGTTTTCAAGTCAGGTCTGAATAGTGGCAGTGTTACTTCTAGAAGACGTGCTCTATAAACATGGAAGGTGCATGGACTCCCAGTGTATGAAAGGAGCCAGGAAAGAATGATATTCATGCCAGGCCCTAATAGGCAGTCAGGGCTTCTTTTGTCACACAAGTTAGACAACTGCTCATATTCCTTGACCACCTTTTGTCTGTCAGTCTGTTTTAAATATATCATCTCATTTCAATTTTATAAAAACCCTCAGAGGCAGGGTTACGTCTGCCTCATCTTACAGACTTCTCCATGGATTCACAGGAAATCAGTGACAGAACAGGGGTTTGAATTAACATCTTCTTCTGCAAAAATTCTATATTTTTATTGACCTTACCACCAATGGAAAAAGTTTTGAACACTCAGCAATATTTCCTCTTCAATTTGAGATATTTTGTGGGGGAGGGGGTGTGCTTTCTTTTCTAAGAATATGGTGGGCAAAATACAAATTGGGTTGCTGTTACTTTAAAGAAAGTGAAGTTCAAATTTTCCAGATGTAATAACTATTGTGGAAGATGCGTTTAGTCCATTTCAGAGAGCTCTAGCTTTTTAAACTGTAGGTAAGTAGCCCCAAACCAATATTCACTTGTATTTTTGACTCATTCAAGAAGGAGTTTTCACATGCGGGTTAGAAATGATGACAGGTGGTTTTAAGAACACTGAAATCTAGGCCAGCCAAATGAAAACCAAAGTTTTATTCTTAATCGGTAGACTGTCTTTTGTCAAAGGAGGTCAAAGCCTTTCTTATTCATCTTTAATATAAATCAAGGTATTTATTTTACCGTTTCAGTATGTAAATTGTACTCTGTTATTTTAACATTAGAACGTGCTAAAGGGAAAACTGAATTCAGGAGTCTGACTGCTGGTTAAGGGATGCCAGAAGATCTGGGACTAAAATCTGGAATCCTCCTTAGATCCTCAGTGTCTAATCCCCTGGCCCCAGGTAGCAGGGACCTTATTTCTGGGGAAATGATAAGAACATTCAATGAGTCCCTCTTCTACTTTGAATCTTTGTATAGTTCTGTGCCAGGCATCTCTTCAGTAAAATAGCTAATGACTGTGCTTTTTAAAACTCCTAGCTGTCTGCCCAGTTGTTACAACACCCTCTGGCTCAGTGGGCAGCTTGTGCTCCAGACAGTCCCAGGTGCTCTGTGGGTACCTTGGTGAGTACACTTGTCTGCTTTATTCCTCGTTTGACATAGTTATATCAAATCCATCTTTAGTGTTTGTCTCCTGTGGGGAACTTGCCAGAGGCAAGATGAGATTCTGAAATGCAGCCTTGTACCTGAGCGATCACAAAGGTGCCTAGAATTTTTTTTAGTAAGAGTTTACATGAGAAAAACTGATGAATAGCTTTGAAGTAATGCAATGACTATATTGCAGCATGTAAAAGAATGACTTGTGGGGATGAGATATGTGTTTTAGGGGTCACAGAGTGATTTGACATACACCTTTCCTGATCCCCATGGAGGCCACTCTCTGGAGGGTTGGACAGCATGGCCTGAATGTCAAGGGAATGTTCCTTTTTATATCTTTATTTGTATCTATGTTCTTGTTCTTGACACATAGTAGTTGCTCAATTAATGTTTCTTGTCCTGAACCAAAGTGAAAGGAGATTTTCTCTCCTTTAAGGTTCTAGAGCAAGCTTGTCCAACCCTCGGCCTGCATGCAGTCCAGGATGGCCTTGAATGCGGCCCAATGTAAATTTGTAAATTTTCTTAAAAAATTATGAGATTTTTTTTTGCAATATTTTTAAAGCTTATCAGCTATCGTTAGTGTTAGTCTATTTTATGTGTGGCCCAAGACAATTCTTGTTTTTCCAGTGAGGCCCAGGGAAGCTGAAAGATTGGACGCCCCTGCTCTAGAGGGAGACCTGTCGGGGAGTTATGCTGCTGATTATTTGTGACCTTTGTATTGACATGTCTCGTTTGCTTAAGGAAATGGATCGTCATGGGTCAGGCCCTCAGCCAACTGGACCTGTGAGCTTGCCACTTGCTCAAACCACTTAGCCCTGACCCTCGGAGCAGGTGCAAGCTCCTCAGAGCCAGCACCAGGTGTTAGGCTGAGGGGTACAAAAGCCAGAAGTCCTCAACCCTTTCTTATTGGGAACACTGATTAATTCAGCCATTTATTGAATGCTTACTATATGCTGGACGATGAGTCCACAACAAAGAATAGAGCTTGGGTGATCCTGACGCTCAAGGAATTCAGTGGCTAAAGTTATCCCTGAACCATGCTCAGGAAAAAAGGAAACAGACTTGCAATCCTGGCATTGGTTCACTGCATATTTTTGAGGCCCTGAGAAGGTTTGGATTATGTTGATTCTAAGTGTGGGTGGAGGTCCCGGCTAGAGACAAAAGAAATGTTTTTATTATCCTAGGAAAAGCCTAGGTCACTGGATACCCTATTCTGCAATGTATCATGCCTACACATTGTTGGTTAGAAATCAGTATAGTTTATTTACAGTGGCCTAAGCTGGGGTTTCCTCAAAAAGAACTCATTCTGTTGAGAATATACGTTGATTTTAGTACAGAGAGCCTCAAAGTGGCTACAAGCTGCAATGTGAATAAAAAGAGTGAAAAGTTTAATCATGCCTTTAAAGCTCCCGTTTGTGAGTCATTACGTTTTGTTTTTATACTCTAAATTCTAATTTTATTTCACTAGCTCAACCAAGGAGTTAAACATCTGATTTTTTCCCCCTAGCTAACTGGCTATTTGGAAAGGAAAACGGGAGGGAATGAGAGAAAGAAAACATTTGTTGAATACCCCCTATGTCCCTGGTACTTAAGACACATCATCCTAATTTTCCCCACATTGGTTGGTCAGGGAGGGCCAGAATGACGATCCCCATTTTTTAGGAAATCGTGGTTTGGAGAGGTAAACACCTTGTCCTTGGTCACAGAGCTGGCTGGTGACAGAGCCAAAATCTGAATTCAGGTCTGGCCCAGATGCCACCATACCACAGAGACCCCAAACTTTTCCCCCCTTTTTTGGCTTTTCCTTTGGAATCCTGTCCTGTTAATTTTGTAACTTTCTTGCCTACTACTTGGGATTAATTTCCTTTTCATCTTTTCCTCCCATAGTAAACAAAGTGAGAGGCCTACCCTGGTTCTTCGGGCGGTTTTTCTTCTCAGACACTCCTCACTTGGGGTTATTTTCGGTCACTTAATTGCTGCGAGCTTCTGTCTTCCTTTGGTGAAAAAGCATTGGAAACCCACCCTGCTCCTCAGCGAGTCAGGGAAAATCAGGAGTGTCTGAGGGTGTGGAAGGGGAGATGGGGCGCAAGCTCCACATAGATTCCCATAACAGTGGGAGGCTCTTCCACCTTGCCTAGCTCGCAGGCTCTGGAAAAACCCTGCAGACCCCTTTCAGACCTTCCCTGCAAGGCTGCTGAGCAGTGGGGCTCTGCATTTTTTTTTTTTTTTGTCTCTGTTCTTAGAAATAGTAATTGAGTAAAAATGTAAGTGAGTGTATGCCAGGGGGCAGGCATCCAGGGTCAGGGTGAATTTCTCCATGCTGAGTGTGATTCTGAACACTCGTTAAGTGAAGTTGGCCTGTGCCAAGCAGCTCCAGGGCCATCCCTGTCACCTTGCGTGAACCGCCTCTCCATTCCAAGGAGATGTTGGGAGCGGCTGAAGTGAGCGTGAGGCCTGTGGCGCCTCTTGCTTTTCTCACTCTAACCTGGGTGTTGTTGATAACGACGTGTTCTGACACTGACAATTGGACTGGCAGCTCTGATGCTGCATCAGCTTTAAATTAAATACCCTGGAGGAGAAAATAGTCCATGCTCCTCACAGCCATGTGACTGCGAAATCATTTTTCTCTTTTCAAGCTTATTATCCCCAATAATATTGGTTAAGATGTGGTTAGCCTGCCTAAAGGTTTTCCTATTAAGACATAAGAATCCAGTGTGTAAGCAGTAGAGATAAGTCTCTCTATGAAGGAATGGATTAATAGTCATGAAGGCAAATATAATTTTTTAAAAAGAGTATTTACTGAATAAGAGGCTTTTAAGTAACTTGGTTAAGATTTAAAGGTGGTATTTCTCTCTCTCTCTCTTTTTTTAGAGACAGAGACAAGGTCTCTCTGTTGTCCAGGCTGGAGTGTGGTAGCATGATCATAGCTCACTGTAACCTCTAACTCCTGGGCTGAAGCAATCCTCCCACCCCAGCCTCCTGAGTAGCTAGGACCACAAGTGTGCACCACCACACTGGCTAATTAAAAAAAAAATTTTTTTTTAGAGATGGGGTCTTGCTATATTGCCCAGGCTGGGCTCAAACTTCTGACCTCACACAGTCCTCCTGCCTCAGCCTTCTGAAGTGCAGCGATTATAAGACATGAGCCACTGCGCCTGACCCGAGGTGGTGTTTCTCAAAGTGTGATATGCATTTCTGTCTCCTGGGACATCCATCAGATTTCTTGGCCCCATTTCAGAGCTGCCAAGTCAGAATCACTGGGGTGGGTGGAGCTGAGGACTCTGCACATTTTAAACAGGCACTGCAGGTGCTTCTGACGTCACTAAAGTTTGCAGCTGCTCAAGTCAAAGGATGCTCTGATTATGCACATCTGTTTACTCAGTCATACCACATGGATGGATTCAGATCCAGTGGACTCTCTGTTTGATCAGCTGGTCCTTCAAGTGTGACCCTGAACCTACAGCCCCTGTGGAGTTTTTGCCACGTGCTTTCCATTTTCCCAAATGCAGGCAAATATTGAGGTAGTTTTTAATAATATTACTTGTTATTAAGAGTACCACACATACCCTCTGCTCACTGTTCATCACAGAGGAGAACAATGAGTGTGCAAGGAAGTAAATTAATCGTGTGTGGGTGTTGGATGTTATGTATTTCTGCACTCAGATGCCTTCAACCGGGCAACGGTGGAGTGGGGAAGGGACTTTCAAAGCTAGTGTTTAATGCATAAGTGACACATACCATGTATAAGGTAATATGTAATTCCCTGAGGTAGCATTTGGCCAAAGCGCTGCTGACCTCTTGGTGGCCTGAATCGTGTTCTGAGACATTCCATGGGGTAAGGACCTAGCAAACAATGGAATGTAAACTTTACTATCTCAGCCAAACTCAGCTTTGGGTAACTGCAGGTTTCTCTTTCCAAACAGTGTTTTGTTCAACCAGAGGCATTAGAGCAGGCAAGAATCTGACCAACCTATTAAGAAGCAAAGTTAATGATAAATCACTTGGTATTTTCTTTGTGCAACCCTGTGCCCCCTGGTATTCTGATGTTTTTGAACCACCTAATACTTTGAAGACAACTGTACAGTATGGATATTCTATAACTACCGTAGATTTTTTGGCTATTGAACTATTTACAGAAATACCCAGTTCTCGTATGTGGTCTACATCACTAAATAATCTGATTGAAGTGTGAGAAGAATGACTTGATAGTGTTCATTTTACCTCCGCATAAGTCTTCAGTTAAAAGAGCTGTACATTAACTGCAAATACAGATATAATTTTAAGATAAATGTCAAATGCATGTAGAGACCTTTGGAAGAGAAAGGTGAAGAGAGGACGTTCATTTTTTTTCTTCTTCTTCTTTTTGAGATGGAGTCTCGCTCCTCGCTCTGTCACCAGGCTAGAAGGCAGTGGTCCATCTCAGCTTACTGCAACCTCCGCCTCCCAGGTTCAAGCAATTCTCCTGCCTCAGCCTCCTGAGTAGCTGGGACTACAGCCGCACGCCGCCACTCCCAGCTAATTTTTGTATTTTTAGTAGCGACAGGGTCTCACCATCTTGGCAAGTATGGTCTCGATCTCTTGACCTCGTGATCCGCCTGCCTCAGCCTCCCAAAGTGCTGGAATCACAGGCATGAGCCACCGTGCCCGGCTGAAGAGAGGACATTCTTATGATATATTAGTTCATTCAGCTGTATTTATTTTATTTTATTTTGAGACGGAGTTTCACTCTTGTTGCCCAGGCTGGAGTACAGCAGCGTGATCTCGGCTCACTGCGACCTCCACCACCCGGGTTCAAGCAATTCTCCTGCCTGAATCTCCCGAGTAGCTGGGATTACAGGCACACACCACCACACCTGGCTAATTTTTAGTAGAGACGGGGTTTCACCATGTTGGCCCCACTGGTCTCGAACTCCTAAACTCAGGTGATCCACCCACCTTGGCATCCCAAAATGCTGGGATTACAGGCATGAGCCACCGTGCCCGGCCTATTCAGCTGTGTTTATTGAGTATTTACTTGTATCAGGCAGCAGTCTAGCTGCTAGTGAATTGAATAGCAAAAATCCTTGCCCATGGGGAGCTTACATTCTGGTGGCATAGGATAGATAATCAATAATAAAGATGAAATAAGAATTTAGAATTGGATAAATGTTTTGCAGGGGAAGTAGAGATTGGTCACAGGGATGAGGATGTGAGGTGTAATTTTATATAAGCTGGGCATGGATGAATTTGTTAAGAAGGGAGTGCATGTAAGCAGACACTTGAAGGATGTTAGAGAGTAATCTGGGACTACCTGGGGAAGGGCATTCTATTCTGTTCCATTCTGGCAGAGGGAATAGCTGGTTCTGTTGTGACATGTTCAAGGATTGTCAAAAGTATCCTAGGGATGAGATTAGAGAGATAATGAGGGATAAGTGATGTGGGGCCTTGTAGGCCATCATCAAGTCTGTGGCTTTTCCTCTGACTAAAACGGAGAGAAGAGTGGTTTTAGCCAGAGGGCCGTGTAGCTGTTAAGAATGGTATGTTGGGCCGGGCACGGTGGCTCATGTCTGTAATCCCACCACTTTGGGAGGCCGAGGCGGGTGGATCACAAGGTCAAGAGATCGAGACCATCCTGGCCAACATGGTGAAACCCTGTCTCTACTAAAAATACAAAAATTAGCTGGGCATGGTGGCATGCATCTGTAGTCCCAGCTACTCAGGAGGCTGAGACAGGAGAATCACTTCAACCCCGGAGGTGGAGGTTGCAGTAAGCCGAGATCGTGCCTCTTCACTCCAGCCTGGGCAACAAAGCAAGATTCCGTCTCAGAAAAAAAAAAAAAAAAAAAAAAAAAAAAAAAAAAAAATGGTATGTTGAATGGCCAAGGTGGAAGTAGGAAATTCAGTGAGGAGGTCTTCGTGATGCATCAGGATGGCACTTGGCAACTGCATTTCTATAGCAAGAATCTCAAACAGACCTGCCTTATGCTGAGTTTTTCCTTTAGCAAACAGTTTGATAGGCAGGCTACAGTGGGTTTTGTATTTAGAAAATGTTTTTCTGTTTGATGGTTTTTAGTTAATAGTCCTTAGTTATTGGCAACTCACCCCCTTCCTTTCTGAGGAGCAGCCAGTTCTGCAGCCTTCTGTGTGTGAAAATAACCCCTTGGGTCTCCCATCTTGTGCTCACGCATGTGGAATGGCAGCTACTGGAGTTCGTACTCGCGGTGAAGCCTAGTCATGGCCGTCTTTGACATGATGGCCAGGGACATGTGGCACTATACCCATAGCTGACCATACTTTGGCCTAGGAGAATGTCAAACTGCCTTTTCCGGTGTGAAATAGAAAGTCAAGCTTGGAAGGATCCTTCTTTGGATCTGTCCAGCTGTGCTCTGCATGCAATAGAAGGGCTTTTGCCTAAACTTTGAAATGAGGTCATAAGCCAGAGAATTTGTAAAACTATGTCTCTTATCAGTCAAAAAGAATTTCTGTGGGACTGAAGTTTGCTTTCTAATTCTTAAGCTTTGAACAGGAAGACTTTACACGGGGATGTTGGTGTTATTTCTTCATCCATCTGTACAAGAAACATGAGTTGAGCCTACTGTGTGCCAGGTGATAGGTGTAAGAAAACTGCATAGATCCTGTCCTCAGGGAGCCTGCACTTAGTGAGGAAGTCAGGCAGACTAAACCAACCAAACAGAAACAAAAAGCCAACCCTGTGGTTGATGACAAGGAAAGCATCTGAGAGGCCAGAAAAAGAATTGTACAACTTGGCCTAGTGGTGAAGGAAGCCTTACTGGGGGAGATGATATTTACCTCTTGAAAGATGGCCTTTGAGATTGTAGTTTGGTAGTCATCAAGCAGCAATAGAAAACTGCTTATGTTTTCTGGAAGGAGATTTGCCCCTTCATGTAATTTCTTTCTCTGTGAGTTTGCATGACTACTGTCTTAATGAGTCATGAAACACCAAGAAATGCTTAGTGTGGTCTTTGAAAAAATTGATGTATTTTTACAAGGGAACAACTTTGAAATACTGAGACTAGAGAATAGGACAATATGGTTACATCAAGTATTTGTTATTCAAAGTTGATATATTCAGAAGACATAATGGGCCTATTGTATATAAACATCCATGTGATGATATAGTATACTGGGACTCTGGAATTTGGCATTATTTTATAAGCTCAGGGTCACTGTCTAGAGCTTTTCTCTCAATCTCAGTGAGTGATAAACAGCACAGGTTTCTCGCACGTTCATATAGATGGCCTTGTGGGATGGCTGTGGCTCTGTTCCATGAGCTCTTTATTCCAGGACCAGGGCTTAGGGAGCAGCCCCTAACCCAGGCATGCTGACCTCATGGCAGAACCAGGAGATGTGGCAGTTGTCTTTACCCACATTCCATTAGCCAAAGCAGGTCACATGGCCACACATGATTTCAGTAGAGTAGGAATTGGGTACAAGGGAGAGAGGCTGTGGGGATGGGCCCAGGGGAGAGGGACAGCCAGCATTTTGAACAAATGATACAGTCTACCACAGTGTAGGTGGAGGAGTTGGGGAACAGGGAAAGGTTTCGCCCACTTTAAAAAAACTTTCTGGCTGGGCGCAGTGGCTCGTGCCTGTAATCCCAGCTCTTTGGAAGGCCCGGTGGGAGGATCACTTGAGCCCAGGAGTTTGAGACAAGCCTGGGCAACATGGTGAAACCCCATCTTTACAAAAAATACAAAAAATAGCCGGGCCTAATGTGGCACGTGCCTGTGGTCCCAGCTATTCAGGAGGCTGAGGTGGGAGGGTCACTTGATCCCGGGAGTTGGAAGGTGCAGTGAGCCGAGATCGCACTACTGCACTCCAGCCTGGGCGATAGAGGGGAGACCCTGTCTCAATCAATCAATAAATAAATAAAAATTTAAAAACAGAAAAGAAAAACTTTCTGTTTTGTGGATATGACATGATTGGATCCACACTATTGCTGTGTCTGTGGGAATATGGGGCACTTTATTGAAATATGAATATTTACTGCATATTTGGTTGGTTTTATAAGACATGCATCATGTTATTTCCCTCCATTTTCATTAATGCCATTCTCCTCCAATCAAGATGAGTTTATCTATTTTAAAAGGCCCTGTTGGCAGTACCAGGTTTCTAAAGCAAGTCCTGATACGTTATATGGAGTTTATGTATGTCCGGCAGACTCTGAAACTCAGGCTTACCTCCAAAGCATGCAGTGATATCTTTGAGCCTTAGGTCCTAGATTGTCACTCTGGTCCTGATATGTCTGGCAGTGTCTGATAGATGTTGTCCACA
The DNA here is from genome assembly GCF_000001405.40 of Homo sapiens. Taxonomy (NCBI): domain Eukaryota; kingdom Metazoa; phylum Chordata; class Mammalia; order Primates; family Hominidae; genus Homo; species Homo sapiens. Next base: position 218,371,725 of record NC_000001.11, read on the forward strand.
ATAAGAATTCAGGCGAGTTTCCATGAGGTTCTGTAGATGTTTAGCTGTTTGCCAGAAGGAGCATGGCTTTCCTGTTTCTTATCTGTCTTGTGCGAGTTCCATGCCATCTTAAACAGTGTGTACCATGTAGTTCCCTAGAACCCCATCTATAACTTGAACCTTAGTCTCTTGAGAATGACCCACCAGGGTGATTGTTTAGAGCCACGTTCCTACCTGTTGTTTCCGGTGAGCAAACTGGAAAGTAACCCTGCCTGGCATGGGGTGTCTGCTGTGTAACCCTCAACACAGTGACAGTGATCTGCTCTGACCGTCCCTGAGCGTGCTAGGTAGCTCAGGGCTTGCAAGTTCATAAATAATTATCTCCACAGCCTATTCTTAGTAGCAACAGATGCTGAGCTTTTCCAGCCTGCTCTCGGGGTCAGTGGTGGGAAAGAGAAGAAAAAAAATGAAAGCATTGTTTTGCACATGGCTGGACATCTGTATTTCTGAATTGCCCTGTTGTGTGTATGATGCAACTGCTGGAGCTGTTTTGCTGAATGTGAACTTTGTCAACCGACTGGAGTCTAAATTGGTTTTGGATCCCTCTGAAATCTAAATGGTCAGACCATATTTTTCTAATATTCAGCTGGATTGTATCTTTGCTCTGAAGTGGAGCTGACTTCGTATGTGTTCACAGTGGCAGCAGGGGTTGCTTCTCTGTTTTCCTGGTCTGTGTTGTTTGTTTTCCCAAGACTGCTGCTTACCTTGTCCATTGTCTATACTCAGGAGACCAGGAAGGTAACTCCCTATGGAACTGTGGCCACTGGGACTTCAAGGATCGTTAACTCTAGTGTTATTGTTAGGAAGAGAGCAGACTGTTTTTCAGAAATGAAACAGGTGAAGCACCAAGAATAGCTAACCTACTAGGTGCACTGGTACCATGGCAAAGACTTGGACTTGGACTTGGGATATCCAAGCACTTAGGTTCTTTGTTGGGAGCTTTGACAGTCAAGGCTGATGTTTCTGTTTGGTAGCTGTAGTGCAGAGGTTCTCAACTTCACTATGTATCAGAATCACCTGGGGAGCACTTAACATATTACTTATATTACTCAGGCCAGAGTCCAACTCCAGAAATTCTGACTCCGTTGGTCTGGAGTGGGACTTTGCATCTTTAGTTTTAGAAAGTTTCCCGGCTGGGCACGGTGGCTCACGCCTGTAATCCCAGCACTTTGGGAGACTGAGGTGGGCGGATCACCTGAGGTCAGGAGTTCAAGACCAGCCTGATCACCATGGACAAACCCCATCTCTACTAAAAATACAAAAAATTAGCTAGGAGTGGTGGCACATGCCTGTAATCCCAGCTACTCGGGAGGCTGAGGTAGGAGAATCGCTTGAATCTGGGAGGCGGAGGTTGTGGTGAGCTGAGATCGCGCCACTGCACTCCACCCTGGGCAAAAAGAGCAAAGCTCCGTCTCAAAAAAAAGTTTCCCAGGAGATTCTAATGTGCAACTGGAGTTGAGAACCTGTATTTTGGAGGCTTACAAAGCTTTTAATAAAACTGTGTGGCTGTGTCTAGATATCCATGTTAGGTTTTGAGTGAATTTCTGCATGAAGAAAAGACATCTATTTGGGTGGTGATGTTGATGGTTGGGGCAGTGGATCCTGTCTTTTATAACAATATGATTAGTAATAATAATATGACTAATATGATTAGTAATATGATTAGTAATAATATGACTAATATGATTAGTAATATGATTAGTTATAATATGATTATATTACTAATCATATTGTTAATAATACTAACTATCAGTTATGGAATAGTTATATTAGGCTCTGGGCTAATCTCCATATTAGCACTATATATAAACACTATTATTATTCTAAATTTTATAAATAAGGAAACTGAGGTGTAGTAACATCACGTGTAATTTCCTCACGATCACACAGCTGTCTGACTCCAAAGCTCATCCTATTCATCACTCCTCCAAGATGATTAATTTCCATTTAAATAAGGAAAATGTGGATTAAAGAATGAGAAGTCTAAAAAGGAGAATCCTCTGAGTGAGAACCATATGCATCTGTATGTGTCAGGGCATCATTCTCTTCTGATAAAAGGAAAAAAAAGACAAGTCTGGATGTGTTTCTTTTTTTCTCTTAAATGCAGTATTTTTTTCCTAAGAACCTGTGAAAGTTCAAGGCAGGCAGTAGAACCCAAGGGCTTGCATACTGGTATTGGAATTAAGCAGTGGCCTCTGAGCTTAGCTCATGCATGCTCTTCATGTTCCTCATTAGAAGAATGAAAATAGCTTCTTATGTGAATCTATATGGAGGATGAGTGTGTGCTTACAGTTATTTTCTTGTCTAGGCTGGGTAATAATTAGAGTGGGCAATATAAACTCCAGTGTTTTCATTTTGTTCCCTGAATAGGACAACTGTTTTGTTGTTGCTTTTGTTGTTGGCAGATTTGTAAATCAGAGTACATACTTCTTACTTAAAGGACTGTGTTAATTCTCTAATGCCTGTTAAAAGATTAGAATAGTACCAGCACCTATCAATAAGCAGGATCCTGGAAATTCCATAGCCAGTTCCTGATAGGCCCCATACTTATGAAGGAATGTTACATTGAGGCATCCAATAAATATTTATTAAATGAGAGAGTGAATGAATTTTTGCACATATGTACCATAACAGAAATAGCACCCCACGTATTGCTAAGGACTTCTTGGGAAAGGAGAGTGATTTTAGTCAATTGCTATGCTCCCAGTTTCTCCACGGGGCCCCCGTGGTCTGCTGACCAACTCCTAATTGCCTACCAGAAGCAGTTCTCTGTACACTAAACATAGCAATATTAGTAGGCTTTTAAAAAATCTTATCATCACAAGCTTCCGTTTATATCTCTCAGCCTTGATGAAAGGAAGCTGACTTTTGCTTTACTCTAAGTAGCATTCTTCATATTACAAGTTAGAAAAAGTTCTGTTGTCCCCAGGGCACATAAGGAACAGGAGAGAAGTTGCTTGCCAGCCCATGTGAAAGATGAGAAGCCCAACTTGGATTCATTCATGTCCCCTGCTACAGGGACACCTGGATGAGACCCTGCTCCCTCTGTGAGTTCAAACTGCTGTCACTGGAGTTATAAAGGGACATTTAGGCTTGTGTTCTTGGGTCTGTAGCCAGACAGCACAAGTATTTTTAGGGCTCTTTTTGTCTCAATCTGATTTCTGCTTGAAACTTTAACACATGCAGGCTTCACTGAAATACTTTTAAACTACTCTCTGGGCAGTGTAGGAGGGGTTGGATTAGTACTACAGCCTTTAAACAGTTCAAAAAAAGATTTTTTTTTATTGCTAAATATCCAACAGGCTGAACGGAGGAAATTCAAGTCTAACCCTGGAGGGACCCCTGTTTAGTCATCTGTCTAGACAGACGAGTTCATATAATGGGCCTCTATGTTTCTTTTGCTTTGTATAACAGACGGTGGTCCCTTCCTTTAAACTTTGTGAAGATGTCAACCTTTGGTTTTTTTTATCCCAACCTGCTGTTGATAAGCCAAGAAAGTGACTCACACATGAGCCAACAATAACTCTTGAGTGTGACAATTAGTCTTACAATTGAGTAGCAAGAAAATATAGGATTTGCATACAGGGGACCTGGGTAAAATCCTGACTGTGTAACATCGAGAAAGTCAGTTACCCTTTCTGAACTTTTTTTTTTTTCCTAAAATGAGAGTTAATTAAAAAAAAAAAACCCAACATTATTTCTTAATGGTTCTTCAAAAGAAGAAATTATCTAACACAGAAAAATGTTTTTCACATGGTAGAGGCTGAGTAAATTGTCATTCATTCAATCAATCATTTTAAGGTGATCATTGAAGACTTTAGCATTTTTGCTTTCTTATTCTGAAAACCATAGAAAAACTAGAAATTCTAGCCCATATTTTAAATCTCATGTCAGCATACATTGAGAACAGCGAGTGCTTTTTTTTCAGTCTAGAAAAGAAGAAAAGTGGTACCAATTTCTGTGAGAGGAAGATAATATTGGAGATAGTATTTTAAAATACGGGATATTGAGGGAGGAGGGAGAGCATCAGGAGGAATAGCTAATGGATGCTGGCCTTAATACCTAGGTGATGGGATGATCTGTGCAACAAACCACCATGGCACGTTTACCTATGTAACAAACCTTCACATCCTGCATATGTACCCCTGAACTTAAGAAGTTGAAGAAAAAATATGGGATATCTATAATTTATATTCATAAGTTGAATGTATAGAATCAAAGGGAGGATTGGTGGTTGCCAGGGGCTGTAGCGAAGGGGAAATGAGGAGTTACTAATAAATGGGCCTAAAGTTTCAGTTGAGCAAGATGAATAAGATCTAGAGAGCTGCTGCACAACGTCGTACCCACAGTCAACAATAATAGATTGCACACTTAAAAATGTGGTAAGTGCGTACATCTCCCGTTAAGTGTTCTTACACAATAGAATTTAAAATATTGTTAGAAGTGAATAAGGCAGAATGACATTCTTTATCTTGTTAGGAGGGCTGGAAGCTCAGACCTTGCATGAAAGGACAATGTGTGTTAGTAATGATTTCTACAACCAGGCGGAACATCAGCCACCTCAATTCCTTGTCATTTCACTTTAAGCTCTGCCTGGATGGTTCCTGAAAACCATGACCTACAAAATTTTGTTTTATTCTATTTAATTCAGTTATAATTCACCAAGCATATACTGCCTTAAGAATTTGGTGCCTGAATTATGCAGATGAATAAAAAATGAGATAGGTAGGGATGAGTCCCTCTTGGAAGAGGCATCACCAACAGCTCAGAGAGTACTAGGACCATACAACCTAGGTTTAAGTGGAGGCCTTACTGTTTCCAGTTCCATAGCACCGGGCAAGTTCCCTCTTTAAGCCTCAGTTTCTTATCCCCCACCTAAGTGGGATGAATCCAGATGTGTACCTGACAGCTGATGTGCTCCCAGTAGCTAGTAACATTGCTTTTGCTGTTATGCTTATTCTTTTTATTGTTATTACTATATTATCCCTGCCCTCAAGTAGCTTATAGCCTATTTGTGGAGACCCATTTGTACACACTACCCTGCACAAAGCAGAAAAATTAAAAAACTGCTGAATGACATTTACAAGCAAAGTTCAATCCAAACACATAGGAAGATGGTTGGTTAATGAAACCAGCTTTGTTTGTTTTGAGACACGGTCTTGCTCTGTTGCCCAGGCTGGAGTGCAGTGGTGTAATGATAGCTCACTGCAGCCTTGACCTCCTGGGCTCAAGTGACTCTCCCACCTCAGCCTAGGAGGTTAGCTGGGACTACAGATGATGCCACCACACCTGGCTAATTTAAAAAAAAAAATTTTTATAGAGATGAGGTCTCACTTTGTTGCCCGGGCTGGTCTCAGACTCCTGGGCTCAAGGGATCCTCCTAAAGTGCTGGGATTACAGGCGTGAGCCACTGTGCCCAGCTGAAACCAACTTTTAGGAGAAGCAGTCCCTACCATGCCTAGAACAACGTGTATTTCTTAAGTGCTTAGCCACAGCCTTAAAGTGAAAGGGAAATAGAAAAATCAGCCTCCTCTTTAGCTGGTACAGGACAGAAGCAAAACATAGATATCTATGTTGATAGCATAACTTTTCACATTTTGTAGTATAGTTCATGACATTCTCAGACACTGAAATTCCATTGGAACCCAGTGCTTTACGTGGCTTTGAATATGGTATGTGTGAGTCATGTCTCTTTCAATACAACTGCAATCAATAAAAACCCCAGTAAAATGTGGTTAACCACAAGGGCATCCCTCCCCACCAGCTCCACCCCCAAATCAGCACTATGATTCATTCAATGTAGTCCTCCTCCCCCTAATGTATTTTACATTGGGAGATACTTATGCTTCCTCAGCACAAAAATCAGAAATCCTACTCTTCTGCTGGTCGCCTGCCCCTATGTTGTGCCGTCTTGCCCCACCCCCGACCCCTGGGAAGTCCAGTCGTGGCCTATACCCTGGGTAGCTGTGGCTGGGGAGAAACTCTGCCCAGTTTCATGCAGAAGCAGGACAGATGCTTCCAAAGGATGCAGTCTGAGGTCCCAGAAGACCTTACTGAGAAAAAAGTCTTTTCTTCTTTCTTACTAATATAACCCCAGCATCCATCTTCCTGTGTCTTCCTTAAATTGAATCCTGAGATGAGGCTTCCCATTTGCCACCACCTCCTTCGTTTTAATTCATTACATATATTATAGTGTGTTTGTTTGTTTGTTTGTTTGTTTGTTTGTTTTTGATACAGAGCCTTGCTCTGTTTCCCAGGCTGGAGTGCAGTGGTGCCATCTTGGCTCACTGCAACCGCCGCCTCCCGGGTTCAAGCAATTCTCCTGCCTTAGTCTCCTGAGTAGCTGGGATTACAGGCCCCTGTCACTATGCCTGGCTAATTTTGGATTTATTTATTTATTTATTTATTTATTTATTTATTTATTTAAGATGGAGTCTTGCTCTGTCGCACCAGGCACTCTATGAGTGCAATGGTGCGATCTTAGCTCACTGCAACCTCCGCCTCCCGGGTTCATGTGATTCTCCTGCCTCAGCCTCTCGAGTAGTTGGGATTACAGGCGCCCGCCACTGCGCCCAGGTAATTTTTGCATTTTTAGTAGAGACGGGGTTTCGCCATGTTGGCCAGGCTGGTTTCGAAGTCCTGACCTCAGGTGATCCGCCCGCCTCGGCCTCCCAAAGTGCTGGGATTACAGGCGTGAGCTACTGCACCCGGCCATTTTTTGGGTATTTTTAGTAGAGACGAGGTTTCACCATGTTGGCCAGGCTAGTCTCGAACTTCTGACCTCAAGTGCTCCTCCCCCCTCGGCCTCCCAAAGTGCTGGGATTATAGATGTGAGCCACCGTGCCCAGCCTGTTCATTTTGCTGTTGAGACAGAGTCTCACTCTGCCACCCAGTCTGGGGTGCAGGGACCATAGCTCACTGCAGCCTGGAACTCCTGGCCCCAAAGGATCCTTCCGCCTCAACCTCCTAGAGCGCTGGGATCACAGGGGTGCTACACCACACCCGGCCTGTTTTTTTTTTCTTATACAGAAGGGACCTGAGGAAACAATATGCATTGTGAGTGCACACCAGAGGGATAGAGAAAGGCAGACAAGGAAAGGAGAGGAAAGGCGGGTAATGGAAGAAGAGGTGTGGCAAGGGCAGCAGCCTTCACATTGCTTCCTCGCTGGGTCTGTGGCTATTACCCTCCTGAGCAGCACCTTCTCAGGCCAGCTCGGTCTAGAAAGCTGTCTGCCAGCAGATTCTAGTTGTCATCCCAGCAGTCCTTAAAACATGACCTGCCACCCACAAGGGAAATCTGGTCTCATTAGTACCTTTAATTATAAAAGCAGACCGAGAACACATGGTACATTTTCTTTCTTTCTTTCTTTTTTTTTTTTCTTTTTTAGAGACGGAGTCTCACTCTGTCACCCAGGCTGGAGTGCAGTGGTGCGATCTCGGCTCACTGCAAGCTCCGCCTCCCGGGTTCACGCCATTCTCCTGCCTCAGCCTCCTGAGTAGCTGGGACTACAGGCGCCCGCCACCACACCTGGCTAATTTTTTTGTATTTTTAGTAGAGACAGGGTTTCACCGTGGTTCGCCAGGATGGCCTCGATCTCCTGACCTCATGATCCACCCGCCTTGGCCTCCCAAAGTGCTGGGATTACAGGCGTGAGCCACCGTGCCCGGCCAGTACCTTTTCTTTATTTTTTAATTTTATTTCTTTTTCTTTCTTTCTTTCTTTCTTTTTTTTTTTTTTACTTCTGCGAGCCTGGAACATCTTTTCTTTAATTTGATGCTGTCTTTCTTCCTCTCTAATGCTCAAATCTAGCTTTCATATTTTTTCTCAAGGTTGTCATTTGACAGGAGGTTTTATTTAAAAGTTCTGAGGTTAAATACCTGGAAGATAAGATGAAGCCAGTTGAAAACAGTGTCCTTTTTCTGTTCTCATGCCTGAGAGAAGTTCAGTCAGTCCTGATTTTTCAATCGGGGTAGACCAAAGTTTAAGTCAGCTGGCTGTGATACAATCTTATTTTACCATTTTCTTTCACATGCTTTTAGTTAATGGAGGAAGCTGGGTCTTAAAATATCCAATTGCATTTAACTTCTTTTACTTACTTAAGGAACCAGTTACCCTTTGATAAGTACCTATGTCTAGTTCCTTTTATCCACAGTTGGTATTTAGTCAATAATAACAATAACAACAATAATAATACCGATGCGGTGCTTCATATACTCCAGGCACTCTTCTAAACACTTTTAGAGACATCGATATTCATTTGATCCTGGCAATAATAGGTATTATTACTCTCTTTGTTTCACATGTGAGGAAACCAAGGCAGAGAGAGATTAAATAACTTGCCCAAGCTGTGAGATAGTAGAGCTGAGACATTTACCTATCAAAGTCGCTGCCATCGTCAGCACTCACTCGCATTCATTGGAAGCTCAAGTCGGTGACCAATCATGTGTCCCTAAAGCAGCAGTACAGTGTAATGATTAAGGGCACAAACTCTGGAATGAAAATGGCCTAGGTTTGTGTGTTTGGGGACGGACATTCCACTCTAGAAGTAGATTCCACCTGGCCTAAAATGTGTAAATCACTGTGCTATCACACCAAGTTAGAAACTCACATGGTGCACACACATGCTAAGCTCCTTACAGTCTGAAACTGGCAACAGTAATCAGCATGCAAAGTTCTCTTTAGATGGCCTGTTTTTTTTTTCCTAGCTAACCCCTTTGATTAGCAAATAGTACAAATGTTTATAGAGTTGGAAGATTTTTAATATCTTTATTTGAATTGCACAAAGCAGCCAAATGTAGTTTGGCCCTAGGCTGCAGAGTATATGTGTCCGGGTGCCAAGAAGCAACTGCACTCCGCCTGGGATGCCAAGCATTCCAGACCTGTTACCTTGTAAGTGTAATATTTACCAGATTTTTGCTTCATCTGGAGATGAAGAGCAGAGATGAATAGAGTGGGGGTGGGTCAGGCTGCTGGGAAGGGAGCTCAGTGTTGAGAGGAATCCCTGAATGAGTAGGTAGCTGGGAAGGGAACAGAGATTTGCCAGAAAAAGCCCTTTTGCTGGCAACTTGGAATCTAGGAAAAAATAACAGAGGCTAACATGCTGGGGTGCTTACCATGTGCCAGGCATAGTGCCAAATGTTCTGCTTTCATGAGCCTATCTCATCCTTTCAATTCTATGAGATAGATGCTATTATTATCCCTACTTTGTAGATGGGAAAAGTGCAGCTGAGAGAGTTAATTACCCAAGATCAATTCTCTTCTGTTCCAAGGTCTCTTTGTTACTTTAGTAAAACTAGTACAGAGCAAGGAATGACAGTGCATCAAGCCGAACCCCAACAAGTCAAGGCACTTACAGTATCTTCTGTTGGTTCTTACTTTCTCTAACCTTCGCAACTGCCCTGAAAGTTAGGTGTTGTTAACATTTTACAGACGAGGAAACTGAGGCCTTAGAGCTTAAGATATTTGCCAAAGGCACATTTTTGTTTTTGTTTTTGTTTTTTTTTTTTTTTGAGACAGAGTCTCGCTCTGTTGCCCAGGCTGGATTGAAGTGGCACAGTCTTGGCTCACTGCAAGCTCCGCCTCCCGGGTTCACGCCATTCTCCTGCCTCAGCCTCCTGAGTAGGTGGGACTACAGGCAACCGCCACCAAGCCCAGCTAATTTTTGTATTTTTAGTAGAGACGGGGTTTCACCTTGTTAGCCAGGATGGTCTGGATCTCCTGACCTCGTGATCCACCCGCCTCGGCCTCCCAAAGTGCTGGGAGTACAGGTGTGAGCCACAGCGCCCGACTGAAAGGCCAGATTTTTAAGTGGTAAATCCAGGAGTAGAATCTGGGTCTGCTGAATCCCACATCTTAAATCTCTTTGTGTTCAAACATGACGTCTTCATTAGGCACCAGTGACAAGATCACAAATAAAACAAAACTCTATCTCTGGACAAGCTCAATTTTCTGCGATGTTCCTAAAAGGGAAGGGGATTGAGGCAGAGCTCCAGGTAGCTTGTACTGAATCCTGTGTGTGAATAAACAGAGGTAGTAGATGAGATAGTGCTACTAGGTGTGTGTGTAGGGGTGTGTGTGTGTGTGTGCACACGCGCGTGCCTATGCACACAATGGGGCAGTTGTAGGCTGGAGCAGGGAAGATTTATTTTTAAATTGAAGAAATTAGTAGTTGCCAGAGAAGCACATGTGCAATGTCTTATGTTTTACTTTCATCATCTCTCCATCTGATGAATAAATTTTAAGGGGATTCCTGCAGGTCAGCAGAAAGAGAGGGTGAAATCTAGCCCTAGTTCTTTGCTGCCCTTACCAGATGGAGGCCACCATTAAAGCCCTCAACTCAACTGAAAAAAAAAATTTTATGAAGTATTTTTGTGAAAATTAAGCTATAGCATTGGAAACCACTCTTTACATCCCCCTCCCCACCTCCTGCAGTGCTCAAAGCTGTCTTCCAAGGAAGCTGGAAATATAAGTAGAAAAAATATCTTGCCCAGAGGCCCCTGGCAAGAGCTCTTAATCAGCTACTGGTACCTTTGCTTTTGGGGACTGTAGCTTTGGTTGAGTCTCACCCAAAAATCAATGTTTTTAGCTGAAGGCGGAAAATTATAAAAGCAAAGGTGTGAAGTGAAGCTCTTTGGTTAGTGCTGTCAGTGGAAGAACAGTCACCCCAGTGGAGTAATAGGTGCCCCAAGACACATACACACGCTTGAGCAGGACCACTGATTCATCCAGGCGCTCGCTGATGTGAGACTGATAAAGTGACTTATTTTTAAGCAGTTGATCATACTTCTGAATTAAAGTATTCATAGATTATTCAGAAATAATAAATTTGTTTTGTGGAAAGTGAGATTTTTTTTTCTCTACTTACTTCACAGTACCACCATGTCCCACTGGACATTTGGACACATAGGAACTGAATTCAAGGGATGATTTTCTATCACTTGAAATCTTAAAGTAGAAGAGAGATGGAGTGATTTGCTTGTGATGAATCGGCCAGTCTCTGGGTAAAAAAGTCAGGACTAGGAAAACAAGGACTAAAGTCACAAACTTCTGCTCCCAACACAATCACTAAGATCACCTTCAAATGCCACTTCTACTTCCCGTAGGAGTTCTAGTCTTTCATGAGTATTCAATTTTAAGCACTGGTGGTCTATATGGAGGTATGAGGTGGTGTTTCTCTTTTGGCTACTCATCTCAAATTTTGAAAATAAATGTTCATGGGGGTAAGAAGATTGTTTTATGACACTAGCCTACTGTAAATTCTTTTTGGAGTCTTCTTGAAAATATTTGAGTTTTTAAATTAAACACTAGGTGATAAGGAAAGGTTTCAAGGGAGGATAAAGTTAAAAAGAAAGGCAATTCCCAACGAAGAGGAAAGAAACCTATGTGATGGAGTCTTAAGCTTTTGTATTCTGCCCTTGGATATTACAGCAAGGCCCTAGGACTGGATTTATGATGCAACCAGGGGTTTAATTAGAAGACTATGAGCTCGAATGGAGCCACATTTAGACAGAATCTGAAACCTCTGTTTTGTCAATGCATAATTCTACAGGAATTTGCAAGTGACCTTTATTTTTTTAGGAGGGTCCAAAATTCAAAGCTGGAAAGCATGTGTCCTTTTTAATGTATAGTCTATTGCAAATATGAATCTGCCTTTAGAAAAACACAAGACCATTTTAAAATGCAATAATAGGGCTGCTAATTTGCCCTTCAGAAGTCATTTTTCATTTTCTTTGTTGGGAAAGCAGGTGCATGAGAAGTGTGTGTATGTGGGGGGTGTGGGGGAGAGGGAGAGTGTCCTCAGGTGTTCATTGTCACACAGCCCTCAAGTGGCTTCACAGGCAGAAAGTCCTAGCAAGAAATGGCAGTCCTTGCAGAAGCCCTTTGTCCCTTCAGCCATACTGTTTGTGAGTTTTTTTACTGAAGGATTTTCACACAGCTACGTGGCGAAGGACTTGCGAGATTTGATTATATATCCCATGAGTCAGGTTTCGATGGGTTACAGATTGCAATAAAATCAACCACAGGCTTTGGAAAAACTTTCCATGAAAGGCATTTTAGACTAAGAAATATTGGCTTTGGATTTCCCCATCTAGAAAGGTAGAGAGTAAACATGTACTGACAAAAAAGCACCACATTCGGGATCCCGAAAATAATTGTGAAACAACACAAGAATGCTTTTCCTCCTCCCTTTCCTTCCTTTCCACGTCACAGAGTTTGTCATTTATGACGATTTTGTGGTTGTTTTAACAGTTCTGTGAAAATGAGATACAGAGAAAGTATTTTTAAGATTTATTTAAATAATATAAGGTCACAGATATTCCCCCCTCTCCTCTTCTAGAACATCTTGATTCATTAAAAAGAAAAAAAAAAAGGAATTAAATAGCATAAGTATTTTGAATGCATTGGTTATGGGTTTTATTTTTAATAACTGTCTTGTCACTCATTATTTTATTGGGTTAAAAGTTATAATCATTTTCAGGTAGATAATTAAAGTAGCTATGTATGTAGGAATGGAGTTAGAATAATTTGGAATATCGTGGTGGAAAAAGCGTTAGCAGGTATGTGGGATATTTGAAAGCCTTAGAAAAACAAGCATGTTAAATGCTTCCTATACTATTATGTGTTATAAGACAGATTATGTATAATAAGAGGCTATCTTACCTTTTAAAATAAAGTACTAAAAGTGGTTCATTACAAGTCACTTCCGCTCTGGCTGTACCACTTATTAGCTGTGTGACCTTAGATAAATTATTTAATCCTCATAAGCCTTAGTCTCCTCATCTGCAAAATGGAAATGAAAACAGTATCTACCTCGCAGAGTTCTTGTGAGGCTTAAACGAGATAATCCAGGTCAGACCCAGCTGCTGTTATTCTTGGCCCTGTACATATTGAGAGAGGCTGGCTTTCCAGGCAGTGGATTTAACATACGTTTGCTTCATCTCATTTTTCCTTAAACTCAGGGGCTATGGACAGTCCATTCACACCCCTAGAGTCTCACCAGAAAAGGACAGAAGGCAGAATTCAAATCTGCTGAGAATGGATGGTTAACATGAAACGTGGGGGATGACTCATGGCAGGAGGAGGTTCAGTGAAGCCCGATTGTCTCTGACAGTTGAGGACAAAGTGGCTGCAGATGCTTCAGAGGCTGCCCCCAGAGCACATTGCAGCCTGTGCAGTTATTATTCCTAAGGCCGATGCCACAATGATGTCACATAACCACCCGGCAGATGGCTCGTATTATTATATGCATTGAAACCAGAGTGAACCCTTCCCATGTTTGGGATGGGTGTGGTGAGTGGGAGGAACACCTGTTAGGAGGTAGGATCTGGGTTTGATTCTATTTTTTCCCCCTCTCTTACTGGTACTTTCTGGTTGGTAGCTCTGAGCCTCAGTTTCCTTATCTGCAAAAGGGAGATGTACCTCAAAAGTTGTTTAGAAGGGTAGAGTAGAATTAGATAAGATAATGTAAGCAAATGCTTGGTGTTTCTGAATGACCTCTGGAATATGTGGACAGCATATTGTTATTCAATGATAATTAAGAATAAGTTGAAGTACAGTGATGCCACCTTGTACTTATCATTTTGCATTTAACAAAAGGACGTGGACATGCATTATCGTATTTGAGCTTGACGAAAGCCTGTGATCACCGGTTCACAGAGCACAGAGGTTTTGGGCCTTCCCCAAAGTAACACGACTTCAGAGGAAAATGAGAATTCCTGCTAAGAAGTGGCCATCCTTGGTGTATAAGCCCCTTTATCCCTTTAGCCATGATATTTGGGAGATTTTTTGCTGAAGGGTTTTAACATGACCCCATGTCAAGACTAAGACCAAGATCTTCTCACATAGCTGCAGAGGATCACACACAGAGGGTGTCTTTGGCTGGTGAGGGGCTCATGAGATGGAGCATAGCAGGGGCCTCCTAGTGTGTCCTTCAAAACCAAAATTAGGCTTTTCATAAGCTCAGTCTCTGAACTCAGTGCTGTCTGGCTCCTTTCCCATCTTTCCCCTTGGAGGAAAACTGAAGAATTAAGCTGTTAGAACTAGACTTCTCTAATAAGCCTCAGTGTCACAGGTTGTCACAGTTGTTGCATTTTATTTTGTTTTTATTTTTATTTTTTCTTAATTGGGCAGCCTCTCCCCCAGCCTTTTCCCCCAAACCAGAATAAGTTCAGAGAGACTCCCATGGTTGCATTTTAAAGGTCATCTAGTTCTGTCATTACTCCTTGAATCCTGTCATAAGATCCTGGCTACTCGCAGGGATGTTGCTTGAACCTTTTGTAGGTAACTCTGTTTGAAGGCTCTTCACTGTACTGAGCTTGGGCTGTTCTGAGATTTATCACCCCCACCCCATCCTTTAAGTACTACAGAACAAATCTTTATCAGGAGAGGTGGGGACACGGGACAGTGGAAAGAGTGTGGACTTGGGATCAGATAGACTTGATTTGCAAATTTCCAGCTACCTTTCTGTTTCAGCTGTATACTGTTGCACAAGTGACTTGCCTGCTGGAAACCTCAGTCTCTTCATTCACACAATGAGAATGGTGGGGATTGGAAATTATCTAGCCAACCTAGTAGGCACTATCAATAAGATAGCATTTATATGAGATTGCCAGATGTCATTAAAAATGAGATTATGTCGAAGAAAGCCCTTTGTAAGTTGTTTTCAAATGTAGGCACTGCTCCTAGAAAATCACTGGAAGTCTCTTTGTGTAGCTGATTTATCAAGTAATCTAATGGGCCAACAAAACTAATGACTCCAAGAATGGCTTTCTAAGATGTGTCCTACTGAATCAGGCTCAAGCCTGCCCACAGGTTCCTGATGCTAATAGTTACAAACTGAGGAGTAGAGGCAGACCCCAGGGCCATTCTGGTTTGTTTGATTCTGGATGGCAGAGAAAGGGAGGGCTTCCATCCACAAGCTTTTTGATACTGCTCCTGTCTTGAGATTTGTGACCTTTTCTATGTTCCTGCCTAGAAAAGTCTTATTGACATCAGATTCTGAAAGTAGGTGCACCCTTTCCTCTTTGGCTGTCAATGTTCTGTTAATAATATAAGCTTACGTTTACTGAGTACTTACTATGTTCATATTTATTACCTTATTTAATCCTTATGGCAATTCTTAGAGGCAAATGCTAGTATTATCATATTTTAAAGATACAGAAATAAAGTGAGTCCCTGCTCTTTTGCTGTTCCCGTCTATCAAGGTGAACACCTAAAGAGGCCACTATAATACACAGTATGATAAGTGCCAGGATGCAAAGAATGGAGAAATTCATTGTGCTCTGGAAGAGCCAGAGACACTTCTAAAAAGAGGTGACACTAGGCTGGACCTTCAAGGATGAATAGAATTTGCCAAATGTAAAGGTTTCTAGGTGAAAGACTGACATGGCATGGGTGTGGTGGTGCTTGGCATATTTGGAGATTGGAAGTGATGTGGTGCACTTAGGGGCTGGGGCAGAGTCCAGTATGGCAGGGGTGGGAGGGGAGTGGAGGGGAGACAGCAGGGTGCCCATTAAGCTGGAAAGGGAGTTTGGGGTCAGAAGGTACAAAAATTGACATGCCGTGGAGTTGTCTCTTTGGGATATCTGAAATGTATCAAGACTGTGCACTTGTTAGAGGTTAAGAGAGAGAAAAGGATGGTTAAGAATTGAAGTAGGCTTGCTTGGTACCATGCTGTCTATGTTCCTGGAAAAGGCATGCCCAGCTACAGAGGGTAGTGCTTTCTCACCTTGAACCCAGTAACCTCAAGGGCAGGTAGTGTCTCTCCTAGCCTTGGATGGAAGAGTCTCATCCAAGCCCAATTATTCTTTTAGACACGAGGGAACCGAGGCCTGGGAAGTTGATGATACCCTATATGAGATCTACAGAGAAATCAGTTGTACCACTACCTTCTCTTAATGCTCACTCCTGAAAAGCCCCTCCCATATTGCACATCTTAAATCCCTTCACAGCTCAAGTGGTTACTGTACAAGGCCTGTTCCCACCTGACCTTTTTGTTTCTTCTGCCCAAGGCAGACTTGTGAGAAAAGGTGGTCTGATTGAAGGCTGGGAAATTAGGATTGATGACTCTATGTTGCCTGGCTATGAGACTTACAAAATCCTTTTAGGATTCTGGGATCCTTCTCTGAGATATTTGAAAGGGTTCACCATGCCATGAAGTTCATGTCTTTTTCTATGTCCCCCCACCCCCACTGGCATTATTCTACATGGAAATGACTGTGATCTGGAAGGCCCATAGACAGCAAGAACACATCTGTGTCCTCTGCAAGAATAGAAGCTATAGTTAAAGGACCTGTGCACCCACAGAGGAATGGACGTGGAATTAGGCATAGTATATAATTAGAGTAGAGCTATGGAGAAGGCACATTTTGGCTCCTAGAGCTCCCCAGCTTCCTTCTGACAATAAAAAAGGGGTAATGTGCAGTTAGTTGTTTTCAATAAAAGGAAGCAAAGGGATCAACTGGAGTTTTTAAAACTCTGTCTGTGTTTAGGCTGCACCGATTGCCTGTCCAAGGCAGTCTGACCTGCGTCAGGCCATCCTGAGGGAAGAGAGGTCACAGTTGGCCCCCCCACATCCAGAGGGAAATTTTAAAGTTCAGTAAACTACTGGGCAATTATGGATTGCTTGGCACACCAAAAAGTGATTTTGTCTTTGAAGCTGATGCTCAGACAACATCTCTGAGTCTCCGCTGTGCCCACTGAGGTGGACCCGTGGCCCCCTCGCCCACCATGAAAGAAAGAGCAGGCTGTTCTGAAGACATCTTTATTCCTGCTGAAACATGGGGGACCTGGTCCTTTCCTTGCTTGTCCCTCTCTGGATCTTATCCCTAGGTCATTCCCAAAGTACCATTTCCAAAGAAGGTCACCGTATGTCGGGAGCCGCTGAATAGCTGATCCCTGAGTTGGCTGCCTGAACACTAATAACTTTCTCCATCCTGGTCCCTTCCAGACATTGTACACTCTAAGGCTGCTGTGCGTTTAGAGGAAGATACTTCCGCTCTCAGCACTAGTAATAACTATTCACAATCATAATGAAGAGAAAAATCGCTCTTGTCAGAGTATCAGTGCCAGTTGAAAAGGCAGCTTGTTTGTTTTAATGTTGCTGTATCTCTTCAAGTTGGAATATGATGGCGGTCTCAGAATTGGCCTTCTCAGCTGAATGTGCTTGCCCTTTAGAAGGCACTCTATACAGGGTTCGTTATTCCACTGGCTGCTTGATATCCTACAGGGGAGCCTATTCTTGAGCTCGATGTCAGAAGATGAGCGTTGGATTAGCACTGAGAAGTCTGGGGGAGTCACTTACATCGAATCATTTGGCCTCTGAATTGTGGTTTTCTCAACAGTAAAATGGGGGTAATCCTAACCTGGCTTACAGGGTTATCAGGCTAGGATGAAATAGTATATGTGGAGGTGCTTGGTGAAACACTATGAAGACCTAAAGGATTGGGATTAACATTCATCATTGTTATGTGACTTAGCTGTTTGAGAGCGATTAATTTCCTTTTGCTTTGTGATACATGTTGAACACCTATTGTGTACTAAGAGACCTTGTCCTGGGCCTGGAGCTAGGACACAGGAGTGGGAAGATGACAGATTCAGTATCTGTGCTTGTGAAACTTACAAAGGCACCCTCGCCCGATAGAGAGGCTGTTCTTCCTGTACCGGTCCCATATGCACCTGCTTTCAAGTAAAGCAGACCTCTGCCTAGCCTTCAGTGATCTCTAATCCAGTGCTACAGTCAGACAGCAGCACAGCTTGCTTCCGGCTGAAGAACATTCTCAAGTGTTTAAGATCACTGAAAAGAATTGAGAGGAGTTATCAATTTTCCCTGATCAAAACCCCTCTGGCCAATGAATGTACTCAGATAGTATCTCATGGGTGCTCTGTGGTACAGTGTATATGGGTGCTTATCAACTATTCAAGGAACATACGTTCTTTATTGGTAACCTTTCAGGCACTACACACATAGAAGCTGAATTAAGGTATTCAGATGCAATTGTAGAAGTCACTATTTTTTCACTTTTCTGACACAAGGAAATTTTTCAGACATGTCTAACCTTTAAGAGTAGATTAGTGAAACCAATGTAATATGTGAGAAATAAACATCTTCAGTGACATCACTGAGGCACCCTGACATACGAGAAGTGATTCCACTGACTTTAGGATATACTTGAGTACACATAGGTAAGCCCCATGCAGGCTTTGTGTAAAATTCCCATCTCTATATCTTCATTTGCTATTTGTTAATTTTTGTTATATATGTACCACTCCACTATGGTGCTCTATTTACTTTCACCCTCACACATTTATAAACCACTGGCTTTAATCAAGAAACACTTCTTTAAAGAGGACTTAGTAAATGCTTTTCAGGAAGCACAGAACAGCCATTGACTTGGAACTAACTAAAAGCATTTGTCGTGCCCCCACCCCGGTCTACACAACCACTAGTGAGAAAAGAAAGCAGGAAAGCTTTGGGAACCACCTGAGTTTTTTTTGCACCTCCATTGCAAAGACTTCTTGAATGTTCCTAAAGAAAACAGAGAGAGCTATATGACAGATCTTAAGCTTCCCCAAAGAAAAAAAAAAACAGCTTATTTTTTTCTTAAGAATTCTCCTTCCATTCTCAAAACGACTGTGCTTTCCAATAAGTTGGGACCCGCTGGATTAACTCCTTGGAGACCCTAGCTGCCATTTTTCAGTCAGTTTTTTCTCCCAGTGTCCCGAGAGCAGGTTAAAATTCAAACATTTTATAGCCTCTGTGCACAAAAATAATGAGATTGAAGCTAAACTATAGGGGCTTGCTCTCAGCTAGTTCAATTGAATTAAAATAACACATACTTAAACATTTTAAAGTACTTAGCCAGGGTCTAGTTCTGCAATGGAGATTCTTAATTTAAAGGCTGTTTTTCTTCCTCTCACAAACAGTGGCCCAACCTTGAAGAACAGAAAGCTGCTTAGCACCCAAATGAACATGATTCCTTAAAACAAGCATAACACCCTTGGCTCCATTCCAGATCTCGTTCATGCCACAGTTCATCTGGATTCCTATAATTCCTGTATGTTCCCATATCTTAATTGCCCATAGCTGTGTTGCCAGTACAAACAGGATGAGGGAAGAGTGCACACCCTTAATGAATACATCTACCAACCCTAAGAAAGCACCATCATTTGAAACTCTCAATATTCTTTCTGGCACTAAATGGCCATCTACTGAAGTGCTAATATGGATATCTGGTAACTTAACGTTTCTTCCGAGCAATGCTTACTCCCTACTATCTTTATATTCTAGATAGAGGGCTACCATTTGGCATAAACAAAAATTCAGACTTTCCATTCAGCTTTTCAAGGAAGTATATTTTGAAACGAATTCCTCAGAGTGCTGATTAATAGAGGATGGGCATTCTGGGCTAAGGTGGGTTCCAGAACCTTCCTGAGTTCTGTCCCACTGGCCATTTTCCTTGATGATTTGCAGTAGGACACAGCTGGCCTACTGGTCCCCCTTGAAGAAGATGTGCTGCTGGGCAAACTGGAAGACTCACTGTGGTGGTAGTGTGTGCCTGTACAGGTCCAGAGCCCCTGCCCGTAGACTTGGCTGTGTCCCTGGAGTTGAGCAGCACAGTGGGAAGTGCCTAGTACAGAAGAAGCACCTCAGAAGGAATAAGTTCTAGTGTGAATTCAGGTCCTTTTCCACCTAAACAAACTTGAAGACCTTTGTTCCTTATCTGTGAGTTTTGGGGATTGAATGAAATAACATCAACGATTCTTCATTTTATTACACAACACTGTGCCCTGCAGTATCATTTAACAAATGAATGCACAGGCTCACCACATCAGACTTCAAATCCTTCTCAGCATATTTAAAATCAGGACTTAAATCAAATAAGTATACCCTGAATAGGAGTATATTGTAAATATTGCACAGGGTGTAAGCGTAAGATGATGACATCTGCAAAACTGTTTGTGTGGAAAAGACCAAAGACTTGTAATTTATTAGACATTCAGAATACAAAGAATGTATGATGTGAGTGCAAAGGTCAAAAAATAGAATAATTCATTGTTGGGATGCATTCATAAAAGCATAAGTTCCACATAAGGAAGGGGATAGATAGTTCTACTCTATTCTGCCTTGAGAATTATGTTCAGATGTAATGGTTCAGGTTTAAGATTGGGGCAAAGTAGAGAACAACTAGAACAAGTGAATGGCTTTCATGACAAAATGTGAAAGGAAAGATGGGATGTTTGCTTACAGAAGAAAAGAGATGAAGAAGAGAAGATGCAAAAACTGGCTTCAAAAACTGGCTTGATCGGCCAGGCACGGTGGCTCACGCCTGTAATCCCAGCACTTTGGGAGGCCAAGGTGGGCGGATCACAAGGTCAAGAGATCGAGACCATCCTGGCCAATACGTGAAACCCCATCTCTACTAAAAAAATAAGAATAAAATAGCCGGGTATGGTGGCGGGTGCCTGCAGTCCCAGCTACTCAGGAGGCTGAGGCAGGAGAATGGTGTGAACCCAGGAGGCGGAGCTTGCAGTGAGCCGAGATCATGCCACTGCACTCCAGCCTGGACGACAGAGCAAGACTCCGTCTCAAAACAAACAAACAAACAAACAAACAAAAAACTGGCTTGATCTAAGTAGGATCGAGTGGAAAGGGAATAGATCATCTTATGTGGCTGAACTAGACCCACTTATGTGGTGTAGCTCTTGTAGAAAGCAGCTGTCAGCCTGAGGTAGGGAAGAACTCTTGTACTGTTGGAACAATGGTCAGAGGCTGAAGTGGGCCACCTGTCTGGGTTCTAAGTTCTCTGTCACTGAAGGGTTCTGAGAGAAACTGTCTTGTCTTGTCTTGTAAAGAAAATTGCAGTAAGAAGAGTTTGATGCTTATAAGAGAGAGCACCTAGTAGGTGCCAGGCAACCCCTTTGTGTGCTATCATTTCTAATTTCAATAAAGACTTGCAGAGAAATTGAACATCAGCTGTCTTTGCTTTTTACTTCTCTAAAACTGGATAATCCAGACCATGTATTCCTCTTCGTATTTATTCACTCTCAAGCCATTAATTTAATGTGCTAGTAATAACAGCCCATGCCACTTGGTTAAGTTGGTAAACAGCTTGCAATCCTAGCAGGGTGTGCCCCGCCACTTATTAGCTTAAGCTTTAGGGCAGAGCAACAAATCAGCACAGTGCCTCAAAGTAATTAGGCAATTCCCTTACAGAAAAATTAGCCCACAAGCAAGAAGCTTACAGAAAACACAAAGAAAATCTCACAGTACAAGACATGCATTGGCCATTACATGCATCACTGCTATAATTTTGAAAAGATTAGAGAAAGATTTTCGGCTAATAATGACCCGCTACACCCATTAAGCATGTCAAAAGTCCATACTAGTCATTACAGAGCTGCAGGGGAAAGTGCATTCGTTTCTGGAAAGGGGAATGTTGGCGTTTATTTGTTGTGGGATAAGAGTGCTTTCTTTGCAGGGATGAGCAAGAATGTCCAATGCTGAGCAAGGATGTCCAGGGCTGTGTGGTTTAAGTCCTATTTTGCCAATGCTTGGTGTCATCCTGCAAAGATTTTACCCTTCAGTTTCTTAATCTGTAAAAGAGATCAAAATAAAATGTGCTTCTAATCTATTAAAAGGTTAAGGATGAGATCCTAAATTTCCAAGTTTAATTCATTAAAGGAATCAACACAGGCCGGCTTCCTTCTACTGATCTTGTTTGAAGCCTTTACTGCATTCTAGAATGGTATATGGTTATCTGTGTCATGGGCTCACTGGCCTCATTAAAAGCCATGAAAGAACCAAAAAGATGACTATTTTGCTCCCTGGATATCACAGCAAACAAAAGCACAGATTGAAGGGAAGTGAGAAAAAGAGGAGAGAAAGAAAATGGAGCAAAGGAAGTAGAAAAGATAGGAAGGGAGAGAGAAAAAGAAAAAAATAAAGTTATCTGCTTTAAGGGATGAGATTATGGCAGAGAAGAGCTGCTTCAGTGGCCTGTTCCAGCTGTGAGGACCACCTGCCCCGATGAGGCCATTGGGAAGGGACATATCACATTCACGGTTTACCTGCCCACAAACGTGGGTGCAGCCATACTCTTCATGCTCATGGGCTCTGAGACTCCTCTACGTTAGGCATCGGCCTCTTTTTTTTTTTTTTTTAGACAGAGCCTTGCTCTGTCGCCCAGGCTGGAGTCCAGTGGCGCAATCTCGGCTCACTGCAAGCTCCACCTCCCGGGTTAACGCCATTCTCCTGCCTCAGCCTCCCGAGTAGCTGGGATTACAGGTGCCCACCACCATGCCTGGCTAATTTTTTTTTGTATTTTTAGTAGAGACGGGGTTTCACTGCGTTAGCCAGGATGGTCTCGATCTCCTGACCTCGTGATCCGCCCGCCTCGGCCTCCCAAAGTGCTTGGATTATAGGCGTAAGCCACCGCACCCGGCCGGCATTGGCCTCTTAACATCAACAGTTGGCCTGCCCTTTCAGCACCCAATGCTTTTACTGCTAACACCCAGTACACCCTACACAAACTGCCTGCACAACCCTGAGCCTGATGAGGAATGTAGAGGAACTGAAGTGAAATAGGTGTCTCCGTGTAGGTGGGGTTTTATGAGGATGATGGAAACTTTGGAATAGAAACTGGAAACCCCATGTCTGACACAGTTCAAGAAAACTAAACACCATGGGCCGGCACCACTGTTATTTTACTTTTTTTTTGCGCAGTGTAAGAAGGAGCCCAAACACTCATGCTGACAGTACGCACAGTCTCAAATAGCAGTTAGATGAAGGCCAAGTCACGTAAGCTGATGCCGACACAATTAGACTCACCATTGCCAACAGCTCGTCAAGTCTGATATCATCCCCCTCTCGGAGACTCTGTCTTTACATAGCAGATGCTCTGGTGCTGTGTTACATGTAATAGGTGGGATGGCCGGAGAGAAAATCAGAAACCACCGCTGATGCGCTGTTTATTTCTTAGTCATTTTATGTTAAATTGCTGTGACTTGAACGTCAGCAGTGTTTGGGATGTGGTAGTGAAATAAAATCCATATCCAGTGTGCCAAGACAAATTTCAGAAAACCCCAAAACACAATTGTCTTGGTTTCTTGCTGGCTGTGTCTGTGCACACACAAATAGTAGCTAGTTTATTGCCCTCCAACCACTCGGTGGGTTGCTTGTCTTGCCACACTCTGGGGAATGGCTAATGAACCCCAAACTACTTCCTTCAAAGCTGGGGATGTCAGGAATGAGGGGCCACTACACATTCATTAAGCATGTCAGAAGTCCACACCAGTCACTGCTGAGCTGCAGGAAAAGTGCAGTCATTTCTGGAAAGGGAAATGAGGGGGTTTGTTCTCTTCATTCTGTGGGCTTGTGAATAAGAGCCAGGGGATACCACTGAGAACAGCAGCACTAGGCACCAATGTATGGGGATCTGAAAGACCCTGGGCAATACTGGTATTAGTAAAGTGCTTCTCACTGGGAAACTTTCACACTGGGTGAGCCCCCAGGTCTCCACATCAGGTGCGTTCTCTTAGGGAGTATCCGTGAAAATACTATGGCCTTGCATTAAAGTTTTTCAAGCTTTACTTCAAGGTCAAACTTATCTCTAGTGGAGGAGGAGCTGCTGCCTTGTTATTTTATTTGTATTTTGTTGCCACCACGCTCCATTGCATGTGTTGGTGTTTCTGCCTGGCGTGGTAGTCATACCTTCAACTCAGGACTCCTTTGCACAGAAGGCAGGATATTATACTGAAAAGCTTTGGATTCAAAGGCTAGCCTCACTTCGACTTTAGCCCAAAGTTATTTTACTTTCCTCACTCTTGATTTATTTTCTTTTCTTTTTCTTTTTTTTTTTTTTTGTTGAGATGGAGTCTCGCTCTGTCGCCCAGGCTGGAGTGCAGTGGCGCAATCTCGGCTCACTGCAAGCTCTGCCTCCTGGGTTCACACCATTCTCCTGCCTCAGCCTCCAGAGTAGCTGGGACTACAGGCGTCTGCCACCACACCTGGCTAATTTTGTTTTGTATTTTTAGTAGAGACGGGATTTCACCATGTTAGCCAGGATGGTCTCGATCTCCTGACCTCGTGATCCACCCACCTCGGCCTCCCAAAGTGCTGGGATTACAGGTGTGAGCCACCGCGCCAGGCCTTGATTTCTTTATCTGTGAAATGGGGATTAAAAAATGGCCTTTGCAGTGATGAAGTTAGTAAAGGTATTATAAAATGAGAAGGGGACATAAAATAGAATTCTGAGCCTGCAGTGAAATCAGGTCATTCTTTTTGGAGTAGGAAAGGTAGGATGGACATTTTTCATTCCTCTCTAGCTAGTTCATGACGCTGAGTAACCAGAAGGGAAGCCTGGTCAAGTGCATTGTGGTTAGACCATCATAGTCTAGGGCAGAAGTTCTCAAACTTGAGTGTAAAAAAGAATTGCCTACTATTCACCCAGTAGATCTAATATGGAACCAAGTAACAAGCATATTAATAAGCCTATCAGGTGATTTTGATGCAGGGGGTGAGTAAACAAATATCTAACTAACATAGTGGAATTTAGGGAAGAAAAACAATTTTTGGAGGCTCCATCGGTGGAGAGCATGATGTAATGGCAGAACTGGAAGTGGGCTGCCAGGCCATCTAGCTCACCCTGCCACCATATTCAGGAAGCCCCACTGCATCTTTTGGGACAGACTGCGCCTTGTGAGTACACAGGTTCTTCCAGGGAGGCCAGTGAGGTGTGATCTCTCACAACCTTGAAAGAGAGTGAGTTGTTTGGTTTCTTTTTTTTTTTTAATCTTCTAAATTTTTAGAAAATTATTTTTATATTGAGTCAAACTGTGGCTCCTTGGCTATATAGAAAGTAAGTCCCTGAAATCTTTGAAATCCCTTGAGATTTGATATCCCTAAGTCTTCCCTTCTTCAGTCTGAGTACTACCAGTTTCTTTCAGTGAGGGGTGCTGATCCTGGCTGTACATTTAAAATCATCTGAGGAACTTAAAACTAAGTCCACCCCAGTCAATTAACTAGACTTTTAGGGACTTCAACCCAGGCATCAAGATTTTCAAGTTCCTCCGTTGATTAAAATGTGCAGTCAAGGCAGACTACTACTGCAAATCATAGAGGAATCCTATTTTTCCAGTTTAAGAGCTTTAGAACTCTTCCTCTTTTCTCTGTCTTACTCTTTTTTTCTAGGTATAAAGCCTGATCCAAAGTTTAGGTGCTTGAGCCAGGTGCAGTGGCTCACGCCTGTAATCCCAGCACTTTGGGAGGCGGAGGCAGTGGATCACCTGAGGTCAGGAGTTTGAGACCAGCCTGGCCAACATGGTGAAATCCCGTCTCTACTAAAAATACAAAAAATTAGCCAGGCGTGGTGGCAGGCGCCTGTAATCCCAGCTACTCAGGAGGCTGAGACAGGTGAGTTGCGTGAACCCAAGAGGCGGAGGTTGCAGTGAGCTGAGATTGCGCCATTACACTCCAGCCTGGGCCACAGAGCAAGACTCCATCTAAAAAAAAAAAAAAAGGCCGGGCGCGGTGGCTTATGCCTGTAATCCCAGCACTTTGGGAGGCTAAGGCAGGCGGATCACGAGGTCAAGAGATTGAGACCATCCTGGCTAACACGGTGAAACCCCGTCTCTACTAAAAAATACAAAAAATTAGCCGGGCATGGTGGTGGGTGCCTGTAGTCCCAGCTACTCGGGAGGCTGAGGCAGGAGAATGGCGTGAACCCGGGAGGCTGAGCTTGCAGTGAGCCGAGATCGCGCCACTGCACTCCAACCTGTGCAACAGAGCGAGACTCCGTCTCAAAAAAAAAAAAAAAAAAAGTTTAGGTGCTCCTTTGTCTTTCTGTATTTCTTTGTAGATTTCTTTTCTTCTGTCGTATATTTCAGCAGTTCTGAAATGTTAGGGTACATAGGAATTGCTCAAGGAGTTTGCTAAAATGCAGACCACCATCCATACTCTTTAAGAAAGACTGTTATATAGGATCCATATATCCACTGCAATGAGCAGGAACCTGTGCTGCTTTGTAAGCCTCGTTTAGCTTTGCCTCTAGGAGGGGGACTAGCTTGGACTTGATGTTGAGGTAATCGGTGAGTACCTCAGGCAGGAGGATAAACAAAACCTCCAGGCCACTACCAATTCCGTTCATACCCACACCTTCTGTGTTTCACTTTGAACTACTGACCTTTCTGGCTTATCTTGGAAAATCCCCCACGAGGACACTGAGACCAGTGCTTGTCTGTCCTTGACAATTGTGGTCAGTGCTGACTCCAAGAAAGCTGATATTAAACACTAAAGCCTCCTTCTTCTTTTCCCCGGACTTTATCAATCTGCTTTTAATTGTTAACTAGGACTGGTTTCACCAGCTAGGAGTCAACCAGTATGTAGTCACACATTGGTTCTCAAACTTTGATGAAATGGTGCCATCAGACTTTCCTGGATGATTCACATTTATCACGGATTCCTAGGCAAGGCTGATGCCGTGGGCTGGGAGCCTCACTTTAAGAACCACTGCTTTAGCAAATACAGCAAATACCTATAGGTTCTTGACCCAAGCATTTCAACATTCACGCACTTTCTTCCTGCCAGTTTTGTGGTGTAACCAATCTAAGAGGGAATAAACAATAGATAGATGGCTGAAGCATTGCCCTCCTGAAGGGCTGAACCCTAGACATCATTGGGGGACTTCTTGCAAGCCTCAAATCTACATTCTGTTTCAGAGCTCATCACATATGAGTGACATTGTAAGACCTTTATTCAGTTTTGTTTTTTTATTAACCTTTAACTTTATTTTGAAATTATTTTATTTTATTTTATTTTATTTATTTATTTTTTATTTTATTTTTTGAGTTGGAGTCTTTCTCCGTCACCAGGCTGGAGTGCAGTGGTGCAATCTCGGCTCGCTGCAACCTCTGCCTCCCGGGTTCAAGCGATTCTCCTATCTCAGCCTCCCGAGTAGCTGGGGCTATAGACGCCTGCCACCACGCCCAGCTAATTTTTGTATTTTTAGTAGAGACGGGGTTTCACCATGTGGCCAGGATGGTCTTGATCTCTTGACCTCGCGATCTGCCTGCCTCAGCCTCCCACAGTGGTGGGATTACAGGCGTGAGCCACTGTGCCTGGATTATTTTAATTTTTTTTAGAGACAGGTCTCACTCTGTTGCCCAGGCTTCAGTGCAGTGACTCAGTCATGGCTCACTGTAGTCTCACCCTCTCAGGCTCAAGTGATCCTCCCACCTCAGCCTCCCAAGTAGGTGGGAGTTACAGGCACATGCCACATCACCCAGCTAATTTTTTATTTTTTAATAGAAATGGGGTCTTGTCTTGCTTTGTTGCCCAGGCTGGTCTCAAACTCCTAGCCTTAACCAATCCTCCCACTTTGGCCTCCCAGAGTGCTGGGATTTTAGGCATGAGCCACTGTGCCAGGCCTGAAACAATTTTAGACTCACAAGAAATTGCAAAAATAGTACAGAGAGTTCCTATATACCCTTCAACAGCTTCTCCTAATGATGATCACAACTGTAGTACGTTTTCAAAGGGGATGGATAACCCATTTACCATGATGTGATTATTAGGCATTGCATGCCTGTATCGAAGTATTTCATGTATCACATGAATATATACACCCTTACTAGGTAGCCACAAAAATTAAAAATTAAAAAAAATTAGTACATATAAAAACCGAAGAAATCCAAGCCTAGTTAATAGTATTGTACCAATGTCAATTAAACTTTTTAATAAAAATAGTCCTAATATGAACATTGTAGTGAAAGGTGAAATTGCTTGATGCAGAGCTGTTTAGTGGAAAGTTAGGATTTCTCTTGTCACCTTTTCTGATGGTCAGGTTTATAGTAAAACAGGTGAAATGTTAAAGGATAGTGGTGGGGAGTCTGTGAGAACTTTGGGGACTGGAATTGCTCCCTACTCAGTGGAAAGGAATTAGAGTATATAGCGTCATGTATAAACTGCCCCAGGACACTTAGCTCCTCCTGTTCTTTCTCTCCTCTTCTAATTTGGTCTGTCAGGCTATCAGAGCACTGTCTCTCGGGGGCATTCATGAAAGGCCCACTGACCACCTGGCAGTTCTGTTACGGTATGGGAAGGGAGGCAGGGAGGAAACTGTGTGGAAATTTGTGCTAGACCCAGCGCTCCAACTTTCCATCTGCTTACTTATAGAATCCTGACAATATGACCCAATACATATGAGGTAGAAAATTATTTACTTCATTATATAGATGAAGAAACAGGCTCAGAAAAGCCAGATAATATCCCTGTTGCCACAAAACTAGGAACTGGTTGATTCAGTTCAACCAGTTCATTCTTAACTGGATTAGAATTCAGATAGCCTTGAAGGTCCTTTAGTACTTAAGAATCCTATAACTATATGAGGCTTCGGCAGGGCTAGCTACAAAATTTGCAGAATCCTTTTTCAATATGAAAATATGGGGTCTCTTGTTCAAAAAAAAAAAGAAAAGGAGTACTATTGAAGATGCTAAAATATAAAACTTTTTCCTTTGTTCCATGGTCTCCCTCTCTCTGTCTCTCTCGCTCTCCAACTGTCACGGTGTTTTTTTATGTGCTGTTTGATATTGTGCTCACTTGGGCATGGGGATGCTCCCAGAGTGACAGGAGACTTTCATGGGGACCTGAGACCCTTGCCCTAAAACTTGGAACATGTAGTCCAGCAGCTGCTGGGGTCCCCCTGCCACAAGCCCACAAGATTGATAACACATTGAGCCAGGTATCTCCCTTCCCATGGGACTGCCACTTCAACCCATAGGGTTGCAAACTCTGCACTGGGATGTGCTTGGTACCTGGATTAAGAGGGTGCATGAAAATCTCAGAAATCACCCATTAAAGAACTCATTCATGTCACCAAAAAGCACCTGTACCCCAAAAAGTATTGAAAACATTTTAAAAAAAGGAGTGGGTGAGAGACGTGCTTCTACTGGGTTGCTCCCTGAACATATTGTGGCACTGCCAGCTTGTGGTGGGGACAGCTGCCACCAGGCTTTTTCCTGAAATGGCATGGGTTGTGTGCCTGACCCCAACTGTCATTGGGTGGAGGAAAACAGTGGCCACTGGGCGGGCCAGGGAAGGCAGGGTGAGATTGGGGACACCAGAAGGCAAGGGGTAGGAGGCAGAGAGTCCTGGGCAAGTGGACAGGTGACAGGAGGTGGGATGGCACAGGGCTGAGGTCCCCAGCCCTCTGTGCATGCTCCATTGTCCCATAAGACCTCGCTTACAAAGCATCAATTCAAAAATAAAATGATTGAGAATTTCAAGATGGTGACTAGAGAGGCCACAGAGCACTAAATTCAGGTATGAGACCTTTCTGAGGATGGAGACCCTGTGCCCCTGTGCTGGCCACACGCTCATGAAGTGGAGAAAAACTATAAGGAAAGATTTGTGAGTTCAAAATACTTACATACAATACGTTGGTAAATTTTTTGGAGCAGATACAAGTCAACATATAATGTTCATACAGTAGTATGTGATTAAGTGCTGTATTTAAGCTTTTTGTATACTGTTACTTTGGAAATTAGTGACTAGTTAGATTTTCTCAGGTTTTTTTTCTCTCCCTTCCGTCCCCAAAATATGGTTTTGCAGGCATGTGTGGCCAAGGTTGAGGTGAGGGGGACACCACTTGATGACATACTGGAATCTTCTATGTGCAAAATTTTCCCCGGGAGGAAGGCCCATGAGAAAGCCTGGGAGGAGGACCAGAATCAGCCTCCTGGTGTGAAATCCAAAGGGTTGAAGGAAAATCGATTTGATTGAACTGAAAAAGTAGGTCAGAAATTGAGAGAAGGAGCGGGCCAGGATGTGAGTGTGGATAAGTTGGCAAAGGTCAAACACAAGTACCTGACCACCTGGCAATGGAATAGGAACTGGGATGCGCATTACAGAGGACTTTAGCGAGAACTCCCATTCCAAAGGGGGAAATGAGTTCTTGGAGGAAGCAGAGGAAAAAGCTCCATCCCTCCAAGACTAAGCGGGTGGATCAGAGCTGCACAAGCCATTAAGCCCCTACCCCGGGCTCCCTCAGTGGAGGGCGGGAGCCTGCCGCGTCCCGACTGGGCATCAAGGGGCCTTTTTGGGTCTCCCTGCTCCGTGTATAGGGTGTTTATGAAGTAAAGGCAGGGTCAAAGACTGTGCTAGAGCAATTGACAGTAATTTTGTTGTTTCCAAATGAGGAGACATTTGGCCAGTTGCTCATGTTCCTCAGCCAGCCAGGGGGCTTGTGACCCAGAGCAGATGACAGCACAGGACAGCTGGCATCAACCCCTGGAAGGGGTAGTTGGTTCTTCAGTTGACAGTTTTTACCACACTCTCGTATGCTGGAGCAGGAGTACAGGCAGGGAAGGCTACCGGCTCCTCCCGGCCTGGTCGCTTCACCATGGTTACAACACCAAAGCAGTGGCTGATGGGGGCTGCTCAGCAGTCCTTTCACTGTGTGTGTTAGCTACTTCTACTTATAAAACAAGGACCAAAAATGCAGATTTGTGTTATTAGACAGTTGAAATATAAACAGCCTAAATGCTTATAAGAGCCAGAGGGGAGGAGGGCTGTTTGCCAATGTATAGGAAGCCCAGCTGAACAACTGTACTTAACTAGCAAGCTACTCCTGTAAATATTTGCAAACTCCCCTTCAAAGCTCAAAAGCCTAGGACAGGATCATTGGATGATTTGCTTAGAAGAAGAAGAAACAAAATTGACCTCATGGTCTGAGGCAGCCATAAAAAGAAAAGAGTGTGGATGGGCAGAGGACCAGAAAAGGGGGGAAAAAAATGGTCCAAAGTTTAATAAACACAAAAGAGATAAAAATAAATCTCAAGAGCACTTATTTACAAACTTGATGGAAGGATAAGATTGAGGCAGGCGTGTGTGAAAGATGGGTGTTTGTGAAAGTGGAAGAGGCCTGCAGGGATTCCACTGAAAGAGGCGGGGAAAATTGAATGAGATGTTTACTCTTCCTAACGACAGGAAACACGCTAAATTAGCTTCTCTATTCCAGGATGCTCCTTCAAAGGATGTTTGAAGCTTCTGCTGTCTAATGCGGAGGCTCTGCGAAGATGAATGCAGCATCAGCCTGTGGAAGGTTTTGGCCAAGACGGTGTGCAATGCCAGAAAGCCTGGCCCCAGACTGGCCTAGGCTTCTCTGGTTGTCTGGCCTGTTTTCAGCTGAGCTGGTCGGCATAGGACCAGCTGTTCCAATCATGGGGGCGGGCATATTCCAGAGGAGAAAAAGTTCTATTTGTTCTCAGCAGCTACCTTGTCAAAATGCTGTGTGCTAGGGGGCTCCAAAAGCCTTTCTGCGTGCACCAGTGCCCCCTGGCCTGGAAGCCGCCCATCAACTAATTCGCAGTGGTGATGCGGCGGATCATCACCATGTCTGCATGAATACTTTTTTTCTTTGAAACCTGGATACTTTGGATTTTTTGGGGTTTTTTTGTTTGTTTGTTTGTTTCTGAGACTTCTGACTCCTGGGTTATAAAGCCTCAATTCACACAGTCATTTTCTGAACCAGTATGGAGGAGACTGGTGTAGAAATTCCCCGCTTCTCCGTGGGCCTGTGTGCTGAGAGTCACACATATATAGGGGAAGGAGATGGGTTGGGAGAAAGTTCCTATGAAGGAAAAAATTCAGGCTCTTAAGATGAGAAAATGTTGGTGTGTTCCTAGCATCTTTTTTTCTTCAGTGTAATCGTCAGGGCATGGATTTCCCAATAAATCACGGAAGGTATTTATTTCTATTTTAAGATCGGCAAGATGGCTCATTTATTTAATAAGAAGTTAGTGTTGCCAACAGTCAGATGCCTGAGTCTTTCAAGAGACTCCTGTTGATGACCAACTATGCAAACGGGATATTTGGTGAACCCTGTCCAGATACGTGGGAAAGAAGAAAGACCTGGCAAATACAGTCTCTGCCCTCAAGATTCTTAAAATTTCACAGGGGAAACAAAATAAACAAACATAATGCAGAAGTAATAAAAACATTTATAAAGAAACATGAACAACCGTGAATGATTATTTGTAATGAAGTCAGATAATTGAAGAGTGGGTAGAAAGAAATGGAGCCACTAGAGTTGGATGAAACACTCTGGAAAGGGGAAAGAAAGTGTGTAGGAGATTTTGGAAGAAGATTGTAGAAACATACCTGTAACAAGTGGTCTGCACAGTGTAGATGCTTGATAAATGAATATTGTATTTGAAAGCATGGAGTTAGAATAGGACCTGCTCTGGTCTTTGTATAGCCTCAGTTGCATATTCAAAGACATTGGCAGATTACAAAAAAAAAAAAAAAAAAAAGCCAGCACAACTCTAAAGCAACCCAGGAGCTTGATTGATTGATTGACTGATTGATATTTGAGATGGAACCTCACCCTATTGCCCAGGCTAGAGTATAGTGTTGTGATTTCAGCTCACTGCAGCCTCCGCCCCCGGGGTTCAAGCAATTCTCCTGCCTCAGTCTCCGGAGTAGATGGGATTACAGGTGCGCGCCACCACGCCTGGCTAATTTTTGTATTTTTAGTAGAAACAGGGTTTTGCCATGTTGGCCAGGGCTGGTCTCAAACTCCTGACCTTAAGTGGTCTGCCCACCTCAGCCTCCCAAAGTGTTGTTGGAATTACAGGCGTGACCCACTGTGCCCGTCCTTCCCAGAAGCTTTAAAATGTCATGTACCATCAGCAACTCTGTATTTTACATGGTTTAGAACTGAAGGAATTTGTGCCAATTCTTTTTCTTCATTAGCTAGGATGACCTCCCGCCAACAGACATTATCCTGCATAAAGAATTTTAAAACTGGATCTGGTATAAGCTAGTACGTGGGTTATACTTTTGTTTATTCAAATTTCCTCATCATAACTTGACTAGAGAATATGTTAAGTCATATGTGTGTGAAAAACTAAAATATTGAAGCCAAAAGAGATTCGATATATGAGCCTGGTTAAAAAAAGATTATTTGGATGACAAACTTTCAAGGAAAAAAAATACATGGGCAAACTGCTGGCCATTAGGAACTATTTTCTTGGCACATCTGATTAAAGTGTATGCAGGCCTGACAGCTCTCTCCAGGCATGAACTGTCATAAACTTGTTCCAATTCAAAACCATCTATGATTTCCACCAGTCTGTCAGCCTTCAAAGGATGGGGTTAACTGCATGCTTTCAAATGGAGTTGGAAGTGGTTTGTTAATCTCTATTAATTTGCTACTCCTGTAACTAAATGCACATGTTTATTTTATTTCTTTTTTTTCTGGTTACATTGTTAATGGTATTAAACTGGCCGTTGGAAACTATTCTGTAGATATTTCCCTTATGGTTTCTTGGGATTATCTCACGCTACAGTCTTCTCTGAAAGCACAATGGATTTTATCATTTTCAATGATTGCCCTAATTTTTTACAGATGCCATCCCGCCCACTTTCTACAGACCCTACTTCAGAATTGTTCGATTTGACGTCTCAGCAATGGAGAAGAATGCTTCCAATTTGGTGAAAGCAGAGTTCAGAGTCTTTCGTTTGCAGAACCCAAAAGCCAGAGTGCCTGAACAACGGATTGAGCTATATCAGGTAATGTTCATTTGTTGTTGTTGTTGTTGTTGTTGTTGTTGTTTTAGACAGACTCTCTCTCTCTCTCTCTGTCACAGGCTAGAGTACAGTGGCATGATCACAGCTCACTGCAACCTTGAACTCCTGGGTTCAAACGATCCGCTTGCCTCAGCCTCCCTAGTCAATGGGACTGCAGGAGTGCACCATCACACCCGATTATCTTTTTAAAAAACTTTTTTTAGATACGAGGTCTCACCGTGTTGCCCTGGCTGATCTGGAACTCCTGGCCTTAAGCAATCTTCCCACCTTGGCCTCAAAAAGTTTGGGGATTACAGACATGAGCCACCATACCTGGCTCATTTAGGTTGTTGTAATGGGCAATCAGTTTGAGGTCTTAGAGTAAAAGAATTCTAGTGTCTTAGATTTTCTTAGCTGATATAAGCCATGCTATATATTCACAATCGTGATATAGGCCCTCATTTACTATTACTGTTCTAGTAATAGCTTGTTCCTAATCACTCAGGAGGGAAGAACCCTTTAGAATGCAGTATTGAAGCTCTGAGCACACTTCCTCAGTTGCATGAACAGCTGGAGTATGTACTCTTCAGAGGGTTTGGTTCCAGAAGTCAACCCGTTAAACTATAAAGTCAGATAATGTAGGTCCGATTTCTTCCTGGGGAACAGTCAGTTGACCTTCCTTTATTCATCCTATAGCTGTTTCTTTCTCCTTTTCTATGATTTTCTCTTTGTTTTCTTATTGTCTTCTCTCTTCCTTTTTCACTTTTTTCTCCTCTCTTTGCAACCTCCTTCTCTTTATTAACTTTATCCCGTTTCCTTTTCCTTTCTAATTCTACCCACTGTCTCCAGTCTACCCACTCAATACACACACACACACACACACACACTTTCCTCCATTATTTGGACAGCCCTGATGTCTCCTGTTCTCATCTTTGTAGTGGAGTTGGAGTTGGTGGGCAGCTGCGTCAAAATGTAATGATGATGATGATGAAATGCCAACTTGCTGAGATTTTCAGAGATGTTCTTAAAAGCTTGTTACCCGAGTGTAGTCTACAGGGCATTTGCATCGGCATCACCTGGGGCTGTGAGAAATGTAGAATCTCAGGCCCCACCCTAGACTTTACAGAATCAGAATCCCCATTTTAACAAGATCCGCAGGTGCTTCTTGTGCACATTAAAGAACCACTTGAAAAATCCTGAGTCTGGTGCAGCCTTGTAAACAGGCAACTTAAATACATCCTGATGCCATATGAATAGTGGTACTTGCATATAGGGTATAGGCGGGGAAATTTCACCAGGGAGCTGACATTTTGATGAGGCCTTGAGACGTATCTATTAAAACCTGATGGGGGATCATCATTCTTGGCAGGAAGGGCAGGCACTGCAAAGACAGTCTTGAATGGGCTTGCTGAGGGTACCTGATGCATAGCGCTCAGTGCCTGGAGGTGAGGAGAGACTGGGGAGAAGGTGGCCCTCCAAAGATAGTGTGTAGAGTGACACTACAGAGGATTAAGAAAAAACCCCTTGGGATCCCCGTGATAAGGGGTATATATGTGTGACAATATGATTAAAACATGGGATTACTTGAGAAAAAGAAATTGGCATCTATGTGCAGAAACCGCTAGTTTTTCTGGACTCTAATCATTTGGAATTTGTGATAATTAGGATCAAAATTTTCTTTGTATTCATTATGAAAATAGAGAACTACCACACAAATGAATATGAGACCTGAAGAATAGTTTAAAATACTTAAAGCAGTCATTTTGTTTTCTTTTTCTGTTTTTTTGAGACAGCATCTTGCTCTGTCACCCAGGCTAGAATGCAGTGGTGCAGTCATAGCTCACTGCACCCTCAACTTCCAGGGCTCAAGCGATCCTACAGGTGTGCATCCCCACGCCTAACTCTAATGTATTTTTCTGTTTAATTTTTAGTACAGATGAGTTCTCGCTTTGTTGCCAAGGCTGGTCTCTTAATTCTTGAGCTCAAGAGATCATCCCACCTCTGCTTCCCAATGTGCTGGGATTACAGGCATGAGGCACTGTGCCTGGCCCCAGTTTTAAAGTACTAGTTCACATGTGTGTTCATGAAGAATAATTCTTACTTATTTAAATAGGCCCTCGAGAACCTGTTTTTGAGACTTTTAAATCCTAACTGGCATTCTGGGTAGCACCAATGGGCCAGCCGTTGCTCGTCGCCCCAAGGTCAGAGAGCATGCTTGTGTGACCAGACACTATGCTGAGCAAAGACTCAGAAGTATTGTTTCCAATGATACTCACAGCTATACTATGAAGTTTGTACAATGAAGTATTCTTTCTGCTATTATATTCTTTTCCATTTCACAGAGAATGGTGCTAAATCCCAGAGAAATTAAGTAACTTGGCCAGGGTCACACAGGTGGGAAATGGCAGGGCTGGGATACAAATCCACCTCGGACTCCCAAGTCCCTCCTGCCCCTCACCACATACTATGCTATTCCTAGCAAAATTTTCCCTTTCTCTTACCCTTGGGATCAGCCAGAATAGAAGAATAATAAGACAAACTAGGCTAGAGGATGAAGTAATATTTGGAGGGGAAGCAAAAACTGGTTCCTATGAAAAAAAGCCAGATTAAGGGTAGCCAGATAAATTACAAGATGATTTAAACAAACAAACAAAAAACATGATTATATCTCCTTTTTCTTCTCTTTTTTACCAATTAAATCACCCTTAAATTTCCTTCTTTGCTGACGATAGCATCATAGGTTGCTCTCTTTGGCCCTACTTTAGTTACATGGCTTCAGTAAATTGGAGGCAGGGTCACCTAGGTCCTGTTACCTGTAATGGAAGCTGCTAAGTCCCTATTTTTCTGTGGCCCCTTGACCCTGTCCTCTGAGGAGTAGCCTCTGCCAGCAGGCTTGCCAATGGCTTTTTTCCTCCCAGGGCCCATCCCATCTCCAGGAAAGGGTGTTTCTCTTGAGGCTGGCAACTTAGAGGACCTTAGTGAGTTCTTGGTAGATGTGCCTCAGAGGTTTCTGAAGCACCGGCTGCTCCATGACGCAAGTGACATGATGTGCATGGCTTAGAGTCCCACGCTTGAAAGAGGAACGGCCCAAGATGGAAGCTTTTAGTTTGGAGAAGCATGGGCACGTTCACTGTCACTATACACGGGCATCTGGAAGAAGAAGATTCTAGCAGAAAAATATAAAATAATAGCAATTTTTTTATCTTTCTGGGGCTCAGCTATACAACTCCTGAAGCACAGACAAGGTCCAGAGAGCAAGTCAAAGAGATCCTTGAACACCCGAAGAGAAGACAACTCACACACACTTTTGATGGATCAGAAAGGCAGCCTCTTGTCTTTTATTGCTTCAACTAGTTTGACTATCTGTAGGGCCAGAAGAAATTAGAAGCACTGAATTAAAAGAGGAGGGCTAGAGGAGGACACCGTGACATCAACAGCAGGTCCTTTAGACCAGCAGTCCCCAGCCTTTTTGGCACCAGGGACCAGTTTTGTGGAATACAATTTTTCCACAGAGCATTACTTTTATTGTGCACTTTATTTCATTGTAATATATAATGAAATAATTATACAACTCACCATAATATAGAATCAGTGGGAGCGCTGAGCTTGTTTTCCTGCAACTATATATGGTCCCATCTGGCAGTGATGGGAGACAGTGTCCGATCATCAGGCATTTGATTATCATAAGGAGCGTGCAACCTAGATCCCTAGCACGTGCAGTTCACAATAGGGTTCTTGCTCCTTTGAGAATCTAATGCCGCCGCTAATCTGACAGGAGGTGGAGCTCAGGCAGTACTGCAAGCAATGGGGAGTGGCTGTAAACACAGATGAAGCTTTGCTTGCTTGCCTGCTGCTCACCTCCTGCTGTGCGGCCCGGCTCCTGATGGGCCATGGACCTGTACCGTCCAGGTTGGGGACTTCTGCTTTAGACTAAAGATTTTTACCACTGTATCACAGTAACGCTATCTCAGATAATCAGACCACAGAAGCAATGCCTGTTGTGGACAAGTTTTCTGAATCTTACCCTGTTTATAGTTAACCCACTCTTTATCTCTTTGGCTTCCTGTCTGGCTTCTGACTTTTGCTTCTGGCCTCTTTATTTGGAGTCCTATTTTTAGTATGGTGTTCTCCAACTTTCCTTTTGTCTCCGGCTGCCATTTGGAGGTCTTTGTAGTCTTTGGTAATAAACTCCCATCTCTAGTCCTATTACAGGAATTGATGCCGATGGTAATAACCTTGAATTATGAAGATGAGGCTAAATTATAGTCAGGAAACTGAACACATGCAATAAATTTTACAGAGTTTCACATCCAAAATTGCTGAAATATTATTTTGGAAAAAAAAAACAGATTTGATGCTTAAATGGGCAGATCTTCAGCTATTTGGAAAGCTCAGCTCTTCAGAAGAACAAAACCTTTGAAGTTCTTGGATACCCTTTGATTACTGTACTACTTGACACACAATTGGCATCCTAATCCCTAGAGGAAAACAGGGTGACTATGAAAAGGTTCTCAGGTCGTTTACATGGTTGTTTGGATTATTTATTAGGACTCTTCAGGACACTGATGTTCAGTAGGAGGAGAGTATGTATGTGTGTACATGTGTGCACACGTGCCTGTGAACTTACATGTGAGCATAGGCACTCCACCAGGTTTGGAATCCCTGGGGGAGCTTTTACGAAGACTAACCACAGTTTCCTTCAAGGGGATTCTGATTTTCCCTGGAAAGGAAAATGAGAGTTGCCTCGGCACAGATGTTGGTTTCAAAGAGCTCTCCTGGTGACTCACATGTGTGATTGTTCAGATTTGGATCTTCCAATTGGAATTCGCAGATTTAAAATATAGCCCAAGAGTTTTGAGTCATTCTGTCTCATAAAAATGCCGCCAGGTATTCTTTTTAGAGTCACAATATGAGGCTGGATGGACGTAGGATAACAATTCTATACATGAGTTCAGGGTTTGTCTTGTCCAGAGCTGCGAAGGTCTATTGTTTCTCTCCACCTGGGATAGTTAGGAAACCCATGCTTCTGTTGAAGTCACTCTGAGCTTGTTTAAACCTGAAAGCTTGTGAACTTACGATTTTCATTACCCTCCCCTCTCTACAGAACAGTGTGTCAGAATATTAATGAATGATAGGAAAATAAAATCTTTCTTTCCTGCTTTCTCTAACCTCTTTCACGTTAACAAACTCTAAATAGCATCTACTGGTGTGATCAAGATAGGCTTCCCATGTATACCAATAATGGAGGGAATATGAGAGGGATAAAGTGTCTGAAAGATGAAGGGAAAGAGGAGAAAACAAAGATGAAAAACAACTGTTTTTAGATAGTAACGATCTTTGCCATATTTTTAAAGCTTTATGCCAAAGGCAGCCTTTATTGCGATATGTTCAGACAAAACTCCAGTGCTCTAGGAATGCATTCAAACCCATGATAGTTGTTATAGCTCTCAGCCCATTTGTAAATTTGAACACACCTTTCTTTGATTAAGTTTCCCCTGTATGTATGATTAAAATCATGACCAGAAGTATGAGGTAGAGGGAAAGAAAATAGGAAGGAGAATTCTCTTCAAGTTGAACATCTTCTATATGGGCAAGAACACCTGCTGTCTTGGAGTTGGATAAATCCCCATTTTACACATGAAGAAATGCTTGGGGAACTTAATGACATATCTAAGGGTACCCATAACTTCATGGCCCTAAACAATCCTTTGGGACCACCAAAGAATACTTATATTTAAATTTGCTAACCTCAGAGGACTTGGAGCTCTCCAGTATTTCTAGTTTCTTCTCACCAACTCACACCCTTTCAATAGTCATTTCTCATTTAAAACCTTACCACCTCCAGAATAGTATGATTCATACCACTGTCTGGGTTATCTATTTGCTGCACAACAAGCTTCAAAATGTTGTGGCCTCAAATAATAATCATTTTGTTATACTTCACAAGTTTTTGTGGGTCAGAAATTTCATCAGAGCTTGGCTGGATATTGTCTTGCTCCATGTGGCTTTGGCTGGGGTCACTTGGTAGCATTTAGATGACAGTTGGGCTGGTCTGGAGGATTGATGATGGCTTTGTGCCTATGCTTGGAACTTCAGTAGAATGACTGGAAGGCCGGGCTCAGCTGGGCTCCTCCCCCTAGATAGTCTCAGATGTCTCCATGTGGTGTTCCCAGAAGAGTAGTCTTGTTTCTTACATGGGGACTCAGGTGTGCAAATGTCTAAGGTAGAAACTGCAAGTCCTCTTAAAAACAGCCCAGAGGCTGGGCATGGTGGCTTACGCATGTAATCCCAGCACTTTGAGAGGCTGAGGCAGGTGGATCTCTTGAGCCCAGGAGTTCAAGCCTGGGCAACATGGTGAAATACCATCTCTACTAAAAATACAAAAATTACCCAGGCACAGTGGCACACACCTGTAATCCCAGCTACTCAGGAGGCTGAGGCAGGAGAATCGCTTGAACCCGGGAGGTGGAGGTTGCAGTGAGCAGAGATTGCACCACTGCACTCCAGCCTGGGCGACAGAGCCAAATTCAGTCTCAAAAAAAAAAAAAAAAAATAGCAGGCCCAGAAATGACACAGCATCACTTTTGCCTTACTCTATTAATCAAATGAACTACAGGGCAGCCCAGATTCAAAGGGAAAGGAAATAGATCCCATATATCAATGGGAAATGTGTCAAAGAAGTTGCAGCCATCTTTAATCTTGGAACACTAACCCACTGTGTAAAGTAAAGTAATAGTCAGCCGACTGTGAGTGTGCACCTCCTGGCATCAGCATCATACCTGGTGCCAGCCATCTGGAGATAAATTAGCCTCCACCTTCTGGTTACTCAGGGTCTTGTGAAGAAATGTACATATAAGTGATATCTGTCTATGAATAAACATATACCCAAGATACTCTTAGAGCAAAAGCTGGAGAATTCAGAGAAATGCCTCAGAACTCATTCTTGCCAGAAAGGGAGTTGTGAGAATTTGCAGGCAACTTGCC
This sequence comes from Homo sapiens, assembly GCF_000001405.40. NCBI lineage: Eukaryota > Metazoa > Chordata > Mammalia > Primates > Hominidae > Homo > Homo sapiens. Next base: position 218,412,314 of record NC_000001.11, read on the forward strand.
ATCTTGGTTGGGCTCCTTTCGTGGGCAGACATGTAATTCCAAGGAACTGAGCCATATGCCTGAATCAAGAGATTCCTTTGAACCCAACAATATTTGTTGCAGAGATATCTGAATAGATTAGATTGAAACAGGAGTGGGTTTGGTTAATTGGTATGCATAGTATTACGTCAGAACGACCTTCCTCGTGTTTCAGTGTGCGTACTCACATCCCAGGATTTGGTGACTACGTCTGTCCTCCCCGTTTACCTTATTGAGGCAGCATGGCATAGTATGCAATGGTATGGGCGTTGTGACCTAAGCTTTCTTAGTAATTCCCAATTAGCTTGGGGTTTATTATGAGGGTGAAATGAAATAATGTCTATGACGGCCAGGTGGGGAGTGCGTGTTCAACATGTGTTAGTTCCCTTCCTTTGCTGTCACTGCTTAGATTTTGACTTCTATGTCTTTGATTCCTCCAGTGGGAAGAGCTCTCTCCTAAGTTACCTGTGAAAGTCAGTTGCCAGGTTGTTTTTAAGACTGATTTATTAGCTTCAGAGCACTGAATAAAGTCATACAAAAATAACTCCCTGGGGGAAGCAGAGTGATGTATTAGGTTCATACATCTTACAATATCAGGAGAAAAAGCCACTAAAATATTGCCTTTTCCCATGGGGCTGATAGTCTCAGGTGTCTCCATGTGGTCTTCCCAGAACAGTAATCTGACTTCTTAGATGGAGATTCAAGTGTGCAAATGTCCAAGGCAGAAGCTGCAAGTCCTCTTAAAAACTAGGCCCAGAGGCTGGGCGCGGTGGCTCACACCTATAATCCCAGCACTTTGGGAGGCTGAGGCAGGTGGATTGCTTGAGCCCAGGAGTTCAAGACCAGCCTGGGCAACATGGTGAAAATCCATCTCTACTAAAAAATACAAAAATTAGCTGGGCGCGGTGGCACATGCCTGTAAACCCAGCTACTCTGGAGGCTGAGGCAGGAGAATCACTTGAACCCGAGAGGCAGAGGTTGCAGTGAGCCGAGATCACACAATCTCTGCCTCCCGGGTTGCGTCACTGTTGGCGCTGGTAGAATATCATCTGCCAATGGGTTCCTGTTAATCAGTAGAAGAGAAATGTGCTGAGGTGAATTTAAAGGGGACCTTAGATTTCTTGACTGTGGCCTGAGAAGGCATCGGCGCTGTGCATTTCTACAGAGAGGCAGGGCATCCAGCTTCAGCTGAAGCCACCGCTAGCATGGCAAAGGGACCCCTCTCTCTACAGAAAACTGTCAAGACTTTGGCAAGTGAAAGTACAGATGGTCCCCTATTTAAGATTTTTTCAACTTTGTGATGGTGTAAAAGTGACTCAACTTACTTTTGTTCATACGTATGATATCAGGACACAATCCCGTTGTAAGTCGAGGAGCATCTGTAAAATAAAATCTGCCCCCCATTTGCTCTGACCTCTTTCCTTCGGATTTTAATGTCTCATTGCATTTGCATTTAAACAGTAACCAGCTTGTCAAATGTGATGAAATGTCATTTCTAGAGGCTATCGGTTGCAAGGATATAAAACAGTGGTGAAATCCTAAGTCATTTACATCCATTTAGTTTTGTATAGTAAATATTAACTGATTTTTCAGACTTGAGGATGATAGGGTGAATTGATGTTTATGGAGCAAAATAAGTAAGGGAAGATGGTAGTGGGGGGAGTGAATCATCAGCTACCTTTACTGGACATTGCATATGTAACATCTCTGCAACAGATTTTAAAATGCACGTTCTTAAGGTTTCATAGTGAAAGTTCAGGGTAGATGGCCTAGGCCTACCTTTTAAGGGATTCTGATGCTGCAAAATTGAAAGGTGGGGTTTTTGTCATACCAGGGAGCACAGCACTAATGGGGTTAATGAAAATTGCCTCTTTTTCCTAACCCTAAACACATGTGCACACACACACACACACACACACACACGCACACACGGTTCAGCTTTCATTTCTCATATTGCCCAAGAGGGTGTAAAATAAAAAGAGGTCAGCCAAAAAACTGTCTGTTAAATTAGACTTGCAAAAATGCTACTGACAAACAAACAAACAAACAAAAAGTCATACTGTGCTCCTGTTGTACATAATTTTACAGCATACAATCTTCTTAATACTGATCCTAGCCCCGGCGCCACATTGGAGACATACATAGCATAGTAACCCACCTAAAAAAAGAATAAAAAACACCATGAGGTATAATAAACACTTTGTTTGCACAAGGCTATTAATATCTCAGGGTTTTTTTTCAAACTGATCAAATGGCGTGCTTGCCTCATAAGGAAACTGGATTGTTACCATTTGCATTAGGTTATAACATTAGTCAGCAGACAAGACCCCCCAAAAAGTAGAATGAACAGCAGACCTTCTCCACTGTATTCAAATAAATGTTAGTGAATATGCAATAGTAACTAATAATCTTATTCTTTTTTCATAATGTGACTCAGTAACAATATTGATAATTATCGCTAATACATGCAGTGATTACTGTGTGCTAAGGTAGGTACTGGTCTCATCCTTATTTTACAAGTGAGGAAACTAGGATACAGTGAAGTTCAGTAGCTTGCCCAGGCCAGGCAGGTAGGAAGAAGCAGAGCCAGGATTTGAACCCAGGCGGTCTGACCCCAGGGATCATGCTCTTGACCATGATTCCATACTAGCAGAAAGAACACAGATTTTGGAGTTGATCAGGGTGGGTGCAAGGCATAGCTTTGGTCCTTTGGGGAGTCTGAGGAAGTCATGTCACTAACACTATTTCCACACCAGTAAAATGCAGATGAAAGCACCTACTTGGCAAAGATTTTATAAGGCATAGAGATAATGCATGGAAACTTCTAGCACAGTATCTGTATCCTCAGCGGTTACTATTATTATCATTACAGTTTCCGAGCATTGAGTTTGAACTGTTGTAAGAAACAGTGTGAAATTTATGATCTGCTCAGAATCTGTTAAAAATGAATGCTTCCCCTAGCCCTTCTTGCTGTAGGGTCTGGGTTCTTGGTTGCTGTCCCAGGAGTTTGCTTCAGGGTCTCCTTCAAGAATATTTTCCACTCACTCAGCTTGTGGTGGTTCATTAAGTTGCAGATGAGCAGGCCGGGCGCGGTGGCTCATGCCTGTAATTCCAGCACTTTGGGAGGCCGAGGTGGGTGGAACACTTGAGGTCAGGAGTTTGAGACCAGCCTGGCTAACATGGTGAAACCCCATTTCTACTATAAATATAAAAATTAGCCAGGCGTGGTGGCGGGCGCCTGTAATCCCAGCTACTCAGGAGGCTGAGGCAGGAGAATCACTTGAACCTGGTAGGCGGAATTTGCAGTGAGCCCAGACTGTGTCACTGCACTCCAGCCTGGGCGACAGAGCGAGACTCTGTCTCAAAAGAAAAAAAAAAAAAAAAAAAAAAAAAGTTGCAGATGAGCATATCAGAGTGGGAAAGGAGGAGACCTTTGCAGCCAGTCAGCCCTTTCTCTGAACCTCAGTTTTTCATCTGAAACTGGAGATAACATTTCTTGCCTAATGAGTTCCTGTGAGGAGAATGCCTAGGTTAAGTGTCTGGCACACAAGATGCGGAAGGAGTAGGTTACTGTCAGGATTTTTCTTGTCATCTTGAACATGGTTCATATTTCCCCTAAGGTTGGCTTGTGATTCTAAAACCACTCAACAGTGGTGTCAGTCATCTCTGCTTGGATGTGGTCTGATCTGTTTTCTGTTAACAGTGGGACAGAGCAGGGTTTTGGGGAACAGCCATTGTTTTATCACTGTGTACATTTGCTTTATCAAGATGTTAAGGGCTGCAGTGCTGAACTGGGGGCTGTGCTCTGTCTTGCTTCTCTTTTTGAAGAGTGATTACAATGACTGACTCCAATAGGGGTGTCTTTTTATCTCATCTCCTGTCTTGTTACTACCTCTCCCTGCTCCACCACCACACAAATAGGTTTGATATATGCTTCCCAATTGATTTTTAATAAGGTTCCTTTTTTTTTTCATGTTGTAAATGTTCAGTATGCCAACTATCCTGTAACCTCCTTTAGGGCAAAAGCTGTTTCAAGGGAGCATGCATGTTTTTTTTCTCAATGCCAACAGTACTCAGGATATTTTTTGGAACCCCGTTCTAGAACTGTGGCAGAGTCCAGCATACATACTTGAGAATTCCCCAAAGGAGACAAATCTGGATTTGCGAAAGGTAGTGTTGATTTTTGAAGACTGCCAAAGTTCTATGGAAGAGGAAAATGATAAGTCATTCAGCTGATTTTACTGGTTCTTATATTTCTGAAAGTCAGCCACCTCCCATGTCTCTGCTGTTACTATGCTTGTCCAAGCAGTTCTTGTCCCTCACCTGGGCCATGGCAGTGGCCTCCTGGTTGGTCCCCCTGTTTCCACCCTGGCCCCTTGATATGGTTTGGCTGTGTCTCCACTCAATCTCATCTTGAATTCAAATGTGTTGTGGGAGGGACTGGGTGGGAGGTAATTGAATCATGGGAGCAAGTCTTTCCCATGCTGCTCTTGTGATAGTGAATAAGTCTCATGAGATCTGATGGTTTTAAATAGAGGTGGTCCCCCGCACAAGCTCTCTTTCTCTTCTCTTGTCTGCCACCATGTGAGATGTGCCTTTCACCTTCTGCCATGACTGTGAGGCCTCCCTAGCCACATGGAACTGTAAGTCCAATAAACCCTTTTCTCTTATAAATTGCCCAGTCTTGCAGCAGTGCGAAAATGGACTAATACAGTGAATTGGTATCAGTAGAGTGGGGTGCTGCTGAAAAGATACCCAAAATGTGGAAGCAACTTTGGAACTGGGTAACGAGCAGAGGTTAAAACAGTTTGGAGGGCTCAGAAGAAGTCAGGAAAATGTGGGAAAGTTTGGAACTTCCTAGAGACCTGTTGAATGGCTTTGACAAAAATGCTGATGGTGATATGAACAATAAGGTCTAGGCTGAGGTGGTCTCAGATGGAGATCAGGAACTTGTTGGGAACTGGAGCAAAGGTGACTCTACGCTTTGTTTTAGCAGAGACAGATGGCATTTTGCCCCTACCCTAGAGATTTGTGGAACTTTGAACTTGAGACAGATGATTTAGGGTATCTGGTGAAAGAAACTTCTAAGCAGCAAAGCATTCAAGAGGTGACTTGGGTGCTGTTAAAGGCATTCAGTTTTAAAAGGGAAACAGAAAATAAAAGTTTGGAAAATTTGCAGCCTGACAATGTAATAGAAAAGAAAATCTCATTTTCTGAGGTGAAATTGAAGCTGGATGCAAAAATTTGCTTAAGTAATGAGGAGCCAAATGTTAATCCCCAAGACAATGGGAAAAATGTCTCCAGAGCATGCCAGAGGTCTTCATGGCAGCCCCTCCCATCATAGGCCTAAAGGCCTAAGAGGAAAATGTGGTTTTGTGGGCCTGGCCCAGGGTCCCTGTGCTGTGTGCAGGCTAGGGATTTGGTGCCCTGCATCCCAGCCACTCCAGCTGTGGCTGAAAAGGGCCAACATAGAGCTTGGGCCATGGCTTCAGAGGGTGCAAGCCCCAAGCCTTGGCAGCTTCTACATGGTGTTGAGCCTGTGAGTGCACAGAAGTAAAGAACTGGGGTTTGGAAACCTCTGCCTAGATTTCAGAAGATGTGTGGAAATGCCTGGATGCCCAGGCAGAAGTTTGCTGTAGGGGCAGGGTCCTCATGGAGAACCTCTGCTAGGGCAGTGCAGAAGCGAAATATGGAGTTGGAGCCCCCACACAGAGTTTCTACTGGGGCACCACCTAGTGGAGCTGTGAAAAGAGGGCCACCATCTTCCAGACCCCAGAATGGTAGATCCACCAACAGCTTGCACCGTATGCCTGGAAAAATCACAAGACACTCAACACTAGCCCATAAAAGCAGCCAAGAGGGGGGCTATACCTTGCAAAGCCATGGGGGCAGAGCTGCCCAAGGCCATGGGAGCCCACTTCTTGCATCAGCGTGACCTGGACTTGAGACGTGGAGTCTAAGGAGATCATTTTGGAGCTTTAAGATTTTACTGCCCTGCTGGATTTCAGACTTTCATGGGGCCTACAGCCCCTTTGTTTTGACCAATTTCTCCCATTTGGAATGACTATATTTACCCAATGCCTGTACCCCCGTTGTATCTAGGAAGTAACTAACTTGCTTTTGATTTTATAGGCTCATAGGCAGAAGGGACTTGCCTTGTCTCAGATGAGACTTTGTACTGTGGACTTTTGAGTTAATGCTGAAATGAGTTAAGACTTTGGGGAGCTGTTGAGAAGGCATGATTGGTTTTGAAATGTGAGGACATGAGATTTGGGAGGGGCTGGGGCAGAATGGTATGGTTTGGCTGTGTCCCCACCCAGATCTCATCTTGAATTTCCATGTGTTGTGGGAGGGACCTAGTGGGAGGTAATTGAATCATGGGGGCAAGTCTTTCCCATGCTGTTCTCGTAATCGTGAATAAGTCTCATGATATCATGATAAGTCTCATGATATGATGGTTTTAAAAAGAGGCATTCTGCTACACAAGCTCTCTCTCTTTGTCTGCTGCCATGCACTTAAGATGTGACTTTCTCCTCCTTGCCTTCCATCATGATTGTGAGGCCTCCTCAGCCAAGTGGAACTGTAAGTCCAATAAACCTTTTTATTTTGTAAATTGCTCAGTCTCAGCTATGTCTTTATCAGCAGCATGAAAATGGACTAATACACCCCCTCAGCAGCTGTTTACAGCATAGCAATCAAAGTGATTCCTGATAAAATATTGGTCAGATCAAAGTCTTCTCTTTAAAGCTCTACAGTGGCTTCGTATCTCACCCTGAGTAGAAGCCAAGTCCTTACCATGACTTAGGAGGCTGGCTCTGACCTGTTCCTTAGTCACCCACCCCTCAGCCATAATTTCCCCCTCATTCATAGGGCTCCCCCATTTGTCAATGACCTCTTTGCTCTTCCTCAGACACTGCACTCACTCCTTCCTGTGGCTTGTGGCCACTGTTCCCTCCACCCACAGTGCTTTTCCCAACTACCCATATGGTTGGTTCTCTTTATTTCTTTAGGTCTTTCCTTAGAGACCACCTGCTCAGGGAGACCTTCTTTGGCCACCGTACCTAAGATCTCAGAGTCGCTTTTCCCAACACATCCTAGCCCCAATGTCTACTGTGCTTTTCTCCTTGATAATCTTCATTATCTGCCATATTTGATCTATTCCATCTTTATGTTGTTTATAATCTTATCTCTACCTCTAGCCATAAACTACTGGAGATGTGTCTGGTCCACAGTGGGTGTTCAATAAGTGTTTTTTAATGAATTTAACTAAAATGTCAAAATAAGATTCAACTATAAGGAATGTCCTTCAAATAAGTATGTAACTTATAAAGGGGATTCTGTTGAGAAACATCACTCATTTATTCGGATTTGGAAATTCTGCTCCATTTGTTTTAAAGATATCTAAATATTGATGAAGAAAGAAATGTATATAACTATGCATCTTCTGTGACTTATTCAGAGCTAATTCTGATGAAGTATTTAATATTAATAGATAATAACCATGTAGGTAAAAAAATAAAATAAAATTATGTAATAAATTAATGAAACTGATATTCTTGGGTACCCCATAAACTTGATGTTTTCAGAAAAAACAAGCTCTTTATTTATTTATTTGGGCTTGTTAGTTTATAGTCACATGCCCTAAATTAAAGTGCTCACTTAAATTATAGTACAGGCCACATATGTTATAGGTGCCAGGAGGTAGGAATCAAGTTAGAAGTCTACTCCCCAAGTTCACATGTGTTAGTGTTAAAGTCAGAGTGGAATTGGAAGGGGGAGGTCAAATAAAAAATTAGAAGATATGGCTCCAGAGAGCTTGAGGTCTTGTGGACAGTCTTTCCCTCAATGGCAGGAAATAGGTAGGTCATTGTCAAAATTTATACTGCTGGGCTGTGTGGTACAGCCTCAAAGACTGTAGGAATTCAGCTAAGAAAAAGACAGTACAGTCTTGATTTAATTCTCCTTCAAATTCTACCATTACGTATTGTACTGCACCCCTCTCTCGCCTGGTCTATACTGATGTGGCTTTAGTCCAGTTGAATCCTTTTCTCTTTTGTGTGATTTATACCTGATGGTCTCATGAATGCTACTGAGCTGCAGCATCTGACAGACTTTCTGTTCACACAAAGGACTCCTTCATCCCTTCAACCTGGAGAAATGGATTTACTTGTTTATGCACATGTGCATTCAGCACAAAGGTTCATCTGTAAAGTTTTTTTTTTTAATGAAGGAAACAATAGGGAATTATAAGGTATTTCATCACAGAGGAGAGACTTTTCTGTGTGTGTGTGCATGTGTGTTGTGTGCGTGTATGTGTGTATGTGTGTAACTTGAAGGCACATCTAGTGACATTTCCATAAAGGTCATCAAAGGTCTGCGTATGCCATACTGTATCATAATTTCACATGGGTATGTATAATACAGGTGTATATCAATGTGTAATACTCTGTACTGTAAAGCGAAAGAGTTCACGTAGTGATGTAATAATGTAGCTATCTGAGCTCCAAAGAGACTTGTATTCTCAGTCTTCTGAGGCTGATATGTATTCCACGGGAGCTGACTGAAGGCCCTCGTGAAGCTCTTGCCAGGTATACATTACTTACGACCTCTTAGACAGATGCAATTATAAAGGAGCCATGACAATTACAGGACATGGTGATGGCAGAAGCAAGGTAAGTACTGGGTGTGTTAAGCCACTTCTGAAGGATAATCATGCAGTGTGTCGGTGTGGTAGGCACCCCCAAAGTGACCCAGCATAATCAAGGAGGCTACAGTTAGACAGGAAGAGAGAGCTCCATTTGTGCCTCCTTGAAATAAAAGCCACTGTACCCAGTTCTGATTCTCTATAAAGCTCCACTGGCTATTATTTGGAAATTCTCTTTCTTGCTTTCTCTCCCTCATTTCATTTTTATAATGAAATAAATAGAAAGGGTAAAATACAGTATTAAATTGCTTATTCTGTCTGATAATTCTTTCTGTCCTTCTTGATATATATAATCTCTGTGGTGGGTTTCTGGATGTGTTTAAAATTCCAAGAAGCAGTTTTTTTTTTTTTTTATCACTATAAAAGACCGATTGTTCAGGGGCTTATTTGTCACTTGATCAAATGTGTCTTTCTAATGAAGTCTGTTAACTAATAAGAATATACCAAGCAGGGATTGGGTAAGCTGCCATGAAAAATACTCTGTGGGGGTAATAAGAGAGAGAAAGAACATTTTTTGCTTTGAAGGAGCTCATAGTTAGATTGAGCATTATACTCCCCACAGTATAATTTATGAATCACTACTGTTAGAAGTGGGATTGTGTCCCTTCCCCTACACATAAAAAAAAGATATGTTGAAGTCATAATCCCCAGTACTTTGGAATGTGATCTGATTTGAAAATAGGCTCATTGCAGATATAATTAGTTGAGATGAGGTCATCCTGCAGGAGGGTGGGTCCCTAATCCAGTATGACTGGTGTCCTTATAAAAAGACAGCCATGTGAAGACTCAGTCACAGGGAGCCTGCCATGTGAAGATGAAGGCAGAAATTGAAGCTATGCAACTATAGCCAAGGAACACCAAAAATTGCCAGCAAACCACCAGATGCTAGAAGAGGCAAAGAAGGATCCTCCCTGGAGGCGTCAGAGAGATCATGGCCCAGCCAACACCGTGATTTCAGACTTCTAGCCCCCAGATTTGTGACAGGATAAGTTAGTGTTATAAGTCACCCAGTTTGTGGTACTTTGTTACTACAGTTCTAGGTTACCCATACACCTATCAAGCCAACTCTCCCTAAATCCTAGTATATATTGTTAGAAAAGATAAAAGGGCACTGAAGAGAGAGGAGGATGCCTTCCTTCCTTCCTTCTTTCTTTCTTTCTTCTTGTTTTTTTTGTTTTTTTGTTTTCTTTTTTTTTGTTTTTGACAGAGTCTCGCTCTGTCACCCAGGCTGGAATGCAGTGGTACAATCTTGGCTCGCTGCAGCCTCAACCTCCCAGGCTCAACAGATCCTCCTGCCCCAGCCTTTTGAGTAACTGGGACTACAGATGTGCACCACCATGTCCAGCTAATTTTTAAAAATGTTTTCATAGAGGTGAGGTCTCATTATGTTGCTCAGACTGGTCTCAAACTTCTGGGCTCAAACGATCCTTCCATCTCAGCGTCCCATAGTGCTGAGATTACAGGCGTGAGGCACCACGCCTGGCCTTGTTCTCCCTTCTAATGAACCAGCACATCCCTATTACCTGGACTGTGTTCTCTTAGTGCTGGTTTTTTGGATGTTCATAGTCATCCTTTTACACTCTCCTCTCTACAGGAAATCTTCCCTGACCTCATCTACCTGGCAAGGATAGATGCCCTGCCTGTAACATTTCCTGGTAACCTATGAACACATCGTTTTAAGTTTTTGTTGAGATGTCTATATTCCCTTACTACCCAATGCACTCCTTTAAGAACAGGCACCATCTTATTATCCTGGGGTATACGTATAATGCAATGCTTTGCTTACAGCCAGTGCTTAATATTTGTTGAACTAAACTGGAGGAAGTGAGGTATAAAATAAAATCAAACAAATGAATAAATGAGGACTCAAGTGCATACAAGATGCTCGGCAATGAATGAATGACTGAACAAACAAATTAACTGATCATATTAAATATTTGAATATTATTAGTTATTATTATTACTTTGAATGAGGGTAAAAGGCTCCTCCAAAGCCAATGAAAGCCTTCCAGAGTATGGATGTGGGAGTGATGTGTTGGAGAATCATTTGTTCCTGCTGTAGGTAAGCCAAGAAATGCTCACAAGAGTGTGTTCTCTGTGCCTGTCTGCCTGAGAGAAAATCTTGGTCTTTAATAACACGGTTTTGACCTAGAGAGTCAGATTTCTCCAAAATTAATCAATGAATATGTATTCTACCAGTGTCAGCAAACCAAAATATAAGGGTTTGTGGGGATTTAAATAAGTTTATGTTTCCCTCTCTCTTGTATGGGCTTAATATTCTATTGGAGGAAATGGACATTTCCACACATCCAGGATTACCCTTGAAGCCACTATGCGCAAGGGACCACATGCTCAGCAAATCCCGTAGCATTGCATGGGGAACTAGGGAAAGGGACCTGACTTTAGTTTAGAGTGAAAGTAAGCATGTCATTGAAAAACTGGGCTTCAAGTTTGGATTAGAAGAGTGGAAAGGCTTGTTTTGTTTTGTTTTTTAGGAGAAAACTGGAGGAGGGAAAGGCATTCTGATAGGGTTGCTAGTTAGAAGCCAAAGTTTGGAAGTTTGGAGTATATAATCCATGTTTTAGAGATATTGTTTAGATTAGGCTTCTAGGGATGAAAGGCGCGTGTGAGATGATAGGTTGGTGGCCAGTTGTGTTATCAATACTGAACTAAGGAATCTGGAGTTTATTCACTAGGCATTAGAAGCCTCTGAAAGTTTTTGACAAGGTAGGGAACATAATCATAACAATAACTCACACGTATTGAATACCAGGCAATGTGACTGATGCTCTCCCTACTCCGTGACACTTAATTTTCTCGACAAACATACAAGGTGCGTTTTACTATTCCTTTTCATTGATGAGAGAATTATAGATCCAGTAAGCCATAGTTTAGGCTTGTCTGACTCCAAAGCCTCTGCACCTTTTCGCTACGCTAATGATTTTCAAAGGCACTTGGCACAGCCCTATGGCTTCTTCAAAGAACTCTAAGGGACCACTGAGTAAATGGAATGGATTGATTGTCAGGTGGCCCAGATGGCCAGGACCCTTAGTCAATGAGTGAAATTCCACTTTTTTCTGCTGTATACCCTGCATATCACAGAGTGTTGATTTCAGAAATGGCCACCAGGAAGGAGGTAACTAAGAAGCCAGCAACAGGTTCTGGTTTTGGCCTTATGATTTTAACATTGTTATCACCAACATGATGAAGACATTGGCTGCACTGTTGCTAGTGCTCTGTGGCTCCGAAGAGTAGCTTATACATTGAATAGCAAACTGAAAATTCAGAGAGATTCCAAAAGGCTAAAACTTGGGTCAGATAATAGAGTTCAACATTAACAGATATATATGTGTAATTTGCATTTATGTTTGAAAAATGAATTATATAAATACAGGCTACAGCAGTGGTTCTCAGAGTAATCCCTGGTTAGCAGCTTCTACATCACCTGGGAACTTGTTAGAAATGCAGATTCTTGGGCCTCCACCTCATCCTATTAAATCAGAGGCTCTGGGGATGGGGCTTAGCAATCTGTGTTAATGAGCACTCCAGATGTTTCTGAAGCAGGCTAACATTGGAGACCACTGGGCTAGAAAGACCAACCCTCCTCCCTTCTTGCTTTGCATTATTTCTTTCTCTTTATTCCACCTCATTCCAGAAAGGATTTGGAGTGGAAAAATCTGACTTAACAACAGTTTGTGAATAAGAACAAAGGTTTTATTTTACAAAAAAATTTCTGTGACTCAATGATGTGTTGTGGCTGCTGCCAAAAGTAAATAGTTTGCATTAAAAGTAGTGACCAGAACAAGGGAAGCAATAGCTACTCCCCTCTTCACATTTGACAGGTTCTGTATATCTCCATATTCTGTTAGACCATATCTGGAGTTTGTTGAGGAACTAATTTTAAGAAGACATTGGAAAGGGTTTTAACAAGGATGGTGACACACCTTGAACTTTTGCCTTAAAGGGATCAGTTGAGGGAAGCCACCTCTTGTGACTAGAGCCTGACATGGAAAAGAAAGAATTTTACATCTTGCTCCAGAGGGCGAAAAACAATATTGGAAAGCCTTCTCCACTGGTATTAAGAGGGAAAGACATTAGTCCAGGCTCTTCCTGAAGGGCTTTGTTAACACACCTAAGTGCTTCAGGCTTCCGTTTTTTGTTTGTTTGTTTGTTTGTTTTTGTTTTTTATTTAGTTGGAGTCTTGCTCCATCACGGAGGCTGGAGTGCAGTGGTGTGTTCTCGGCTCACCACAAGCTCCGTCTCCTGGGTTCACGCCATTCTCCTGCCTCAGCCTCCCGAGTAGCTGGGATTACAGGTGCCAGCCACCACGCCCGGCTAATTTTTTGTATTTTTAGTAGAGACGGGATTTCACCGTGTTAGCCAGGATGGTCTTGATCTCCTGACCTCATAATCTGCCCACCTCAGCCTCCCAAAGTGCTAGGATTACAGATGTGAGCCACCGTGCCCGACCTGGTCTTCTGTTTCTTTTAGAATGCAGATAATAAGGGCCATGATGTTCATCCCACAAGATTTCTGTGAAGGGCTAAAAACATGGCAAAAAGTTCAAATATTTGAAAAACTACAATGGTTGTACAAATATGAGGCAATGGCGCTATTATTAAGGAAGACTAGTTGATGGAAATTTTAAGTCCAAGATAATGGAGAATCTCAACAATATGGATTGTCCAAAAGGGGGACGACCTTTCTCATTAAATAGTGAGTTCACGGTCATGAGAGGCCTTTAGACAAAGAGATGTTAGAGAATGAACTGTATGGGATTGAAGCAGATGGTTTCAAAGTGCCTTGCCAATGCCAGTATTTCATAATGCTGAAGTGAATGACTTGAGGTCAGGCAGATCTGAGAGACTCGTGCTCACAGCCAGCAGAGTGAATGTTTGATTCATCATTTGTTCATCACTACTTGCAAGTCACTGCAAACATTTAAAACATTTAAATACATTTAAACACTGAACACACTTAAAGATATTTAATGATTAAACATATTTAAAGCGTTAAAAACATTAAATGCATTTAAAAACAAGATGGGCCCACACTAATGAACCTGGTGTCAATTTTTCTCTACAGCACTATAGTTAAATTCCCTTTGCATTAGAAGTCTGATTGAATAGCCCCATGGTCTCCTGTGGATCTGTTGATGTATGAATTTGGAAAGTAACATTGAATTCCCAATGCTTTCTTATAACTCTTTGCAATGTCTCATAGACGTGTAAGAGATGTTGCCCTTAGTGTCTAACCCAAGTCCTGAGTTGTTTTACAGCATTTTTATTTTAAGGTTAAGATTTCTTCTGGCTATAATTTTGCATCTAGACTTCTACTTGTTTTTTCCCCCCTCAAACTATTGGGTAACATCAGTGACTTTCACCTTTATCCACTGCCCAGTTGGCTGCTTTCCAATGGCAGAGAAATGAATGGATGCTTTTGTGTAGGGAGTTGTGTAATTCAATGAAGAGCTTGGAGCCTTGCTGAAGGCGATATGTGGGTATTTCACACATATTATATCTAATGATTATATATCAGTAATGTAATGAAGGTGGCATTCAAACATCACTGTGGGTGGCAGCTAAGCCAAAGACAGCTAAATCTTATTTTTAATACATGAGAAGCCCCCTTTTCTAATTCAATCAGAAACAGTTGTTGGTCAGTTAAAGATTAAAAAATCAGTTAAAGCCAGGGATTAGAAAAACATAGGAGAGAGAAACAGAAAGAGAGAGATGCAAACCTTAAATTTTTAAAACTTAAAACAAATATATATGTATGTACATATGGATGTATACATACACATTCACATGCTGAGGCTGAGTTCTTTTTGTGAAAGGCCAAGGACTTTTCTTTGACATGGATGTGCCAATTACCAATCCATGTCATTTTGTTTTGTATAAATCACATTTATAGTGCATCATCTACAATTTCTATTTTTATTTTTCTGAAGTAGAGATGTTTAAGGACAATTGCTGAGCAACCTGAGTGTAGGATTCTTCTAACTTTTTATCGTATTATTTCTTCTGTAGCTGTCTCTCTCACACCTAAAATTAGAAAAAAAATTATTGTGATAAAATATACATAATATAAACATTACAGTTTAACCATCCTTTAAGTATACAAGTCAGCAGCATTAAGTACATTCACCACAATATTGTATAGCCATCACCACTATCCATTTCTAGAACTTTTTTTATCGCCAGCAGAAACTCTGTACCCATTAAACAATACCTTCTAATTACCTTCTACACCCCTACTAACCTCTAACCTCTATTCTGCTTCTTTTTTTTCTTCTTATTTATTTATTTTATTATTATACTTTAAGTTCTAGGGTACATGTGCACAATGTGCAGGTTTGTTACATATGTATACATGTGCCATGTTGGTGTGCTGCACCCATTAACTTGTCATTTACATTAGGTATATCTCCTAATGCTATCCCTCCCCTCTCCCCCCACCTCAGGACAAGCCCCAGTGTGTGATGTTCCCCTTCCTGTGTCCAAGTGTTCTCATTGTTCAATTCCCACCTATGAGTGAGAACATGCGGTGTTTGGTTTTCTGTCCTTGCGATAGTTTGCTGAGAATGATGGTTTCTAGCTTCATCCATGTCCCTACAGAAGACATGAACTCATCCTTTTTTTGACTGTGTAGTATTCCATGGTGTATATGTGCCACATTTTCTTAATCCAGTCTATCATTGATGGGCATTTGGGTTGGTTCCAAGTCTTTGCTATTGTGAATAGTGCCGCAATAAACATTCGTGTGCATGTGTCTTTATAGCAGCATGATTTATAATCCTTTGGGTATATACCCAGTAATGGGATGGCTGGGTCAAATGGTATTTCTACTTCTAGACCCTTGAGGAATTGCCACACTGTCTTCCACAATGGTTGAACTAGTTTACAGTCCCACCAACAGTGTAAAAGTGTTCCTATTTCTCCACATCCTCTCCAGCACCTGTTGTTTCCTGACTTTTTAATGACTGCCATTCTAACTGGTGTGAGATGGTATCTCATTGTGGTTTTGATTTGCATTTCTCTGATGGCCAGTGATGATGAGCATTTTTTCATGTATCTGTTGGCTGCATAAATGTCTTCTTTTGAGAAGTGTCTGTTCATATCCTTTGCCTACTTTTTGATGGGGTTGTTTGATTTTTTCTTGTAAATTTGTTTAAGTTCTTTGTAGATTCTGGATATTAGCCCTTTGTCAGATGGGTAGATTGCAAAAATTTTCTCCCATTCTGTAGGTTGCCTGTTCACTTTGATGGTAGTTTCTTTTTGCTGTGCAGAAGCTCTTTAGTTTAATTAGATCCCATTTGCCAATTTTGGCTTTTGTTGCCATTGCTTTTGGTGTTTTAGACATGAAGTCCTTGCCCATGCCCATGTCCTGAATGGTATTGCCTGGGTTTTCTTCTAGGGCTTTTATGGTTTTAGGTCTAACATTTAAGTCTTTAATCCATCTTGAATTAATTTTTGTATAAGGTGTAAGGAAGGGATCCAATTTCAGCTTTCTACATATGGCTAGCCAGTTTTCCCAGCACCATTTATTAAATAGGGAATCCTTTCTCCATTTCTTGTTTTTGTCAGGTTTGTCAAAGATCAGATGGTCGTAGATGTGTGGTGTTATTTCTGAGGGCTCTGTTCTGTTCCATTGATCTATATCTCTGTTTTGGTACCAGCACCATGCTTTTTTGGTTACTGTAGCCTTGTAGTATAGTTTGAAGTCAGGTAGCATGATGCTTCCAGCTTTGTTCTTTTGGCTTAGGTTTGTCTTGGCAATGTGGGCTCTTTTTTGGTTCCATATGAACTTTAAAGTAGTTTTTTCCAATTCTGTGAAGAAAGCCACTGGTAGCTTGATGGGGATGGCACTGAATCTATAAATTACCTTGGGCAGTATGGCCATTTTCACGATATTGATTCTCCCTATCCATGAGCATCTTTTTTTTTTTTTTTTTTTTTTTTCTGAGACAGAGTCTTGCTCTGTCAGCCAGGCTGGAGTGCAGTGGCACGATCTCAGCTCACTGCAACCTCCGCCTCCTGGGCTCAAGCAATTTTCCTGCCTCAGTCTCCCGAGTAGCTGGGATTACAGGTGTGTGCCACAACACCCAGCTAATTTTTGTATTTTTAATAGAGACGGGGTTTCACCATGTTGGCCAGGCTGGTCTCAAACTCCTGACCTCAGGTAATCCACCTGCCTTGGCCTCCCAAAGAGCTGGGATTACAGGCGTGAGCCACTGTGCCTGGCCTATTCTGCTTTTTATCTCTATGAATTTGCCTATTTAAAGTACCTTTTGTAAGTGGAATCACAATATTTGTCCTTCTGTGTCAGCTTATTTCACTTAGCATAATCCTCAGAGTTCATCCATGTCATGTAGCATGTGTCTGAATTTTATTCTTTCTTATGGCTGAATAATATCTTAGTGGATGAGTGTACTACATTTTGTTTATGCATTCATCTCTTGATGAGTACTTGAATTTTTTCCCACCTTTTGACTATTGTGAGTAATGCTGCTATGAACATTGATGTATAAGTATTGCTTGAGTGCCAGCTTTCAGTTCTTTTGGCTATATATCTTAAGAATGGAATTTCTGGATCATGGGGTAATTCAATGTTTGCCTTTTTGAGGAACTAGCAAACTGTTTTCCAAAAAACTTTCTTTCCTATAGGAACTTGTCTTTATGAAGACTTTCCAAGACAGTCAACTGGCTTTCGGAGAAGAAACAGCTCTCTTTACTTTTGGTCCTGCATTTCATCAGTTTCTAGACCATTTAATTAACTTGCATAATTACAATAACAAGTCCAAGTGTCATAAGCAGGTTTAGAAATGTATATCATTTCATGCTTTCTAGGGAAAAAAAGAAATGTATAAAATTGATATTTGTTAAGCATACAACTCAACTGGTAAGAGTGGAAGTGCTTGGAGAGTAACTTTCCCCAATGATCCCCAGTGTGCTTTGGGCATCAGCCAATATATATTATAAAACACAGAATTAATGGAGAATGCTGGTTACTCTGGCCAGTTAAGGGGAGGCCAGTTAAGAGAGCTTCTACTATTCAACTAAATTATCTTTGTCATGATAAGATACATAAAGAGGCCGGGCGTGGTAGCTCAAGCCTGTAATCCTAGCACTTTGGGAGGCTGAGGTGGGTGGCTCGAGACCAGCCTGGGCAACATGGCAAAACCCCGTCTCTACTAAAAATATAAAAAATTAGCCGGGCATGGGTGGCGCACACCTGTAGTCCCAGCTACTCCGGAGTCTGAGGCGAGAGAATCACTTGAACCCTGGAGGCGGAGGTTGCAGTGAGCCAAGATCACACCACTGTACTCCAACCTGGGTGATAGAGTGAGACCCTGTCTCAAAAAAAAAAAAAGTATAAAGAAATTTAGAAGCAAATGACTCATGAATCTAGAAAAACAATTAACAGCTACATATCCACAACTACTAACATTCAATACTCTTGTTGTTTGGAGACCTGAGAAAGACAGACAGCAAAGGCTAAAATAGAATGGGAAGTTGACTGATCTGGTCACTTCCTGTATAAACTTTTGAATGTAAGCAGCAGGTTGATTTTCCATGCCTTCTTCTCTTACAGTTCAATTTAGTGTGGGTGATAAATGGGAGATAAACAGAGGATAGTGAGGTTGTGCCTATTCTTAGGAAGAAGATACCTTTCAAGTTAAGATTCAAGACTTTACGATGTGATTAGAAGGTTTTCTAGATAGTTCTGAAGCAAAATCATGAAGCTGTAGGAGGAATACTTTTATATAGCATCATTCATCCTTGTTAGCAACCCAAATGATTAAAGGTTTGGGAAATTACACCTTTAAATATGGTCTAAAGGAACTGGGTTTATTTAGTTTAGAGAAAGCAAGCAAGCACGCTGAGGGGGACTTAATCATAGTCTCCAAGAATATGAGGGATATTCTCTGAGTGATGGAAAGCAGCTGTTTCCTGTTTCCACTAAGGACTGGATAAGAAGAATGGAGTTAACATGCAACAAGTGGGTTAAGAACTCTTTGGCCATGAAGTTCAAGACAACAAATCCACCAGACAAAAGTCGCTACTGTGTTTGAGAATTATGTAGCTAACTAACTGTATTTCTTGGGTGGTTTATATGTGGCCTGTTCATGAGTCTGGAGCTAGTGAAAAAGATCCAGAGGACCTTTCACCCAAGTGAGAGGATGAGATTGTCTGTTTTCTGAGCCTACCAGTGCTCTGTGGTTGAGGAAGCTCTTATCGTAGTTCTCCTAGTAGGATTTAAAAGAGAAAAAGCTTCAGAGTCTCTTTGCTGCTCTTTGGACTCTTTCCAAGTAAGATAATCTAAATGTACTCCTTTTCTATAAGGTGGAAGATTTATATAGATTTGGCATTATGTGTCTTTTCTGCTTATTTGGTCGATATGGCCATAATTTTTAAAAATTCTGTGTCTTTAGTGAAACTGGACATATATATACACACATATATACATGTATATGTATGTATATGTCATAGACATTTGACATGTATATCATAAGTAATTAATTCAGCAATGGAGACAATGTTTAGTTCTAGGTAGTATGTCTAAATGTTAGCTATGTGAATAAGATAATACACTGTGCTAATTAGCAGCACAGAAATATGCAAAGCATTTTGTAAAAATGCACTGTTGCAGATTAGCTAGGGGAAGAATTTAGAGACAAAACGATGAGTTCTGTGAATGTTACCAGTTTTTAGTCAATGAGGCAGATCAGAATGCCTGAAAACTGCTTCTCAACCATTGTTTTTCTTATTCCTGTTCCATAGTAGGTTAATTATACCATTTATTCAGAATTAGATAAGTGATGTCTTACTTTCCCAACTGGGAGTATTTTCAAGGCAAGGTTTGATTCCTAGGAGATGGACTGCTATTAAGCTGTATCTTTAAAGCTGTAGCTTTATGCCAACATTCATTGTGTATACGTTCCACTATCTTATATTTTCATCTTGTACCAGCATTTATTTTAATCTTATTTAAAAATCTTTGCCTCTGTCATTGAATGTTTTCTTGACTCAATAACTTGTTTGGCCTTTAAAAATCCAGCACTGAAGTGGGAAAATGACTCGGGATTGAGTTGGATCATCTCTTCACACTTGTTCACTGGGAGGCATTGGGCAAGTTAGTTAACCTCCTTGAGTTTGCTTCCTTAATCTACCCTACAGGAACATTTTGAGGATTAAATAAAATAAAATAATGCATGCCAAGCCCAGAGCGTAGTGTACCCAGCCCTCAAGTCATGTTTATCTGCTTTCTTTAATTCGCAAAGAACATTTCTTACCTATCATAGAGCCATTGTTGCCTCCACATTCTCTTCTTTTAGTGGAGGTTTTGGACCACAGGGGCAGATCTGTAGAATAAGTCTTGTGTAAAATTCATGAGGGCACCCAAGGGTCTAATTGTATGAATCTCCTTCCTTTTCTATATTTACTTAATCCAGAAAAAAGTCTACCATTATGGCAAGTATTTTAGGAAGCGTCTGTTGCCAAATTACCTGAAACAAATCATGTACACACATGGAAGGAAAGTACATTTTCAGATGAGTGGAAAGATGATGCATTTTTGTTTTACAAGGTTTAAAGGATAGTTAATAAATCTTCTAGATACTGAAATAAACATTTAATAGATATTGATTCAATTGAGTGCTATGGTTTGAAACGATATCAAATTGAAGACATGATCCCTGACCTGGGAAGTTTTATGAATTTGCTGGAGAGACCAAGCCCATAGGTATGGAATGACCACAAAACAGAGTAGTACAAAAATCCGGAAGAGTAGTACAAAAATGACAGCTTGAACCCCTAAGTACTGAGGAAAGGCAGCATACAGGGTTTCAGTAGGGATTTACTATAGTAGACTTAGAATCATGATTTAGTTCCTAAAACCACTATCATTTCAAAATAGAATTTTTTTAAAACCACCTAAAATATTCACTTCCTTTCGAAACCTAGGAACATACTACAGTTGCGCTTTACTCATTTGAGATAAATACACCTTTCTTGAAATGTTAACTTTTTCTTTATTTTTTTTGTTTTTGAGAGGCAATCCCACTCTGTCACCCAGGCTGGAGTGCAGTAATGCCACCTCGGCTCACTGCAACCTCCGTCTCCCGGGTTCGGGTGATTGTCCTGCTTCAGCCTCCCGAGTAGCTGGGATTACAGGCGCCCACCACTGTGCCTGGCTAATTTTTGTGTTTAGTAGAGACAGGGTTTTACCATGTTGGCCAGGCTGGTCTTGAACTCCTGACTTCAAGTGATCCGTCCAACTCAGCCTCCCAAAGTGCTGGGATTACGGTGAGCCACCACGCCCAGCCTGAGATAAATACATCTTCCTAAAGCCTCAGTGTTTAGGCTGGTTTGCTTTCAGATATTCATCTATGCACCATACCAAACTACTTCTGCTGAGATTCATTCTGAGTCTGCAGGGGATGGAATACCTTTATAAATCATAACAAATCACATTAAGAGTAAAATATCCCAGCTAGGGACTTACCTCAAAAGCTGAGGCATGACACATATTTTAATGGCAATGGATTTGGAAACCAAGGTTAGGACCGTTCTTTCTTTATTAGAAGGAGATTTATAATTCAGGGCCTTTGAGAGTGAGCCTGGGTCCTCTGAACTGGACTTCTCCTCTTGTCCCTTCCTGTACCCCAACTCCCCAAATTAAATAAGTAGGGAAGCAGAACAAGAAAACCATTAACTTAATAGCATAGAATTTATGGCTGAAATCTTGCAAAGCTTATGTCAGCAAAGTAAAATAATTACTGTCACTTTCTTTTAGACACTTGGCTTTATGGTTCCTGTCACCTTTATCATAACATGCAGCTGATTTAGTAGCTATTTTTTCATGGCAAATAGCCTGGTGTTGTGTTTTTATGCATGTGACCATGCAATTGAGATGACAATGCATGGCTATACTACAGTAGAGCTAAATTTAGGTAATGAATTAGAACACTGTTAATAGTTTTGGTTTAGTCATGCTGTCAGAATGCCAACTCAGCCTTTTCTCTTGCTCTTTTTCCCCTCCAGATTCTCAAGTCCAAAGATTTAACATCTCCAACCCAGCGCTACATCGACAGCAAAGTTGTGAAAACAAGAGCAGAAGGCGAATGGCTCTCCTTCGATGTAACTGATGCTGTTCATGAATGGCTTCACCATAAAGGTTACAAGCCACTCTCTCTTTTCCTCCCAAGATGTTCAGTATCCCTAAGTTACTTTAAATTGATTGCAGATTTAAGGGTATAGACACACATACAAATGACCTCCTTGACTTAATGTTTTCCAGACAGGAACCTGGGATTTAAAATAAGCTTACACTGTCCCTGCTGCACTTTTGTACCATCTAATAATTACATCATCCCAAATAAAAGTGAAGAACTAGAAGCAAGATTTGCAGGTAACCAAAACTTGGTCATATGAGGTGGGGGAGGGAAGGGTCTATATTGATAATCTCATGGGGGATAAAATCAGTTTGCATGTGAAAATGAGACTGGTAAGGCCTGGGGAGTTTCATTCATTTGGACAGTGATATGGTTGGATATACATATGTGAAGGGAGAAAGGATTGGAAGAACGGAATAGGTTCCCAGTTTATAATTCTCAATGCCCAGTGATGACTTGGTCAATAATAACTGATTAACTCATTAACCCTCCAGTAGTAAGTTAAGGCCTTTGTTCTTCATTGTAGCAAACCAACTTTCCATCTATACTGATATTATAGAGAAAGATAGAATGTGTTTAAGAAAATTCATTGATAATCCCCCAAACCAAATGTCAGGAACTGACAACCGTATTTCACAGAAGAAAGGAGTCTCCTCCTGCTACAGCTTCCATAACTAACCTTCCATGTATAAGAACATTCCACCTTTTCTAGTCCATACCCAGTATTTCAAGTGGGTTCCTTATCAGAATTTTATATTAGTTTATAAACACATAAAAATGTTTTGGCTTTCCCCACGCTTACCTTTAAGTAAGTTGGACAAAAGTCATGGAGAGTGAGGCGATACCAAGGGCTCAAGTCACTTCATGTATTAGATGATGAGTTGTTGGATGATGAGAGGTGAGAGGAAATCCATGCCTATGTGCCGATACAGCATCTGCCCACAATGCCAGGCCAGAGAATTGATTTCCCTGCCCTCCTAACATCACCCAGGACCTCCATCCACTTTTAGAAGACTACAGCAGCCCTTGCTCATGGAAAAATACTCCCAGAGGTCTAGAGATTTATTTCAGTCTCTAACCTAGTCATGATTCTCTGGAGTGTGGAGATTAAATGCTTAAACTGGCAGTCTCTTGAGCATGCTTTGGGGAGCTCAAGTTTCTAAATCTCAGATGGAATCAGGAAAGTGTTGAGGATGCCATAAAATAAATGAAAAAGCCCTTTCTTCACAGCTTCCCAAAATAGCATTAGGTAAGGGTGACTTCTGTTTCACTTGAACCTAATTCACTCCAATTCAGTTAAGTCTCAGTTTATGTTCATTAGGAAAGTCTTTTGAGTTTAGTAGTCTTAGGAAGAGTGTGAACCAGCGGGTGACAAGGCATGTTCTATTGCCATGTGTTCAGTTGTTGAGGGCTTGAACGCAGCCTAAACTGAGGATTGACTAAAATAAACTGCCTAGATTGCCCTTGGACTATAGGTCAAAGACTGCTTCTGTAGTGACTTTCATAACCAACAGCCCTGGCTTTGACACCGAACTGCCTTCTGACAAGAGCCCCATTTAGAAGTGTTAATTGTCACGTGGGTTAGTCGTAGTCCTGTTGTGCCATATCTATTTCCATGGGGAATAACTGTTGCCAGCTGATGCTGCTTTGGTGGTCATCACTGCTATTTGTGACAATATACAAAGGAAAAAAATATGGCTGACTATATTTGATGAAGGTGAAGCTAAATGTTTATTACCCAAATGCATTTTTTCAAGGTATTGATGGCACCTCCACATATACCAGTGGTGATCAGAAAACTATAAAGTCCACTAGGAAAAAAAACAGTGGGAAGACCCCACATCTCCTGCTAATGTTATTGCCCTCCTACAGACTTGAGTCACAACAGACCAACCGGCGGAAGAAGCGTGCTTTGGATGCGGCCTATTGCTTTAGGTAAAGGAAAGAAAAGTAAAACCAAGTAATTGCATCTGTTAACTCTTAAACTGCCTTTGCCCTTTCTTTTACTGTGTATTGACCCAAGTGGAACTCACTGCTAAGGCCAGATAGAGTGCAGTACAGCTCCTGTGTCTCATAATACCATTCTTCCCAGAGGCTTATATTCATCAGGTCTTTAGCAGTGAACCAAGTGTGAAGGGAGAAAACTAACCCCCTGAATTTTTTCCCCAAAATTCCTCTGAAGTTCTTTGGTGCTGAAGAAGAAAACAAGCTCTCTGCTCCTCAGAACAAATAAAAGCTTATTTGAGGTGTGTGATGTCAACTCCTTAATTAAGAAAGACCCACCATCTGGATGATGCCTTCATCCTCACCAAGTCCAAGTGCTGATAGTCACACTTCTTTCATAGTAACAGAGATGAGACAGCAGAAGAATGCCGTGTGTCACACCTTTAGCAACAGCATATGAGAGAAGCAAGAAGAATTTATTTCCCATTCCCACATGAGTGCATGGAGGGAGAATGTGAATGTTCTTATGTGGTCTCAGTAAGAGGAGGGCTCTTTCCTTATTTTGAGAGGTACAGGACAGGGAAGGGTCCTCACTGATGAAGTGCTCAAAATGTCAGAGGCCATGAGTAAAGTGGCACTTTTTGGTTGCCAGATCCAGTGGTTGCCCTCAGCAAGACTCCATGTTTCTTGATCTCTGGTTCATTCCTAGATCAGAGAACATGTGGTGAAACAAAGGATCAATTCTCAAAGGAAAACGCCTTAGATGGTTGTTTGAAAATTGCTGTTGTACTTCTTTCATTTTATATTTGAAAGGGCAATAGAGGCTGGATGGCAGAACTGCCCAGTGTTGATTGGAAAGGGCTTCATCATGCCCAGCCACTCTCTGCTTATATCTGGTCATCTGAAGGTAAATGTATGATTTTCCAGGTCACAGACAAGGAAGTCAGGGTATAGAACTCATAAGGGCAAGTAGTCCAGCAAATCACCACCACATACAACACCCTATC
Organism: Homo sapiens; assembly: GCF_000001405.40. Taxonomy (NCBI): domain Eukaryota; kingdom Metazoa; phylum Chordata; class Mammalia; order Primates; family Hominidae; genus Homo; species Homo sapiens. Next base: position 218,437,164 of record NC_000001.11, read on the forward strand.
ATGAAAGTCACTTGAGATTACAATAAAGCCATTAAAACCTGGCCCATGATATTTGCTCATTAGATGTTTGTTGAATAAATGAATGAATCATTTTTCTGGTTTGGGGTGAGGTGGTGGTAGAGTGAGGGTGGTGAATCAGCTTTAAAATCTCCATTGCTTTTTTTTTTTTTTTTTAACAGAAATGTGCAGGATAATTGCTGCCTACGTCCACTTTACATTGATTTCAAGAGGGATCTAGGGTGGAAATGGATACACGAACCCAAAGGGTACAATGCCAACTTCTGTGCTGGAGCATGCCCGTATTTATGGAGTTCAGACACTCAGCACAGCAGGGTGAGTGTTCAGCTTACCTGTTGCCTCTGTTCTTGGGTTACCATGTGCACCTGCTGATAGTATTTCCAAATGAGTTGTAATTAACCTCGTGCTGTCTTACCATCACACATGTATGGGTACTGGAGAAAAATCTTTCATTAGGTTGGTGCAAAAGTATTCGCAGTTTTTGCCATTGAAAATAATGGCAAGAAACTCCCCTAATAGATGAGGAGGAAGAATGTTAACTGTAGGTGAAATCAGAAAGTGACACTGATCGGTTACAAACCATAAGTCTCACCTGCCCAGTTATTAACAACTGGAGGGAAGTTTTGTTTACTTTTTTCTTTATTTTATATTCTTTTTCAAAAACAATTTTTATTGATACATAATTGCATATATTAATGAGGTACATGTGATATTTTGATACATGTATACAATGTGTAATGATGAAATCAGGGTAATTAGGATATCCATTGCCTCAAAAATTTATCATTTCCTCATTTGGGGAACATTCCAGATCATCTCTTCTAGTTACTTTAAAATAGACAATAAATTATTGTTAACTATAGTAACCCTACTGTGCTATAAAACATTAGAATTTATTCCTTCTATCTAACTGTATTTTCATACCTATTAATCAACTTCTCTTCACCCTTACCCTGTTCCCAGCCTCTGGTAACCATCATTCTACTCTCTGCCTCCATAAGTTTTATATTCTTAACAGCTATAAGCATAAATAGCCAAGAAAACACCCTTTTTAGAATCAATATGTCACATAGTATCATATATAGATAAAGTGTGAAGGGACCCAGGTCTCCATCTAAAAAAAAAATCTGCTATCATCTCCATCAGAGACTGTTATATTAGAAAGAACATTGGGGATTTCAGTTAATGCCTGGGAGTGTGTGATTATTAGTAAATACACTATCAATTTACTAATGTATGACAGAATGTAATTTAACATCTCTAAACCTCAGTTTCTTATCAGTAAGAAGGAATGTCTGTATTAAAAGTTATCTTTAAAATAATAATGCCAAACTCAAGAGTTGATATGAAGTACAAAAGATGATATACATGAAAATGACTTGAAAATTCGTTTCTCTACTTTTTTTTTAATGTAACACAAAGTAAATGAGAATCTGAGTATTTTATCAAGTTGTTTCAATGAAGACAGAGTTGATTCAGAAGGTAATTCCCAGATTGGATGGTATGAGTTTCCGGCAAGATTAGAGAAGAGTTTTTCTATGTAATAATGATATTTGTTCACATGCTTCCTCTTGATGGCTCATCAGGATTTTAGAGATAGAAAGGACATCTTATCCAACGCTTTCATTTTCTTAAAGAAATTGGGGACCGGGCGCAGTGACTCATGCCTGTATTTCCAGCACTTCGGGAGGCCGAGGCAGGTGGATCACGAGGTCAGGAGTTCAAGACCAGCCTGGTCAAGATGATGAAACCCCGTCTCTACTAAAAATACAAAAAAATTAACCAGGCATGGTGGCGGGTGCCTGCAATCCCAGCTACTCGGGAGGTTGAGGCAGAGAATCGCTTGAACCCAGGAGGCGGAGGTTGCAGTGAGCCGAGATCGCACCACTGCACTCCAGCCTGGGTGGCAGAGTGAGATCCTGTCTCAAAAAAAAAAAAAAAAAAAAGAAATTGGGGTCTAGATCATGTAGTCTAGATGATACCCAAAACCAAACAGAAAATTAGTGACAAACCAAGGCTTGGCATGCAGGCCTCCTTGTTTTATAACCAGGCCTCCATTTGCTCTATCTTAGTGGGTTTAATTCCTAAAATATGGTTACACGTTAGGGTTTCTATTCTGCTCTTTATGCCTCTGTAAATCTCCCTATTAAAGAAGCATTAGAAAAATTGCCTTCACTGCAGGGTAGGAAAATGGATCAGCTGCCAAAAAAGATCACATACTACATTCAGCTGAATTCATGAGTTTGGGGGTTATCAATTATTTTAGACAATCTGTATTATAAAAATTCCTCTTTAGTTCATATGAAAACTCATGTGTTCAGGGAGCATAAAGTATATTTATTTATAAATACCTACATATGCTGGAATTTAAATTGACAAATACGGCTCCTCTTCCTTCAGCTGTTTTCCCAACTCCCCTGTAGACTTTGGCACTCGGGGGCGACCGTGTGCTTGGCCATGTGAGGGAAGCTTGCTCATGCCTGTCCCTTTGTCTGAGCTCTCTGGCCAGGCTGCCTCCTCTGGGCTGCGGCAGCAGTAGCTGTAATGTGGGCAAGGCCCTGTTGCCAAGTAGAAACATAATTCTCCTCTCTGATACACAGAGGGAGTGTGTGAAGGCTGAGACCATGCTTGTTTTTCAAGGAGAGAGGAAGAATAACTGTCATGGTCACAAATATGTGGTTTGGACAGTTACCCAAGAAGCCAGAGGTAGCTTAATAAAGTAGTCAGTGTTGCTGTGCTGAACAGATCTTCTGTCTTAGGCTGAAAAAATTGCAGTGAATCTCGAGGAAAAGGTCACTTGCTGTTTGACTAACACATTAATGGCATCCTTGGAAATGTCTCTGTATCATCAGTGGGGAACCTACATACTTCCATTAGTAAAAGTCTCACACCCCTCTGATACAGAATGGGGTTGAAGGTGTAAGGCTAATTATAGAACCGTCTCTTCATTCTGTTTTCAGACTTGCCATTAACTCCTCCAACTCAGCAACTACCATTTACCGCATAGGTTAGTGGAGGGTTGATTATGATTGTGATTATGATTATGATCGTTTTAAGCAAAATGTAAGAAAGTGAATAATTATTTCTTATAGGAGATCTTAGAGATCACTTTTATGTCATTTCTAGCATCACTGTGTTTATGAAGCAATGGTAAAAAAACAGGCTTTTTTTTTTTTAATGAAAATTGAGGATACCTTAAATTGGCCTGAGGAGACACTTAACGTAGAAAGATTTCATTTCCTTCCTTCCTTATTTATTTATTTAAAGAAACAGGGTCTGGGTCTGTTGTCCAAGCTGGTCCTGAACTCCTACACTCAAGTGATCCTTCAAAGTGTTGGGATTACAGGCGTGAGCCACCGTGCCCAGCCTGTAGAAAGATTTCACATTGCATACAGGTGTCTTTTTCTATACCCAAAGGTAGATTAAAGCTCTTATGAGAGCTTTGATAAAACTTTTTATTCTTCTACTTATTCATGTATTCATTTCTTCACTTAGTACATGAATCTCATTTTGTCCAGAGAAGACTTACTAGGGCCACAAGATAAAAGCAAAGTCTGTAGAGTTCCTGATCTGGAGGGAGCTCTTAATCTAGATGGGATTGAAATGTATACTCAAGAAACAACTTCATTTACAGAGTAGTGTAGAAATAAGACCAAATGCTATAAGGATCAAGTTTTGTGGGGACCTAGGATGTATGTGCAGCCAAGCACTGATCAGAGGAAAGACTTACTGGAAAAACCGGGAAAATCTGTTGAATGAGCAATTTTTTCCAATCTGACTCTTACAGAATCATTTGCTTAAGATGTGTGGAAAACGAGTTCCGTGTGGGAAAATAATGACTTTGGTGATTGCTAAGGTCACATATCAGTTTGACTGTAATTTAGGAAATTAGCAACCAAAAATAATTTTAAATTGCCTACTCAGTGCTGTGACTGCTAACAATGTGGAATTCTTTTTAAAAACGAATTGCGTTCATTTTCCGTCTTTCCCTATGTTGTCTCTCCTCTCCTGTGTCCTTTCAGGTCCTGAGCTTATATAATACCATAAATCCAGAAGCATCTGCTTCTCCTTGCTGCGTGTCCCAAGATTTAGAACCTCTAACCATTCTCTACTACATTGGCAAAACACCCAAGATTGAACAGCTTTCTAATATGATTGTAAAGTCTTGCAAATGCAGCTAAAATTCTTGGAAAAGTGGCAAGACCAAAATGACAATGATGATGATAATGATGATGACGACGACAACGATGATGCTTGTAACAAGAAAACATAAGAGAGCCTTGGTTCATCAGTGTTAAAAAATTTTTGAAAAGGCGGTACTAGTTCAGACACTTTGGAAGTTTGTGTTCTGTTTGTTAAAACTGGCATCTGACACAAAAAAAGTTGAAGGCCTTATTCTACATTTCACCTACTTTGTAAGTGAGAGAGACAAGAAGCAAATTTTTTTTAAAGAAAAAAATAAACACTGGAAGAATTTATTAGTGTTAATTATGTGAACAACGACAACAACAACAACAACAACAAACAGGAAAATCCCATTAAGTGGAGTTGCTGTACGTACCGTTCCTATCCCGCGCCTCACTTGATTTTTCTGTATTGCTATGCAATAGGCACCCTTCCCATTCTTACTCTTAGAGTTAACAGTGAGTTATTTATTGTGTGTTACTATATAATGAACGTTTCATTGCCCTTGGAAAATAAAACAGGTGTATAAAGTGGAGACCAAATACTTTGCCAGAAACTCATGGATGGCTTAAGGAACTTGAACTCAAACGAGCCAGAAAAAAAGAGGTCATATTAATGGGATGAAAACCCAAGTGAGTTATTATATGACCGAGAAAGTCTGCATTAAGATAAAGACCCTGAAAACACATGTTATGTATCAGCTGCCTAAGGAAGCTTCTTGTAAGGTCCAAAAACTAAAAAGACTGTTAATAAAAGAAACTTTCAGTCAGAATAAGTCTGTAAGTTTTTTTTTTTCTTTTTAATTGTAAATGGTTCTTTGTCAGTTTAGTAAACCAGTGAAATGTTGAAATGTTTTGACATGTACTGGTCAAACTTCAGACCTTAAAATATTGCTGTATAGCTATGCTATAGGTTTTTTCCTTTGTTTTGGTATATGTAACCATACCTATATTATTAAAATAGATGGATATAGAAGCCAGCATAATTGAAAACACATCTGCAGATCTCTTTTGCAAACTATTAAATCAAAACATTAACTACTTTATGTGTAATGTGTAAATTTTTACCATATTTTTTATATTCTGTAATAATGTCAACTATGATTTAGATTGACTTAAATTTGGGCTCTTTTTAATGATCACTCACAAATGTATGTTTCTTTTAGCTGGCCAGTACTTTTGAGTAAAGCCCCTATAGTTTGACTTGCACTACAAATGCATTTTTTTTTTAATAACATTTGCCCTACTTGTGCTTTGTGTTTCTTTCATTATTATGACATAAGCTACCTGGGTCCACTTGTCTTTTCTTTTTTTTGTTTCACAGAAAAGATGGGTTCGAGTTCAGTGGTCTTCATCTTCCAAGCATCATTACTAACCAAGTCAGACGTTAACAAATTTTTATGTTAGGAAAAGGAGGAATGTTATAGATACATAGAAAATTGAAGTAAAATGTTTTCATTTTAGCAAGGATTTAGGGTTCTAACTAAAACTCAGAATCTTTATTGAGTTAAGAAAAGTTTCTCTACCTTGGTTTAATCAATATTTTTGTAAAATCCTATTGTTATTACAAAGAGGACACTTCATAGGAAACATCTTTTTCTTTAGTCAGGTTTTTAATATTCAGGGGGAAATTGAAAGATATATATTTTAGTCGATTTTTCAAAAGGGGAAAAAAGTCCAGGTCAGCATAAGTCATTTTGTGTATTTCACTGAAGTTATAAGGTTTTTATAAATGTTCTTTGAAGGGGAAAAGGCACAAGCCAATTTTTCCTATGATCAAAAAATTCTTTCTTTCCTCTGAGTGAGAGTTATCTATATCTGAGGCTAAAGTTTACCTTGCTTTAATAAATAATTTGCCACATCATTGCAGAAGAGGTATCCTCATGCTGGGGTTAATAGAATATGTCAGTTTATCACTTGTCGCTTATTTAGCTTTAAAATAAAAATTAATAGGCAAAGCAATGGAATATTTGCAGTTTCACCTAAAGAGCAGCATAAGGAGGCGGGAATCCAAAGTGAAGTTGTTTGATATGGTCTACTTCTTTTTTGGAATTTCCTGACCATTAATTAAAGAATTGGATTTGCAAGTTTGAAAACTGGAAAAGCAAGAGATGGGATGCCATAATAGTAAACAGCCCTTGTGTTGGATGTAACCCAATCCCAGATTTGAGTGTGTGTTGATTATTTTTTTGTCTTCCACTTTTCTATTATGTGTAAATCACTTTTATTTCTGCAGACATTTTCCTCTCAGATAGGATGACATTTTGTTTTGTATTATTTTGTCTTTCCTCATGAATGCACTGATAATATTTTAAATGCTCTATTTTAAGATCTCTTGAATCTGTTTTTTTTTTTTTTAATTTGGGGGTTCTGTAAGGTCTTTATTTCCCATAAGTAAATATTGCCATGGGAGGGGGGTGGAGGTGGCAAGGAAGGGGTGAAGTGCTAGTATGCAAGTGGGCAGCAATTATTTTTGTGTTAATCAGCAGTACAATTTGATCGTTGGCATGGTTAAAAAATGGAATATAAGATTAGCTGTTTTGTATTTTGATGACCAATTACGCTGTATTTTAACACGATGTATGTCTGTTTTTGTGGTGCTCTAGTGGTAAATAAATTATTTCGATGATATGTGGATGTCTTTTTCCTATCAGTACCATCATCGAGTCTAGAAAACACCTGTGATGCAATAAGACTATCTCAAGCTGGAAAAGTCATACCACCTTTCCGATTGCCCTCTGTGCTTTCTCCCTTAAGGACAGTCACTTCAGAAGTCATGCTTTAAAGCACAAGAGTCAGGCCATATCCATCAAGGATAGAAGAAATCCCTGTGCCGTCTTTTTATTCCCTTATTTATTGCTATTTGGTAATTGTTTGAGATTTAGTTTCCATCCAGCTTGACTGCCGACCAGAAAAAATGCAGAGAGATGTTTGCACCATGCTTTGGCTTTCTGGTTCTATGTTCTGCCAACGCCAGGGCCAAAAGAACTGGTCTAGACAGTATCCCCTGTAGCCCCATAACTTGGATAGTTGCTGAGCCAGCCAGATATAACAAGAGCCACGTGCTTTCTGGGGTTGGTTGTTTGGGATCAGCTACTTGCCTGTCAGTTTCACTGGTACCACTGCACCACAAACAAAAAAACCCACCCTATTTCCTCCAATTTTTTTGGCTGCTACCTACAAGACCAGACTCCTCAAACGAGTTGCCAATCTCTTAATAAATAGGATTAATAAAAAAAGTAATTGTGACTCAATCTGGTTGTCTTGCTTTGTCTAGTGAAAGAACTAGTGTGTGCCTGTTGTGTTGTCTAAACACCATCTAGAAACAAACCATCAATTCGAGTATTGAGATAGAAGAGAAAATGGTTCCCTTTTCTGCAGTCTCATCTGTGTTTGATCTTTCATAGTAAACTCATAGAGAGAGGAAGTTTGTCACTCTAAACCCATTAGTTCATGCTTCTGTGCAGCCTGGCTAGTCCCAGAGCTATCACCCCAACCCACATTATATTTAATTGATGAGTAAGAATAGAAGGTATTATAGAATCAGAGAGATGAAAAGAGCCACCTAACAGCCTTACCAACTTTGGCAAATTTGTCAGCAACTCTGGGCCTCTGTTTCTTTAAAATGAAGATGACAATCCCTGCTCTATAGCGTTTTGTCTGTGTGTTTTAGTGCCCTTGTTGTAGTTAAGTGAATAGACACGTGAAAAGGTACTTTGCTTAGTGTTTCTTCTGTAATTGGCAGAGTAAATGGCAGGCAGGCTTAACAATATTTCCAAGCCTGTTCTGTTTTTGGTTTCTTGGCAATCTTGTAATGAACTTTTAACCTCCAGACTATAACCTGGGCTCATATTTCTCCATCTTGATACTAAATGTATAAAACCTCCAGACCCTTATCTCATAAATTGATCAGGACATCAGTAATTCCTGAGAATATTCTATAACTCTATATGTTAACCTTTTGGTTACGGGACTGACAGAAGTTATTATAGGGAAAAAGTTCATTTTAAGCTTTACTGAAGTCCACCAATGAAAATTCAAAGTAAAAGAGAACAGTGGCTAGTTGAATGACCCACTCCCTAACATGATAATGCAGTATTGATAACTACAGTATTCTGAGCATCTACCAGACACTGTTCTCTTTTGATTTATTTAATCTCATATTTAATCCTAGGATGTAGGTTTTTAAAAGAATATAACTCCATTTTAAAGGGAAGTGAGCAGACTCAGAATGCTTAAATTACTTGTCCAAGACCACTCAGCTTGTAAGTGAAGGGTCCAGGACTTCATTGTCCATTATATTAGCCACTAGCCACATGTGGCCATTGAGCAATCAAAACATGGCTAATGTGAATTGAGATATGCCAGATGTGTAAAATATACACCAGATTTTGAAGACTTAGTACAAAAAAAGAGTGTAAAATGTAAAATGTCTTATTAATGATTTTTATATTGATTACATGTCTAAATAATACTATTTTGAATATATGGGATTAAATAAAGTATATTATTAATTTTACCTGTTTTTTTTCACTTATTTAATACAGTTACCAGAAAATTTAAAATTACTTATGTGGCTCACATTTGTGTCTTGTGTTCTTGTGTTTCTAGTAGACAGCTCTGGCAAATAATTTGAAAGCAGCTCTGTTTACAAACCATGGTTACATGATTCCCATAAGCTATAATATTACCAGCCTTTGTTTTTGTAATTTACATATGATTGAACAATATTAGGTCATATCTTATGAAAGTGCAGTTTTTGTAGGTCAGAATTTGTTGAATATTCACATTCTGTAGAGTTCAACATAAAAGGTGATGCTGACTGAAAAATGTGGTAATGAAAATACAAATATTACCTAAGCCCCACTGGCAAAGCCCTTGATGAAACTGATGGTTACGTACAAGCAAAGCACCACTAAGTGGAACAGCACAACCTACCCCTAAGCAAGTTGGGCTATTGTATGAAATGATTTCTGCCCTTAGAAATCTTCATTAATGTACCTGTGACAACATTTTCTACCATTTTTAGGGGAGAATAAAAAGAAGAAGCCAAAAACTCACTGTTCCTTGCAGTCACTAGCCTTGAGATGGCATTACTTTTCTATCTGGGAATAAGCTGAGCTGTGCTCCTTTTGCTAATAAGCCTTAGACTATGGTTGGACCTATGCTTTGTCTTCCTGAAACACATATAACGTGTGTGGGAGGAGGACTGCTTTTTTAAAAAAAAAAAGAAGCAAAATTTCAAATACAAAATTAGATTGAAAGTCTTAGGGCCCGTAAAAGCGAAAGACCAGGACTTCAAGCGCATCATGGCAAACCTGTCTCTGAACGTTAGCTAATACATGCCTTTGTTTCTATCAAAGTCTATTACCTTGTAATTCTAGCAAAAACTAGATTGCATCTCTTTTTGCTAATCTACTAAATCATCACTCTATTCTCTAGTCCTTCCCTTGTCTCTGCAACCGCATCCTCTGTACTGAACAAAGAAAACCAGGACCCTGATTTTACTAACATTCCAGGTCAGGTCAGAGATAGTAGAGGAAATGTTATTTTTGTGCCTCTTTTGGAGCATAATAACTAGATCTGATGAGATTCGAGAAATAATTAATGTAAATATGAGGTAATTGTATCAATATATATGAATAATTTTACTCAACGTTGCAAAGGTAATGCTTTTTAATTGCCTTTTTTAAATGAAAGAGTTGCTTCAGGTTTTTCCCTGATTGAGTCTTTATTTCCCTGAAATACTTTGTAGCTAGTTTCTTTATTTCAGCACGTAATGGTCATTTGGAGAAGAGATGAGTGTGTTCCTGTAATTGGGCAGAGACCTTGTAAAGGGAACAGAATGTACTGAGAGAGACTTTGTGCTGTGTGATCAGAACTAGGAAAATCATTCAGCCTAAGAGAACAGACATAATTAAACAGAAAAGCAAAAAATTAGTGGTAAGAGGCCCAATATAATCTCTTAGGCTTTCCCTCCAACATGGGATTTTCTCTCCTATAGATGCCAACCCAACTGAAAGAACACACATGTGTTCCTCAGGTGACATCACCGAGGTCTGGCCAGCCCTGGAGTTGGAAACCCTCTCCTCAGGCCCAAATCTCAATTCTGAAAATCCCGAATCTCAGGCTGTTGGGAGCAAACAAGCTAAGAAGTTATGTAATTCAATACTGCTCTAAAAGCGATGTGAAGTCATGCAGTTTGGCTTGTCCTCAAGCATGGGCGTAACACTAATTTCTTCATTTGAACCAAAATTAAACTCTACCGAAAACTGGGAGAATGTTAAATCAAGTGGCAGTTGTTCATTTAGTAAAGTATCAAATTTCACATCACCACGTGTGCACATCTTCCCCTTGCCCATAACCTGGCCCTCCAAGAAATCACTGACTCCATTCAAATTTCTGAAAGGTGAAATTTAGGCAGAAACTGGTGGGAGAGGCACCAAGGAGCCCCAAGGAAGTCCAGCAACCCCCTTAATATTACCCCTTTGTTACAAGCTCTGAGAGTTATCCATGAGGAATTATTCTTGTAGGATTTTTTCCACAAGCATATACATACATTCATATATATATATATATATATATATATATATATATATATATATAGTTTTAAATATGAAAATCATCAATGGGGCAGCACAGGAAACAATTTCAACCGAAACGTGCTAGAATGGATTTTGATTTATTTAATCTCTATCCAGGACCTGGAAAAGTGAGACCACCATTGAATACCTCAGGGCAAGATAGAAGTAGAAAGGCAGGAGGGACAAATGGAGTTGAGCCAGAAAGGGAGTTGGGAACCCTGAGCACTGACATTATGTGTGCCACACATTTAGTCGAGTTTGATGTCCTGTATATACCATTACAGCAAGTGTAGAGAGAAAAACAAAACAAATTGGTCAACTGAGCTTAACTTCAAGCAAAAGATTCAGTTGAGGAGTCTCACTGTGCCATTGTCTTTCAACAGGAGTCTTTAAAAGCCAAAGTGCTAGTTGTAGAAATGATGTGATGGGAAAACATCTCTCCTTGTTCTCAGTATCCACCCTGTTGTGCTGGGTTTTTGGGATTGTCAGACCCCATTCCCAGGGTCCTCCCTAAAATCAGTGAGTGTTCCCAGTCCTGTGCTTCTTACATGAGGCCATTCCTGATATGATTTGGCCCTGTGTTCCCACCCAAATCTCATCTCGAATTGTAATCCCATAATCCCCATGTGTTGTGGGAGGGACATGATGGGAGGTAATTGAATCATGGGGGCTATTTCCCCCATGCTGTTCTCGTGATAGTTAGAGTTCTCACAAGATCCAATGGTTTATAAGCATCTGGCATTTCCCCTGCTGGCACTCATTCTCTCTCCTGCCGCCCTGTGAAGAGGTGCCTTCCACCATGATTGCACATTTTCTGAGGCCTCCCCAGCCATATGGAACTGTGTCAATTAAAACTCTTTCCTTTATAAATTACCCAGTCGCGGGTATTCCTTCATAGCAGTGTGAGAACAAACTAATACAACTCCTTATTTATCCTGTTTCCAGCCTCTAGTACGCAACTGAGCTTATGGCAATTTGAAAAATGTTTGCTAAATTGAAAAAGGGCATAGATGGGACTATAGCTCCAGTTCTGCCACTGATACTATGGAAGTCAGTAAAATCACCTAACTTTCTCAGAGCTTTCTTTGTCAATAAGACAAAAGCATTGGATTGGATGACCTGTAAAGTCCTGTTTTGTTTACTTGGCAAACCTAGAACCTAAAATCTAAACAAAGTCTGACATATAGAATATGTTCAGTAATTATTTGTTGAATTAATGAATAGACGCTTGCTTCCTGTTCATTGGTACAATCACAGAAAAACACATCAGGGCAACCAAAGAATCAGAAACAAAAATTACAAATGACTTTACAGGTATTGAGAATACAGTGGTGTTGGGAAGACAGATACATGTGAATTATACTATTAGGTTGTAACATATGTGTGAGGTGCATTGAAAATATTGAGGTTACTAGTAACAAGAAAAAATGACTGGCTAAATCATTAGGTTGAACCACATGAACTGGGTTTTTGTTTTTGTTTTTGTTTTTTTGGTGGGCCAAAACTGAAAAAAAAAAAGGCTGACTATTGATTATTTCACATGAGGTTCACAGAGAATAGGACACAGGGAAAACAGACCTGGGGATTAGCAGAGATCAAGGAAGCCCTGGAGGGACTAGAGGCAGAAAAGAGGAAACCCAATTGACTGTTGCAGGAATAGAGGGTGTCTTGGTACATTCAGGCTGCTGTCATCTAGACTGGGTGGCTTATAAACAATGGAAACTTATTCCTCACAGTTTTGAAGACTATGAAGTCTAAGATCAAGGAACCAGCAGATTCAGTGTCTGATAAGACCCTGCTTTTTGGTTCATGGATGGTTATCTTTTCACTGCATCCTCACATGGTAGCAGGGCCAAGGGGCGCATCTCAGGCCACTTTTATAAGGGCATTAATTACATCCATAAAGGCTCTGCCTCCATGAACTAATTACTTCCCAAAGGCCCCACCTTCTACCACCATTACCTTGGGGTTTAGAATCTCAACGTAAGAATTTTTCGGGGACAAGCATTCAGACCATAGCGTCAGGGGAGTCACTGCTGAGACAGACACCACCACTCTGTGGAGGCTATGAGCATGGCCTCCTAATACTTCCTTACTCAGTGCTTCCCTCATTCAAGATGGAAAGTTCCAGAAGAAAGAAATCAGTTGGCTGAACTTAGGTCATGAGCCAGTTCCTTTGCTAGAACATGGGATTTTAGGGAAAGAATCTGAGTTCCTTGGCTTCTGTGGTAGGAAGAGAAACAGGGAGTAGTTACTCTCCCAGCAAGACTGCCTACATAAAGAGAAAATGGTTACACAAGAAAAGTTAAGTTTGTTAGGAAGAAATATGGAGGCTGGGCCACAATGTTTAGGTATTAGTTTGCTGGAACTGCTGGAACTAAGTACCACAAACTGGGTGGTTTAAACAACAGGATTTCATTGTGTCGGTTCTGGAGGCTAGAAGTCTAAAATTAAGGTGTTGACATGGGTGGTGTCATCTGAGGGCTGTGAGGGAAGATCTGTTTCAGGGCCTCTTTTCTTGGTTTGTAGATGGCCATCTTTTCCCTGAATTTCTTCACACTGTCTTCCCTCGATATGTGTCTGATCTTGTGTCCAAATTTCCCTTTTATAAAGACGTCAGTCATATTGGATTAGGGCCCACCCTAATAACTGCATTTTAATTTAGTCTCCTCCATAAAGACCCTATTTCCAAATAAGGTCATATTCTGAGGTACTAGGGGTCAGGACTCCAATCTATCCTTTCTAGAGAGGACACAATTTGACCTATAACAATTTAACTCTGAACTGCAGAAGAGAGTGACTATTAATAGTTATTTCTGGGGAAATTCAAGGAATAATAAACTGAATGAAAAATGGGCTTTACCAACCTGCTAAAGGCCAGATATTTCTGCCAGTAATGGGGAAAAATTTGAGTCAATTAGATCAATCTCTGTAACCCGGTCTTCTTTGTAAGACACTTTGAAAAAGTCTAGAGTTGTAGACTTTCAGAGCAAACCTCGCACATTTCTGTATGGATGGGCACTTCCCCCTGTACTCACTGATCCCAAACCAGGGCACACAACAGTCACCTTGACAGCTTCTAAAATTACAGATTTTCAGGTCTATCCCAAACCTACTGGGTCAGACCATTTGGGGGAATAGAAAGGGAATTTTATAGTAAAGGAGAAATATATTCCAGGTAAATCTGATGCAGTACAATGCTAGCATTTGTCAATTACTAACCAAGTGGGATATAAATGTATGAGGAAATCTTCGCAAAAATGAGGCCATTTCAATGAAAGATATTTTCATGATAACTGCAAATATTTGAACTACTATCAGAAGATGAGGATCTATGATGTGGTCTGGTAACAGACTCATACTCACTTCTCCAGGAATCTCAATCATATCAACTCCATGCTCTGTTAAGAGATGGTTGTATATCTGCCCAGATCTCTAAAAGCAATGTTGCCCATCTCTAAAAAAAGAAGCATCTTTCTCCCCATTCTATTGCATGGCAAGGTCAGGGTTGGAGGCCTTGGGAAAATGTCAAATATCAAACATGAAATGTTTAGAAGATCACGGTTTGTCATTTCCCAAAAAAGACGTATCCTAGGACAAAAAGGAGAATTGTTCCTTCACATGATGGTGCCTGCAAAAGGTTGCCATGGAAGTCTGGCGATTGGGGCAGTCTGTGATCCATCATCTCAACTAGACATTTCCTGTGGGCTTGAAGCTTTCTATGGGAACTTTTTTGAATGTTTCTCTTGTAGAGAGCCCTTCCCTGGTGGCAGCTTTTGATTTTACTTCCCCAACTAATGGTTTTGGCTTTGCTAGTAGTCCCCAGCCAACTCAGTCTCTTCAGTTAAAAAGAGCAATTCAATTCTGCAATTTTCTTTTCCAAAAATTAAATTAATGAGTTGATTAGTTTTAGGTAGCCAAAATAATAATTATTATTTTTACATGTTCAACAACTGTTTTGGTATCTGCATATGCACCTTTAATGAGGAATGTTTCTGAGGTAAGAGGAACATTATCTGAGCTTACTACATTTGAAATGAATGTTTTCCCTACTATGTTGTAGTGTTTGGTTCAAGCATCTGTTTTCCTCCCCAGCACCTGTCTGCCTGGTGCAGAGGAAAGGAGAATGAATAAGCAAAGAACTGATTTGTCTGCGTAGCCCAGTATTTACTACTTAATTGGTTGCCAGGGACCAGATTGCCACAGTTTATTTCTGAAGAAAACAGACGTTGCAATGAGAATGTAAGTACTTGACCTCTGGAGTCGTGCGATAAAATGTGTGAAAATGTCAACTCATAGTGCCTAGCACACAATAGGTGCTCCACAGATGTCCGTGTCCATTCTTCTTCTCCCTAATCATGTTATATGCTTACCTCATGACATCTTTCTTAGTGGCAAATCTCCCCCTACAGATAGCTTCTATGCTTTCTTCAAACCCATTCCAATGATGCTTGCTTGACAGCTATTACCTGGCCATCAGGCAACACTTGTGTAAGTTGCTCATCAATTAGGAGGCACTCACCAAAGCCAGCCCAGGTTCATAGATCCCTCTTCTATACTCACAACTCACCAATTACCCACTTCTTTTGGAAAGCTGCCCTGGCTACAACTGTGCCAGAGCACCCCAGAGGGGAATTGGCCATTGTCTGATGTCCTTGGAGGAAGGAAGGCATCTGCATTTTTAAGGGAAGGGGAAGACAGTGGTGTCCTGACACCTGTTGAAACTTTGGCATCCTGGGAGTTCACTCAGCTGGTTCTTAAAGGTTGTCTGTCTCTTGCCATGGCAGAACACAGTTGTTTTTAAGGAATGTTTGGATAAAACATTTTCCAGGCCACATTTATCCCCCTGCAGGACTATGTTATATGTGACAACATTCCAATTTTGAGGCATGACTTGTGCCAATCCAGACCGGCAATTAGAGCTGACACATTCCATGAGTTATTGGTCAAGCCCTCAAGAGACCAGAAAGAAAACAACAAAGGAAAACTTTACCAATAAAGGGAACCAATTGGAGTTGTGCATGAAGCCTTCAAACAGAAGTTTCTTCCTCAACTTCTCTTGTCTTGTACTGTCTTACTATGTCTTCTGCCTAAAACCTCCACAAGTCTAGGTGGGACATGGTGGTGTGTTGGATGCTGTGCAGTGTGGCTAAATGTGGTTGATCTTCGTGGTACAACACTTGAACATGGACCACCTGAGCTGGAACTTGCAAAACTCAGGAACCATTTCTGACAAATATAGTTCAAAACCTCAAGTCACATCCAGTGACATCAAAGCCTGAAAGCAGCCCTTACACTATAAAGTGCAACAGAGGTGCATGGAAAGAATCTGTCTGCCCCCACCTCCATGACAATCTACTAATCATCCGATGTACAACGTGCACAAATTATGTAGTGAACCAAAATCCCTTCTGGAGAAGGTGCTGTGACATCATTTTCTAATTACAAATACCATTAACTTTTACCTAAGTCTCTCACACAAACAAAATGCTATTTCAAGGTTTCTATGATCTTTGGAAAAATCAACCAGGAGTTCAAAAAGGAAGCCTATTCCATGGATGGTTGTGGAAATTTCCATAGTTCTAGGGGCCTGATTCTCTGATCACTGACCTATTTTTATCCCCTGAGTATCTATGCAAGTATAATTATAGGATGTATTCATTGAACCATTTGAATTAATAGGAAGTCTAAATGCAAGCTATCATTTAAGAATGCAATGTCAATGTTTTCAAGTATTCAGTGTGCAGTGACTCTAGAACAAAGTGTTATATAATAGAAGCTTTGGGAAATCACACAAATGATGTAGATAAGACGCAGAAGAACTATTTTTAATTGTCAGCTTTTGGTATGTAAACAGCTTTTGAAGAGTTTTAAATTATTATCACATATGTTTAATAAGTTCAGTGCAATCTTTTCAAGCTTTGTTAAAAAAAATTATTTCTGATACCACAGTCAACATACTGTCTTGGCACTATTTTAAAAATTCATGTTCTCTCCTTAAGCAGAATGAATTTATACACTCTCTCTACCGAGAAACAGTACACATTGTTGGGCCAGGCACAGTGGCTCACGCCTGTAATCCTAGCACTTTGTGAGGCCGAGGCAGGTGGATCACTTGAGGTCAGGAGTTGCAGACCAGCCTGGCCAGCATGGCGAAATCCCATCTCTACTAAAAATACAAAAATTAGCTGGGCAGGGTGGCACACACCTGTAGTCCCAGCTACTTCAGAGGCTGAGGCAGGAGAATCACTTGAACCTGGGAGGTTGCAGTGAGCTGAGATCATGCCACTGCACTTCAGCCTGGCAAGACTCCATCTCAAAAAAAACAAAAACAAAAAAAAACAGGCCAGGCGCGGTGTCTCACGCCTGTAATCCCAGCACTTTGGGAGGCCGAGGCGGGCAGATCATGAAGTCAGGAGATCGAGACCATCCTGGCTAACACGGTGAAACCCCCATCTCTACTAAAAATACAAAAAATTAGCCAGACGTGGTGGCGGGTGCCTGTAGTCCCAGCTACTAGGAAGGCTGAGGCAGGAGAATGGCATGAACCCAGGAGGCGGAGCTTGCAGTGAGCCGAGATCACGCCACTGCACTCCAGCCTGGGCGACAGAGCGAGACTCCATCTCGAAAAACAAACAAAAAAGAAACAGCATACATCATGATTATATATAGCAGCAAAATAAAATACTACATTAAACCACATAGACTATCCACAGAAATTTAATATATAAATCCAAAAACCCACATAGACTTATGATAAAGCAACAATAGATTACTAAATCAAGGATGATCTATTGTATGTGGGGGTGACTTAAGTTTGTTTTTACAAATATTATTCAATTTTAAAAGCAAATCATTATGCACTTGGACAGCATTGAGAGAAGATGAGAAATGGTTGCCAGAGAAACATCTCTGTTTTGGGTAAAAATTTAAAATATGATCTCTATTATGTTCCTTATGGTTCCACACATAAAATACCACATAATAATTTCTCTTATAGTCAACTGTTAATAAAATATAAATCTTTCCTGATGTCACAGGAAACTTTCTTAAATGAGATTATAAGAATAAAATGCATAGATTATCTGTTTTTATCTTGGCTGCCAGTGAGCTCAGAGCTAAATTTTATAGCTTACCACAGGCATTTCCTTAGCCTAGCCTAGGTTGTCAGGTAGAATTTTCTCCTTTTTCGTTCTCTGCTTTCTATTACTTAACCCCCATTCTGTTACCTCTCTTTTGCTGCAACTCATATTTTTCTGGAGATAGGAAGGAATGGGTAATACCAATAAAAGGAAAAATTAACATTAATGAAAATGAAGACCGTGCCAAGCTCAGTCTCCATATGTATAATTACAATTTCTAAATTAGTGGTGTTTTTTGTTTGTTTGTTTGTTTTGAGACAGAGTCTCGCTTTGTTGCCCAGGCTGGAGTGCAGTGGCATGATCTCGGCTCACTGCAAGCTCTGCCTCCTGGGTTCACGCCATTCTCCTGCCTCAGCCTCCTGAGTAGCTGGGACTACAGGTGCCCGCCACCATGCCCAGCTAATTTTTTTGTAGTATTTTCAGTAGAGACAGGGTTTCACTGTGTTAGCCAGGATGGTCTCAATCTCCTGACCTTGTGATCTGCCCGCCTCAGCCTCCCAAAGTGCTGGGATTACAGGCATGAGCCACCGTGCCCAACCTAGTGTGTTCTTTACTAATAGAGTTTTGCTTCATTTTTACATATTTGTATGTTGTTTTTGTATTTTATCTGTATTTCCCGTCTTCATAATCTAATTTTTTTCCCCCTTGGGATCATAGTCAGTGAGTAACACAATCATAGAAATCAGCAATTTGAGGGCTGTGAGATAGTTTCTTTATGTAGAAAGGCAACATTGAACTTCTTTTTTCTTCAGCTGTAAAATAAGGAAAAGAGAATTTTTTTTTTTTTTTTTTGAGACGGAGTCTTGCTCTGTTGCCCAGGCTGGAGTGCAGTGGCGCGATCTCGGCTCACTGCAACCTCTGCCTCCTGGGTTCAAGCAATTCTCCTGCCTCAGCCTCTCACGTAGCTGGGACTACAGGTGCATGCCACCATGCTTGGCTAATCTTTTTGTATTTTTAGTAGAGACGGGGTTTCACCATGTTAGCCAGGATGGTGTCGATCTCTTGACCTCGTGATCCGCCCGCCTGGGCCTCCCAAAGTGCTGGGATTACAGGCGTGAGCCACCGCGCCCAGCCAAGAGAACATATCTTTAAGAATTACAGATTCTGTCTATAAAATAGCTAAGACAGTTTCTGGCATGTGGTAGAAAAGCATCTCAATAAATAGTAGCTTTTATACAAAGAAAGTGCTCTAACTTTCTTCCAGTGATATAGTAGGAAAGTTCTGGACTCAAAGCTGTAAGACATTATTAGTCCGGTTTTAGTTTTGTTGCTCACCAGATACATAAATACTATGGATACACCATTTAGTCTCAGAGAAAGTACTCTCCACTAGGAGTAGAATGAAAACTGCATATATAGTTTAAATATTCTAGAATCCTGCTATGGTTTGAATGTGTCCTCCAGATTTCATGTGTTGAAAACTTAATTCCCAAATTTGCTTATCGATGGCATTTGGAGGTGGGGCTTTTGGGAGCTAAGTCAGATTAGATAGAGTCATCAAAGTGGTGTCCCATGATGGGACTGGTGGCTTTATAAGAAGAGGAAGTGAAACCTGAGTTGGCATGCTCTTGCCCTCACACCATGTGATGCCCTCTGCCATTTTACAGTGCAGCAAGAAAGCCCTACCCAGGTGCTAGCACCTTGATCTTAGACTTCTCAGCGTCCAGAACTGAGAAATAAAATTTCTTTTCACTATAAATTACTCAGTCTGTGGTATTCAAGTATAGCAATGGAAAACGAACTAAGACCAATTTATATTAAAAATGTGAAAAGAAGTGAAATTATTTTTAACAATATATTTTAACACAGTACAGCCAAAACATTATAATTCCAACGTGTAATTAATGTATAACCTTATTACTAATACATTTTATGTTATTATTTTTTAATCAAAAGTCTTCAGTATCTAGTGTGTATCTTACACTTAACCATACATCTCAATTTGAATAAGCCACACTTTATGTGCTCAGTAGCCACATGTGGCTAGTGGCTACAGTACTAGATAGCACAGAATTAAAACTTGTTTCCACTATTAAGAAATAGAAATAATTGTTAACAATACTGGCGAAGATGTGTGAAATGAACATCTTTCTGCAATGAAGTTAATTCATAAACATGCTTAACTCTTTTAGAACCAATTTTGACTATCAAGATTGTTGTAAACCCATCTGACAAGGGATTAGTAACCAGAATACATAAGGAGCTCAACCACTCTATAGAAAAAAAACTAATAATCCAATAAAAAAATAGGCAAAATATTTGAATAGACATTTCTCAAAAGAAGACATGCAAATGGCAAACAAGCATGTGAAAAGGTGCTCAACATCACTGATCATCAGAGAAACGCAAATCAAAACTACAATGAGATACATCATCCCAGTTAAAATGGCTTATGTCCAAAAGACAGACAGTAACAAATGCTGGCGAGGATGTGGAGAAAAGAGAATCCTTCTACAATGTTGGTTGGAATGTAAATTAGTACAATCACTATAGAAAACAGTTTGGAGTTTCCTCAAAAAGTTAAAAATGGAGCTAACATATGATCTAGCAATCACACTGCTGGGTATATACCCAAAAGAAAGGAAATCAGTATATCAAAGAGATATCTGCACTTCTATGTTTATTGCAGCACTGTTTACAATAGCTAAGATTTGGAAGGAACCTAAGTGTCCATCAACAGATGAACTGATAAAGAAAATGTGGTACATATACACAATGGAGTACTATTCAGCCATAAAAAGAATGAGATCCAGTCATCTGCAACAACGTAGATGGAACTGGAGATCATTATGTTAAATGAAATAAGTCAGGCACAGAAAGACAAATATTGCATGTTTTCACTTATATGTGGGATCTAAAAATCAAAACAACTCAACTCATGGACATAAAGAGTAGAAGGATGGTTACCAAAAGCTAAGAAGGAGAGTGGGAGGGTGAGGGGCAGGTGGGGATGGTTAATGGGTACAAAAAAAGTGGTTAAAAAGAATGAATAAGACCTACTGTTTGATAGTACAAGAGCGTAGATATAACTTAACTGTATATTTTGAAATCACCTAAAGAGTGCATTGGATTGTCCATAACTCAAAGTGTAAATGCATAATCTCCATAACGTGCTTATTTAATGCCTGTATTAAAACATCTCATGTACCCCATAAATATATACACTTATTATGTATCCACAAAAATTAAAAATAGAAAAAGATGGTTATACATAACTATACACATCCAGTAATGCTGTTTGTGGGAAATTATCTTAACAAAATAATCACAATAGCTCCAGGCACAAAGATATTCATTACAGTATTAATTATAGTTACAGAAAATTAAGATAATCCAGACTCCCAAATATATGGATTTAGTTAGATGTATTACTTATGTAATATATATAGCACAGTATAACCCTACAGGGTAATATTACATAGTGGTTAAGATCACTTTGCATTAGAGAGATGGAAGTATTTTCAAGCTATGTTTTGGTGATAGTTGCACAGCAGAATGAATACGTTAACATTTGTCAAACTATACTCTTATGATTGAGTGAATGTTATAGTATGTAAATTATATGCCTCAATCGAGCTATTAAAATGCTATAGCAGAATATTTAGCAAAATGTAAAATGCTCACAATTGTTGGTTAAATTTTGCCAAAATCTCTATATAGAAAAATAATGAGACACATAGTAAATTTGTAACAGTTGTTACCTAAGAGCAGTAAGATTTGGTGACACTGTCATTTTCTTTTTTGTGCTTTTCTATACTTTCTAGATTTTCTATACAAATATTTAATAGTTTATCATTAGAAAGCAGAAATGTTACAAAATTGTTCATGAAGAATTGCTGATATCATACAAAAAATATATCTAGTTCGATTTGAAGTGGCAAGCAGTATAGAAAAGTGCATGCAGAGAATAGCTGAACCTTGAGAAGAGCAAACACTTCCATACTGCTTACTTTATCAGGCACTGATTATCAGCACTATTAAGTGCTTCGCATTTATTAATACACGTAGTCTTTACAACAACCCTATGAGACAGAGTCTATTACAGTCTCCATTTCTCAGGTGAGTAATGTGAGATAACCAGAGAAGTAGATGGGCCAAAGTCATACAGGTCTTAAAAGGAGGAGCTAAGAATACAAAAGCAGGCAATGAGCTCCAGAGCCTACGCGCTGACCTGCTGCTATGCAATGCAGCAGAGAAACGGACCAAAAGGCTCACCGTTCTTATCTCTGTGTGATGCGAGACTAGTTCTTATCTCTTTGGGTTAGTATTATTTTTTGCTTTACTATCTTCACATAGTAAACACACATTATTATACTGACAGATATATTTTATTCAAAAGATAGAATCATTAAACCACATCAATAACCCAAAGCTAATAAGCACTGCCTATGTCAAGGGGTTTGGTAAGGATTCCATATAAACGGAAAGGCCCTCTCTGTGTAAGGTAATGTGACAATTTTGCTAGCATTGTGTCAGCACAGTGCGGGCCCTTGATTGTTCTTGCTGACTTTCTGAAGAGCCACGGGGTGGAGGGGATGAGGCCTGAAAGGGAAGTGCGTGGAGCTTACTTAGGCAGGTGGCCAAAATGGCGGCTTGGCCTCTGCAGCAGAAAGACACCGGGCAAAAGTGCATCTAGGATATTTGGGAATAAGATTCAATTGTCTCGAGTCCATTGCCTTGAACCCTGGGTCTATTTCTCTTTTGTCTGTAGCCTGTCATCTGAAAAGTGTCGTGTTCCAAAAACATTTTATTCATTAAATTTAGCCCCTGCCTTCCTCTCCTAAAAGTGGATCTGTGTTGTCCAGGTTTCTGACGCTCCCCCTCCTCTCCTGGAAGTCCCCTGGGCAAGACAGGAGTAAGTGCAGTGGTCGAGATCATGGCAGCAAAGGTGACCTTGTCTGCAAATTGCACATGTCCTTCCTTGCCACAGAGATGGGATTCCAAAACAGACCCGGTAAAAGCCAGTTGAGGAGTTTCACAGAGTCACAGCAGGGTGTTCAGCTTTATACATAGTTGTGGGATGACTCACTACCAAATGCTTCCTAAAAGAGACTCCTTAAGTTACGGTAACATTTTAGAATGGTATTTATAGTGCCAATAGAAAATAGGAGGGGCAAGTTATTTGGAGCATTGCCTTTTTCTGCACACTCTCCTCCCTGCCAGCTATTTCTCTTTTTCAGTTTTCACATCTTCTTTGTCCCCTGCCTGAAGGCAAAGCCTGCAAGAGACAGCCTTCTGATGGCCAAGGGGCTCTGCAGCTGACCCCATGTACTGGCAATAAACAACCTTTCAAATGTTCCCATTATATCCCCCTCTGTCCCAAATCCCCACCCTAGCCCCTCCAGCTAGACCCTCCAATCTGCTATGCTCCTTCCAACAGTTCTGTTCTCTGTTTATTAACAATTCAGATGTACTGTCTTGAAATGAGTGGAAATGCCAGAGGTTATTTGTTCTGGTTTCCTTCCACTGTGTATGCTCCGTTTCCGTGGCTGTCTGTTGGTTACCTAGGATATGGCCAGGGGAGGCAAAGGATTGGCCAGGAGCTTGGATGGATTCCCTGGGAGGCTGTGGAGCAGGGCTTAGTGGTCAGTAGGATGCCCTAATTGAGTGCCTGATTAACGACTCAATGACCCCTTCTGGGCTGGGCTCACAGTGTCCTCTCTAGGACTCCAGGAGTTCCACATCCATACCCCTGTTTTGGCTCTTCTTCACTGGTATATAAATTTGTCTATCTGTCCACCACAAGGCTATAGGATTCTCTAAAACAATGATTATATATTATTCTGTGTTGTGCCTGGCACAGTTCAAAGCACACAAATGGTGCTTGATATATGTAGGTCAAATTCATACCTAAATAAGCACTTACTCTGGTTTTTCTCTTTTTTTAGTTTGAAATAATTTTGGCTTTTAACATTCCAATAATGATTTTGATGGAAAATACACCGCATATTTATTAATCACCAATTGCATCGAGACCTTTTTAGCTCTATTAACTTCTTTACCCTTCAAAATGACTTTATGATAAAGTAGATATTATTATCATCCTCATCAAATTACATATAAAATCACCATGTTCAGGGAGTGTAAGTAATTTTGCCTGAGATCTCTGTTAGGAAGTGGCGAAGCCAGGATTTGGGTCTCTGGGTGTCTTATTGCTTACACTGCTCCGTAAAGCCCCCAAACTAGACTGCTACCTATATGTATGCTTTAATCATGTGAATTCAACTGGAAAAATGTGCTGTTTTGAAAGTCACTCAAAGAGTTAATACTGGAAATAAATGAATGGCTATGTGGAAATTTTAAAAGTTTATTATCATGGAAAATTTCAAACATATACAAAAGTAGCAAGAAGAATACAGAAGCCTCATGTATCCTTTATTCATCTACAACTGCTTTATTTACATTATTCTTCACTT
Organism: Homo sapiens; assembly: GCF_000001405.40. Classification (NCBI taxonomy): domain Eukaryota; kingdom Metazoa; phylum Chordata; class Mammalia; order Primates; family Hominidae; genus Homo; species Homo sapiens. The sequence continues at coordinate 218,461,508 of NC_000001.11, forward strand.
TCCCTTTTCCTCCACTGGATTATTTGGAAAGAAATCCCAGATAGTGACTCAATTGACTAAGATCTTTAAAATTGTTAACACAATGATATTTCTGCTCCTGGAACATAAACATGCTTAGACAATTTTGGTAAAACCATCCAAAGAAACTGATTCCCTCTGGTTGTTAGAACTATTCAGCTGCTGTGTGTGTGTGTATATATATATATATGAGTGTGTGTGTGTGTGTATACGTATATATATGTATATACACACACACATATATGTGTATATGTATATATGTATATACACATATACACATATATGTGTGTGTGTATATACGTATATATATGTATATACACATACATATGTGTATATATAAACAGCAGCCAAATGGTTGCTGTATATATATATGGCTATATATATATATATAGCCATATATATATGTGGCTAACCGTTCACTATATATGGCTGACAGTTCACATTATCCTCAGACCCTATTAGTTCTTCTATTAGTTCTTTAGAGTATGAAATATACCCTACATAAGTGGAAAGCAAGAGATCCTCTAAAGTGTACTCCTCCGTATTTTAGATAGACTTACATTTGGGAAATAAACATGTAATTTTGCATGTCCCAAGTGAACCTCAACAGAGTGCTCTAGATCAGCATAAATGTATTAAACTTTCAGGTGCTATTACTTTCTTTTCCGTTGCAGATTTTATATGCAGTATCACATAAGTGAGCTTTTTCCATTCTCTTCAACGGAGTCTCTGTCCATTTTTTCAGAGGCTGGTTGTTGGTAGTAACAGCAGGAACATCGCCAGCATTTTACCATGACGCCCTCAAGAGTTCAAGACTGGTTTGGAGAAACATCCAACATTTAAATGTGTATAGAAAAACTTTCAACCACCCCAGCAATTTTTACAAAAGTTTTAGGAGAAAGCCTTATCAAGAATGATCTTTTATCTGGGGGAAACTGTTACAATTTTACTCTTCAGCATGATTTGGGTTTTGATCAAAACTAGAGATTGTGACAGTGGGATTTTATGCAGAGGTCTGAGGTGTATATGCACATGTGTGTGCATGTTTGTGCACATGCACGAACATACCAGACCAAGCAGGTGGGTGGAGAGTGATTTGTAAAAGTGACAGGAGGGGCACATGAGTGAGAACCATTTTGGTGTCTGTAGCTTTATGTACTTGGGGATGTCAGGTCTAAAAATAACTCTCCTTTGGAACCATTGTTGTTTATCTGTATCCTGGGTTTTCCCATTCTTAAAAATACCCTGACATACATAAAAAGACTGTATTCCAAAGGTTAATGCCCATTAATCCGAAGGGAGTGGTGAGTAAATTCCTTATATATCAGTCTAAGAATAGGTCTTGGAGCTATTCAAGTGTGTGCCATCATGTGAGCAGTTTCTTCTTTTTTTAAAGGAAGCAAATGGTAATGGTTGGGGAAGAAAAGGAATAAACGGTAAAAAAAAATGGATAAAAGGGTTTGGATAAAATAAAATTTACCCTAAACATGTCTCTGTGGCTTGAAAGAATCACTGCATAGAAAAGGTTTTATCTGGGGAGGGGTTGTGGGGGGAGAAGTTGTCTGAGAATATTTTCCCCGCTGTGGCATTTCCCATTGGAGCCTAACCCAAAACTCTGAAAATCCAAGGAAAGTGAGCACTTTTATTTTATTTCTTTCTTTTTTAAGGCTGCTTTGCACTGTGATTTTTTTGACTCAAGGGATTCTGATTCTTTCCTCTGCATGCAAGGATAACAGGCCCTAGCCATGTCCAGCTTGCCCCCTCAACACAGGTCAGAATCCCTTTCGGATTTCTGTTTCCAACAGAATGTCTGGCAACCAGACTTTCTGAATCAGCGTTGTTTCTGCACCGCTGCTCCCGACACGCTGGAGGCCAGGCAAAGAGCAAAATACAAAGAATTGAAACTAATTCCGCAAGGCTGCTAAAGGTTTCAGATACAGCCCAGTTTCCTCTCTGAATCCGTTGTTCTCCTCTGTGCCCCTTTATGCTTCTGGGCACCACACTCTAGGCGAAAGAGTCTCCTGGGACCAACACCTAACCAGGTTTCCTCACAGTACCTGTTTGTATGGTGAGTTAAAAACAAGCAAAATTTAAAAACGGTGTACATCTGGACAAGTTGGAAAGGTCAAATGGATTTTTTTTTTTTAAGGATGTATTTCTGCATGACTCACTGGGCCTTCTCACTTCCTGCTAGAATTATTACAAAATATATCTGGAAGACAGTGAGCCCGCTGATGACTTCCCTTCACGGACTACACACAGGCCTGCTGTGGTATCAGGCGCCCCTTGGCCAGCTGCCCTCTTTCTTGGTCCCCTCTCCAGGGTCACTAGCAAAGACACAGACTGGCCACAGATAACAATTACTTCTCCCAAGCTGGCTTGTTCCATTAAGCATTTTGGGAAAACCAAATGGCTATTGATGATGATTGAGATTTTGCTCATGTGCAGCCCTAAAGGGCGGGAAAAACACCACTCTGGAAAGGTATTGGATGATAGCTGTGAATGACATTTCTTATGACGACTGCTATTTTGAAATGTGCTTTGTAATAATATTTCAGGCACTCAGTTTAAATTTCAAGTTCTCAAGCAAAATTATATACAGTAAGGAGGAAACTTTCTGCTCCCCTTGCAAATTTTTGTTGGTGGTATTCTCATAATTCTATTTTTTTTCTTATAGGACAAATTTATGTGTCTTCTGAGATATTATTATTATTATTATTATTATTTTTAGAGGGAGTCTTGCTCTGTCCTTCAGGCTGGCGTGCAGTGGCGCTATCTCGGCTCACTGCAACCTCCGCCTCCCGGGTTCAAGCAATTCTGCTGCCTCAGCCTCCCGAGTAGCTAGGATTACAGACAAGAGCCACCACACCCTGCTAATTTTTGTATTTTAGTAGAGATAGGGTTTCACCACTTTGGCCAGGCTGGTCTGGAACTCCTGACCTCAAGTGATCCGCCCGCCTCGGCCTCCCAAAATGCTAAGATTACAGGCCTGAGCCACTACACCCGGCCCTGAGATATTATTTAGATGTCTCCTGAGATAATTAGTTGTATGTTCCCACCCCTCCTCTTTATTTGTAGTATTTTCAAAGACAGATCTATTTTAAAATGTCACCAATTTAGATAAAGATGGGAACCTTTTAAGTACTTATAAAACATTAGTGTTCATGCAAAAAATAAATGTTATAACAACAGTTATGCTATATCCAGTCCCAGGCCCACCTCTTCTCTTAGATCCTCCTCTTGCCCAGTCCTTGGAATTATTTATTCACATCCAGTGCTGCCAGCTCACCACTCTGAATCTTTAGCCCTAACCTCTCCCCTGAGCATTGTTCACCCATCTCTAAGGGTCAGTTGAATAATTCACTTACATGACCAGTCACCTAAACCTTACGGTTCTCACCTGAGGTGATTTTGCCCCTCAGGGGATATTTGACAATTTCTGGAGGTTTTTTGGTTGTGGAAACTTAAGGGAAAGGTGCTATTAGCATGGTGGGTAGAGGCCAGGGCTGTTGCTAGATACCCTAGAATGCATGAGAAAGGCCCTCATGACAAGGAATTCTCTGACTCACAATATCCATAGTGCCTAGATTGAGAAATCTTGCCTTAATCTAAGAAGAAATTTATTCAGTTTTTCTCCTAAATCCCACTTTTTCCATTAAACATTTTTTTCTGAGTGGGGAGCAGTGGCTCATGCCTGTCATCCCAGCACTTTGGGAGGCCGAGGTGGGTGGGTTACTTGAGCCCAGGAGTTCAAGATCATCTGGGCAACATGGTGAAACCCTCTCTCTACAAAAAAAAAATAATAATAATAAAAATAAAAATAAATTAGCCTTGTGTGGTGGTGCACGCCTGTAGTCCCAGCTAAGCAGGAGGCTGAGGTGAGGTGGGAGGGTCACTGGAGCCAGGGAAGTCAAGCCTGCCATGAGCAATGATTGTACCACTGCACTCCATGCACTCCAGCCTGGGTGACAGAGAGAGATCCGGTCTCAAAACAAAACAAAAACCTTCTCTGAACAATTCTAGTTATTCCTTCCTTTGAACTCTACTGCGTATTTGTCACTAAATGATGTACTGCTCTATATTATTTTTTTGGATGTGTGTGTGTATAGTTCGTCTCCCTAAATGAATTTGAGATTTCCTGGCAGCAGGGCTTATCTCCTCTTTTCTTTTTGTGCTTTGAACTATGCCCACCCCAGTGCTCTGCACTTAGCATATACTCAATATGTTTCAGATAAATGAATATATCTTCAGTGAATGGTTGAATCCTAAAGTTTAAAGACGATACATTGGGGTGATGGCAAGGCTTTCCCAAGAAACTTAGACAAGGGGTAAGAAAGGTTGCTGTTAGAAATCTAAAGAAATTAAATAAGCATATAACAGAAATAGCGTGTCTTCTGGGGTTTATAGAAATAGTAATTAGATGTTAGTTAACTATAATCTTAAACTTTTAAATAAAGACATGCAGCACAAGAAGAAAGGAATAACAGAATTAATAATTTACCTTCAATCTTAGAGGATTGAGATGGCTGAATTTGGGGGACACATATGTGGAGGATTGTTCTCTGTGATATGATGGAAATTTTATTGAACCATGTCTTCACTTAGATGACATGATCCTTGAGACATTTCCCTTCCATTTGTTTCAGTTCCATGCCAACCAAACAACATTCAGATTAATAACCCAGTTTCCCAGCTGGGAAGATGGGAACGTTTCCATCAGCGTGTGCAAAGGGATACCTTAGCTAGGAGGGGCAAACATTCAAGACTCTGGACAGAGATATCACCCATAATAAATTAGTAAATTGGTCTTTTGGCTTATATATTAATCTCCTGTGGACTAGTGTGTGAGTGGCTCCCCAAGATTCTGACCATGTCTGGGATTATTGATAAGGTCCGTTTGCTGGGCTGCAAAGTCTGAGGGCCAGATCCTGGCTTGTGACTCATTCACTAAAGCAATGCCATGTTGAAAACTGCTTGACCAATGGCTAACTGGCTGTTCCCCTGTGACATCCCTGTTTTGCCCCAAGCCATTCTTCTGAGCTTCAACAAATCTTAATGATTTCATCCCAGATCCTGAAATTATCACTTTGTTTTTTAATCTCCTAAGTACTTTGAAAATTCCATTCATACTTGATTTGGAAATATTCTATCGGAAAAAAACCAAAATGCCCACATGCAGCTTCTTTTTAATAAAGGAAACGAAATGGGAAGGTCAAATTGCTTTTAGAACTTTTTATAGGCCTGGCAGCACTGGAGACATTTCATCATTGAAGAACGTGTGACAAGTAACTGGGACCATTTGCTGAGGGTTTCTCGGGGACAGACCAAGAATAGCAAAAGAGATCTTTTCTAAAACACTCCATGATTTGATTCGGTTTTCCTGAGAACAGCTAGGACTAATTAGAAATAACTTACAGCTTGTATTAGTTACATGTGAGCATTTGTTACAAGCTCTCATATGCAAAACAAAGATTGAGTTCAACTTGATTCATCACTCTAGTTCTCTTTCCATGTTCTGCTCACATCTTTTCATTTAATTGCAAGAGTTTCTTGTTTAATGTCATTAATTAACAGAGGAAGTTGGGATGAAAATATCTTGAGTGCTCCACCTAATTATAATCCCAGTCATGAATGCTGGAGAAAATGTGGCTTCTTACTAAAAGGAAAACAGTCTAGAACAATATTATGCAGTTTATAAATTCCACCGAACCGCTGTACAAATAAACAATGCTACTGAATCACACAACAAATCATCTCACAATTAGGCCACACAAGACCAGCTGCTTTATAAAGGAGACTGTGAGCCCAAGAGAAGGACTTTGAAGATAAATATTGCCATATGTGAAAAGGGAAAAAATTCCCAACAAACCTTAATTGCACGGAGCTTCATTTTCAAATGCTATTTGCCATGGGAATAAAGGATTTCGTGTTGTGACCCGTGACTATTGTAAGCATCATCTAAAGTGTGGGAGATAGAATGACGGATCTGATTGGAGGCCCTGTACGCCTGGCTACATGTGAAATGTGCCTCCTTGCTTCATCTCTTCTTCCCTTTTCTCATCCCACTGGCATTTCTCAACACTCAACATATACAATTGATTTCCCATTAATTTATGTGGATTGTCCACTTTGTACCTCAACTGAAGAAAAATGTGAAATGCAGGCTGGCCTCTCAGAACTATAACTTGGTGGGTATCCCCAGGGCTCAGACTTATTTTAATATTTGTTAGAGTTCAGCAAGAAGGCTATCTAAATTTGATGATCCATTCCAAAGCTAAGCATTAATGCCCTCGCTTAACTGCAATTCTTAGATTCTCCTTGCATTTGACAGTAACTGCAATTCTTGGATTATGCTTGTTATCACTTCCTTTTTTTTATACCCTTGACAGTGACTGCATTTTTATCTTCATTTCTCATTTATGTCAACTGGTAGCCAGAGTAGGACAATCATACAGGAAAAAAGAAAAAAATACAAATAAAAAACCTAGAGAAATCCCAAGATACTAGAAGCTTAGGGAATAGAGCCAAGATTTGCAGGTCACAGCCACCATCATGAAGCCCAGAGTGTAAAAGTCACCCAGAAGACTAGAAGGAAAATTCAAGGGATAGCTGACTCCATTTTTAATATTTTAATCTTTGTAAATGCAATGCTAGAACTTTTTAGAAGAAAATGACGTCTTGTTATTCTTACGTATATAATGTTGATGAGGCTACTGTCTCTTAATTCATAGGTGTACAACCTTTCCACTTATAGGGAGCCTTCCTTTGGTCCATGATGGGTGAAGTAGCAACATGGACATTACAGCTGTGCTTTTTCCAGTGTCGTCTTTGCACTCTGTTTCCTGCAACATGTTTTGTTTTGTTTTGTTTTGTTTCGTTTTTTGTACTTCATGAAGGAATTTCTTCTCTCTCCTTTTATTTTCTGTATATAAGTTCAGGGGTCAAACCTGCCTGAAATAAATTAGAACCTCCCAAAAGGACAACCAAGCTTATCAGATACCCATAGTTTATAAGTGTCATAATATGATGCAGAATGTTTTGAGGTTGGTGATGGAATAAATGTTATGTTTTTTGAGCAATTACCATCATCTGTATAAAGTTTTATTTTAGAAAGCCTAAGAAGAAAATTAAAAGGTCAAGAAGAGACCAAATCCTTTATTCTTTTACTATGGGAATGTGTCATTAACAGAAAAAAAATTGTGAAACACTTATTTACTTTAAAAGATACTTAGAATTTAAATTATATATAATCTGGGAGATCTTTTCTCCTGTGTAGTTAGTTACTAGTCACAGGTCATTATCTCCAAGAGTGTAAATCAGACTTCCTCTATTGTTATTTTCTCAGAAGCTGCTTAAGTCATAGCTCTTCCTTTAATTCCGCTTTATACTCGTAATTAGAAGTGCTAACACGATAAATGTCTACAGTGATGTTGAAAAGAATGATGGTCACCTGACCTTTTCTTCTATGTTAAATATGCTAGTTCCTGTTTGTTATGACAGAAGTGTAGCACAATAGTTAAGATTATGGGTTATGGAGACACACATATTTTTCTCATAAAGTCATGTGTGTGCGGCTGGGTACAGTGGCTCACACCTGTAACCCCAGCTTTTTGGGAGGTTGAGGCTGGAGGATTGCTTGAGGCAAAGAGTCTGAGATCAGCCTGGGCAACACAGCAAGACCTCGACTCTACAAAAAACTAAAAATAAAAAATTAGCCAGGCTTGGTGGCACATGCCTGTAGTTCTAGCTATTCACTACTTGGGAGGCTGGGGCAGGAGGATCACTTGAGTTCAGGAGTTTGAGGTTACAGTGAGCTATGATTGTACCACTGCACTCCAGCCTGGGCTGGGCAACAGAATGAGATTCCATCTCTTAAAAAGAAAAGTCATATGTGTATAGAAGTGCTCCATTATTAAAGGAAAATGGTATAAATGAGATCAGCTTGAAGCAGGTATTGAAGGCAAAGGTAAATTGCACATGCAAAGGCACAGATGTTGACTAAAGAAGAAACGATTTCAGCCTGGTTTATAGATCGCTCTTGATGATGTGTGGTCAATGCCCAAAAGTAGATAGCTATATCCCTATAGCCCCACTCTGGGGTGGCCCTAAAGACTGTGGTAAGGAAAAAACCTACCAGCAGGCAGAACTTCAACAAGTGCACCTAGTTGCTCATTTTGCTTGAAAGGAGAAAGGGCAAAAAGTATGGATGTACAGTGACTCATTGACTGTATCTATGAGTATATCTGGAAGGTTAGGGACTTTGAAGAAGCCCTATTAGAAAATTAGTGAAAAAGAGGTCTGGGGAAAAGATTTGTCGATGGACCTCTTTGAATTTGCACCAAAGAGCAGTCTAAGCAGAGGAGGATCTCAATGATCAGGTGTATGAGATAACCTGTCTTATGGACATCAGTCAGTTTCTCTCTCCAGCTACCCCCATCCTTGCCCAAGGGGCTCTATGAAGAAAGTAGGCATAAAAGAAAGGGTAGAAGTTATGCATGGGCTCAGCAACATAGATTTCTACTCATTAAGGCTGACTTGGCTTCAGCCACTGCTAAGGGTCTGTCCTACCAACAGCAAGAACAACACTTGTATGGCACCACTACCTGGTGGGTTTAAGAAGGCACCTGGTTGGAGGCTGATTATATTGGATCAATTCCATCAGGTTACAGACAGCACCAGCACTTTGTTGTTACTAGAACAGACATTTACTCTAGATTTAGATTTGCCTTAACTTCCTGTAGTGCCAATACTACCATCTATGAACTCACAGAATGCTGCTATCACTACACATTGCTGCTGACAAAGCAATTCAGTTTACAGCAAATTAAGTGCAACGTGGGGCTCATACTCATGGAATTTAGTGGTCTTTCTATGTTCCCAATCACTATAAAGCAGTCGGCATGGTAGAACAGTGGGATGGCCTTTTGAAGACTCGGATACCGTGCCAACTGGATGTAAATAACTTGGAAGACAAAAGTAATATCCTCCAGGATGTTTTATTTGCTCTAATTACTGACTAATATATAATGCTCTTTCTGCCAGAGATAAGATTTACCTATTTAGGCAAATGCACCTCTCGAATCCTGGAATGGCAAATCCTCTCTATGGGAATAATAGTTATTCTCCTAGACATAAACTAGTGGAATTTTTGTTTCCTGTTCCTGCTCCGTTAGTCTAGAGGTTTTAGTTTCCAAAGGAGTGAGCACAGTAATGATTTCAGTAAACTGGAAGTTGAGAATGCTACCTGAGCAGTTTCATATGGAGCACTGTGGCAAAGTAAGCCAGTTCTTCTGCAGGTTATACACATATCACTGAAGTTGAGGTTTGGGGGTGAGAGGATAACACAGGTTCCAGTTCATCCTCATAGATTCCAGCTTATTCTCATGGATTTAGTTTGTCTTTGCTCTTCCCTACTTTATGTCTGTCTTTCTTTCTTGTCAGCCTGCTCTGTGGACTTTAAGCCCAGCACCAAATGCAAAAGCAACAGCAGTAAATAGTCTAGCCCGTTCCTCTAACTGTATGATGTCAAATATATATCACTCTTAATAATTTTCTCTGATTGAATCTTAACTAACCAATCAATTGGGAATCCAATATCTGCCTCTAACTATACATGTGAACTTAGGCGAACATCTCTAAGCCTAGGTTTCCTCATTTATAAGATAGGAATAACATTAACTACCATATAGGATTGTTGTGAAGATTTTATGAGCTAAGGGCTGAGAACTCTGCAAGGCATATAGGAAGCACTCAGTAAGTAGTTACCACTATTTACAAAACTTGGCTTTGACTCCAGCTGATTTTACATAGCATCATGGAGTTTTGGACTGGAAGAGATTTTGAGAAGTCATCTGAACCGGTAGCTTGGCCTAAAAAGTCCAAACTTCCCAGATCTTACCCTTCCTGGCTTAAAGTCACTATACTCAATGTAATTTACAAGATGTGTACTGGAGCGCAATTCATTATTGTTTATTACCACTGAGAGAGAGGTTTTAAAACAAACATTAGATTTTACAATTTGAATGTTGTTCTTCAAAGTAACTTTTCTAAATTTGTTTCCTTCTTCTTCTATAAATAAGGACATTGGAAAAATTTATTTTCAAAGTTCCTAAACTGTAAATTCTAAAATTCTGTAAAGATTAACTGAAAGGCTATTTATTCATCTAATAAAGATGTCTTTGCTTTAAAGATATTTTTGGGGTGTTTCTGCTTAAACATCGTCTTCAGAATTGGTTTTTGAGGCCCATCCAGAATAAGTATCTCATTTCATTATCGCTAAATCTTGTTTGTGACTTAAATGCAGTTTACATTATGAGATGGCATGAGAAGACTTGGGGCTGTTTCTAAACATCTAAGGATGAAGATGGACCATCATTACAAATGTTCTGATAAACATTACCAAAAATGAGGTTCCAAAAATCTTTTGGGTGGTATCAATACTTGAAATATCATTAGAGTTTAATTTAATATTTACCTCGGTAAATCAGAGGAAGAGGAGACTTAGTATATGCCCTAAATTGGAATCTACTTAACAGTTAAGAAGTCTAAATTCAAGTCCTGGTTCCAACATTTACTTGGTGTATTCTCTCAGGAAGCCACTTCATTTGTGGAAGTTTTAGGAACTTCATCCATAGGGTGGGAATAAGGTATCTAGCCAGGCTTCTCATAGAGTTATGGTGAGACGTAAATGACACAGTAAATGTAAGAACACTTTGCTCCTTTGAAAGTACTCAAGACTCTAAAACAGGGGTTGGCAAACTATGGCCCATAGGCCAAATCCAGCCTGTCATCTGCCTTTGTATAGCCCCTGAGCTAAGAATGGTGCAGATGAACATTTGCACCAGTTTGCTAATGGGAAACATTACATTTAAACCCCAACTATAAAAAATATCACTTCCTCCAGGCCCCCTTTAAAGAATTTCTTTCTTCTCATTAGTAGATTGGTATTACAAAAAATTGTGCTAAATTACTGTTATTATATTTTGCATTTCATTAGTAAAAATTTTGTAGATATTTGTATTCTCCCTTGTATAAGCTTCTATTTAATATCCTCTATTTTACCTCTTGGTTCACAAAGACCAAAATATTTACTATCTTATCTTTTACAGAAAAAATGTGTTGATCTCTGCTATAAAGTGTTGTGCTTAAAAGGGATTTGTATTATTAGTAATAAATATAGTCATTGTTCACAAGCAAAGGTTGCTGTAAACTATTTGTTTGCTTTTCCTCCTAGTTATATTAAATCTGTTTGTTTATACCTTTAATTACTATAATACAATATTCTTTCTTACAAACAGCAAAAAAAAAATGAGAGAGAGAGATATCTGTTACTTGCCTAATTATAATCTGAATTTTGTAATCTTTGTTTTCATAAACTGAATTGCAAAATTCTAGATTTGTGTAAATCTGAAGAAAAAAATTAAATTAAATTAAAACATAAACAGAATCCGAAGAACTAAACACAGAGTAGAGATGTTGGCCTGCCCCATGCTCTGAAAGACCATCTGAGGGCTTCTGAGCCTGGTACACCCTGGGGAGTTCTCAGAGAGAGAGAGGGATGTTTAGATCATGCACCAGAGGGCCTCATGCAAGCAGGTACAACTACAGGAGGTCCCTCACCCATCTCTGATGGTAGTTATGGCAGTAATAACACCCTGATGGGTAGTACAATCTTAAGCATGAGACAAAATTAGTTTTGTATGAAAATGGTTTCAAATGTGGGTGTCTTTATTAGAAATCCAAAATATCAAAGTAATCTTCAGAGGCCACGGTTTCTCTTGTGTCATTTCATGATACATGCTGATGTCTTCACATAGGAAAAGAAAAAAGAAGAATAGGGATCAAAAAAGAGGGAAGGTACAAGGAAAGGAATAAGAGATTTTCAAATGTATGCCACCTGCTTTGAATGTTGTTCAGATATGTGTCTTACAGTATGCCTGGTGTGCCTTTGTTAGAGATTAATTGGACAAATTTGATTTTATAGATGATATGAGCCAGAATTGCAAAGGTGGTGTTTCTCCTCTTATGTGAAGAGGAAGTCAGGGGGAGATGAAAGGGAGAATAACCTTTACCTCATAATTTCCTTTCCCCTCCTCTCTGTGTAAGCCACATTAGTCTCTCAGCAAAGGTACTTGGAGAAACTTGCTAAAATTTTCCCTCATGCTTGAAATTTACTTACCCTGGGTAACAGGAAATGTGGAGTCTTGTGATGTAGATTGTTATACCAGATGGTAATCTTAGCACATGCTATTTATGTAGATCAGCCATGTGTGTGAGTCATCCATGTGAGGCTGACCTCAGCCACTGTGAAATCGGGTTCCATACCGCCATTATTAATAAATAATAATAATGGTACTGATTAGGCATCATTTTGATGCACATCTAATGAGGCCATTACCTTTATATGATATTAAATCTGGAATTGTTTTCTTTTTCTAAATAATACTTTATTAACAACTGGCCATGTTGTTAGATTGCTATTTTTTACTGGCAAGGGCAGGCACACAATTTAACTCAGCTAAGATTAGGTAATTAAGGTATCTGCCACTTGCATTGCGCTATTCATTGAATGCCCTAACTACTTTGTTCTTTCTTTGAAGCAAATGCCTGTCCTTATTTAAGTCATCCTCTTCTAGGTCCTGTGGTTTGAGTTATTATTTTACTGATGATAAATTTGAGTGGGTAATCCACACTCTTTCATCTTGTCTCCCTTTTAACCACTAGCTAATTTAGCGATGGAGAATAGTTTCGCTTTTATTACAGCTTTGATTATCTGGTGGTTGCAAATAAGTCAGATAGGGAAGCCTGCGCAAAGATAAATGCTTTAAAAGCAGGAAGTGTGTTTTATTTCCTTTCAACTAGCCATCTGTTCAGGATTCTTGCCTTTAATCCTTCCCTATTTTCTTTCCGCCTTCTTTTCTTGCACTTTCCCTTCATAGTGGCTAGAACTGTGCTCTGCACAAAACAGGCAATATCTTTTTGGCTTTGTAACAACCGCAGAGATTTTCTAATATGACCCACTTTTCCAGAATGTTTCCTGCTTGTCTCTTTGAGAGACATGCCGTCACTTTTTTTTTTCTGTTTCTCTTACCCAAAGATAACATTTCTTACCCAACATCATTAGTGTAAAGATTCTAAGGTTTTAATGGTAATGCATTACATACATTTGTTTTCTCTTGGCTCGTGATTGTGGCTGGAGTCCTTCATTTTGTGACTGAATTCAGATCAGAATACAAAGATAGCAAGTTCATTAGGGTTTTAATTTGCACACAGTTCCATTGGAGCAGCAAAATGATTAAGGGTACAAAAGAGACGGGTTTCAATGAGAAATAAGAGGCATTGATTTACCTCTTGCTAGTGGGAGTTAGGGAGTGAATTGTTACAGAAATTGTGCTGCCAATAATACTTAACCCGAATTTTAGGTAATTTTTTTTCTTAGTTGCTGTCCTGAGTGAGGCGTACAGCTATGAGATGTACGGAATTCTTTAGAGCAAGGTCCTGTATCATCAAAAACTTGCTAGGCATAGATTTCCCTGAGGGCCTACAGTGGAACCCAGGAGCACATCCAGCTCTGTCTTGGCAGTTCACCCTCTCTCTCTCCTGCTTTATAGAAGGAAAAAGTGAAAAGCACCCATTTTTCCTTCAGAGGAAACAACTCTTACAAGTTTATCCAGATCTAAGCAGGGACTCATCTGAGACAGTCTCATCTCAGCACTGGTTAAGTGGTTAAGAGATGAGGCTTTGAAATCAGATCAATGTGGGACTGAGTTCCAGCCCCAGTGACTGTAACCTTTGACAAGTGGCAAAACCTCTCCTTGCCTTGGATTCCTCATGTCTTACATAGGAATAATATAGCACCCATCTCATAAATTGGCTGTGAGTATTCAATGAGAGAATCATGAAAAGTACCTGGCACCAGCAGATGGCAGCTATTTTTATCTATGATCCACTAGGTAGAACATTTCTGTGCTTTCCCCAGTCTGAAATGGAGATGCCTTTACATCATCCTTCATGGCTATTCTTAATTACTCATGTCATTTGACTTTTAAGTGCCCATCATTAGCTTTCTATCAAGCCAAATGCCTATGAAACAATAGGGATAATAATTATATAGGCAGTCTTTGCGGAGCTTTGGAATACTGACATTTTGTCAGAATTTCTGGATCCCTGATCAAGATAAGCAAAAAGCAGAACATTTCTGGTTGAGGATTATTATCAATATTAACCACTTCTTCTGCTCCTGACCCTCTCCCCTGTCCCATAAAATACTAAACTCCTATAATTACACAAGATGCCTAGGTAGTAACAAACGCAAGTGGAACTTAAGAGATCAAGACTGGAGTCAGGAGAGTTTCAGAGCTGGCTCATTCAGCCCTAACATCCCATGATATGTGACTGTGAACTTTTTAGCTAGATTATAAACTCCTTGAAGGGCTTGTTGATTTCTGGAGGGAGGAAGGTGGGGTTAGAATTTGCAGTGATCTGAACTAGGATAACTTCCTATATGTCTTCCAGGGCTTATCTGAAAATTCCACTTGTCTCTGAAAATGAACTTCTTATTCCCAAATACTTAACTTTATTATAATCTCTATACATAGCAAGCATCTATCTGGTGCCTAACAGATCTCTTATTGTACAAAGCTCACACTTCATATATGAGGAACTTACACACTAAGTTGAAGGTGATTATAATAACCTGGTTAAGGAGATAAACAATTCAGTCTTGAAATGTGAAGAACACCCATTAAAAAGATTTTAGGAACATAGACTGTACTTGCCTTCTCAATTTTCCTTAACACATAGAATAAATATTTGATATTGAGTTATTTTGGTATTTTCAGCAACTTTTAAAATTATTTATTAAACTCCTAAATATCATCTTTATAAGATACTGTAGGAAACAAAAATTAGAAAATTCTTGAATACGATTATTATTGGTGTCTATTTTAAAGGCTAGTCATTTGTTAGTTTGAGATTCTGTGTCAACAGATATCAACGTGACGGCTGATCAACATGATGATCCTGTTAGAAAATACCATGAGTCCAGAGACACTTTTGTAATGAGTCATTGCTATTTAGCTTCTTCCACAAATGGTCTTAACTTGAGCAGGACTCTTAAACCAACAAATGTTAGTTGCTAGAAAGGCATTTGGATTTAACAAAGAAGATATTAATTGTTTTGCAGCTTCTATTAGCAGTTCTTTAACCTACAGCATAAAATTTGAAATCTGAAGGGGACTTAGAGACTGAGACAAGTCCTTATCCAGCATGTAACTCCCATCCCAAACTATCTAGAATTGTCTAGCCTCTTTTACTAACTGTTCACTAGAGATAGAATGTGAGCCAAAAAAGCAAACCACATATGTAATTTTAAATTTTCTAGTAGTCATGTTAAATAAGTAATCAGACATAGGTGAAATTGATTTTAATACTATATTTACCTCAATATGTTCAAACGATTACTACTTCAGCATGTGATCATTATAAGAATTAATGAGTGTATTATTTTGTTCTCACGTTGCTATAAAGAACTACCTGAGACTGGGTAATTTTATGAAGAAAAGAGGTTTAATTGACTGGCATTTCTGCAGGCCTAATAGGAAGCATGGTTGGAAGGCCTCGGGAAACATAATCATAGCAGAAGGGGAAGCAAACAGTTCTTTACTATGGCAGAGCAGGAGAGAGAGAGAGATAAGGGGGAGCCACTGCATACTTTTAAACCATCAGATCTCCTGAGAACGAACTCACTGTCACAAGAACAGCATGGGGGAAACTGCCCCCATAATCCAATCACCTCCCACCAGGTCTCGCCCCTGACACATGGGGATTACAATTCCAGATGAGATTTGGTTGGGGACATAGAGCCAAACCATATCAGCAAAGACACTTTTTTTTTTTTTTTTTTTTTTTTTTTTGAGATGGAGTCTCACTCTGTCACCAGGCTGGAGTGCAGTGGTGCGATCTTGGCTCACTGCAACCTCTGCCAACTGGGTTCAAGTGATTCTCCTGCCTCAGCCTCCTGAGTAGCTGGGATTACAGGCACGTGCCACCACGCCCAGCTAATATTTGTATTTTTAGTAGAGACGGGGTTTCACCATGTTGGCCAGGATGGTCTCGATCTCCTGACATCGTGATCTGCCCGCCTTGGACTCCCAAAGTGCTGGGATTACAGGCGTGAGCCACTGTGCCCAGCCATCGGTGAGATACCTTATATTTCTCTTTTTCATACCAAGTCTTCAAAATTCAGAGTGTATTTTACAACTAAAGTACATCTCAATTGGTACCAGCCATAATTCAGGTGCTAACTAGCCATATGTGGTTAGTGGACACTGTACTGGACAAGACAGTTTTATATAGTCACAGAGGAAGAATTCACTCCAGTACTCTCTGATTTTCCTCCAGAAACCCATTACGGTGTTAAACAGTTCTCAATATCGGAAAGTTCTTCCTTGTGTTGCACTAAAGCCTGCATACCATACTTTCCATTTCTACCTTAGTCTTTGTTCTACTTTCTCAATCATATTTTTAATACTACAGAAAATGTCATATTATAATAGCTTTCAGTAGTGGCAGTATATTGTGATATAACTCTCGTTACTTTCAAGTATTCTCTTCTTGAATCTCATTTCACCCTGGCTTACTTTTGAAATTGGAATTTTTAGATCAGCTACAGAATTTTCTACTCAGAGCTATTATACCCATTGCTCCAGAGTGACAAAGCTTCTTTTGGAACAGAATTCTTTCAACTAACTAATCAGGTATCCCTCTCAGCTTATTGTTTTCTATGTATCTATGTAGTCAACACACTGTCAGGATTCTCGTTTAATTCAGTGGTAAACACGTTGACTGAGATAAGGCATAAGACAGAGGAAGAGCCATCCATGGCTCACTCTGAGAATTCTTCTATGTTAAATGCCCTCCATAGTCATCCCACTTAGGATACAGTCATTCGACCAGTTACAAAGTCACCCATGGACTGGTCATCTCAGCCCACATTTCTTCATCTTCTCCACAAGGACATCATGACTCACCTTGTCAACTGTCCTTCCCAAACAGTCAAAGTTCTCAGTTGTCAGAACAGGAAATAAGTTCCTATTTCTTGCTTAATTCGTGAACCTCATGGTGGGCTTGGTCTGGAACCACATTTTTTCTTCTCCAGTGTTCTGTCACCTTTCATATTCTTCATAGTTCCTCAAAACAATTGCTAATGGTTCATGGTTCTCAGCTTTTGGTTTCTTATCTCAGGGATCTTATATAAAATAAATAGTTTTCACTCTATTTCAGCATAAATTATTTTCTATTGATATTTATTCTATGCTTTGGGTATAAAAGTTATTGTCACACATTCTGGTATAGGTTATATGACTATCAGTTTTTAAATAGTTTCCATGGTTAGTTTATGGAAACAGGTGTGTGTGTGTGTATTTTCCTGTCATTGCAAATTTCTACAGTTCGAAGTATCCTGTAATTAGGGTCATGAGAAAGTGTTTATTTCCTGGGTCAGAGGCAGAGAGAAAGCAAACTTTTTGCTATGGAAACCATGATTTCCAAGAGTCTACCAATACCACTTTCTATTTTCTTTATCTTTTTCTCCCCTACCAATTCACTTTTATTGGCAGCACTGGTTGTTCTACTATTCTCTTTCTATTATTCCAACTTGCTGATTCTCTTCAAGTTAAAGAGATGGGCATCAGTTTCTACTAACATGACCAATGGGTCTGAAGCTCTGTCTTTTTGGAAGCACAGAAAATCAACCACTCAGAAGCCCAGTGGAAGAATACAGTCTATTTCTCTAGCTCCTTTTGAAGTCAGGTCTTATGTGTGTCCCAAAGCTGGGTCATTTTGTTAGCTTATTATTGACTATATTGTTTTAATATTCTGCTTTGGTGTGTGTCTCATCTATTGTTTTGTGAACTCCTGGGCTATGTTATGTTAGGGGCTATATTTTTATCAATCTTTGCATTCTCTGTACCCTATGATTACTTAATAAGCACTTCATAAATAATGTGTTATGAGTGAATAAATTAATAAATGAATTGCTTATTTGACACACACACACAGTTTCCACTGGAAAGCTTCCTGTTGTGAAATACTTGTTACTTTGCTTGTCAACCCTATCCAACAATGTTGGATAGCTCTAATGATAGAAAGCTTTTATTTTGTATTAACCTAAATCTTACCCTCAGAACTTCCATTTTCCCATAGAAAACATCTTCTCTTTCCCAAGTATTTATTTTATGTATTAAACTGAAGGCTTCAGGCCTGACAAAGATAGCAATTTTGTTTTCAACAGGAAGTACTGTGCTTATTCCTTTGCTTGTTCAACCATCTTCATTCCAGTGGCATTCCAGTGGCAAGCTTCTGGCATGCCCACCACGCAGGTCATTTAGGGAGAAATCCAAATTCCATTTAGACACATTTTGAACTCCTCTAAATATTGTGCTTTCTCAGGCTTCCAGGGAGCCAGTGTTTATCACTGGATGAATACAGTTACAGAGAGATCAAGGACTTAGTTTATTCTGGGTCACATCCATTATAATGGCATAGTTTAGGCCAAGGAATCCTCTTGTCCCCAACAACTTTCCCAGGTCTAAGACTTACATTTTCTGCTGTGTTGCCCTCCTTTGAGGGATAAACCCATGTGGCCAGGCTGGGACTGCTCTTTCTTTATTCTAGAGCAGCAGGACTGCTTTGCGTAGCTAGCTCTTCCTCTCTCCTACACTCATTGCCAGACAATACAGTATGCAGAACCCAGCATCTGACACTCATACTTGGCTCAGGGCTGGTTTGTGAATCACATGTCAGAGCAGGACTTCAAATCTCATGTCCAACACAAAGAAAGATGACGCCAGTGCTTTGAAATGTCTTTAAACACGAAATATGTCAACTTAGTGACCCCTCAACTCTGTCCCCTCTCTCTCCCTTGCACTTTTTTTCAAGATGTTTAGAAACTGTGTCATCTTTGTTTCTGAAATATTGTTTTAGGATTAAGGTTTGTCAGCATCATGAATCTGCACTAAAAATACTGCAAGGAACATGAGACCATAATTATATCAGCTTTGATCACACTGATTCCACTAATTAAAAATTCCACTGAGAAGAGTGCTGCGGAATCATGTAAACCCTGTGAATTACCTAATAATGATAGAAATATTCAAAGCATTAGTGATTAATGAACAGATGTGAAGAGGCAATACAAGCTTATGGGAAACCATTTCTAATGATGATGTCAGCAAGGAACAATTTGCAGACATAATTACTGAAAAATTATCAGAGACTTCCTTGTCAAGTATTTTGTATGTTTATAAAGCTGTTGGTGACTCATTTTAGAAGTCTGGGAGACTTATTTGATTTGGAATCAGGATTTTATTATAGCTTAGCTGTTATGTAATAGTTTACTCAGACTGATGGGGAGATATTCTTCCATGTCAACATAACTTGTATGGTGTGCAATGAGATTTCCTTGTAGTTATTTCAGCAATTCATATCTGAATGCTTTCCCATATTTTCAGTCCTGAAGTATATTCTCAGTTTGTAAAATGGAGTGCAAGACAGGCTGTGAGATAGATTAATTGTTCAATGATTTATCACGAACTCTAACAGTTTACTACATTGGGACAAAGTTGTTTTGGTTTATAAAGCTGGTAGTGTCATATGGAATGGCTATCTCTGGCATGCCATAAATTCAATATATGAGTGTTTTGCCATACATATGTGTGCTTTACTGTGGTCAGTATCATAATTAGCCAAGCTTTACCCACATGCCCCAAAATTCCAATGCTTGAGAGCAAAGTCATCTGGATACAACTAGTTTTTATGTTGGCTGGGGAACTATTGTTTGATCAACATCTCTAGTTGCTAACTAGCGGTATTTCATTTGGAGTTTCCAAAACACTAATAGCAACCAGATAGATATTGTGTCTGTCCCTTGCCTCAAATTTTAATCATGTTGTTGTCTCCAGAACAATTCCAAAAGAAACATAGCCCGAAAAATGTGGTGCTTTCCAAGAAAGGTTGGGTGTTATCATTGCTCTGAAGGGGACAGTGTGGGGAAATAATTAAATAGGATAAGCAGGGAGGGCTCCCGTATTCCTTTCCTGGCTCTTCAACTGCCTAGCTGCTACTGTACCATTGTTAGTTTTTCTGGTTTCTCTCTAAATAAGTTTCTTTATCTAATGACTAAAGGAAGAAGAATTTAACCATGAGACTACATAATTAGCTTGAGTATTTGCCTACATGGGTTTATATGCAGATATGTGGATCTCATTTAAACACTTTTAAATGAATTTATTTTATTTATGTATTTATGTATTTATTTATTTATTTATTTATCTATTATTTATTTTGAGATGGAGTCTTGCTCTGTCCCCCAGGCTGAAGTGCAGTGGTGCGATCTCGGCTCACTGCAACTTCTGCCTTCTGGGTTCAAGCGATTCTTCTGCCTCAGCCTCCCAAGTAGCTGGGACTACAGGTGCACACCACCACGCTGGGCTAATGTTTGTATTTTTAGTAGAAATGGGGTTTCACCACATTGGCCAGGCTGGTTTCGAACTCCTGACCTCATGATCTGCTTGCCTTGTCCTCCCAAAATGCTGGGATGACAGGTGTGAGCCACTGTGCCTAGTCCGAATTTATTTATTTATTTATTTTATTTTTTGAGATGGAGTCTTGCTCTTTCACCTGGCTGGAATGCAGTGGCATGATCTCAGCTCACTGCAACTTCCGCCTCTGGGGTTCAAGCGATTCCCCTGCCTCAGCCTCCCAAGTAGCTGGGATTACAGGCACGTGACACCACGCCCAGCTATTTTTTTTTTTTTTTTTTTTGTATTTTAGTAAAGATGGGGTTTCACTATGTTGGCCAAGATGGTCTTGATTTCCTGACCTTGTGATCCACCTGACTCAGCCTTCCAAAGTGCTGGGATTACAGGTGTGAGCCACTGCACCCGGCCCCAAATTTATTTTATCACTTTATACTCTATTTGATAGTCATTTCTGTCTATGCTGTATATATTAACACAGAGAGGAGGAAGAGTGGAAGTATGGGATAATGGAAGGTAGAATTTAAAGCAGCAGAAAAAAGAAAGGCACTTTTTCCATTGAATAAATGAAGGTCAATAATATATTTTGGATGATAGGTACATAATTCTTCAACACTAACAACAGAAATGCCTCTGTTTTATAGTAATGAGTAACGAAGAGTATTTTATGATCCAGAAAAGTCACAGTACAAAGGCACTATTTCCTTTTGGCTGGTTTTTAGTTTTCAATCAACAAAGCTTCTATTTTAATTCCTGAAGTACACACTGTGATGCAAGAAGGCCCCAAGAGGAAGAAATTCTGCTTCCTTTTGGCATCTTTTGGAAATTCTTTAACGCAGTGATGCAACTCTATTATTTCATGGTGAACATCTGTAGATCCACGTAATACTTTGTGGCATAAGGCTGAGTGAGAACAAGTGTCCAAGGACCTCTAGTCAGTGTTCCATATACACAGTCAGAAATCAAATGTACTTTGTTGGCCAGGTGCGGTGGCTCACGCCTGTAATCCTAGCATTTTGGGAGGCTGAGGTGGGCTGATCACTTGGGGTCAGGAGTCCGAGACCAGCCTGGCCAACATGGTGAAACCCCGTCTCCACTAACAATACAACAATTAGCTGGGCATGGTGGCGCATGCCTGTAATCCCAGCTACTCGGGAGGCCGAGGCAGGAGAAGTGCTTGAACTCAGGAGGTGGAGATTGCAGTGAGCCATTGCACTCCAACCTGGGCAACAGAGCAGGACTCCATCTCAAAAAAAAACAGGAATAAAGAAATAAAATGTACTTTGTAACTTAGGAGGATGGGCTGGCGAGGTGGATAACAGCATAATCATCAACTTTCAGGAGCTGTTAGAGAATTGAAGTTCAGTCAAGGACAAAAGAGAATAACCAGATTAGTGTTGGAGACAAGAAAGGAGGTTCAGTTTATTGACTGTGTATGAATGCGACTCTGCCTCCCAGTGGTTTTTATTATCCACTTCCATGGATATTTCTTCTTTCTCTCTGATGATCCCATTTTCACTTGATCTTTGTTTGGAGGTTGAACAAGACAAATAATAATAATAATAAAAATAGCAGTTAACCTTTCCTGAGTCTTCACTATGTGGATAACATTTTACTAAATGATTTAATGTATGACTTCATTCAGTCCTTTCAACAGCCTTATGAATTTGTATTATCACTCCCATTTTAAAGATGAAGAAACTGAGGCTTAGAGAGTGACTTGCCTAAAGTCACCAAGCTAGTCAGTGGCAGAAAGGGATTCAAACTCAAGCAATCTGACTCCAGAGCTGATGCTCTTGAACACTATTCTTTATAGTCCCTTGCATATGAATTTTGAAAGGTTTGATACCAGAGAAGACTGATGTCATTGGCCAAAATGCAGAAAGAATTTGAATAATCTGTGGATTCCAGGCCTGTCACGGTTGGCTCATGCCTATAATCCCAACATTTTGGGAGGCCGAGGCAGATGTATCACTTGAGACCAGGAGTTCAAGGTCAGCTTGGCTAACATGTTGAGACCACATCTCTACTAAAAAATACAAAAATTATCCAGGAGTGATGGCACGTGCCTGTAATTCCAGCTACTCGGGAGGCTGAGGTGGGAGAATTGCTTGAACCTGGGAAGAGGAGGTTGCAGTAAGCCGAGATCACACCACTGCTCTCTAGCCTGGGTGAGAGAGCAAGACTCCATCTCAATAAATAAATAAATAAATAAATAAATAAATAAATAAATATAATCTGTGGATTCCAAATGCGTATCTTCCATATTACATCACTAAGTTTTTGCTTTTCATTCCTATTGCTAATATCAGAGCTCAGGTTGCCATTACTTCTTACTCGAACTTCCTTGAAAAATGTTATTTCTTACTACTTAATATTATTACATTTTGTCAAAATTATGGAAAATACGGAAAAATTGGCATCAAAAGAAGCTTCACCTACAAGTTCACTAATTAGGAATAGCAGTTATATTTTCTTTTAGCTATTTTTCCAATTATATTTCAGAGTTATACACACACATATGTATAGTCATGCACCGCATAATGATGTTTCAGTCAGTAATGAAAGGCATATATGATGGTGGTCTCATAAGATTGTAACGGGGATGAAAAATTTCTACTGCCTAGTTCTGTTATGGTGACCCTGATGCTGTAGCGCAATGCATTATTCACGTTTGTTGTGATGCTGGTGTAAACAAACCTACTGCATTGCTACTCATAGAAAAGTATAGTACATACAATAATGTACAATGCATACTAGTTGATAATCATAATACGAAACTATGTTAGGGGTTTATGTATTTACTATGATTTCTTATCATTATTTTTGAGTGTACTCCTTCTACTTATTAAAAAAAGTTAACTGTAAAACAGGCTCAGGCAGGTCCTTTAGGAGTTATCCAGAGGAAGGCATTGTCATCATAGGAGATGACAGCTCCATGCGTGTTATTGCCCCTGAAGACCTTCCGCTGGGACAAGATGTGGAGGTGGAAGACAGCGATACGGATAGTCCTGTCCCTGTCACAGGTAGGCCTAGGCTACTGTGTATGTTTGTGATTTGTTTTTTAACAAAAAAGTTTAAAAAGTTAAAAAAAAATTTAAAAACATAAAAAAGCTTTTAGAACAAGGATATAAAGAAATTATTTTTGTACAGCAGTACAATGTGTTTGTGTTTTAAGCTCACTGATAATACAAAACAAAAAGTTAAAAAACTTAAAAAGTTTATAGAGTTAAAAAAGTTACAGTAAACTAAGGTTAATTTATTATTAAACAAAGAAAATGTTAAAAATAAATTTAGTGTAGCCTAAGTGTACAGTGCTCATGAAGCCTACAGTAGTGTACAGTAATGTCCTAGGCCTTCACATTCACTCACTGACTCACCCAGAGCAACCTCCAGTTCTGCAAGCTGCAGTCATGGTAAGTGACCTATACAGGTGTACCAATTTTTGTCTTTTATACCATATTTTTGCTGTACCTTTTCTATGCTAAATTTAAATAAACAAATTCCATTGTGTTACAGTTGTCTACAGTATTCAGTACAGTAATGTGTTGTACAAATTTGTAGACTAGGAGCAATAAACTATACCGTATATCCTAGCTGTGTAGCTAGGATAGTCGTAGCTGTTGCTGTGTAGATAGCTGTAGCTGTGTAGTAGGCTATACCTTCCAGGTTTGTGAAGTATGTGAAGGATGTTTACACAATGACAAAGTCACCTAACAGTGACATTTCTCAGAGAATATCTTGTTGTAAATGATGCATGAATGTACATACATATATATGTGTGTATATATATATATAATTTGTCTCACAAAATTTTAAGTTTAACTTTATAAAATAGTCATTTTTTCCATGTAATTACAAACTCCTAGTAATCATATTTTAATGGTTGAGTAATAATCCAACTTATTCTTATATCAGTCCTTATAGTAATATTTTTGTGTGTATTTCTGTATTTTTTAGTAGAGACAGGGTTTCACTGTGTTAGCCAGGATGGTCTCAATCTCCTGACCTCGTGATCCACCTGCCTCAGCCTCCCAAAGTGCTGGGATTACAGGCGTGAGCCACCACGCCTGGCCAGTAATTTCTTACTTTCTACCTAATATAAATAATTTAATAATGAGAATCTTTGTGCCAACATCCTCTTCTCTCTTCCTCTTTTCTATGTTTCCCTACTCACAACCATAATGGCAGCTACCAAGCAACTTTCCTAAAACATGTGCCTTGCCTTGATGCAAATCCGCAACATCAGCAAAACAAATTTAAATGCCTTAGCCTGGCATCCAATATACTTCATACGCTGATTCAGTCTACCTTCCAAGTCTCATCTTTGACCTCTCCTGTATTCTAAACTCCAGTCATACTCACAGCTTGGGAAAAGCCACATGCACTTGCAATTCTGCATAACTGTTCATGCCATTCCTTCTACCTAAAATGCTCTTCTCTCCATGCCTATCTGTGAAACTTCTGCCCAATGACCAATCCTCATTCCAAATTTCATTTTCTCTTTCAGCTCTTTCTAACCATATTAAGTTGCTGTGCCTCCTCACTCCTCTGTTTCTCTGAACTCAGACTGTCATGCTTGATTTTATGTTTCATTGTTGTATTTGTGTGTCTGGAACCGTTGGCTCAAAATGTTATTATAGAAGTGAATGAATTGTGTGTGTTTTATATACGTACCTACCACGTTACCTGAGGACAAGGCCTAAGATATATTTATCCATGTTGGCTACAGTGTCTACCAAGGTCCATGCATATATAGGTCCTTAATTTTCAAATAAATTAATCTGTGCTGCTTGGCTTGAGCCCAGGAAACTACAGGAATTTGTAGCTATATAGGCTGAAATTGGAACTACAAGTTCTTGGATTATTGATTATCTAAGGTTGCTAAATTGATGCTATGAAGGACTTCTGAAATATTAGGATATTTACTGAAGTACATAACTATGCTAATGTTACAGACTTCCTAAAACCATGTTATGATGGAACTGTATGGGAACTTTGCAGTCTCTGGATTTGACTATTTAATTTTTTTGATAAGAAAACGGGGCCAGGGAGGTGCCTGATGCCATCAGCCATCACTGTTAGAGCGAGGCATGGGTCGAAAGTCTGTGCTTCTGGTCCAGGGCTCAATTGCTGCAACTTACTGTCTTGATTTTCTCAGGGCAGTCCCTGTTTTGATCCTTTATAATTAAAAGGAAGATCATCTTCAAAAAAACAAAACTTATCTAATCAAATTTAAGTTACCGTTTGTGTCTGGCTTGGGAAAATGGGGCCAATACTCAGAACGTGTAGTTTCTTTTCAATTTAATTGTGATTATTCATGGCTCTTAATTTTGTGTTACTCCTATTAGACTAGGTATTTGCATTTGAAAGCAGGTACCTGATTCTTCGGGACACTTCAAAGGTCAAATTTCACTATTAAGCTACATTTCCCTCAAAATACATGTTTAGGCCAGGTGCGGTGGGTCACGCCTATAATCGCAGCACTATGGGAGGCCAAGGTGGCGGATCACGGATCACGAGGTCAGGAGATCGAGACCATCCTGGCCAACATGGTGAAACCCCTTCTCTACTGAAAATACAAAAATTAGCTAGGTGTGGTGGTGCATGCCTGTAGTCCCAGCTACTCAGGAGGCTGAGGCAGGAGAATCACTTGAACCCGGGAAGTGGAGGTTGCAGTGAGCTGAGATCGCACCACTGCACTCCAGCCTGGGTGACAGAGTGAGACTCCATCTCAAAAAAAAAAAAAAAAAAAAAAAAAAAAAAAAAAAAAAACCATGTTTAGGTGCCAGAAATTCCTTCTAGCTGAGTAATGAATGTTTCTGAGTATTAAATAATCACAGTCACTGGAAGTTAGAAAGGATCTTAAGACTATTGATCTCTGTGATCTTATTTTATATTCAGGGAACTGAATTTTAAAGAGGTAATGGCTTTCTGAAGGCTCCCATAGCAGTCAGGAGCAGGAACAGAAGTCTTTCCAAGATAACACTCAGTTATCATCATCTTTGGGTAAAGTCAGAGGAAAATGAAGGAAGGCTTTGCCCTTATGAGGGTTATATAACAATGTGATAGTTATTGGCCACCTCATTAGTTAACAAGCATAGTAGAGATATTTCCAATGGAAAACAAGCCAGATTCAGACATTGATACGACCTGGATGATTCAAAGATGAGTGTTAAGAGACATCAAGTAGGGTGATGATGGAGATGCAAGCTGTTATTAAAACAACCCCTTGCCTTGTCATGGCCACAGCCTTCAGTCAGTGAGCTCACAGAGGTCTGGCACTTTCTTCCATTTGGTATCTCCAGCATTTGGAACACTGTCTAGCTCACATTAGTGAATGTGTTTCGAATGAATGAAGGGTCTGATGAGAGAGAGGTGACTAAACAAGTATGGCTTTGTAATTAAGAAAAGAAAGGAAGAGAGAGAGAAAAAATAAATAAATAGCAAAAACCAAAACTCAAATATATTTTTGATACTGAGTTATAAACATATAGTGTCTCATTAAGGCTTTGTTAAGTAAATCTGGCTTGGGAAATTGTACTTCAATCACTTAGATATGAAATACGAGGGAAAGATGAGTAAACTACACAGTATTGACCACACAAACAGTGAGTGAGAGACCAGATACAATCTACCCAAAGCTGGACTCCTGGGTATATATTTGCCCAATTATTTATTTATTCATTCATTCATACAACACCTGCATAAGTGCCATTTGGTTCGATACAAAACTGACAAGGTGACTACTTTTAAGGAGCTCACCATGTATCTACTCCAAATATATTCAGCGACTTCCCTCTCCACCCCCACTCTAAATGTGTATGTTCTATAGCATAAAATAAAATGAGAAAATACTAAAAAGACAACATTTTAAGGGAGTTTGATACTATTCTTTATGTGTTGTCAATAGGAATTTAAGGATGCCCACTTAATTCGTGATTTTGTCCCCAGACCTGGGAATTCACAAATGATTCTGGAATTTCCTTCAAACAAGATACCTTTCCTCCAAAGGCATTTGTACATCTCAGGAATGTAGTTAGTGGCAGCTGCTCCCCCCCCCCCCACCCCCGCCACCAACCAGGTCTAATGTCATAAACTCTGCAGGAATCCTGTCTGTGGTTCTGCACATTCAGGACTCGCAATCAGTCCTTACATGGGCAAAAGCTTGTTTGCTCTGCACTTGCATTAACCTCAGATCAGTTAAGCAAACCCAAAAACACAATGGCTTGGGTATAAGATACCATTCTACTTAGAGTGGCCTAAGATTTCTAAAAATGCCCACAGCAAGCAACTCAGGATGACTACCCAAAATGTAGATAGAGTAATAGGGAGATGTGTTCTAGCTAAAATCAACCAATAAACAGAAAACTGGTAACCCATGTCTGATGTTCTAATCCAATGTTGTTGTTGTTTTTATTTCATTGTTCTTGGTGAATTCTATTGAAAAGCAAAGATTCTTTTCAAATTCAAAGAAATTTTATTATATTATACAATGACTGTGTAAAAATTAAGATTATATAGTGAAGCACACTGAGCAGGGATGATAAATAAAATATTTCACTAGAAATGCATTCAACAGTCAGAACAGATACTGACCATAGACAACTGCTATGTTTGTACTGGTGCATATTAATACCAGCCCTGCTTCTGTGCTGAGCTCACTGATTTGTGTTACATGAAAATCACACTATATATCTCTTACAGGTGAAGATCAACACATAAAACATCTAAATTACATTTAATGCCCATTATACAGGTGAATAACAACATCAAACACAAGAATATTTATTCTTTGTCCCAACTTCATCCATTTCATCTTCTCTACTAGACTATTTCTATTAATATAAAAGCATATTGTATATTATGTCTTCCTAGTTAAAAAAACACAAAAAAAAGCCCAAAGCAAAATATTTCCTTTATACTATACTATCCTCTGTCTACTCTGTTCTACTTCTTTTCCTTATAGCAGAATTTCTGGAAATAATTTTTTCACACTCACTGTCTTCCTTTCTCTTTCTTTTACTTGCTCCTGAATCTCCTTTAATTGGGCTTTCCTCCCTCTTCTGAAAATGCTCTCATTAAAGTTACCAGGGTCATGCTCATTGCCAAATCAATGGGCACCTCTCAGACCTCCTCCGTGTGAATGTTTGCAGTATTCAATGCAGTTGCAGTTGGTTTCACTCTCCTTATTGAAGCATTCTTCTTAGCCTTCTTTGCTGAATCCTTCACTTTTCAGTTTTGAATGACATGTACACTCTTGGAGATCTCATCCAACTCCCAGACTTCAGTGACTACTTCTACAGAAACCTCCCCAACAGGGAGGCCTTCCTTGACCACGCACCCTGCAGTAGCAACCATTGCCTGTCTTTAGTCTCTTGCTCTGATTTGTTTTTCTTCATAGCACTTATTACTACCTACTGTTCTATGATCTATCTAGCTTATCTCTATTGTTTGCCTATTGTCTGTCTCCTCTGCCAGAATACAGCTCCAGAGGATAGAAACTATCTTGTTTACTGATGTTATTTTAATACCTGAAAAAAGTGCCTGTCCCAGAGTATGGACTCACTAAATACTTGCTGAGTAAATAAATGAATGTTCACAAATGGGGACTAAAAGGCTAACAAGCAAGATCTTTTTCACGCTATGTAAATTTATGAAAAGTGACCTTATTTTAATTTGCAATGGCAAATTATGGAAGGGCTTGGTCAGGTCTGCCATGGGTCAAATCCAGCCATGCTTGCTTGCTTGCTTGCTTGCTTGCTTGCTTGCTTGCTTGCTTGCTTGCTTTTTCTTTCCTTCCTTCCTTCCTTCCTTCCTTCCTTCCTTCCTTCCTTCCTTCCTTCCTTCCTTCTTTCTTTTCTTTTCTTTTCTTTTCTTTTTTTTTTGAGACAGCGTTTCACTCTGTCGCCCAGGCTGGCGTGCAGTGGTGCGATCTCAGCTCATTGCAACCTCTGCCTCCCAGGTTCGAGCGATTGTCCTGCCTCAGCCTCCGGAATAGCTGGGACTACAGGAGCATGCCACCATGCCTGGCTAAATTTTTGTATTTTTAGTAGAGACAGGGTTTCACCATGTTGGCCAGGCTGGTCTCTAACTCCTGACCTCAAGTTATCCACCCACCTCAGCCTCTCAAAGTGCTGGGATTACAGGTATGAGCCACCGTGCCTGGCCTACACATTTCTTTTACATATTGTCTGTGACTGCTTTCCCATTGCAGTGACACAATAGAGTAGTAAAGGCAGAGATAATGTATGGCCCACAAAGCCAAAAATACTTACTACCTGGGACTTTCCAGAAAAAGTTTGTTGGCCCCTGGTTTATTATACACATTAGGTAGGCAGTAAAATGTAAAGGTTAAGAGTATAGCTCTGGAGCCAGATGTCCTAGGTTCAAATGCCATTTCCTCCTTTGCCCTGCTGCAGCCTTAGTTAAGTCACCTCTCCTCATTCTGTCTCAGTTTTCTCAACCATTAAATGGAGATAACACCAATACTAACCACACTGGGTGGTTGTGAAGATAAAATGAGTTAATACTTGTGAAATACTTAAAATCTTCCAGAAATATACTCATGAATATTACTGTATGGTGAGAAAGTAATTGAAACTGGTTTGAAAGAATTGAGGGCAGGTATATCAAAGTGTAGCTATGTGCATTTAATTTATCCTGACAGACATATTACAAACGACTAAGTTCATTTCCCTCCTTCACTGGTTCATTCTGTTGGATCTTGGGTTAGTTGGTATGAACAGATACATTTTCCTTCTGTTGCAGATGGAAAAATTTACACGTAGACTGTGTTTTTCCTTAACTAATTTTTGCGGGATACATACAAAAAGCAAATAATCGGTGTGTCATCTACTGTCTGTTTTGATGGAATTTGGGAAAAAACTCAGCTGAAATCAGACAGACAGGCACTGTGTGGGAGTCTCTATGACGATTTGTCTGGTGGTCCCCTTTTCACTGGATTTTACCCTGTTAGGTGGACAGTGTCAAAGGCATCCTAGGATGACTCCCCAAGCATCCTCGTAAATTTCCTCCTCTGGTCTTGGTCTTCACACTTGGAATCTCTGGTGTGATTTGTCCTGTCTGCTCTTCAGTGTCCAGGTCAAGTTCTTCCTCTTCTGGGATGGCTTCCAGTGAGCTCTCCATTCTGTCAATGCCTGTGACCCATTCACTTGTCCCCTAGCTGAAGGCACTTGTTAACTTTTTAATTTTTAATCTTCTAAAAAACATCCTATTTTCACTAACTAGAGTTCTATTTGATTGAGGTAAGGGATTGAACCTTCCTCCTTGGTATGCTCAGCACGTAAGAAGAGTGCCCTACACAAAGCATCTGCTTGGAATTGGCTACCATCGATCTATCAATGGAAATTCTTTTTTTGTTTGTTTGTTTTTGAGACATAGTCTCACTCTGTCGCCCAGGGTGGAGTACAGTGGCATCATCATAGCTCACGGCCCTCATGAACTACTGGCCTCAAGGGATCCTCTAAAAGTGCTTGGTTTAACAGGCATGAACCACTATGCCCAGCTAATTGACAGTAGTTCTTAATGTGGTTTCTGGGGTGCAGCACCTGCCAATGTCTTCTGCCTCCTGCATCTTGTTCTCACGTTCTGTGCTCTGGCTATCACGCTCCAACCTTCCATGCTCACGTCCTCCTCATGCTAGTCCCTATGTCTGAATTGCCCTCTCCTCATCTTCACATTGTCAACTGCCAGTCATCTTTCAGATATGAGTTCAACAGTCACTGCTTCAAGGAAGCTTCTGGAACAGGTTTTCTCACTGTAGACCAAGACCATGTTGGGGCCTCTCCTCAGACTGCTCTGCCTTTTCCTTCATGGTACCATCATATCCATAGTTATAGACTGAATTTTTATGTGGTTATCTGGTGAATGTCTATCTCTTCTACTAGAGTGAGCTCTCCATGATGAAGAACAACGTTTGCTTAAATGACATTTTATCTCCAAGATCTAGTGTAGTGATTGACTCATAGTTTTTGAATGAATGAGCAGTGAGTAGCTGACAAAGATAAGGGGATTATTACACTCTTGCATAGTGGGAAAATGTATTCCATAAAATTTTGCTGACTCTCTTCCATGTGCCAGTGCTGCGCTGGGTGTTGGGGATGCAGCACAGAACAAAGTAGGGGTGGGAAGAGGTGAGATGCAAATGCACAACTTTCCACTTTATATCTGTGCTTAGTCCAGTGGACAGCGAGGGTTTCTCTCTTAGTGAGCCTGGCTTGGCTTCCCAGGTGTAGAGAAAGCAACTATTTTGTCTAGAATTTTCTGTCATGGTTTCCCAATATGGTCATTAGTGAGAAGGTATTAAGTCTGCAAAACTGAGGCTTTATACCAGGTACCCCTCAAAGTCACTATGGCCAATTAAGAGCTTTTTATGCAAGAAGGACATTTTCTAATTGGCTTATATCTTTCTTCTCTCCACATTCCAATCCATCTAATATTAAACACCAGCAATTGTGCTGCTTTTTCTATTATCCATACTTTACTAATTATTTGCCCTCATACACTGCTAATTATGAGTTTTGTTTAATCCTTTCTGTTCAAATTTGCATACGTAGTATTCTTATTTTTTTCCTCTCAAATGACCATTGTGTTAAAACATGTACAAGGCAGTCATACTACAAGCTATTAGGGTAATTAATCTAGTTTCCATTTCTGTTTGCCTGTTTGTTTTATTGCACTGACTAGCGTTACAGGTGAAGGATAGAAACTTCACTGAATCTGGACTTACATGTATTCCTTTAAGCACAATGTCCAGTACAGCTCCATTGTATAAAAGCACCAATATCTGATAATAAGGTGTCATAAGTCACAGAATCCCATAATGACAAGATACTTGGGGACAATCTATCTGGTTCCCTTATTTTGCAGATGAGAAAACAGAGATCCATTGAGATTAGATAACATGTCTTTTGAATCTGGGACAAAATCCCAGGTTCTCCTGATTCCCATTCCATGTGCTTTTGATATTTCATTCTATTCTTCATACTACTTTTCAAATCTTTATGAAGTGAGAGATTTCCCCTTACTAGCAAGAGTAGACCTTTGACCAAAAAGCTGAAAAAGAGAAGTGCTGTTAAAACCTCCCTCTGTGCTTTTGTGCCACAAGGCCTTTTTCACATCGTTTAGAGAAAGGAGATTGCATTGCAGGTTGCTCCTTTGTGGCATTTAGGGATCATTTCTCTGTGAGAATAAGACCCTCAGTGGAACTGTTGATTGCGTGGTATATGGTGATTGATGGATATCAATTTCTGCTTACATATCTCTGCTCTATGACATCATGCATTTGGAGACATGCCTCCAAACACACAAGGTTGGCCAAGGGAAAGAAAGACATTTCTCAGCCCAGCCTGTTGACTAAATAGCCATTATATTCTTGAAACCAAGATGATATTGTTTCTCTGAGCTTTTTCTCAGGTTGCTACCCTCAGCTTGGTCTGGAGGCACTAAGAATGCTTTTGCTATACTACTTGAACATGCCCAGTTGCAACTTCTGAGTTTCGTTAGTGGCTTACCAACAACTTTCTGGCACAAAACAAAAGAATGCCTTCCTGAATGGTAAGTCGGGAAAGCCCAGCACCTGCTCTGCCTTTGTATTCTCCCCTCCAGCACCCTGGGGATAACTGCTTTGCAGAACAGGAGCTGGTCTGTGCTGGCTGCCAAATGGAGAACCCTGATTAGAATAATGCCCAGCAGGTTTCTGCTCTCTCTTCTCCTTTCCCACCCTTAAACAAACTAGAGGATGGCTGTTGCTAAGGGCCAAAATAACAAGACCTGCGTGCTTTTAACCGTTATTTTAACAATTAAATTAACGGCTTTTTAATTGTTATTTGGAAGTCCATGAACCGTCATCCACGGGAAGGAAAATTCAAGATACTGGAAAAGTTAAGGTAACTTCCTGAACTTAAAGAAAGAGAGCAATTTATTCAAAGAATGAACAAGGAATAAATACATTTATATCTGAGAAGAAACATTCTCTGTTTTAACTAATATTGGCCAGATCAGACAGTGTGTGAGTGTGGTCAGTAATCCAGTCAAAGTGGGTGATTTAAACACTGTTTTAAATTAGGATTTGAACTTGGGGCTAGGTGGGGCTTTGACTCTTTTAGTATCTTTACTTTTTCTCATTATATAGATGAGGGAGCTGCTTCTCCGGGCTTCTTCTTTCTTCCCTTTCCTTCCATTCCTCTCGCATCCTCTTCTCCTCCTAAAGCTTAAGCAGAGCCCGAGTTGGGGAATAAACAGCAACTACTGAAGTGTCCATTGTTCCCCCACTTCAAGTCCTGCATAAATGTAATGATGGTAGTTCCCAAACAAAATACTTCCTCACTGACCAGACACAATCTATGTAGGGTCAAAGGGCCCTCTGAAGGTTTGCTGAAAAATCAACTCTTGAAAGGCAGACTGATAGGAGAAAAGGTATACAAATTTATTTAACATGCATACATGGAGGGTCTTCAGAATGAACACCCAAGGATACAGAGGAAATCGTCCATTTTTATGCTTGGGTTAAACAAAATATGGACAGCCGTGTAGAAATATGATTAGGCAAAAGGGTTATGGTCTAACGCTAATAGACTGAGTGGGGAAATCCAGCAAGGCCTGTCTGCCTAGATTCTTCTCGGCCTCTCTGATCATCCCTTCTTTCCTTTTAAAAAGGTGGGGTGGGGCCCTTTCTGGAATGGGGGTCTTATGACCTACAGTCAAACAAGGTAGGTCAGATCATTTCTTTATGGCCAGGTTTTACACAGAAAGGGAGAGGGAAAATGAGAATAATATTTTTAGGTCTTATGGCTGGCTTTGGGGCAAAGGGGTTTTGTCCTGGAGACCCGCTAGAAAAGAGGGATTCCAGTTTCTATGCTAGCCTTAGGAGAGAATAAGAGTGAGACAGGAGGGCAGGAGAAGGTCAGAGAAAAACGTCTGCTTTCTGAGGCTGTTGCTGAGGCTGTCGTTTTGGGGTATTCTTTCTTGAGGCCCAACATCTATACAGATTTCAG
Organism: Homo sapiens; assembly: GCF_000001405.40. Lineage (NCBI taxonomy): Eukaryota > Metazoa > Chordata > Mammalia > Primates > Hominidae > Homo > Homo sapiens. Next base: position 218,496,081 of record NC_000001.11, read on the forward strand.
TAGATAACATGTGTCAACTGAAAATGCTTTTCACGTGAAAATTCCAATGACAGGTCATTTAAGAATTCTAAAAATACTGTCTATCTTCTCTTATGCATTCTTTCTTGGGGACACATTTTTGTAAGAAAATGTGAACTCAATAGGAAAGTTAGACACAAGTAAGTTAGAAGAGTTAGATATGTAATGAAGTCAAAGGAGAGGCAAAAAACTATCTGTATTTTTTGTTGGTATTCAACCAACAAAAAAGCTAAAAGTATAACAAAATAAAAACAAAAATCTTAGAAGATAGTGTCTTTATCATCCAGAGTGGTCAAGCTGTAATCTTGGCCAAAGAAGTAAAGGTGCATTAGAATGGAATATTACCTTGTTCTGTCTATAAATTGTTTTATTTTTTTTTTCTTTGGATGAGATCAGATACTTCTTAGAACACAACTTGATGAGGTCTTGTTAGAATAGAGAGGAATGGAGAAGCAGAGGGCATTAGGATATTGGAAAACATTGCAAGACCCAGCAGTTTTAAAAGCACTTTTTTCCCCATCCCTATAAAAAAAAAAAAAAAAAAGAGAGAGAGAGAGAGGGAGCGAGAGGGAGATGATCTCATTCGATCCTGTGAAGGACTGCTACTCAGTAAGGAAGAAGTCCTGGGCAGTGTGAATCAGTTCAAGTCAACATCAGTGATGACTTATGTTCTGGGCATTTAGGGGAGGGTGGAATTCCAGACCATCCTGCTGGTAACCTCAGAAGGCTTGTGCTCACAGTGACTGTATCCCTTAAGGCAGTTAGAGGCTGAGAATGTAGATGGAGTAATGATGATACAAATGTTACTAAACTTTGTCCTCTGAGAGGAGCCTGGAGTGTTGCAGTATAGGAAGCTGTTGATTATCAAATGATTTTTCCCTCTTGGAACCTTAAGAAGAAAACACTAGTGTGTGTCTTCAGTAAGTCCTCTGATTTATAGGGCGCTGATAATTGATTCAAGAAAAAGAAAGTATAGATTTATATATACACACACATATAATACCTATGCATGTATATCATATGTATATGCATGTTTATGTATGCTTTGTGTATGTGTAAACATCTTTTGGTAAAACTTATTAATGAAATATGAAGTTGATGTAAATATCTTTGGGCTGAAAACAGTTCATATATATATAACAATTAATAAGGGCATAATTTTTCACTTTGCAAAACATTTTTTTCCTTCACAAAATGATTCCTCACAAGATTATAAATGAATGAACTAATAAACTTCCACATGTCTCTTAAAATAGGATTTGCTATATTAGTATTTATTATAATAATAATAAAATTAACATTTTTAAACCTTTTGTGCCAAGTACTGAGCTGAGGGCTTTATGTGAACTACCTCATTTCTGTCTCCCAGTCACGCTAGGATGTAAGGTAACATCATTATCCTCTGCATTTGAAAACTTGAGGTTTACACCTGTTCCCAAAAATCTATTGAAATAAAATAAAAATTAAAAAAATTTTAAAAAGATATTCAGCCTAGTTGAAAAGCAAACAAACAAACAAACCCTTGAGGTTTAGAAAATTTCATAACTCTCCCAGAGTCACACCTTAATAAGAGATGTAGCTGGGATTCTGACCCCATAGCCTGTACCTCCCTCTTCTCAACAGTATTTCTATATTTTGGGATACCATGACTCTTATGCAAAGCAACTCATCTGTACAAATAGCTTGGGCCAAAGCAATCAATCATGTAACAAAGGTGTAAATAGAAATAAAAATATTAACCCTTGGCTTGGATCCAAATGTCATTCATTTTAGCCAATGTTTTCCTTTCCATCATTAAGAATTCTGCTTTTTTTTTTTTTAAGTTTGGGAAAATCTGATATCAAATAAATTCATTGCATTCTTTCTGCATAACCATGTGGTAAATGCTAGTCCCGGGCATGGAAAGACAGGCACAGTAAGCAAAGACAGAATGAGGAAAAACTGTGAATCTAGATTTTTTCCTCTGTGTAAGAAAGTATAGTTCCCTTGGTAGAGAATGCAGAGACTAAAGCCTTTGACTATTGGACAAGAAACTGTTGACATTGCTGTAGTGAATCATCCGTCATACACAGCTCTTAATGGGGATGGGACAAATTACAGCATTTCATGATGCTGCCCAAAGATAATTCAGTCTAGCACCTGGATTGTTTGGAAATCCACTGGATCCCTCCTTGACTCTCACATGCTCATCCTGCATATACACTCCTTGTATAGCAACAAGCATGAGATTGAGCGATAGAGTTGGACAAATGACCAATATTTATTCAGTTAATAAAATACAGAGTTGTTTTCCTAGAAACACCAGCAAGGCAAAGGGAAACAGAGAGAGGAATCCTGCTCCTACCAGAGAGATGAATGGGTGTGAGAAAATGTGAGGGAGACTCATTGCATAAACATAACTGAGGCTAAAGATCGCTGCAGCCCCAGCCAGGCTAAAACATGGAGAAGATGACCATGCGAGGCTGGGCAAGTGGGGTGCTATCTACCGAGGAGTGGGTAGGACAAGGGGTCCAGGCCCCATGCTTATCTATTAGGTGAAGTTTTGATCTCAAGGCTGGGAAAGACATGGCCAGAAATAAATGTTTAGGACATAACATTCTTTCCATGTTAGGACACCACATTCTTGCTATTTGGTGACAAATGACTGAACCGGGAGCTTGGTCCCATTTATGATCTAATTCTATAAAAATGAAATCCCGGGCATCTGGTTCAGAGCATTCCAGGAAAGAGTTAAAGCCCAATATTGCTGCCTCACTCTGTTCTTCCTTTTTGGTGAATGATAGGCTAGGACGTGAACTTGCTGCCTTCTGGAAGTGCTTTCTCTTTCTTTCTGTGGATTTTATTTTCTGCCTTCTATGGGAGAGAACAGCTCTCTTGCCTTTCCACTTCCCCTGGGCTTGAAAACACTCATAGTAGAACATATACCTTCTATCTGAAGACAACATATAGAAGGTAAAAGAAATGGAAAATCATCTGCATAAAGAAGAAAAACAGAGAGTGAGTGAGCATATGGGCGTGTCTGAGTGTGCGTGTTCAGTGTAGGAAGTGTCTGAAGAGAAGTCCAGCTACAAGAACTTGCTGCAATAATTCTCTAACAGCATGAACAAAGACTCCAATAATAAATGGTGACATTTACACAAATATTTGTGGTTGTGCTTTCCATTTCTTCTTATAGGAAACAAGTAAGATTTTTAAATGCTTTAGTGATGTGATCAGTAGACAGTAGTGGGAAAGAATTTCCCTGAAACCTGACTTGCAATCAAAATAAGGAAGGAAGATCTGAGAGAATTGAGAATATTTCAGCTAATCAGGATATGGCACTTTCCGGCATCTGGGTGTCCAAACAAGTGTTTTGAATTCAATACTGTTAACATGTGTCACTTTAATGAATATTTTCCTTTGAAGTTGATTGGATGGTTACATTTTTGGCAATAATCTTGTGGTCTGTTGCTTACATTACCTGACCCACAGTCCATTTTCCTTGTGTTGGCTGTGGGAAAGAAAAAGAGTGAAAAATATCTCAGAACCTGGGAAACAGCACTGAGAATGCGACTCATCTTTTAGTTAAACCACTTCAGATAGAAGCTCTCTAAGGATTGCCTCCTCACTGTCTGTGATATGTGTAACCAAAAAAAAGAAATAAGTTCCCCCGGTGTCAAAAAGATAAGGGGAAAAATCCACAAAATGAGATGAGGCTATTTTTCTTTTTTAAGCCTGAAATAGGAGGTCAGTCCTTTGCACTCTTCCTTTTGACTTCTAACAAAACCAATCACAGTCAAGCTATTCTCTTGAGTTAAAAAGTGTTTTCAGGAAGTCCATAACATGTTCTAATTGATTATTTAAAAATCCCCACACAGGAACATCCCCTCATGGTCTGAATGTCTTTTTAGCCCTCTGCTATTTGCAGAACCTTAAACAAATTGTAAGAGAGAGTCCTTGGCTAACTCCAAGGACCTTTATGAGGAGTGGGAGAGAAAGGGGAGGATGTGGATTGGATGCAGCAAAGTGCTCTCTCAAATCAGCATGAGGCCGGGCATGGTGGCTCACGCCTGTAATTCCAGCACTTTGGGAGGCCGAGGGGGGCGGATCACCTGAGGTAAGGAGTTCCAGACCTGCCTGGTCAACGTGGTGAAACCCCGTCTCTACTAAAAAAACAAAAATTAGCTAGGAGTGGTGGTGGGCGCCTGTAATCCCAGCTACTCAGAAGGCTGAGGCCGGAGAATCCCTTGAACCAGGGAAGTGGAAGTTACAGTGAGCTGAGATCACGCCATTGCACTCCAGCCTGGGCAACAGAGCGAGACTCTGTCTCAAAAAATAAATAAAATAAAATAAAATAAAATAAAAAATTAGCATGCATTGGGAGAGTTTCTATGGGTGGGCAGCCCTAGTGATGTGTGTGTATATGTGTATGTGTTTGTGTGTGTGTGAATATGTTATGCATGTGGGTATATGTGTGAATATGCGTATGTGAGTATATACATATATGCATATATACGTGAATGTGTGTGTGTTTATGTGTATATGTACATGTGTATGTGTATGTGAGTATATGGGTGTATATCAGTGTACCTCTATATGTGACTGTATTTTCTATAAGACTCTAGGCTCTTTCAGGCAGTTTATCAGAATATTTAAAGGCATAGACTTTGGAATTATAGAACAAGGGTTAAATCGAGGTGCCATCATTCTCTAGCTGCATGACTGACTGCAGACATGCTGCTTAATCTGTCTTGGCCTCCGTTTCTTCACCTGTAAATGGTGATGATAGTAACACCCATCTTATTAAGATTGCTGCTATGAGAGGGTATGTGAGAAGTGATTTGCACAGTGCTTGATATAAGCAGTTCTCAATAGTGAGATCTTAGATATCATTAATCGGCAATCTCCTCCCTCCACAGATCCAAGAGCAATTTTCCTCTCCCCTCCCCTCCTCTCTCTTCCCCTCTCTTTTCCTTCTTTCTTTCAGGTGGATGTTTCATGTATGTAGCTGATAGTCTGACTCACAGCAGTGTGAGGATTTTCGTTTCAGAGAGCCGTCTCTCACAGCCATCCAGAGAAGCACTGTCACTCCTGGTTCTGCTTGTATAGCTTCCCACGTAAGGCTATGGGTGCACACGACACACAATTCTGTGGAACTAACACCGGAGTCCTGTATGTGGAGGGAGGGATTCTCCCTCCCTCCACACCATGTGGCCCAGAGCACAGAAAGTCCTCTACAGATGGAGAGGAAAGAAGCCAAATCTAAGGAATGCAATGGGCTTTTAGTTCCAGGGGATCATTTTGTTTCATACAGACTTTAAATACCATCGAGTGGCCTCTTAAGTTCCCACGTGTTCCACTAAGACTCTGTAAGACAGAGACTTAGAAGGCACATGGCCCTTCCCACTTGAGATACATTACCATGCTGGTTTGTTTAAATGCTTTCCTGTGGGATAAATTCTCTCTGGTTGATCATGGCAGTCACTTTCTAGCCACCTTTCATATCTTCAATTTTTGTGTTTTCTAAATTTCCTTTGTAGGGAATGTCATATTTGGAAAGCCAAATTACTTAATTATGGGTTCAGAATTAATTATTGATTCATTCAACAAATATTTATTGAATACCATCTAGGTGGTAGGTACTGGGATGAATACTAGAAGAGAGTTGCTAAAGACACCTTCCTGACCTTCAAAGTACTCACAGTGCAGTTGAGGAAAAAGAGAAGTAAGTGAGTGATTTCAATGTAGTGTAGTAAGTGCTGTGATGATTGTGGTAGCACAGGGTTTAAGGGATGGTGGGCAGAGAAAGGAGAGGTTATGTATTCTGGGTCACAGAGCTTGTGGGGTAGAGGCAGGATTCAATCTCAGTGTCTATGACTATGAAATCTGTGCATGTATACACTAAGATTGATGACTCCTCAGTTGCCCACGTCACTGACTTTGAATAATTAGTAAATAATACTTAGATTCAGAGATAAAATAATACCATGATCATACTCATGTGGGCCATTTCAGTGGAAAATGTGAAATTATGCATTATTTTTAAGAACGAAAATTTTAGCCTGTAATCCCAGCACTTTGGGAGGCCGAGGCGGGCAGATCACAAGGTCAGGAGATCGAGACCATACTGGCTAACACGGTGAAACCCCGTCTCTACTAAAAATGCAAAAAAATTAGCCAGGCGTGGTGGCAGGTGCCTGTAGTCCCAGTTACTCAAGAGGCTGAGGGAGGAGAATGGCGTGAACCCAAGAGGCAGAGCATGCAGTGAGTTGAGATCAAGCCACTGCACTCCAGCCTGGGTGACAGAACAAGACTCTGTCTTAAAAAATAGAAAGAAAATTTTATAGATAATAATAGTGACTGGAAGCAGACTAATAGAGTGGTAGAGCCTAACACATACAACCAGAAAGAAAATATGAATTATTTATAATGTGTCTGTCATGTCTATATCCAATTGCACATAAATGAAACCTTCAGGAGATCAGGAGATTATCCTATCTGTTAGAATTGTGTTTGGCTACGTGTAACAGAAATTTGACAGTTCAGAGCTGGCAATCACTCAAGGAAGCCATCAGGGGCACAGCCTCTTTTTTTTTTTTTTTTGAATTGAGGTCTTACTCTACTGCCCAGGCTGGAGTGTAGGAGTATGATCATAGCTCGCCATAACCTCAAACTGAGCTCAAGTAATCCTCCTGCTTCAGCCTCTCAAGTAGCTGGGACTACAGGTGCATGACACAATGCCCGGCTAATTTTTTTCTTTTTGAAGAGACAGGGCTCCGCCATGTTGCCCAGGTTTGTCTCAAACTCCTGGGCGCAAACAATCCTCCCATCTTGGCCTCCCAAAGCGTTGGGATTACAGGTGTTAGCCACCATGCCCAGCCAAGGGCACAGGCTTTTTCAAACTTCCTGTCCCATCATTCTAACCATGTGCTTTGCATCCTTACATAGATGACTACTTCACTTCCAGCTATTGCATCTCTATTCAGGATGGAGAAAAAGGGAGCAGAGCTAAGAGTAAAAGATGCCTGCCAGCTGAGCTTGGTCTTTTTATTAGGAAAACAACCCTATCACCTTGCACTTTAATTTCAATGTCCTGTGCTGGGTAAGAAAACCACCTTGAGCTGCAAAGAGTCTGGAAAGCTGAATTCTTTTACTGGGCTAAACTGCTGCCCTAAACAAAATCTGGGCTCTGTTAGTAATGAAGACTGGAAGAATGCATATTGAATATGCAGCCAGCACTGTCTGCCACATTCTCCTAAGTAGCTTAAATATTCACTTAAACTCATGTTTATACCACTCACTCTCATAGAATAGATTAAAATATATATGGGGCAAAAATACACTTCAATTCAGGCTTTGTTTGAATTATCACATAGTCTAAATAAGTTGAGTGTAAGTTACAGAATTTGACTGCACAAGGGGAACAGATACTTTTTTTTTTTTTTTACCTTTTTTTTGTATTGCTACAGTCACAAAATGTTCTTTTTTGGTGACAGTGAACTAGTTTCCCAGTTATTTTATGCTTTCAAATGAAATATTACCATACTTCTTTTATTATTTGTTTTTTTAATTTCCTAATTTGTGCCATTAGGTATTTTCCTTGGGTTGTAACCAGAGATTTTGTAAAATATGCCTTGAATTTGGAATAAAAATTAACAGAAAAAAACCGATAGGATTATGAACAAAGAAACCAAAGGATTTAATAATGAATCAATCAACACATATTTATTGAACATCTTTCATGGCTAAGACAATTACATTATAACACAAACCTTTATGATTTCCCTCAGCACCTGGCATACTGGCACATGATGGTCAATAAATGCTATGACTGACAAAATTGCATCTGCCAGAAGATTTAAATAGTTAGATAAATGTATTAGTCCATTTTAATACTGCTATGAAGAAATACCTGAGACTGGGTAATTGATAAAGAAAAAGAGGTTTAATGGACTCACAGCTCCACATGGCTGAGGAGGGCTCACAATCATGGCAGAAGGTGAAGGAGGAGCAAAGGTGTATCTTACGTGGCAGCAGGCAAGAGAATGTGTGCAGGGGAACTGCCCTTTATAAAACCATTAGATCTCATGAGACTTATTCACTATCACTAGAACGGCATGGGAAAAACCCGCCTCCATGATTCAATTACCTCCCATCCAGTCCTTCCTATGACACATGGGGATTATGGAGCTATAATTCAAGATGAGATTTGGGTGGGGACACAAATATGTAATTTTGTAATAGAATGTAATTTCACCTATCATCATCATCATCATCACAGTCTTTACTAATGGGAAATTACAGAATGCCAGTTTTAAAGTGAAGTTGCCAGCTGAGCGTGGTGGCTCATGCTTGTAATCCCAGCACTTTGGGAGGCCGAGGCAGGTGGATCACGAGGTCAGGAGATCGAGACCATCCTGGCTAACACAGTTAAACCCCATCTCTACTAAAAGTACAAAAAATAAGCCAGGCGTGGTGGCACACTCCTGTAGTCCCAGATACTCGAGAGGCTGAGGCAGGAGAATTGCTTGAACCGGGAGGTGGAGGTTGCAGTGAGCCAAGATCACGCCACTGCACTCCGGCCTGGGTGACAGAGCGAGACTCCGCCTCAGGAAAAAAAAAAAAAAAAAAAGTGAAGTAGGTGTAATCTGGGATTGTTCAGAGAAAAGAATAAAAGTTCTGAGCTGGTCAGGAGTCCTGCAAAAGAGAAGTGGAAATAAGCCTACCATCCACAAAGGATCTAATGAAGATCTTCCAGACATTGTGGTGCTGCCACTTTTATTGCTGATTGCTAACATGGTGAAACCCCACCTCTACTAAAAATACAAAAAATTAGCTGGGCGTGGTGACAGACGCCTGTAGTCCCAGCTACTCGGGAGGCTGAGGCAGGAGAATGCCATGAACCCGGGAGGCAGAGCTTGCAGTGAGCTGAGACCATGACACTGCACTCCAGCCTGGGCAACAGAGTGAGACTCCATCTCAGGAAAAAAAAAGTCAACTGCATTTGTTATAGCCCATCTAGAAACCTGCCCATTTGCAGATAGATGCACCTCAGCCTGAATAGCTGTGTAAACCAAGCCCAAATTTAGAGTTGCACTTGAGATCCTTCAAGGAGAACTGAAATTTCAACATGTTTTGGAAGAAGACATGGTAATAAAAATATCAATTGTTTCATTCAATCATTAACAAATATTTATTGAGGGTCTGTGACTTGTCTGGCACTATGTTAAATGCTGTGAATATAGCAGTGAACAAAAACTAAGTTCCTGCTCTCATGAAGCGTCCATTACGGTGAGAGGAGCCAGACAATTAGCAAATAAATAAATAAGTAAAAAGGCATGTACATAAAAACACACACAAAATCAGGTAGTGCTAAGTGCTTATAGGGAGGGTGCTATTTCAGATAGGTTAGTTAGAAAAGGTCTGATAAGGGAACATTAGGACAGAAACCTGGAGATAAGGGAGTAAAATATGTCTCTCTGGAGAAAGAAGCTTCTGTAGTAGAAGGCAAAAGAGACAGGAGCTGCATGGCTTGTTAGAGAAACAGCATGTGGAAGATTCCGTGGATGAAAAAATGAGACAGGGTAGTTCAGAGGCCTGGTGCAATACTCCAGGTGTTGTTTTTGAAACATTAGGGGTTTGATCTAGGTCCTACTTCTCGCCTTGCCACATAGCAAATCACTGAGACGTCAATTATTGCCAAGGAAGAAAGCTTTAATTGGGTGCTGCAGCTGAGGAAATGGGAATTCAGTCTCAAATCCATCTCCATGATGGACTAAAACTAGGGCTTTCTATAGCAGGGAAGAAATGTAACATTGTGCAAGAAAACAGGAACTGGGGAAGGGCAAGAAGCAATCATGATGAATGAGGGGTACAGCATCTCATTGTTTTGATGTGGTGATCTGGTGAGCTTCAGTTTTTTGATACTTTTTTTGTAGAGACCTGAAGGCCCTTTCCTGAGGAAGGAGCTAAGACAAAACAAATATGTTTCAAGCTTTAAGACCAGAAAGGTCAATTTCTTTCTTTCTTCTTCTTTTTTTTTTTTTTTTTTTTTTTAACTTTCTTAAGTTTGGAGTTACCATTGCTGGTTTGTTACATAGGTAAACTTCTGTCATGGGGGTTGGTTGTACAGATTAGTTAATCACCTAGGTATTAAGCCTAGTATCCGTTAGTTGTTTTTCTTTATCCTCTCCCTCCTCCCACCCTCTAACCTCCAATAAACCCCAGTGTGTGTTGTTCCCTTCTGCATCCCTGTAAGAACCTGCAGTATTTGATTTTCTGTTCCTGTTAGTTTGTTAAGGATAATGACCCCCAGGTCCATCCATGTCCCTGCAAAGGACATGATCTTATTCTTTTTTTATGGCTGCATAGTATTTCATGGTGGATAAGTACCACATTTTTCTTTATCCAGTCTATTATTAGTGGGTATTTAGGTTGATTTCATGTCTTTGCTATTGTGAATAGTGCTGTAATAAACATATGTGTGTAATATGGTCTGGCTCTGTGTCCCCACTAAACTCTCATCTTGAATTGTGATCCCCACATGTTGGGGAGGGATCTCATGGCAGGTGATTAGGTCATGGGGGTGGTCCCCTCATGCTGTTCTCATGATAGTGAGTGAGCTCTCATGAGAGCTGATAGTTTTATCAGGGGCTTTTCCCCCTTTTCTTGGCACTTCTCTCTCCTGCCACCATGTGAAGGAGGATGTGTTTGCTTCCCCTTCCACCATGACTGTAAATTTCCCTGCAGATTGTAAATTTCCCTGAGTCAATTTAACCTCTTTCATTTATAAATTAACCAGTCTCAGGAAGTTCTTTATAGTAGTGTGAGAATGGACTAATACAGTAAATTGATACCACAGAGAGTGGGTGCTGCTGTAAAGATACCCGAAAATGTTGAGGCAACTATGGAACTGGGTAACAGACAGAGATTGGAACAGTTTGATGGGCTCAGAAGAAGACAGGTAAATGTGGGAAACTTTGGAACTTCCTAGAGACTTGTTGAATGGTTTTGACCAAAATGCTGATAGTGATATGGACAATGAATTCCAGGGTGAGGAGGTCTCAGATGGAGATGAGGAACTTGTTGGGAACTGGAGTAAATGTCACTCTTGTTATGCAAAGAGACTGGTGGCATTTTGCCCCTGCCCTAGAGATCTGTGGAACTTTGAACTTGAGAGAGATGATTTAGGGTATCTGGCAGAATAAATTTCTAAGCAGCAAAGTGTTCAAGAGGAAGTAGAGCAAAAAAAGTTTGGAAAATCTGCAGCTTGTGGATGCAATAGAAAAGAAAACTCCATTGTATGGGGAGAAATTCAACCCAACTGCAGAAATTTGCATAAGTAATGAGGAGGAGCCAAATGTTAATCACCAAGACAATGGGAAGATGTATCCAGGGCATGTCAGAGACTTTGATGGTAGCTCCTCCCATCACAGGTCCAGAGGCCTAGGAGGAAAAAACGCATTCCTGGGTTGGACCCAGGGCCCCCCTGCTGTATGCAGCCTTGTGACATGGTCCCTGTGTCCTAGGTGCTTTAGCATCAGCTGTGGCTATAAGAGGCCAAGGTACAACTCAGGCTATTGCTTCAGAGGGTGCAAGCCACAAGCCTGGGTGGTTTGCACAAGGTGTTGGGCCTGAAAGTGCACAGAAATCAAGAACTGAGGTTTGGGAACTTCCACCTAAATTTCAGAGGATATATGGAAATGCCTGGATGTCCAGTCAGAAGTTTGCCGCAGGGAAGGAGCCCTCATGGAGAACTTCTGCTAGGGCAGTGTGGGAGGGAAATGTGGGGTCACAGCCCCCACACAGAGTCCCCACTGGGGTACTGCCTAGTGGAGCTATGAGAAGAGGGCCCTCATCCTCCCATCCTCCAGACCCCAGAACAGTAGATCCACCAACAGCTTGCATGGTGAGCCTGGAAAAGCCATAGACAATGCCAGCCCATGAAAGTGTGTCCGGAATTGGTGGGTTCTTGGTCTCACTGACTTCAAGAATGAAGCCGCAGACCCTCACGGTGAGTGTTACAGTTCTTAAAGGTGGCATGTCCAGAGTTTGTTCCTTCTGATGTTCGAATGTGTTCGGAGTTTCTTCCTTCTGGTGGGTTTGTGGTCTTGCTGGCTCAGGAGTGAAGCTGCAGACCTTCGTGGTGAGTGTTACAGCTCTTAAGGCGGCGTGTCTGGAGTTGTTCATTCCTCCTGGTGGGTTCGTGGTCTCTCGCTGGCTTCAGGAGTGAAGCTGCAGACATTCGCGGCGAGTGTTACAGCTCATAAAGGCAGTGTGGACCCAAAGAGTGAGCAGCAGCAAGATTTATTGCAAGGAGCAAAAGAACAAAGCTTCCACAGTGTGGAAGTGGACCCAAGCAGGTTGCCACTGCTGGCTCGGGTAGCCTGCTTTTTTTCTTTTATCTGGCCCCACCCACATCCTACTAGGCTCATAGGCAGAAGGGACTTGCCTGGTCTCAATGAGACTGTGAACTTAAGACTTTTGGGTTAATGCTGAAATGAGTTAAGACTTTGGTGAACTGTTGGCATAATTGTGTCTGTTCTCATGTTGCAATAAAGAACTGCCTGTGACTGGGTAATTTATAAAGGAAAAAGGTTTAATTGACTCATAATTCCACAGGGGCTCAGGAAACTTACAATCATGGCAGAAGGGGAGGCAAATGTGTCCTTCTTCACATGGTGGCGAGAGAGAAGTGCCAAACAAAGGTGGAAAAACACTTGATAAAACCATCAGATCTTGTGAGAACTCACTTGCTATCATTAGAAGAGCATGAGAGAACCATCCCATAATCTAATCACCTCCCATGAGTTCCCTCCCCAACAGGTGGGGATTACAATTCAGATTACAATTCAAGATGGGATTTCAGTGGGGACACAGATCCAGACCATATCATTCTGCCCCTGGTCCCTCCCAAATCTCACCTTTCTCACATTTCAAAACACAATTATGCCAACAGTTCCCCAGCATAATAAAGTGCACAATAAATGTAATGTGCTTGAATCATGCTGAAACCATCACCTGCCGGCACTCCCCCTGCCCACCCCCTATGGTTTGTGGAAAAATTGTCTTCCACAAAACCAGTCCCTAGTGCCAAAAAGGTTGGGGGACTGCTGATCTATGGGACTATTGGGTTGGTTTCAGTGTGAGGTGCTGGTGACTGGCACCAGAGTGGGAGCAGTCAATACACCAGGGTATTATCATTGGTTGTCTCTGAGTGTTAAGATTATGGACTATTTTTCTGCTTCTTTGTGTATTTTTAGTCTTTGCACATGTTCTACAAAGAATAAATTACTTGTGTAATCATAGGAAATAAATACTACCTCTTACCCTCTCCCCTGCCCCAGTCTGGCATAATTGAAAAATGAACGCTTAGAGAAAGGAGGTCACCCAAGATCAGACTTCAGAATTCAAATTTAATAAGATCTACTTGTTATTCACGATAGAGTTTGTCAAACATTTTCACCAAATTTTAGCAACAAGTTTGAGTGCTGCAGGAGATAACGAGAAGTGAAAAGATGGTGAGGGAGACAAAACAAAACAAAATTGGCAAAGAAAAAGATGGCATTTTAAATAGCAACACGAACAGTCTGCCTAAGGACTAATCTACTGTGTGAGAAAATGATTTTTAATTGAAAAGTTCTTTTTGAGAAAGTTTTTTAAAAGTCTTATATAAAAATATGGAATATATAAGAATTTAACTAATACCTTGTGTTTAGGGTGCATTATAACTGTATAAGGAATTTTTACATGAAAATTTGGGAGAACAAGAGAGAACATCATGTAATAATGTGATTAAACTTGTTACTCAGCCATTTTACAAATTCTGGAATATAAAGGACAAGGTAGAGTATGTTCCAAGGCAGGCAGTGGCCACACACTGCTTGGCTTGTAGGCCCTATTAGGGATTTTGGTGTTTCTCCTAAAAACCAGTGGAAAACCACTGAAGTATTTTAAGCAAGAAGTAGCTTGATCAGGCTTGAGTTTCAAAAGGTTCACTTTTTTTTTTTTTTAAACAGGGGTCATATCAGAAAGATATGTTTGATGAAATTAACTACAGAATCAAGAAGTATATACTCAAAAATGCAAATACTACAATATATAAGACAATGTAAGTACATTTTCATTAAAAAATGAATTGTGTGAGTCCCAGAAGTTACAAGATTACACCGAGAAGAACGAGTGATCATAAAGTAAAAATATTCACGATTGAACTGACCACTTATGGAACTAACCCATGCTGTACTTTCTCCCACAACGTGGCCCTGGTTTCTGTTTCTATCGTCTCTGTTCCACCTCTGTCCATCTTATGTTATCTGTCTCTCATTGACTGTTGGTGGTTGACAATACCATGTGAACACAGAGTGAAATTACATCTCTTACAAAATATGAAGGATTTCATACAGACAATAAAGGTGATATTGGAGAACTGCTTCACCAATCATGGTCATTAACTGTGAGGATCTGTGAGACTTTAACCAGCACAGCATCACTGTGGCTGACTCAGCAATTTTTTTCCACTACCAATGATTAACCTAAGCAGATGATGGTAGTCCTGTTCCTTTTACCACTTATTTATTTCAGAATGAGTTAAGCAGGCATTAAAAGCGGACTATAACTGAGGGTCTCTTTTTAAGATTTTCAAGTTGGAAAATTCTGCTTTGATGCTAAGAGGCAGAATAAAACCCAGAAAGATTCATTCAATCTGACTTATTAATATTTGGAAGAGGTCAGTTTATTCTGCTCAGTTCAATTAAAATCAAATAACTTTAGTGGATAGGAATTATTCAAAAGTTTTTAATACTAGGATCTATTACTCTAGGCAAGCCATACCTAAGTAATCTATACAGTTAGGGGCAGGCTAATTTCAGGCAGCAGGAAACAGTCAGCTAAAATAGAGCAGAGACGGAGGAAAATACCACTTGGAGTGCCACTCACATGTTTAAGGGCAGACATGAAAAGGTAGGCAAGTGTTTCTCTTTCTTTTGGCAAGCATTTTATAGGAAAAATTCTACAAAGCTAGGAGACTACCTGGTAAAGCTAAGCCCATTTAGAAGGGGAGGGAAGGAAGAAAATAATGCAAAAAGTCAGAGTTCAGTATTGACAAGGGATCTTTTCATTGCATGTGATTGATGACTGACGGTTTGCCCCTGCTTTTTGATTCCTGTTTGCTGATTTCCCATTTTATTTACCCATAATCCACTCATTACTCTGATAAACCATGGAAGCAGTGGTCCACAAATCTGTGTTAGTTTCTCTGTTCTCTCTGCAGTCTTTTAGAGGTACCTGCTAACACAGCTTTAAAGATCCCCTGTAAGTCAAAATTAGCTATGCTTGGTGGCACATGCCCATAGTCCCAGCTACTTGGGAGGCTGAGGCAGGAGAATTGCTTGAACCCGAGAGGTGGAGGTTGCAGTAAGCAGAGATCACGCCTGGGTGACAGAGCAAGACTCCATCTCAAAAAAAAAAAAAAAAAAAGAAAAATCCCCTGTAAGTTAATGACTTCCACTTTCTATCTCTTGCCTTGAACGCCCATACTTCCTTCTCCCTACAGATAATCTACCTTGAAAGAATTTGCCACCATCTCACTAAACAGGTCAGTTTAATAAAATCATTGACTCCTAATAATCTTTGCCGCTGCGGTGTTCCTGGGCACTAGGCTGGTGCTTCTTAACTCTGGCTGCATGGTAGAAATGTGTGAGGAGTTTTTTTAAAAAAAGACTAATATCATCTCAGCTTGGAGAGACTAGAATTTGATTGGTCTGGGTCGGTTATTTGGTGATTTTTTTTTTTTTTTTTTTTTGACAGAGTCTCGCTCTGTCGCCCAGGCTGGAGTGCAGTGGTGCGATCTTGGCTCACTGCAAGCTCCACCTTCCCAGTTCACACCGTTCTCCTGCCTCAGCCTCCCAAGTGGCTGGGACTACAGGCGCCTGCCACCATGCCTGGCCAGTTTTTTTTTTTGTTTTGTTTTTTGTTTGTTTTTTTTTTTTTTTTGTATTTTTAGTAGAGACGGGTTTCACCGTGTTAGCCAGGATGGTCTCGATCTGATTTCGTGATCCGCCCGCCTCAGCCTCCCAGTGCTGGGGTTACTGGTGTGAGTCACCCCACCTGGTCTATTTGGTGATTTTATTGTGCAGCTAGGGTTAAGACAACCTAACTAAGCCCTGGGTTTTGGCTGCTCTTCTGCATGGTTTGTTCACTGTTCTCTGTGCATTTCTTCAGTCCTCTCTCCTTTGCCTGCACTCCACAACCACAAAGCAAGATGGCGACCCTCTTGCTCTCAACATTTGTGTAGAACCTTTTACAGAGTTGGGCTGTTTTTCTCCTATAGCTCTATTTAGTTGATACACAACAGGAAGTTGTCTTCAAGCATACTTTCTATCAAGGCATTATGCTATCCAGAATTCTGTATTGAATTCTGAATGTCTACTTTAAATAATTAAGATAACAGAACTCAAGGTTACCAACTCATTGACCTTTCCAGGTCCTTTTCCATTTCTCTTTAGAAATTGATCCGTTTTCTGTAGATTTCAAGTAGATTGATACTCTCCATCTCCTTTTCTTTTCTTTTCTTTTTTTTTTTTGAGACAGAGTCTCACTCTGTCTTTCAGGCTGGAGCGCAGTGGCACGATCTCGGCTCACCGCAACCTCTGCCTCCCAGGTTCAAGCAACTCTCCTGCCTCAGCCTCTCTAGTAGCTGGGATTTACAGGTGCCTGCCACCACACTGGTCTAATTTTTTTTGTTGTTGTTTTGTTTTTAGTAGAGATGGGGTTTCACCATGTTGGCCAGGCTGGCCTCGAACTCCTAACCTCAAGTGAACCACCCACCTTGGCCTCCCAAAGGGCTGGGATTACAGATGTGAGCCACTGTGCCTGGCTTCTCCATATTCTTTATATCATTTGTTCCTCCTGTCTTCAATCATCATCCTTTCTATTTTCCTTTCCTTATTGTTAACTTTTTATATTTTAGTTGCATTCTCCTTCACTAACATAATTTATTTCCAGTCACTCCTTAGATAATGCTACTCAATTCAGACAGTTCATTCTGTACTCACGTCTTCCTTTGTACTTTTTAATTGCTTATTTGTTGTTTTTGACATCTTAGTGGAATTTTTGAGCTACTCAAAAGTGAGTGCTGTTTTAACTACCTCTTATAACCAGTAAGTGTTCTGTATACATAAAGCACACAATAAATGGCTAATTAATATCCAGTTTTCTGTTGAACAAGTACAATACTTAAATCTTTTCTGCCTGAGCCAAGTCCGAGATATAACTCTCTTATCTACTATAGTGACTGGCCTGCATAGCCATCTGTCTAAACCCTGAGACTGAAATTCTTTAATGTGGAGATCTCTATCTGCAGACATGAATATGGCTTGATGATGATCAAAAATACTCCCCTCACTGAACACACAAGCCTTTGGTTGGCAGCCAAAGGCAATTATGTGTACAATCTGAAGCTATTTCTAATTCTGAGTTTCATGTCTTCAATGCTTTCTCCAAGAGCCACCCTATTTTCAAGGAATTAGCATCAGGGCAGCCATTGGCTGCCATAGATGTTTAGTGATCCATAGATCTTTTGCATAATTTGAAAATATGCATTTTCCGGCAGGGCGTGGTGGCTCAAGCCTGTAATCCCAGCACTTTGGGAGGCTGAAGCAGGTCAGGAGTTTGAGACCAGCCTGGCCAACATGGTGAAACCCTATCTCTACTAAAAATACAAAAATTAGCTGGGCATAGTGGCACACATCTGTCATCCCAGCTACTCGGGAGGCTGAGGCAGGAGAATTGCTTGAGCCCAGGAGACAGAGGTTGCAGTGAGCCAAGATAGTGCCACTACACTCCAGCCTGGCCCACAGAGTGAGACTCTGTCTCAAAAAAAAAAAAAGAAAAGAAAAGAAAGAAAATATGCATTTTCCCTGCACACCTAAATTGGAATTGACTGATCTCTGCTAACCATATGTAATAGTCACATGGTTCTTTGTATGAGTCTGGCCTAATCACAGTGCAGCATGGTGTTATGTACTTTTTTTTTTTAACTTGTTTTAAGTCTATATGTAACTTCTTGAGGATAGAGAAGATTGTATCTCTCTAGAGATAGAATGGTACAGCTACCAAGACTGGTACAGCTGGTAATGGCTCAATTTTTGTGGCTTAGCTGATCGACTGGACCAATGAGAGCTGAAATTATCAAGGTACAGGAGGTGATGCTGAGTGGTCCTCAAGCTTTGATATGCTTAGAATCACCTGGAAAACTTTTGATTCAGAACTTTTGATGCAGTAGACCTGGGATTGGTGGGAGGATTTGCATTTCTTTTTGTTGTTGTTGTTTTTGAGACGGAGTCTTGCTCTGTTGCCAGGCTGGGGTACAGTGGTACAATCCTTGGCTCACTGCAACCTCTGCCTCCCTGGTTGAAGCGATTCCCCTGACTCAGCCTCCCAAGTAGCTGGGACTACAGGTGTGCGCCACCACACCCGGCTAATTTTTGTATTTTAGTACAGATGGGGTTTCACCATGTTGGCCAGGATGGTCTCGATCTCCTGACCTCGTGATCTGCCTGCTTCACCTCCCAAAGTGCTGGGATTACAGACGTGAGCCACTGCGCCCGGCCAGATTTGCATTTCTAACAAGTCCTTAGGTGATGCTGCTGCTGCTGCTCCAGGGATCACACTTTAAGAATCACTGCCCACAACTGTACCAGGAATTTAGCTTGTCTTTTGGGAGATTGGCGGGCAGAGCAGGATCTTGTTGAGTTGCAAGTGTCTGACAGCCTGACCATAATTTATGACTAGAGAGTGGTAGTCCAACCTTCCTCTCATATGTCCATGGGAGTGAACAAGCTGCTCTGTCTGTTTCATGAACACTTTTATTAGTTCGTCTCTGAGTCATGTTTAACATACTTGATTACAATGTTAGGACAGAAACATTATGCTCAAAGCTCTAGGGATACTTCCAAAATGTCACCATTGAAAAGTACCAACCCAGGCAGCAGGGTTAGGATTGCCCATCTCTTTAGTACTTGGACTATTACCTGTGGGTCTTGAACATTTTTGCAGGATATACAGGCAGAGGAGAGGAGGATGTTAGAGAAAGACTAAAGACTTCTGGAGTCAGCAGCCATGCAATCATGGTATTTAAGCACTCTAAGACTCATTTTTCTCTTCTTAAAAGCAGTATATTGGCCAGGCATGGTAGCTCATGCCTGTAATCCCAGCACTTTGGGAGGCCGAGGCAGGCGGATCATGAGGTCAGGAGTTCGAGAGCAGTCTGGCCAACCTGGTGAAATCCCGCCTCTACTAAAAATACAAAAATTAGTCGGGCTTGGTGGTATGCACCTGTAATCCCAGCTTACCCGGGAGGCTGAGGCAGAAGAATTGCTTGAACCCGGGAGGTGGAGGTTGCAGTGAGTCGGGATCACACCACTGCAGTCCAGCCTGGGCAACAGAGCAAGACTCCATCTCAAACAACAACAAAAAAAGCAGTATATTAATACTTCATGAAGAAGGTATAAGAATTAAAAATGTATAAGATCCCTCTTTTTGTATGGAACACCCAATATTTCCTAATAAACAGTGACTAAGTTCCTATCTTTATAACTTTGTCATGGGGTCCCTATCTGCTCTGCAGAGATAGCTGGATGAGTTATGCCTCTGAGAAGGCAGGGGTGGCTGCAAACTGTGGATTTTGTCAGACCCACTTAAAAGCAGATATAGGGAGGCTAGTGATTTGAACAATTGGTATATAAGTACTAGATGAGAGTCTCCATGATACAGAAACTATGGCTCATGTAAGTGTTTTTTTGCTTTTTACTGTTGACAGGGTAAGCCTTGGACAGGAATTGGGAGTCCTTCAAATTTGTCTTAATGGTCCTGACCTCTCCATTCTATGGCTCCTTTCTCCCAGTGTCTATCTCCCTATCAAATCTTACTCTCTGAAAGCTCTTTGCTCTCCTAATCTCAACCTGGTGAGATTGACTGTTACCATAAGCTCCTATTACGTGTGTCATATCCTTCAGGTGTACTCAGGTGGAAATAGACCAGGTGGAGAACCACTGTTTTTGCATTTTCAGTGTTAATCCTTATTGCTAACTGGGAATTGAAGGGCTCTCTCTTCTACTGAGGGAATCTCAGATACCAGCAAGCAGGTAAGAAAGACTAAAGTGCCTTAGATAGCTTCTACATGTAGATAAGATTGACCCTGTGTTCAAACTGAAGCTAACTATGTTATGTCCTTCTAATATGGACACGTAGCATCAGAAAAATCAAAATACATACATGGTACACACAACTGCCATTTGAAGCCAGTTTTTCTCATTGTAGGAAACTACTACAGGGGCAATCTCCAACCAGATTCTTTTACTAAAACATAGCGTTTTGTTAGAATAAAAATGCTCTTAGAGCCTCTGTTAAAGGAAATAACTCTTTTGTTTTCATGATTTGAACCTCAGAAACTGAAAACACCTCGGGAAAGAAAAAGGACCCCTTCAGCTCTGCTGGGATTCTGCAGTGTGGCTCCAGCATGTCTAGGGGTTTCAAACCTGATGCTAAGACCATCAGTCCTGCGATAAGGAGGAAGCTTAAAATAGCAGGAACAAAGGACAGCTTATACAGTCCATAGAATATGAAGTGATGACAAGCACAGCAAAAAGAATTTGAGAGTGAAAAGGAAATTGCACAAGAGGGCAGGATAAAGAGATCCTAAATACCCCTAGTTTCAGTTTCTAGGAGGGGAAAAAATTCAAAGAATATTCCTACCTTTCAAAGGTATTTGTTCAAATGCAATGGCCTCCACTTAGTCTACCAGAGTTCTTTATCTCAGTTATCTAACTCTTTGGATTTGCTCACGTGAGCTGAAAATCTCAGAGGCTTTTTTCCTGAGGTTCTCGAAAGACCCTGTTGCAGGCTTGAGGGGAAGATCATAGCTTTTTGTTTCGTTACCACTAGAATGGGTGACCAGGTGCTATGCCATTTCTTTTAGCTTTACAATAAAAAGGAGCTTCTTACCCACTCTTTTCTCAGCAGTACTATGGCAAGAGATCCCCAGAAGGAAAGACAGAGGGAGCTGAACAGTATTTAGTAAATCTGAACCACCTGGGATGTTTCTTTTCGATAATACACCCTCTCTTCAGAAAAAAAAAAATGTTCCACATTATATGCCGATAACATCCTCTATTCTCTGCTTAGTTTGATCATTATGGGTACTTTGGGAAAGCATCTTATACTTTGTAAGTGACAGAGCTACCAAGACCTATTTGTATCGGGTACCAAGCTAGATAGAAACTGTATATAATTCACTCACTACATTCTTGTAGAAACAGAATGTGGTAGCTATTTTTGGTCCTGTTTTGAAGTGACAGAATTGAGGCATAAAGAAGTTAATTTGTTTAGCCCATGCTCACAAATCTTGTAAGCAGCAGGATTCAGACTATGGTACGTAAGATTATAAACGCCTGCATTTCTCTGGTGGCCGTGAGATGTAGGCAACATAATCAGCCAAGGAACAGAAAATTAGACACGTGTTGAAATTTGGTAATGAATCATTCTCCTGTCTCCCTCTAAATTCTAAACCAGATAGATAGTGGGATAAGATAAATGAATATCAGTCTTTTTTTTGTACTGGAAATAGCAGATTCGGAAACATGGCTTGGAGGAGAGGCTATAATTAGGTTACCTAATTGCTTCCCCATGAGTTGAACCAATGTACTCACCAAGCTGCAGACAGCCCAGTAAGAATACTGCAGGCTTTCCCCCTGCCCTAGCTTTCTTGCCCAGGGAAGGAGTGAAATTGGGACATGTTGGAATCTGTTGGAAGGGGCTGGTTACACTGCCCTTTCCTCCATTCTTGCCAGTGTTCAGTTCCTTCTTCCATTCTTGCCAATCTGATAATTTACTCTTCTGCTCTTAGGAAGTAAAGAACAGATAGAAAGGACAAAAACGCCTTTCCCATTTTTTTCCTCTTTGGAATGAAATGTATTTTTTTTCCCTTCCAAGGAAATATGAAGAGGTAGTGTTTAAATGTCTCCCTAAAAGTAATGAAACTATCTTTTTAGAAGTTTCTGTTTTGAATTCGCAGGAAAGATTTGAAATTGTTTCTAGTTGAGCTGAGTTGATTTTAATGCCTATAAACTTTGTGATCAGAGACAATACTTTAGCTTCCAAATTGCAAAATTAATGTTGGCTCATCTGCTTAAAGTCAGATAACTCTACCCTTTGGGTAAGCAAGTGAAACACCCAGTCATTTTGGTGGAGAAAAGCAGTGGAGCCAATTGTTTAACCGGATTGGCCAAAAAAGAAATGAGAGGGATAGATTTCAGATGCAAGCCATATGCTTCTGTTCCAAGGGGAGAAAAGAAAGCAGTCAGAACATTTGGTGGAGAAGGAGGGCCTGAATGCAAATTTACATGAACAAAGGAACAGCCAAGGAGAAAGACATAGAAAGATGATATAACAGCTGCAGACAAATACGCAAGTTAAAGATGACTTTGATACTGGTGAAGAATGCTGACTAATTTTGTCAAGTTTTTGATGCTGAGACAACATCAGAAGCAACTTTCACCTTGTTCAGGGATGACCTTGTGTGTTCAAATTGCAAAGAACTTTGTGTGAGTCAGCAGCACCATCTTTGCATTTAACACAAAGTTGCTTAATTGAGGGACAAGATGATGGTCAAGCTCCAGTTTGATGCTTTTTGAGGGACATTGTGGCCAACATTTAGATTACATACTGTGTTTTTCCTCTTGGAGCTATGATTTCCACTAGAAGAAGGTCAAGAGTGTGACTTTGGCATATTGTGAATAGTTTGGTGATATATCCCAGATTTGTCTAGTGAATTTTAACATTTTGTTGATTAACATTTACTGAGAGTTCTTCACCTGATCTAGTTATTCTGAACATTCTTTGACATGGTTATACTCTCTTTCATCTTGAAAACACATGTGTCAGTCAACCACATAACAACTGGCCCTTTACTGGAAGCAGATCAGAATTTTCATCCCAGGTCTGACACTCACCTTTCTGTGAGCCTGAGGAAGTAACTTTATTCATTCTTTCAACAAATATTTTTTAGGTACCTACATCTTTTCAGCACTGGAGATGATTTCTGCCTTCATGGACTCTAAGCTGAGTGAGGAAGACAGACCATTAAGCAGGTCATTAAAACCAAGTGCCATAAGAGCTATTTTAGGGGACCTACAGGAAGGAGCCTATGGCAGTGCAGAGGAGACACGTCTGTCTTAAAGGGTCAGAGAGAGCTTTCTCATGGTTTAAGCTGAGTCTGAAGAGGTTAAATAAATATCCGAGGAGCAAGTGCTTTGAAAGAAAGGAACTGCGTTTTAGACAGGGAGAAAAGAGAGCTGCAAGCAGGGAACTTGAATTCAGAGAATTTCAGTTTGCTGAGAACACGAAGTGTGAGGAAGGCCAGAGGGAGCCTGGAGAGGTTGGGGGAGAGAGATAAGAGGAATGTGGTGGGAAGTAAGCTGGAAGAAGTAGGTAAGATCTTTGGTTCCTTTAAACACAAAATAGTAATAATAATGTCCACTACACACACAAATTCTGAGAATCAAAGGAGAAAATGTTCACAGAACAGTTTTGTAATCTACAAAGCACTAGACAAAGGCAAGAAGACATTCTGACTGGGGTGTTGGCTGTAAACTGTGGTTCACTTTTCCAGGAGCAGGAACAGTTCTGCCCAGAGTTATGCTCTGAAGATCTTTTTGACCAACGTTGCAATGTGACAGGAGTTTTTTGTGAAAACATAAATTGCAATAATATGGTGTATTTGTGTATTTGTTTTCTATTTCCTTATACATTTTTTATAGATGTCTTTATTAGTTACTATTGGCAATGCCTGGTATATATGGCCAACCAACATGAGAAACATTTCCCAGAACCCTGAAATCATATCATAGAGGCAATGATCACACACAGAGGTGGTTTTAAGTACTCCCTGGACAATTGCTGTTTGCTCTGTCACCATCAATTCTAGGGTCTCTCGGTTGATAGCTGAATCAAGCTTAAGTTTTTTTTTCTATGTCCCAATTCATCCCTTCTTTCTGGTTTTGTTCTCAAGAATAAATTTTAGCAATGCATTGTGAGTAATTTTCTTCAGAAGAGCCAGCCAGTATTTCTCCTCTGTTGGTTAAACCCAAAACCTGGGTTTTTGCACCCAGCTTGTGGCTCAGGTCACTGTGTAAGCCTAGGACTCGTTATTTTTATATTTTCTTCCTCTGATAAGAGAGACTCGGGACACATAAGTGTTAAGCCTATCTAAATGTTTCACCCTGATTTCAAATGGATTTGTCATTTTCTAAGGAAAGGTATGTGTAGCTGGCGGATAGCTATAGTATGTGTACACACTTATAGTATGTGTGAACACTTATAACACTATAGTTTCGCGTAATTTCAGTACCTGGTTTCCAAGCTGCCAAGTTTCTTGAACAGAGAACGTGAGTGAAATTTGAAGCCAGAGGGAAGATGCGAAGAGATTATTAGCTTTTCAACTCTGTTATTTACAATTCCTGTATTTCTCTTAAGGATCCAGAAAAGGAAGTGTCTGAAAAAAAGAACATTTTGCTTAGAACTGATACTTTGGCATTTGGTAATACTTACTTCTCTTGTTTTTTATTTTTTTAGATGGAGTCTTGCTCTGTTGCCCAGGATGGAGTGCAGTGGCATGATCTTGGCTCACTGCAACCTCTGCCTCCCCAGTTCAAGTGATTCTCCTGAGTCAGCCTCTGGAGTAGCTGGGACTTCAGACATGGGCCACCATGCCCGGCTAATTTTTGTATTTTTAGTAGAGACGGATTTCTCCACATTGGTCAGACTAGTCTCAAACTCGTGATTTCAGGTGATCCACCCGTCTTGGCCTCCCAAAGTGCTGGGATTACAGGAGTGAGCCACTGCACCTGGCCAGTAAGACTTATCTTAACACACTTTTTGTTGCTGTTATTTTTGGCACAGACCTTTTTTTTTTTTTAATCATTTTTGGAATCACAATTGTCTTTTTAACTTTGAAGTGTTTTCCCTTATATCTGGAAGACGGGGCGGGTGGTTCAGTGAGGTATCTGAGTTGGTGGAGATGTCTATGTTGGAAGGCAAGTTGGGAAGAGCAACGCAGAACATGGAGAAGGCTACTTTGGGAAGTTGTGGGGGTGCAAATGATATATTTTCTGCTGTTGAGAAGTCCGGTTAGCTTTGGCTTTTGAGAGCGTCACTCTGGGAATGTGCATATGTCTGTGTGTGGGGGCAAGAAGGAGGCCACACCAGTGGGATTATAAAGAGGCTTTGAATTGTACCCCCACCACTCCACCAGAATTGTTAGAAACTTAGTTCCCAGATATCCACTCAACCCTCTTTGGCAGGATCCCTGGGAGGCTCAGTTGTCCTTCTTGGAAGCCAGTAAAATTCTTTGTTGGTGGTTGTGGAGGCCAGCATCTGATCAGCTGCTCAGTAGCCATAGCTGCTGCTTCTGTTGCCCTGGCTGCTGGACTTGGAGGCTTCCTGGTTGCTAGTGACTTGGCTTGCGCGGCTGCGCCCTGTCCCTGCTGGGGCTGGTTTATGTGGCTCTGATGGTTATACATGCCGAAGTCACTCCTCTCCTATGTGTTCCTCAAGTGCTCTTCACAGTGGAGCCAGGAGAACCTTACTGTTCTTTCTTCAATTCCCAGTATGGCCTCACTCTGTTTCTTGCAGCGCCCCCTAGTGTTAGCACACTTTCATTCAGTTATCTTTTCCATCTGTCTCTTGGCTCAAGTTCCTACAGATCAGGGTAGGAATCACATAGGATTGTCCTATTTAGCAAATAAAGATAGAGAATGTCCAGTTAAATTTGAGTTTCAGATAAATAATGAAGAATTTTTTAACATAAGTATGTCTCAAATGTCACATGGGACATACTTATACTAAAACATTCTTCATTGGTTATCTAAAATTCAAATTGAATTGGGTGTCCTGTATTTTATCAATAAATACTAGATTCAAATTAGTGATCTTCCCATTTCCAAGCCCCTCGTTACACTTAGAATATTGCTAGTGTAACAGATCGCATATGGAAAAGAAAGAAATTGGCTCCTTTTTAAAGCAAATTTTAGTATACAAGTACTCTGAGCAATGCAGCTGTGGACCAGGGCTAAGTTAATATGCTTTTTAAGAAGCATGGTTTCCTTAAAGTTTAATATCCAAAAGCTAGCTCCATAGTATTATAGTTTGAATTTCCAAAAGCGTGGACATTGAATTTGGCTTGCGAATAAATCTTTAGGAATTGAATAACTTTTTATTTACATCAAATGAGTAGTAGAATCTAATGATTCAGACATCTGAATTGTGAAAAGTCAAAATATTTGTATATTGATTGGGTCATACAAGGTCATTTTATGGGAAATGTAATGTGAGCAATTATTTTCTTTTTTTTTTTTTTTTTTTTTTGAGACAGAGTCTCGCTCTGTCGCCCAGGCTGGAGTGCAGTGGCATTATCTCGGCTCACTGCAAGCTCTGTCTCCAGGGTTCATGCCATTCTCCTGCCTCAGCCTCCCGAGTAGTTGGGACTACAGGCGCCCGCCACCACGCCTAGCTAATTTTTGTATTTTTAGTAGAGACGGGATTTCATCGTGTTAGCCAGGATGGTCTCGATCTCCTGACCTTGTGATCCGCCTGCCTCAGCCTCCCAAAGTGCTGGGATAACAGGCGTGAGCCACCGCACCCGACCTATTTCCCTTTTTTTTTTTTTGGATGTAAAAATGTAATTCATTTTAGGGGGAAGGGACATTGTGTCTGCATGGTGGCAACAGTTTAGTGAACAGATCCACAAACGTCTGTCAATAAAAACAAACAACTTCCCAAAAGTCCATCAATGGGACAGCTCCACATATCCAGATAGATAGATACATCGAAAGATAAATAGATAGATAGATAGATAGATAGATAGATAGATAGATAGATAGATGATAGAATGAATAATATTCAGCCATCAAAAGAAAGGGGATTCTGATACATGCCATGGCATGGATAAACCTTGAGGACATTATACTAAGTGAAATAAGTCAATTACAAGAGGACAAATATCACATGATTCCATATATATATATGATAAGGTATATTCTAGATGCTTATAAAAGAAAGGTACCTAGAATAGTTAAATTCATAAAGACAGAAAGTAAAATGGTGGTTGCCAGGGGCTAGGGGGAGGGGAGAAATGGAGAGTTGTTTAATGGTGTGAGTTTTTTATTGTATTTATTTATTTATTATTTATTTTTTAAGACGGAGTCTCATTCTGTTGCCAGGCTGGAGTGCAATGGTGCAATCTTGGCTCACTGCAACCTCCGCCTCCTGGGTTCAAATGATTCTCCTGCCTCAGCCTCCCAAGTAGCTGGGACTACAGGTGCGTGCCACCACCCCCTGCTAAAAATAAAGACAAAAATAAACTGAGTCTGCAGAGGTTAAATAAATATTCGAGGAACAAGTGTTTTAGACAGGGAGACAAGAGAGCTGCGAGCAGGGAACTTTAATTCAGAGAATTTCGGTTTGCTGAGAACATGAAGTGTGAGGAAGGCCGGAGGGAGCTTCAATAACTACAAACATGTTGCTTTAATAATTTGATTACAGATTGAGAAAAAAGGTTTATTTTCTTACTTACCCATCATTTTGACAAATTAGAGTAATAAGGGAGATGTGTGGATAAGGATTTCTGACAGCACTGGCACTGGGGAAAACAAATGTCACTAGCTATCTCAGTAGGAGCTGCACAAAATGCAATTTCCTTTTTCGTTCCTTTTGTATTTCCTGATTTTACCTACACGTGTTGTTCTTGCTATATGAAGTCATAAGAATATTTAACTTCTAAATGGGGGACAGAAATAAATGAGAATAGTCAGACTCCAAATATAACCATTTAGAGCAATGATAAAATGATATTTCAAATTAATGAATAAATCATTTATTACATGCTACTTCCTTAAACAATGTCTTTAACATGATGTTAATGACTCTCTTTTAGTAAATTGTTCTCCAGGTAATTCCCACCTGATATTTTTCTCCAAGAGACAATTTTAGTCCCCAGGAAGAAGCCTACATTTTGACACTTTTGCAGCCAAAAGACTGGGCGGTTTTTTGGCTGACACCATAATTTTAAGAAGTGGTTTTTCTTTTGTAAAAGTAACCTGGAGTCTTCAAACAGCTGGCAACTTTTGGATTTTTGTGTAAAATATTTAGGGAAGAAATGTGAAATATTCAGTATAAAATATCTCAGTTCATAAGCTGAGGTGCTACTGATTTAAGTAAAGTGGAGAATAAAATAGAGTCAGTGATTTACTCAGTTTACTCATTCATCCCATTCATTGATTCACTGGGCAAATATGAATCAAGGATTTACTAGGTCAGGTAGTATTTTGAGTTTGATTTTGGTGGATGAGCAGTCAGGCCTTTTGAGTGGAGATACTGTGAAGCTTTTGTTTCCCTGGTAGTTTTCTTTTTTGTATGAATTATCTAGATAATTGTGTAAACCTTCATATTAACTTTGGCTGTATATTGAAGCAGATAGTCTGAGTCCTAACACTGAAATGATACTCCAGTACATTGAGAAGGAAGAAAGCAATGTTACCGATGCTTAAATGCCACGGCATCCTGCCCACAAGAGGCTCTTGGGCATAGCTTACATTTCTCTGTCTCATTGCACACTCATGGGGATATTCTCAAGCCCTCTCCATGTGTGCTCTGCCTGAGTGCCAAACTCGCTGCTGGTCACTGATGTGATCCCACAGCTAGCAGCCTGGCTATCCTCCCCTTCATTTGAACAGAGGAAGTTCTTCACCTTTTAGAACCCAATATTCACTCCCAGCTTTCCTACTTGAAAATTCGTTTGTTATCCTTCCCATATTTTCTCTAAACAAACTTTCTCAGAATGTTGTTAAAATTCTGAAAGGGATGACAAAAACTGTTGGTACAGGAAGGCGGCAGAGCAAGGATATGTCCAGTGGGAGAAAAGTTAAACCATTGCATGCCAATAAACAAAGGTGAGTGCTGGGAAGCCAACTGACCTGCTATGTGGCACGAATGAATGAAACAAACCACTGTATTCCAGAAACAGGAAATAATGTCCATTAAGAAATAACTGTTTCCCGTTTTGTTCCATCAGTCATAAAATGTCATCACGTGAGTTGTGATCAGTCTGTAACTCTATCCACATGATGCTTCAGCTTTTGTTCTCTCTTTTTCTTTTTGTCGGCCCGGTCTTTGCCTGGGAGGACTTTATGGTTCCACTGGGAGAGAAAGGGAGAAAAAGATCTTCTTGGTACTATTAAGCTTTTAAAGGACATTTGCTTTTTTTCTTTTCCTACAGACCGCAACCAATTGCTCTTCCTTCCCATTGAAAGAAACCCAGGCTGTACCTGCTCTTTCATCTCCTGTGTGGAAAACATCTATCGGCTGGAAGCCCTGAGTCTTCATTTTCAAGGATTTTAGTTGTAAGCTGTTTAAGGCATAAGCTAAAGTTTCAGGCAGAGGTAATTTTAGTAGTTAAGCCTGATTTTTACTTCCACCCTCTGTCCTCCAGGGCTATATGGGAAGCTTTCTGTGAGTGGATAAGCTCTTTAGCTAAGATGTAAACATGTTCCCTGCTATCTGATAAAGGTTCCTGGAGACTGACACTTTAAAAAAAAAAAAAAAAAGAAAGTGAGGAAAAAAAGAAAAGGAGAAACTGAATCCAAGGCTTACAAAGGGATTAGAAAACTGTACCCCAGATGGAAAATTTTATGGGCTCTGGAGAAAATGTGTAAGTGAAATATCGGTATCATAAAATAACAGGAAATAGTGTAATCTACCTGATGGAGAAAATTGTCACTTTAAAAAAACTATCCTAATTTCCTTCAAAATTGTTCTTGTTTTTGAGCCAATAAACTTCAGCTAAGCTCACCATGGGTCTTTCTTCTGCCAAACTCCTACTTACCAACAGAACCTTTGTGTGTTTACAATTGAAACTTTTCCATTCTATTTTTTTCTAATTAAAATAAAGCCACCCAGAGGCGGACAGAAATCATACAATAAGGAAAGAAAATTGCTAATGATCTGGGTAAATTATGATCCAGAAGTTTAGAGGAAAATTAGAGTGCATATTATAGCAAAGAACTCAAAACAAATTTGGGGTCAACCCAAAGAAATGTATAAGGGGGAAATCCTAAGTTTTCCTTTAATAAGTAATAATGATAATACAATTAGTTTTAACTATGTGCATGGTAGAAGATAAATCAGCAGATGAATGCCTGAGGCACTTACTATGGGGAAATGTGATAGTCATGTAATTTTTGCTTTGTTTTTTTTCTTCCCCTTCAACTGCTAGGATAGATTATATGACTTAGTAAACCATTGCTGAGTATACGAGGAAAAACTTGTTTGGTTGCTTAGACCACATATTATCAGGATTAATTTCCTCTTATCTATGCAGATTATTCTGACTGTGATAATTATGGCATTCCCAAAGGTAATGGTTTGAATTGATTTCATAATCCATGGTCTAAACATACACACACATACACACACACACACACACACAACCTATTCAACAACATGAAAGTTGGCCAGGCCTTGTGCTAAGTGCGGTGGAGAATAGGAAAAAGATGAAATAGAATTCAAAGACATAAATACAAATGCAAAAATAATTCAAGGTAGAAAGTGATAAATGTCGGCCGGGCGAGGTAGCTCATGCCTGTAATCCCAGCACTTTGGGAGGCCGAGGTGGGTGGATCACGAGGTCGGGAGATCAAGACCATCATGGCTAACACAGTGAAACCCCATCTCTACTAAAAATACAAAAAATTAGCCGGGCATGGTGGCAGGCGCCTGTAGTCCCAGCTACTCAGGAGAATGGTGTGAACCCAGGAGGCAGAGCTTGCAGTGAGCCGAGATCACACCACTGCACTCCAGCCTGGGTGACAGAGCGAGACTCTGTCTCAAAAAAAAAAAAAAAAAAAAAAGAAAGGGGTAAATATCACGGGTATGGGCAGATAAAATATTATGAGAGTTCGAAGGACGGAGGGATGATTTAGACAGGATGAGGTCCAACAGAGTCTTCTTAAAGAGATAGCATTTACAATGCACCATTAAGATTTGACAGGATTGAGACATGATCTTCAATAGGTTTGCATAAATTTTCAATAGAACACTGCACATTTATTGACGCATTTGCTCATTTAATAAATGTTAATGCTACTGCAGGTATTCTAGGTTCTGGGGGTGGAGCATTGAACCAAACAGTCAAATATTCTCCATCAAGTTGACATTTTGTTAGGGTGGGGTGGTGGTATTTGAACATTTTATTTTCTTCAAACATTTGTTGACTTTAGACTACTGGTATTTGCTGCAAATGGAGCAAGGTTGTTTTTCCAACTAATCAGTTTGAACTTCTTAGAAGATTTTAGAGTAGGTGTCAGGGAAAATGCTGAG
Source organism: Homo sapiens (assembly GCF_000001405.40). Taxonomy (NCBI): domain Eukaryota; kingdom Metazoa; phylum Chordata; class Mammalia; order Primates; family Hominidae; genus Homo; species Homo sapiens. The sequence goes on from NC_000001.11 coordinate 218,527,506, forward strand.
ATAAAGTTCAAGTATGCACAAATAAAACTTCAAGCAAAAATTATAGAAGTATTTAAATTTCCTAAAGAAACAATTAGAAAAAATCACATGGATTGTGTACAATCTGTCAATAAATTAGGAGAAAGGAAGATGATAGTGGTTAAGAAACTTTAGCTTCTACCAGAGGTAAAGAACAAGAATTAAAGCAATAGGAATGAATGGCTTGCATCATTTGTAGTGCTTGATGCAAGGCAGAAGAAATATGAAGTGTATGGGGTTAGATTAGGAAGCAGAAGGTTAGATTTAGAAGAAAAATTCTCCTAATGGCCACTTGAGAATGTGCGAATTAGTCTCTTGATGCATTGCAAGTAACTTTCAAGTTTTTTGTGTTACACAACCCTTGAATCCACACAGGAAGATCAACTATGGAAGAAAAGACAAATAGCAGCGGTGACTTATATAATCTGCACAGCTAGGACGGGTCCATAAATACACCAAGAATAGACTAATCCCCCTTACCAGAAAATGCCTAAACATTTGCTCATTTGAGGTTGTGTAACCACTAACAAATGGTTTGTCAGTATTTATTTTTGCTTTAATGTATAAATAAGCAGACAAGATTTCAAAGAGGAATTAGTTTTCTTTCTTTTCTTTTTAAATTTTTTTTAAATCAAAGTTGAAGAAGGATCACTGGATATTCTCAGATCCAGCTGTTATATTCTGGATCTTTTAGAAAACAGAGCCTGAGGCAATGATTTTTTGTTGCTTATATCAAAAAGTTACTTTGGAGGTGCAAGCATACGACAATGGGAGTGAGGGAGAATGGCACCCTGAGAAAAAGGAAAGATGAGAATCAATGTGATGTGATGGATAACTTTAGTGACCACTGCTTCACAACAAGTTGCAAACATATGTAGCAGGTCACTCAAAATGTATGTTCACTCATCTCATGGAGAAGACATTTCTGGTAGGTTTGCAAGGAGAACCATACCTCAGAGCAGTTCATGGAGAGGGTAACTGAGAGAGAAATTGTGAGCTATGTTCCCTCCAGTCTCTCGTTTCCCATTGGTCAAGGTTCAGTCTCTGGGGAGTTAATTTCCTGAAGTTTTAGCTGCAGCCTCTGCCTCCTTGAAGCCTCTCAGGAAGCCAGAGCCCATGCTCCCTAATGTGGCATTCCAACCAAGTTTGGAAAGGGAGGAACAGCTTGGCATGCATGGGATACTGACAAAGAATAAATGAAGGAGACAGTGGAGCAACTGCAAAGACACACAAGGTTTTTATCCAACACACCAACCAACTCTATGAATTTGCTCCTTCTTTTTGCATCTCTTGGCACTTAGACTACATTTCACTTTAGTCTTAATTAGGCCATTCCAGTGAAACACTATGTCTATTTTTTCCACTATATGAATTGTTTATGTATATAGATAGATAGACAGATATTTGTTTGTCTAATTAGATCTTCATGAGCTCCGCAGTGGCAAGAACAAAGTAGGATTTATTTCTCCATCTCCAGCACTCACCAGAGGTCTTGACATATAACATTCCTTCACAAAATATCAGAATGAAGGGAAGGGTAGATGGAAAAAAAGCAAAAAGCAGAGTTAGTTTGAATGACTGAAAAATATTCATTATTTCACTTATCTTCCTTTTCATCGAATGCATACAAACCTCAACCAAGTCAGTATTTACTTGGCAATAAACCAGAGTTCCCATGGTGGGTGGGCAGGAAGTATAGAGGAAAAAGCAACATGTATTTGGAAAATTCTCCAGGTAATTATGAGATACCCTTCTTTTCTCCACACAAATCACAACAAATGTGACACACCAACCCACCCCCAAAAGATTTGGATTCACATCCTAGTAAAGAGAACAGAATATCCAAAGGCATGAAAGTGAGGAAGTATAGCATTTTGGGAAAACAGATAAACTTCATTTTGAGAAAGTATAGTATTTTGAGTTGCCTGGATTTTTGACAGTTTTTCCTCCTGAACTCTTAGTTACATTCCTCTAATGGACTGTCAGAACAAGGCAGAAAAGGTCTGGGTGACATCTAATTTTCTCTATCACCTGAAATTCCTTTAGAGTGGGTGTGTGCACTCCCATTATTAGCCAAATGAAGAAGCTAGAGACAGTCTCCTTTCTGCCACATAATTTTAGAAAGAAAGCATTCCTAAAAGAAACTATTAGTTGCCTAAATTGGAAATGGGAGTGGGAACACCATAAACGACTTCCCAAAAATATCTGCTGCACTGATGCGGAAGTCAGGCTTACTCTTACATCACAGTAAAGCTGTGGGCTTTCCTCCCTGACCTGGTCAGTGTAGTGTTTTCAAAGCTTTCTTGGGGTTATACATAGCCCAGAAACACGTTGCTACAAAACAGAGTGGAAAACACCAGGCCCTGTTTAACTCGATTTCTCTGGATCAGGGTGGGTCACTGTTATCCTGAAATAGCATGTGAACACCACAACTTTCTCAAACTCCTTCTACCATATTAAATTACTAAAATAAATAGCAGCTATATTTTATCTGCAGTATCAGCAAGATCATATGACACAACGTAGGCTGGTATCACTTAACAAGCTGGGTTGTTTTTTTTTTTTAAACCCATGGCATAGTATTGGAAAGAGGCGCTAATGCATACCACTGCATGTCTAGCTTCTTACTGTATTATGATGAATTAAAGCTTTAGATCTGACTAATTGACTCTGAATCCCTGGGCTCTGCAATGTGATGCCCTCTCTCATAAAACCAAACATGAAGACTGATTTCTACAGCTTAATGCAGCAAAGTGGGCTGCCCTGTGGAATGACTATACTCTTCTGGGTTGGCATGAGAGGTGTTCAGTACAGTCCTCTTTCTTTAGAACTTGGAAACAGTGAAAGAAATATAGGTGTTACTTTACTAAGTGAATCAAGAGTGGAAAGGAGAGGGAACATAGCTAAAGAAAAGATGCAAATGTTTCATGATTTTGATCGAATCACCTGTATTTTTCAAATAAAGCCAACGCTCCATAACTAGACATTTTGAACTCTGTTGGGGACACATCTAATACAGTGAAAATCTATAGATTCATTTAACACAAGTTTATTACTTTTAAGAGCATATGTTACTTAAACTAATTATCAATGAAAAGCTCCCAAATTCTAGCAGGCCTGCTAACTAGGCAATTCTTTCATTTCAGTTAGTCTGTTATTAAACTGTTTATGCTCTATAAAATGATTAACTTTAAAGTGCAATACCATAGTAGTCTTGTTTATAGTATAATATAAACATACTCTAAGTTGACTAGATTTGAAAGTGTAATAAGTGAGTTTCAGTTTTTGTGCTCAGACAAGAATGAAAAAAAAAAAAAACAAAACAACCGAAAAAACACAAACTTTCATAATCTTTTGATTAGGTGATATAAGTACTTTTAAAGGTATTTTTATTCCCATTTACATAGGAATTGACAGCAAATAAGTGAATAATAATGCATTTTTAAAAGAATTACAGTAAGCTCATATTCATAGAAGCAGAGAATCTGGAGTTTCCAGTGACATTCAAAGTCATCCATTTAACCCAATTCAGAAAGCCCTTCCTTCTACAACTTCCACACAGTAGACCAGTTATACTCTTGATCTCTTCCAGCGGTGGGGATCTCACTACATGAGGCAACCCACTCCATCTTTGGCTAGCCGAGACAGTTAAAAAGTTCTTTCTTAAGATGAGCTAAAATCTGCCAAACTATAACTTTCCATCTGCTTGCCTTACTTTTTCCTCTTGGAAAAATCTAAACTAAACATGATTTCTTTTCTATATGGTAACTGTTCAAACATTTAAAAACAGTTATCACATTCCCTTTGCTTTTTTTTCCGTTAATTTTCCTTTTCATGTACACTTCAGTCAAGCCAAGTTTCCCCATTTTACAATTATATGATTGTTTTTGGAAAACAAATGTAGAACTTCATATTTGTGTTTGTTAAATTTCATTTTGTCAGGAGAAATACAAATAGCTGATAAAATTTTAAAAATAATTCCATCTCAGTAGCAATAAAAAGAGTAAGTTAAAACAATCAGATATCACTTATAACCTACACATGAGTAAAGATTAACAGAAGATGAAACCAAGAATTTTGGCAAAGGAGCAGGAAAACAAGGACCCTCACATACCGCTGTGGGAGAGTAAATCTATATGGCTTTTTTGGAAAGCAAGTTAGCATCATATTACATGTCAGCAATCATATTTCAAAAATTATCTTAAGGAATTAATGGTTATGCGCAAACATTCAGTTATAAGAGTTCATGGCACCAATGTCCAAAATAACAAAATTGAAACCAATCATACAATGGTTAAATAAATTACAGAATGCCTACTGTGGTATTGAAAGGTGACATTACAGAAGAATATTTAATAACGTGTCATTAGTCAGAAAAAAAGTAAGTTTTACAATTGCATGTGATGTCTATCCTCTAAAAAATAAAAGTGCATATTTGTCTTTCTATATAAATATATTTATATAAGGGGAGAGAGAGAGATAAATATGAACAAAAAAATCTTGGAAGGATTCACACAAAAGTGGAGCCAGTGGTCATTTAAATGAAGCCCCTTCTCGGTTTTGTGTAATCATTTTACGTCATCGTTGCGGACGATGGTGAATCATTTTTCTGGCACACACTCTACTAGCTCCTCCCATACCTTTTGGCTTTGTATCATCTTTAAATGCAACAAACACATTCCCTTTGCTTCTATTCAAATCATTCTGTGAAAGGTACAACAGGACAGGGCCTAGGACTGAGTGTGTTTCATTCTTTGCCAGCAGGATTGCACTGTTCCCTCCAATGGGCCAAGGCATGCCAGTTTGACTGTGGGTTGACGAAAAGATGAAATTTCATTAGTTTAATGATGTATTCTTTTATCAAATACTAATGAAACACCCAGTAAAATTCAGGCATGTGCTAGATATTGGGCTTCTTAATCATCTATAAATCAGTATCTCGTTTCGCTTTAAGGGCATTTAAACCTGGGCCAGGGACTCTTCATCCATTCATTCATCTATTATGAATCAGCTGATCTGGCCAGTGCTGGTTTTTTTTTTTTTGTTTTTTTTTCTTTTTTTTTTTTTCAGATGAAGTATCGCTCTGTCGCCCAGGCTGAAGTGCAGTGCTGCGATCTTGGCTCACTGTAAACTCCGTCTCCCGGGTTCACACCATTCTCCTGCCTCAGCCTCCTGAGTAGCTGGGACTATAGGTGCCCGCCACCACACCTGGCTAATTTTTTGTAGAGACGGGGTTTCACCATAGCCAGGATGGTCTCGATCTCCTGACCTCGTGATCCGCCCGCCTTGGCCTCCCAAAGTGCTGGGATTACAGGCGTGAGCCACCGCGCCCGGCCCTGGCTCCTGCATACAGTCTTGTATGTGTGTTAAGATTGAGTAAGGGGAATTGCATAACAAATTTTATTTAGTTCTTAAAATGTACCAAGCATCATCAGAAGTGATTTACATGTATTATTTTATTTAATCCCCTTTCCAATTTTTTTTTTTTTTTTTTGAGACAGAAGCTCGCTTTGTGGCCCAGGCTGGAGTGCAGTGGTGTGATCTTGGCTCACTGCAAGCTCTGCCCCCCGGGTTCACGCCATTCTCCTGCCTCAGCCTCCTGAGTAGCTGGGACTACAGGCGCCCACCACCATGCTCGGCTAATTTTTTGTATTTTTAGTAGAGATGGGGTTTCACCATGTTGGCCAGGATGGTCTCGATCTCCCGACCTTGTGACCCGCCCACCTCAGCCTCCCAGTGCTGGGATTACAGGTGTGAGCCACCACGCCCAGCCCCCTTTCCAACTTTTTGAGGTAGTGTAGTGATATTATCATCCCCACTTTAGAAATGTGGCTGGTCTTGTTGGCAGTGAGAATTTAGACGCTTCCTTTAGAAGTCCTGGCTAGAGAGTGGTCCAGTAGATACAATGTGCAGCAGAGTGACCCAAGAGCACCCTGCACTTACACTCGACAACATTCACTGTGAAGGTAAAACTATGAAAGTGCAGGAGAGATGCATGGTGATATGAGATGGGCAGAGCCAACAGGTGAGGGTTTTTCTGTGGAGGCTGAAATCTGAAGGCCAAACAGGAGTAATTTGATGCAATGGGGAACTGAGAAGCACATTTCACTCAGAAGGAAGAGGACAGACAAACTGTGGTGGGAGGAAGATGAGTATAAGGGACTGAGAGAAAGCCAGGACAAGTGGAGTGGACAAGTAGGTAGGTGCCAGAACATGGGGTATCTTTGTAGACCATATTAAAGAATTTACCTAAACTTCAAGAGTAATTAGACTTTCCAAAGTCTAAGCCTAGGATGTTTGAGTCACTAAAACAAGAAGTCATTCTGGCTATAATGTGAAGAATGTACTGCAGAGACAAAGTTGATGTTCAGAGATTAATTAGGAGGCTATGGAAGTAGTTTAGGCAAGAGCCCAAGATGGTGGCAGTGGAAGGAAAGGACAATGAATAGAACTGAGGAATATCCCTAGACAGGAAAGGGAGCCCTACCTGGCCCTTTCACTTCACAGGGCCTCATTCTGGTCTATTTCTGCCTGTTACCACTCCCAACAGAATTAACTCACAGAAAGCCACCCTCCCCGCCCTGCTTCTAGAACACTCTCTGGTCCCCAGTATGTATTTGGCCCTAGCCTCCAGAGTGTCTGCTATGGTCTGAATGTCTACATCCTCCAAATTCACATGTTGAAAATCTAATCACAACATAATATTATTAGGAAGTGGGGCCTTTGGGATATATTTAGATCACAGGGGTGGAGCCCTCATTAATGAGATTAGTGCCTTTATAAAAGAGGCCCCCAGAAAACTGTTTTGTCCCTTTCATCATGTGAAGACATAATGAGATACCTTGTAAGAACCAGAAAGCAGGTCTCGCCAGACCCTGAATCTGCTGGCACCTTGATCTTAGACCTTTCAGGTTCCAGAACTGTGAGAAATGCATTTCTGTTGTTATAAGCCACTTAGTTTATGGAATTTTATTATAGCAGCTTGAACAGACTTAGTAGGCAACCAGCAGCAGCTATGTACAGAGGCTATGAAGAGAGCTTGAAGAACTTGGACATGTAGCCTGAGTGCCCATGTGTGTGTCCACAAGATCCCTCACAGTAGGTCTCTTGGAGCTAGGATGGGACAATAAGGGGTATCCTGTCATCTGCCATCTATGACATGTGGTCCAGCAATCCCCAGTCACTAATTAAGGGCACAGAACTCCAAGTAGATGGAGAATTTTTATTTGAACCCTGCTTTCCTCATCATTATGAAGATGGGTTTGTCAAGGTGGAAAAATAGAACTATCTTTCCTAACAACTTGTTCACTTTATTTATACCTTTAAATTATTTCTACTTATGGTATGTGTTCCCTTGCTCTGGACCCTGAAAATGTTTGGGGAAAGACTATTTTAGAATTATATATGGGGCAAAGCCAACAGGATCTGGTGATGAAGTATGGGTTTTGAAGGAAAGGAGATCTATATGATTGTGGCTTTCTCTCAAGGTGATAGATGGGGGGTCACATATTCTGGGATAGAAAACACTGGGAGAAAGCTAGAATTTAGGGGAGGATCAAGAGTTTATTTTTGATATATTGATTTTTGGTGCCTTTGAGAAATTTAAGTGATGTCAAGCAGAATTTATCTCCATGTGGTTATATCCCTAGCACTAAAAGGCACAGAGGGCTACACCACCTTTCTGCTTGGCAAGCATGAATAAATGAGGCTGTGCTAGGTGTTAGGAGAAAGATGAAACCTCACCAAGGGCCAGATCCATTTATGTCCTGTGGAGTGTCACAGCACTAAATGAGAATAAGACTAATCCAAGGTGGGGGTAAAGACAGCTGGGTGTGAGCAGTGGGTCTCCTGGGGCTTCATTCTATGACTGCTAGGACCTTTATGCTGTTGTTTGTGTATCAGAACTATTCTCTTGCAAGTTTGAGTGTTAGCTTCTCCTTGAAGTGGCATTCCATCCATAAACCCTTATTAAGCCTTATTATTATCGTTATTGAAATGTACTAGAAAACCATATAAGGGAGATAGAAATTGTTTTGCCTTTTGCCCCTTTATTTTTGAAACAGGGTCTCACTCTGTCACCCAGGCTGTAGTAAAGTGGCTTGATCACGGCTCACAGCCGCCTCAACCTCCTGGACTCAAGCGAGTCTCCCACCCTCAGGCCCCTGAGTAGCTGGAACTACAGTTGCATGCCACCAAGCCCGGCTAATTTTTGTATTTTTTGTAGAGATGGAGTATCACCATGTTTCCCAGGCTGGTCTCAAACTCCTGGGCTCAAGTGAACCTCTTGCCTCAGCCTCCCAAAGTGCTAGGATTACAGGTGTGAGCCATCACACCTGGCCTTGCTCTTTTTAAAAAATGTTTATTTTCTGGGGGCTGGGTGCAGTGGCTCACGCCTGTAATCCCAGTACTTTGGGAGGCTGAGGCAGGCGAATCATGATGTCAGGAGATGGAGACCATCCTGGCTAACATGGTGAACCCCATCTCTACTAAAAATACAAAAAAATAGCCCGGCGTGGTGGCAGGTGCCTATAGTCCCAGCTACTCAGGAGGCTAAGGCAGGAGAATGACGTGAACCCGGGAGGCGGAGCTTGCAGTGAGCCGAGATCACGCCACTGCACTCCAGCCTGGGCACAGAGCGAGACTCCGTTACCCCGCCCCCTCCCAAAAAAAAGTTTATTTTATTTTCTCAATATATACATTAAAAAGATTAAGATGGAAGTATCTACATCATTCCTATGTGATTGAACAGGCTGAATCTCAGTAGATTGCTTCTTCAAAGTCGAATGGCTGCCTAGTATAAGAGTCAGGAGAAGAACAGAGTCTCACTACTTTTAGGCCAACTGTATGGTTCCTGGCCTTGGATTAAGACACAGAAGACATGATGCCTTGGTCTTGAATGGGGCTAAAGAGCATGGAAGAGGCTGAACTCCTTCCTGCTAAATTAACTTGTTGTACAGCTGTAGCTAGAATAGTTGCTATAATGACTCAAGGTCAATGGGAGGACACCTTCCCAGAGCCTGAATCACCTGTAGAATGAACAGCCACACCTGGGAAAGAATCTTTTTTTCTTTTTTCCCCATCAGAGATCAAGACAAGAACTATTCATTTTAAAAATAAAAGTAGTCTCTTCCACATCTAAAAACATTTCTACATGTGTATATTGAATATTTATGTCTCCCATGTGGTGATTTAAGCACAAATGATTCTGAAACATATGGAGTACATTTTCTTTAAAGTAAACAGAGATTGTTAATATTCAGGAAGAACCAATAGCAAAAGTGAGTGTGAGCTCCTCTAAATCCCTAAGAGTTTGAGGAGGTTACCAACTGTAAGCTATAGAAGGAACTCCACCTTTCCTGTGATATAGTAATTTGAGAGCTAACAAAGGTTTGACCTCTGTTTAGGAGTGATGTGGGGTTTATTTCCAAGTCATTCACCGTCTTGGTGCATGGCTAGCAATGATTTAACTGTTTAGGAAAGTGTCTGTGAGCCACACAAATATATTCCACCAAAAGCAAACTAAATTTATCTCAAACTTAATTTTTTATTAGGATCTCAGGTGACTATGGCTACTTCATAGTCACCTGATGTACAGGAAGATTGAGTGGATAAAGTATCTAAGTTTTACAAATTTTACAAAAATATTTGACCATGTTAATCACTTTGTTAGAGACTCTCACAGACATTGCAAGGGCCTCGTGCAAGTGAGAGACCTTGAAGTTTAAGCCTTACAAACTTCATCATAAATCGTCTTTGTAGTAAGGCATAGGGGACAATGAAAAGCATAGAACTCTCTCCTATGGCAACAGGAGCTTGACACTTGCATGCTTCTCCTATCTTTCTTTTACTACTTTTGGAATTCAGGCTGAATCTATTTGCATGGCTTAAAAGATGAGAATAAAGACCTCTGCTCTGGTGAAGGATTTTGCGTTTGTTTGGAACCCACTGGGCAACAATTTGCTCTCCAGCTATAGATTGGCATGGAGGTCAATGGCCAACAGGTAGGCATTGGTGAGAGTAAAGTCCTTTAAATGTATTGTTTTTCAACACCAGGCCTAAGTATTTTTCTATATATGAAAACAATATCGAATGAGGGTTTTAAACCAGCATTTCAGAGCATGTTCATTACGTTACTCAAGAATGAGTAAACAGAAAAATATGAGACATTGAAAATATTTTGCAACAAGAGAGAAGAGCAAAGCATTAGTTACTCAGAAGTCTGCTTCCTCCTAAATAGGTTTATTTAATGAGGTATAAGAAGTATTTAGAAAACATCTTGTTCTCAATGAGGACATGTATTTTGAAACGGGCTGAGATAAGAATTTTTTCAAAACAAAAACACTAATGAAAGTAAAATATGTCTAAAATAGGAAAAAACAGACTCAACACAACAGAAAATTTAAAGAATGAATTAAACAATAAACTTAGAAACAATCTCAGAAATCAGAATAAATCAGCATAAAGATAAAAATATGAGAGAACTGTTAGCACATATGAAGGACAATTCATGGAGATCCAACTCCTGAATAATAAGTATTTTTATTCAGAAACAAAGACATAAAAAACACAAAGAAACCTTCCTAGATATAAGATATTATGTGATACTAATAGGTTTACCTTCTTGGCCTGTATTAGTAAACAGAGATTCACATAATAAAATGTGTGTAAATACATATTCAGAAGCTTCAAGTATAAAGGAAGATTCTAACCGCCCTAAAGAGGAAACAATGCTTACTATTAAAAAATCTACAGTGGTCTTAGGTGACTGATATGATCTGAATGTTTGTGTTCCTCCAACATTTACATATTGAAATCAAATCCCTAAAGTGTTGATATTAAGAGATGGGGCCTTTGGGAGGTGGGGCCCTTGTGAGGCTCTGCCCTCATGAATGAGATTAGTGCCCTTATAAAACAGACCTGAAGGAACTTGTTTACTCCTTCACAATGTAAGCACACAGAAGGCACTATGTACGAGGAACAGGCCCTCTGCAGACATCGAATCTGCTGGCACTTTGCTCTTGATGTAGACTTCCCATGGTAAGAACTGTGAGCAACACATTTCTGTTGTTTATAAATTCCCCAGCTGGAATATTTTGTTATAATAGCCTGAACAGACTGAGACAGAAGTGAGGTGCTGCTGTAACAAATACCTAAAAATGTGGAAGTGGCTTTGGAACTGGGTAATGAAAAGGGTTTGAAAGAGTTTGGAGGTGCATACTAGAAAAAACCTAGATTTCTGTGAATGGAGGATTAAGGACAGTTCTGGTGGAGGCTCAGAATAAGAGAGTTGTAGAAGAGACTTCAGTCCCCTTAGAAATTACCCAAGTGGTCATAAACAATATGGACCCTAAAGGCCATTCTGATGAGGTCTCAGACAGAAATAAAGACCATGTTACTGAAAACTGGAGGAAAGGTGATCCTTGGTATAAAGTGGCAATGAACTTGGCTAAATTTTGTCCATGTCTTAGTGCTTTGTGGAAGGTAAAACTTCCAAGTGATGAAATACAATATTTGGCAGAAGAAATAGCTAAGCAAAGTGTTGAGGGTATAGCATGGCTTCTCTTGACAGTAAAATGTGAGAAGAGAGAAATGAATTAAAGATGGAATTTATAATTAATAGGGAAGCAGAAATTAAAACTTTGAAAAATTCTCAGCCTATAAAAAATGATAAAGTGTGTTCAGGAGAGAACACCAAAGGTATGATCAAGCAGACATTTGATAAGAGGATTACTATAGATATAAGGAAGCCAGCTGTTATTCATCAACACAATCAGAGAATAATCCCAAAGGCATTTCAGAGATTGTCAGAACTGCCCTGCTCATTATAGGCCTAGAACGCCAAGGCCTTTGGAGCAGAACAGTTTCAAAAAAGGGTCCCAGGGTATCTATGGACATTTGCGGTTCACTGCCTTGCACTGCCCCAAGGTGCTGCTCCTTGGATTTCTCCTCGGTCACCTCAGGTTCAGCTGTAGTGGGCACAGGTGCAGTCTTGGCTGCTCCTCCAAGTGGTAATCTTGGTGGTGTCCATGCAGTGTCATCTCCACCAGTCACAGAGCACACTGGTTGTGGGCGTGTGGCTGTGGGCTTTGCTTAGTAAAGTCATGGAGGTGGGGCCACTTGGAGCCATCAAGATTTCAAAGAATGACCCAGAGAGCTTGATGGTACAGGCAGAGAACTGCCACAGGAGTGTGGCCACCACAGACAGCCTTCACCAGGCTCCAATGCCTAGTGGAGCCATGAGGGTAGGGCAACTGCAGAGAGCCCTTACTAGGACAATGCCTAGTGGAACTGGGAATGCAGGGCTTCCCCCATAACCCCATTCTTATAAAGCCACAACCATGCAATTCTAGCCTCAGAGAGCTGCAGGCACTGAACTCCAACCTGTGAGAGCTGCAGTGTGGGCTTTGCCTAGTAAAGTAATGGAGGTGGGGCCACCTGGAGCCTTGGAGGCCCAACTCCTACCCCAATGTGTCCAGAAGGCAGGGCAAGGAGTCAGAGAAGACGTTTCTCAAGACTTCAGTATTCAATGTTGTTTGCCCTGTTGAGGTTTGAACTTGCTTAGGACCAGCTATCCCTTTCTTCCTCCCTGTTTGTCCCTTTAGGAGTGGGAATGTCTATCCTATGCCAGTCCCACCATTGTATTTTGGAAGCACATAACTTGTTTAATTTCACATGTTCACAGCTGGAAAGCAATTCGCCTCAGAATGCATTGTACCTTGAGTCTCACACATATCATATTTAGATGATATTCAGATAAGACTCTGGACTTTAGATTTCCGAGCTGATGCTGGAACAAATTAGACATTTAAGGCTATTGGGATGGAATTAATGTATTTTGTATGTGAGAAGGACATAAATTTTGGGGGCCCAGGGGTGGGAAGCTATGGTCTGAATGCTTGTGTCTCTTCAAAATTTGTATGTTCAAATCTACTCCACAATGTGTTGTTATTAAGAGGTGGAGGCTTTGAGAGGTGACTAGGTCATGAGCCCTCATGAATGAAATTAATGCCTTTATAAAGAGGCCTGTGGGAGCTTATTTACCCTTTCACCCTTCTGCCCTGTTGTGCTCCAACAGTGAGGAATGAGTTTTCACCAGACACCAAATCTGCTGGTGCCTTAATGTTGGATTTTGCAGCTCCCAGAACTGTAAGCAACAAATTTATAATTATTTATAAATTACCCAGTCTAATATATTTTGTTACAGCAGTCCAAGCAAACTAAGAGAGTGACTTCTGGAATCCTTTCGAAACAACCAATTATGGGGCAATAGCTACAGAGCCTTTTCAAAAAGTGAGCTGATCTAAAAATTCTGGAAATGGCTAAGTTGACATTCTGATACCTATGAAGTTTAATACAATTTATCAGTTGACAACCACAAAAACTGCTCAAAAATATAGTCCAGAGAATGAAGGAATGCGTTAAAATAAACAACAAGAATACATGGTTAACTACCTTTTCTGTACTTTATAGCACAAAATTCTGAGGTTTCAATATTTAAGCAGCTTTATAATAAATATAAATATTTACATATTTAGGTAAATAAATATTTACATACCTATTTTCTTATTGTTTTCCTGCATATTTTGGAATGATATCTTGAGATTCGTGCTTTATGCCAAAGCCTCACTTGATTAGGGAATATTGAGTATAAACCATTGAGAAAGCAACAGTCTCTTGAGTTTTACTAATTGGTGTGTGTGGGGTGTGTGTGTGTGCGTGTGTGTGTATGCATATGTGGATATGTGTATGTATATTAAAGATATAGGTATGAATTTGTCAATAGAACTAGATTTTCTATAAAGTAGACAAAAAGTTTTATTTATTTACTTATTTAATTTTATTTTTAAAATAAAAACCACTCAGGCAGGGCGCGGTGGCTCACACCAGTAATCCCAGCACTTTGGGAGGCTGAGGCAGGTGGATCACGTGGTCAGGAGATTGAGACCATCCTGGCTAACACGGTGAAATGCCGTCTCTACTAAAACTACAAAAAATTAGCTGGGCGTGGTCGTGGGCGCCTGTAGTCCCATCTACTCGGGAGGCTGAGGCAGGAGAATGGCGTGAACCTGGGAGATGGAGCTTGCAGTGAGCCAAGATTATGCCACTGCACTCCAGCCTGGGCAACAGAGCGAGACTCCGTCTCAAATAAAAAAAAAAAAAATGAGAACCACTCAGACTGTATTCTCTCTCTCTTTCTCTCTCAGAGTAAGAGAAGAATGATCATCCGTGGCAATGGCAGTTTCAGTGAGGTAGCACCAAGAGCCGGCCTCACACGCAGGAGAGAATGCTACACCCTCTTTTCATGGTTTCTGGTGCTCTACAGGTTCAGAGAAACTCTAGAAGTTTATCTGAAATAATCCCTGAAAGTATAGTCTTAGCATAGTTTTATTGATTCCACAAAGACAGATAACTTATATTTGATCTGGTTGATAATTAAGATGTAACTAAAATGTAGGTAGGTCCTAGGTATATCAGGATGGTTGTTTTAAGATTAATTTAAATATATATCATTTAAATGCTATTTTAATGTGATTAAAAATAAACTAGCTACTGGGCCGGACACAGTGGCTCACACCTGTAATCCCAGCACTTTGGGAGGCCGAGGTGGGCGGATCACAAGGTCAGGAGTTTGAGACCAGCCTGACCAACATGGTGAAACCCCATCTCTACTAAAAATACAAGAATTAACCAGGTATGGTGTTGGGCACCTGTAATCCCAGCTACTCAGGAGGCTGAGGTAGGAGAATTGCTTGAACCCAGGAGGCGGAGGTTGCAGTGAGCTAAGATTGTGCCACTGCTCTCCAGCCTGTATGACAGAGCAAGAATCCGTCTTGAAAAAAACAAAAATAAAATAAACTAGCTACTATGTGTACCAATGAAAAATTACATTTTAACTGGTATTTCTTTATTAATATAAATCACACCATTTCACATTTAAGTTTTTAAAAATAAAAAATAATCTTACCAAATTTGTATGCCCCAATTTGTTATCAGAGTGGAAATATTTTAGAAGAAACTGAACTGGGAATTAACATAAGTATTGGCTTAAAGATGTTATTTTAAAAATCAAAAATAAATCCATGCCTCTCTTTAAAACATTAACAACTTAATTAGTAGATTATTGTTTGAACATAATTTAAAAGTTAACTGATTTAACTTTTATGAAAATCATGATTAGTAAATGTAATGAAATGAGTTGTATGTCAATTGAACATGAATTTCAAATTGAATGTTAATTTTAACTACCTAAGCTTCATTTTGCTAAACTACAAACTTGGATTATTCATTTCTATTAGCCTATCTCTCATGTCACTATAAGCTACAAAAAGTGATATTACCAATTTTAAAAGTAAAATTTCTGGCAAATATTATAGCTGAAAGAAGCAAACTACCTATCTTCATCTTAACTACCTAAGCTTCATCTTGCTATCTAACTTTTATCTTACTAAACACAAACTTGGATCAATTTGTTTCTATTAGCCTGTCTCTTATGTGACTATAAGGGCACAAAAAGAGTGATATTACCAATTTTAAAAGTAAAGTGTGTGGTAAATATTGTAGTTCAGAGAAGCAAAAGAATAAAATGAATTAGAGTCAGGGTAGGCTCCACAGTATAAGTTAAACCTTTTCAGGGTTAGTAAAAATCTTATTAACAAAAGCCTATTCTTTCAGTTTCACGTTTTCCAAAGAGGAGGGTAATTAAGGAGGAAGGTACCCACTTTTAGGTAGAAACCTGGGTGTTTAAGGAAGTGATTAAAATGAGTCTCCCGGAACTACCAGTGGACCCTAGCACTCTTCCAGCTTTATTGGTGCCCATCAGTCATTCAAAATCTGCCCAGGCCTCTAAAACTGTTCTTATTAAGATTAGACCTGAGTGAATCCACAAACATAAAAATAAGACTAATGTGAACCTTTGCCGAAAATGCAAATCCAACCTAAATTGCCGCCCTGTTTTTTAGGTTAAAAAATTCTGGCCGGTTATTTTTTTTTCCAAATTAATTTTGGATCATAAGAGTCTATTAGCTGGTTTTTGCTGGCACCACACTGCTGAAAGGATGACAAGAAATAGGGAGCCTTGGAAATTGTACATGTCTGCCCTAAGAATTCCAGTCCCATTTTATAACCCAGAAAGTCTTAGATCATTTGGATCTGGTTTAGATAAACTGACTAGAATGAAACCAAATCAGTGCATCTTCTAAGCTTCTCCCAGCCATCCTTCATTAAGAGAAGAGTCATTTTTGCCTTTTATGAAAAGGCAGAGCCAAAAGATCAATATTCACTGGCTTTCCTTCCATCCAAAACTTTTCCCACAGGTCTGCTGCCAACTTATGAGCAGAAGTTTCAATTTTTGCATCTCTGTTTTTCAAATACAGGGGAGTTATATGGGGGCATTCCCCATAGCCTTGTCAGGCCCTGTGCTTCCCCTTAGTTCAAAGTGTCTCTGTAGAACTGTGTACTTGGGCATTTGTGACAGCCCTGGCACCAGCATGTCCACCACTGAAGATGGGCCCTGCCATGTCTTTGCTGCTGAGGGTGCACAGAAAACCCCTGAAAATGATGCTACAAGTGTTATAAGCACTTTTTGGTCTTCTTCAAACCGTAGCCATAGGGGCACCTTGGAACCACCTCAGGAGACTGTAGAAATAAGATGTGCATATTCTTACTTTTAGGCATTCAAAACTATCTCTGTCAAACGTTGTCTATCAAATTTGATAGAGAGAAGCATGTTGTAGAGGAGAAAGCACAGTCTTTTGCCCTTGATGGACACACATTGCCTGACTGCCTGGGAAATCTCATCTTCAAGGTGGATGATTTTTTGGCTCCCTATTAACTTCTAATGAGTGAGATCCAAGACAGAGCAGTCTTATAGTAAATGTCAGCCCACAGCAAATAAAGACTCCTAGAACACTAGAAATAGAAGTTCTCTTTGAGATTATGTAGTCCAGTATCCTCATTTTACGTAGAGAGAAATATGGCTCAGAGAGATTGGGTGACTTCCCCAGGGTCTCACAGCCAGTTTGAGTCTGAGGTGCAATGAGAATCTAGGTTCTTCCATATTTGGCAGCTTCAAATCTGTCCTTGGAAGCCAATGGTTTCCTTCAGTTCTCATAAATTAGAACAGTTCTGAATAGCAATCAAGTTGTTACTTTTTGTTCCTTATGTTGTTATACTGCAAATTTTAGTTTAAACCCTTACAAATTTTATAAAACTGGCTTAAAACTTCTAACTTTCTCAATGATAACTGTGAATGTCTGAATACACAATTTGGCTGAACTCAAAGACAGTTATTGATTGAAACTCTGTAACATATAGTGTCACAAGGCTCCATTAGCCGTGAGTTCCATGAGGGCCATTAATTATGGATATTTTGTTCCGGGCCTAGAACAGAACTTGTACATAGTAGATACTCAACAAATATTTTTGCAATAAATTTTCCCATTATCTATCTAACTTTTCCAATTTAGCAGTTCAAGTGATATTGTCCTCCTAGCAATAATTAATATTCAAAAAGTTTTTATGTTCAATTCATGAGTCTCATATCCACTTCAATTGAATGTTCTCAATTCTGTGTTATATGCCTTCATATTTATTCCATTGACTTGAACTAACAATCAGTTACTTGGTATCAGTTATATGTATTTGTCTTAGTCTGTTTTCTGTTACTACAATAGTATCCCATAGACTGGGTAATTTATAAGGAAAATAAGTTTATTTAGCTCATGGTTCTAGAGGATGGAAAATCCAAGAGCACTGTGCTGGCATCTGGTGAAGGCCTTTTACTGTGTCATAGTAAGGCAGAGGGCATATTGTGGTGAAGAAGGCAAAAGCAAGAGAGCCAAAGAGAGCTCACTTTTATAACGAAGCCACTTTTGTGATAATAAAACCTCTGGTGATAGTGATATTAGTTCATTCATGAAGGCAGAAATATTCTCTCCAACACATTAACTCTTGGGAGACACCATCACATGATAAGAGAACATTGTTCTATTTGTTAAATTGTTGATTTTTTTTTGAGACATCTTACTCTGTTGCCCAGGCTAGAGTGCAGTGGCATGATCTCAGCTCACTGCAGCCTCTGCCTCCTGGGTTCAAGCAATTCTCCTGCCTCAGCCTTCCAAGTATCTTGGACCACAGGCATGTGCCACGACACCCAGCTAATTCTTTTTCTATTTTTTTTAAATAGAGATAGGGTTTTGCTGTTTTGGCCAGGGTGGTCTCAAACTCCTGACCTCAAGTGATCCACCCGCCTCTGCCTCCCAAAGTGCTGGTATTAGAGGTGTGAGCCACCATGCCCGGCCTAAATTATTGAATTATATTATGCACACAGAAAGATGCTTTTAAATGTGCAGCTCACTGAATTTTCTCAATATCAACATTGTCTGGTTTTTAATAAAAAACATATAAATAATAGCAAATCATGCTTCTGTCATTGATCAGTTTGCAATTTCTTTAAAAGAAAATACATACATAAAAATTAATTCTGCAAAAGACATGTGAAATAAGTAGACTGTATGGCATTTGTTGGAAGAGTACAGCAGAGAGAGAACATTGAGCTGGAATAGTTTGGGAAGGTTTTATAGGAAGAGACAGGATTTAGACTAGGACTTAGAGGACAGATGTGAATTGGGAGAGAACAAAGAGAAGGAAAGAATATTTGGGTTAGAGGAACTGATTGATCAAATGTCATCATGTTCAACATGAGACCAGTAGGTGAACAGCAAGTGGAGCTATATGGAATAAGAGGACTGAAGTTTTATATTATGGAAATTCTGTTTGGAAAAGAAGGGCCTTATACTTTATACAAATACTGTATATACATTATGCTAGATAAGTAAATTTTGTTTAAACTACAATAGAAATGAAAGAAGAAAAGGCTGATTGAGAAGTATAGGTTGTTTTGTAGTCTATGGTAATGGTACTCCCTGGAGATGTTCAGTGTTCAACCTGCACAAATCTGCATGCTAGTCCTTGTGGAGCCTGACCTCACATGGCAGCAGCAGGAATGAAAAGAAAGTGAAGATGTGCAAGAGACTACAAATAATTGAAGTGTTGTTGAACATAGCTTATTGGGTAGTAAGAAATTAAAGGCAGACCATGGTTTAATATGTAGTTTCCCTAATAACATTTTAGGCTGCGCTCTTGATGTTTTAATTCCAAAAAATAACTTGTGAAATTTCACTATGAAGTTGGCCCAGAAGGTGATATATTTTTGGTCAAAGGCTTTTTTGATGAACCTTAAGAAATAACAACTCCATACTTCTTTCATTTGTAAGCCTGACCCCATGTGGAGGTATGGGCTAGGCAAATAAATAACAAGAATAAGAACACCTTTATTCCTCTCACATTCCCTTGACTTTGTCCTTTGTACCATGGCAAACTGGAAGGGGACATTGAAGAATTAATATGGAGTGTGAGGCTCTCACAGTGGCCCCTGAGGAACAATTTTCAATATGTTACACTGTTATGCTAAGAAAGTTTGCAAACCAGGTCATTTGATTCAACTCCCCTCTAATAAGCATCAGCAGTGTCAAGTTGCTCAAAGAATCTTCACTAAATCTAAATAAATATAAGAATTTTACAAACTTTCCACAAAGATTTATTGGGTACCTCTTGTGTGGCTACCACTCTGGAGTGTCTTCCTGGCATATAGGTTGGTGCTCAATAAACATTTATTAGATGAAGAATTAATGAATTAGTAAAAACTTGTGTTTTAGGAGGCTAATGTGCTGGATTTGAGAGGAAGAAGGCCAGAGGCAACAAGAACAGTTGAACTTTTGTTGTAATCCAGACCTTAGACTGTGAAAGTTTAAATGAGAATACAAGGAAAAGGCAGGGAAGTGGTGGCTTATGGGAAATGTCAGTGAGACATTGTAGCTCATTGGCTACAGGGAAACTATTAAGATGAATGAGAAGAAAAGAGTCAAAGACAGTTGGGTTTTGAGATCTGAGTAGAAAGAGTATTCAAGTAGTGGAAAGTGAGTAGGAATGGCATTATTTTTAGGCATGTTTGGTTGGGGTCATGGGAGAAGCCTTTGCATGGAGACATCCTGAAACCACAACTCTCCAACTGGTGTCTGGGTCAAAGCCAGAGCTAAAAGTGCCTCAATTCATCAATCGTTGGAAGTACACATGTCAGCCATTAAGATGGATTGACATGTCACAATGCAAAATCAATTACTTTAGGTTAAAAAAAAGCATTTTTGTCTGTTTTATCATATCTCAATCATCAAATTTCTTTTGCAAAACTAATGAGTTTTATTTAAACCCAACATGCTTGCAATATGACTGCTAAAACAACAATATGCAATTTTGAACTGCATTAATATGGTGTCCGAAGAAAGGAGCAATGTTGCATAGCATTGCTTCTCAAACCTTTTGTCACTATCACTCCCTAAGGAGCCTTTTTAGATTGCTTGAGACTGATGGTATTTGGAGTTAAGACAAAGGGATAACTTCACAGGGAGAAGAGTGCAAAGAGCAGAAGCCTAATGACCACGCCAGGAGGAGTGCAGGGAGGGCTGGAAACAGAGATGGTGCATTTAAAGGATGGAGAATGTAAGACTTGTGAGTCACTAAGTCAAGGGGAAAGAGAGTTTTCAATAGGTAGGTAATGAAAGAATTGTCAAGTACTAAAAAAGATAAAAAAGAAAACAAACAAGAAAAGTCCATTAGATTAATCATTTTCAAACTGGATTTATAAAATTTGTGTCTGCGGTCATGAATAGGTGACATATTAATAACTAGTCAGATCAGTTTTAGAAATTAAGTGGAAATAATTGCCTGCCCCCAGTTAGTTGGAGCTATGTATATATTTTAAAATAAAGTTGTTTGGTTTGTTGTTTTTAATATGCTGTATGGACGCTGGGTAGCTGTATCACAAGAAGGATTTCGATATAGTTTCTTTTCTAGTAGTGAAGGCTCTTCATTGTTAGCACCAAGGGAAACATAGTCCATCTAAGGTCGAGGCATATTTTCAGCAGGAACTGGCAGTTGTTCAGTCATTGGGTGGCTAACAAAGAATTTTCAGTGTAAGGACGAAGGGGCGTAGTCACTCAGCTCCACCGTTCAGGTAGCCAATGTGCTCAGCGATGTGGTTGAACAGGAATGGGGACACATCACTAACTGCATAGGGAAGATTTTCAGGCCACTGCCGTGTGGGATTTTGTTTATTGGTCAGGTTTGCAAACAACTTCCCTCAGACCAAATATTGAAGTAGTTTAAGCTTGGAGAAAATTAGGGAGGTGGTTCTGCATATGCCTTGAGTCCTAGACTCGATGGGTTCTGAGAGATCATGTATCCTGGCCCTCGGCCTATGATCTATTCTGTTTCACTCTATTATTGAAAAGATTGTCAACCAGTTTCTCCTTGACAGCTTCCAGCAAAGGGGCGTTCACTACATTGCAAGGAAGTTTATCCTGAAATTAGTAATCTGTATCTTACAGCTGTTGCAATTTCCTGGGATAGTGCATAATATCTACTAGCCAGTGTTCTTGGCACTTTAGAGATATTCACCCATTTAATCTTCACTTTAACTCCATGGATAAAATGTCCACCTAACAAAGTAAATTCTATTAATACCCACATTTTTTTAGATGAGGAAATTAAGGCATGAGTTGGTTATGTAACCTTCGTAAGGCCAAAGGATTCAAACCATGGTGGTCTTACTCCAGTGTCAGCTCATAACTAGTGTAGAGAAGGAACAACTGTTTTTCTTCTACCCATTTCAGGCTCATTGACTGTATCCTATAAGTTATACTACTAAAAGACAGATTAGGGCAGACATGGTGGCTCACGCCTGTAATCCCAGTTCTTTGGGAGGCCGAGGCGGGCGGATGACCTGAGGTCGGGAGTTTGAGACCAGCCTGACCAAAGTGGAGAAACTTCGTCTCTATTAAAAATACAAAATTAGCCGGGCATGGTGGCGCATGCCTGTAATACCAGCTACTCAGGAGGCTGAGGCAGGAGAATAGCTTGAACCTGGGAGGTGGAGGTTGTGGTGAGCCAAGATCGCACCATTGCACTCCAGCCTGGGCAACAGGAGCAAAACTCTGTCTCAACAACAACAACAACAACAACAACAAAATCCAAAAACAAAAAGACAGATTAACAAGAAAAAAATAAACAGAAGTTTATTAGCATGTGCATTGTGCATATATGTGGGAGCACCCAGTGATGAGCAACTCAAAGGGGTAGTTAGAACTTGGGTTTATATAGCATCTTAACAAAACACAATACAAGTTTTTTGAGGGAAGTGACAAGACAAAGGAAAAGGACTTTGAGTTTGTCGAGGTAACAAATTGTGAGAAGGCAAACATATGGGGGAAACTAATGGTAAGTAAGGGCTAATGTTAGCAAAGTTTTGTTATGTAAATTTTTCTGGTGCCCACCTTTGGACTGAGAAGGGTCTAGCACTGTCTCTGATGAGGGCAAGAGCTTTTCTTATATCTGCTTCTTAATAATCCTTATGCCAAAGTAGCAAGCATATTGCGCTATCTTTCACTTGTTCACTCTAATGTTTAATACCTCTTGCTAGTTATTCAAATATTTGAGGACAGTTATTAGGGCTTCCCTAAGCATTCTTTTCTCAGGCTAACTGTTCCCTAGTTAATACAATCTTTTTTTTTTTTCATGCTATGATTGTGATCTTCTAGGAAAGCATAATTTAGTTTGTGATTGTCTCTCTTAAAACCAGTGCTCAGAACTGAACCCAGGCTCCACTAAGTTCTGAAGAATGTATAGAATTGTGTGGAATCATGTAATTGTTAGGTTCTAAAATTAGGCTGGAAGGTGAGAATTGAGAATAACCAAAATTACCTCTGAAAAAGCCCTTAACTGACTCATAATAGAGATTACATAAGATATTGTATATAATTCTGTCCAGAAATTCTTCTGCTCATTAAAATTTGAGAACCACTATGTTGACTAAAGAATGCAAAACAAAGAAAGTTGATATACAGACACCTGCACATTTAAAACATTCTGTCTTTAAGGTAATAATCAAATCACCAGTGATGAATGAAGCATGGATAGAAAATACTCAATTGGTTCTATTTGCCTGAAATATTACTTCATTGTGATTAAATATTAAGCTCTATAATATATATTAATTATTTGTGTTGCATGAGAATTAAACAAGAAGGGGGATAAAGATAGGTTCTAAAATCAATGTGTAAGTTTAATATAATCGGAGGCCTTGCCATTCAGCATGTATTCTCAAGAGGGGAGCTATCATTCCCAAGGGGGTAAAAATTGGTTCTTGGTGGGCAAAAAAACATACTTTTAAAATATAAATCCCAGACATATACACAAAACATTTCATGGGGCAAGTGATAATTATAAAGACATGTATAAATAGGCCCCTTAGAGAGTGATAATGACAAAAGAATTGAGAAACACTGCTATATGACATTGCCCCTTGATCTGGACACCATATTAATGCAGTTCAAAATTGCATTTGTTATTTTGGCAGTCATACTGCTCACATTTTGGGTTTAAATAAAGTTCAAAGGTTTTATAAAAGAAATTTGATTATTGGGTTGTGATGAAACAGACAAAAATGTTTTCAAACTAAAGTAATTGATTCTGCATTGTGACATGTCGATAAATCTCAATGGCTGGCATTTGCTCTTCCATTGATTGATACATGGAGGACAGTTTCAGCTAGGCAAAGGGGGGAATTTTGTTCAGCAGATGTGGGGCTTTCAGCTTATAAACTGTGCTCTGTGTGAATGCCTGCAAAGGCAGATGAATAAATTCACTTGATTTTGGTTTTTGACTTATAAGCCCATGTATTTCATCCTTGATGCTGTACTGAGAAAAAATGTAAATCCCGTGGCCATGACTAGTTCCAGCAAAAGGTCTCCCAAATATTTCTCAACTCTATCATCACCATCACCAAAAATAAGCTCAAAATCTCACACCCTATTGAGACGGAAGAAGTGGTTTCAGTATGTTTGTTTGCAAAGGATGGAACATTTGGCTTTTACATATGTATTTGTGATTTTTTTGTGGTTATATAGTTATTACCTTCCCCCTCCCCTTACCACTTAACAAATGACATCAAATCCCTTTTCAGGAAGGAAACTGTCTAGGTAAGGCAAAACACCATTTACATACTAAAATACCATACAGTTGCAAAATAATATGTCCCAGGAAGAGTTTGGAAGGAGAGGGCAGAACACCTTAAAAACTAAATTGCTCTGCATAAGAAAATATGAAGCATTTACCCTGTTTAACACTTCTGAAGCAGGAGAGGAAGAGAGACAAATATGGTAGGATTGAGATGGGCTGTATGGCTATAACTTAAGGAAGCGGCAGCTGGATAAAATGGCCATGACATTATTTTGAAAGAACCTCAATGTCTATCTTCCAAGGCCCAGTGGTAAAATATAATCCCTCCTTCATTATCTATCATTTTAGTGTAATATTTTAAAATGAAAAACACTTCAAATAATTATAACAGACACTCATGTGTGCACTAAGAACAGATGTTAATATTTTATACTTTTGTTTCAGATCTGTTTTTTAAAATTTTAT
Source organism: Homo sapiens (assembly GCF_000001405.40). Taxonomy (NCBI): domain Eukaryota; kingdom Metazoa; phylum Chordata; class Mammalia; order Primates; family Hominidae; genus Homo; species Homo sapiens. Next base: position 218,552,061 of record NC_000001.11, read on the forward strand.
TTATTTATTTATTTATTTTGAGACGAAGTCTCGCTCTGTCACCCAGGCTGGAATCCTGTGGCCCGATCTTGGCTCACTGCAAGCTCCGCCTCCTGGGTTCACGCCATTCTCCTGACTCAGCCTCTGGAGTAGCTGGGACTACAGGCGCCCTCCACCACGCCCGGATAATATTTTTTTTGTATTTTTAGTAGAGACGGGGTTTCACCGTGTTATCCAGGATAGTCTCGATCTCCTGACCTCGTGATCCGCCCACCTCGGCCTCCCAAAGTGCTGGGATTAAAGGTGTGAGCCACCGCGCCCAGCCCTCTTTTTATTTTTTAAAAAGCCCTACATCACGCCTGTAACCCCAGTATTTTGGGAGGCTGAGGCAAGTGGATCACGAGGTCAGGAGTTTGAGACCAGCTTGACTAACACGGTGAAACCCTGTCTCTACTAAAAATACAAAAAAAAATTAGCTGGGTGTGGTAGCGTGTGCCTGTAATCCCAGCTACTTGGGAGGCTGAGGCAGGAGAATCGCTTTAACCCTGGAGGCGGAGCTTGCAGTGACCTGAGATCACGCCACTGGACTCCAGCCTGGGCGACAGAGCGAGACTCCGTCTCGAGGGGTGGGGAAAAAAAAAAAAAGTCCTACAAATAGAGCTAAAACTCTATCTTCCCCTTCCCCTTGTTTCTCTTCCAGAGGTAACCAATTTCCTAAAATAGTGAATATCACTTTCAGGTTTTAAAAAAAGAGTATGTATTCATTATATCTCATATATTCATTACTAATATTCACTATTATTCTTTATATTTCAATTTTTTACATAAGTGTTATCGAACTGCATTTTTGGTCTCAAAACTAACCTGTTTTATGCAACTTGCTTTTTTCACTCAACATTATGCGCTGTGTTGAAAAACAATCCTGGTTCATTCCTTTAACTGAACCGTAATGTTCATTATATATAAATTTAATGTCATTCACCAATTCCCCTGTGGAAGGAAGTTGAACTGTTTCTTTTCTTTTTTTTTTTTTGTCTCCAAACCTCCCTCAGTAGAAGTAAAGAGGGAGGACCCCGCCCCAACCTTAGACACCCACATTTCTCTGTCCCATAATACTCAGATTCTCCACCATTATCCACCTGGAAGAAGTCATTATGTCCTTTATGGCTATGTCAGTCACTGTGGTAAGCTCCAGACTCCCATACTCTTTAACTAGCGTGAGGTCCTCTCTCCTACACATTCCCAGCCTCTGCACTCCTTCCACTTTGCCCTTTGGAACCCACTGCCCTTTTCTTGAGTTTTCAAGGATTCATACTCCATATTTCCTCCAGATGTTCAGTTCTTGGTTCTAAATTAAACCCAGGCTCCCTCTTGCGGTCACTGCCTCCTCTGTGTCCTTTTACTTAGTGGCTGTTCTCTTCACTCATCTTGGAGGTGGGATGGTTGGCCTCCTTGCTTCTCATTGCAGTCTCCAAACCATTCACCATCCCTCTTCCCTTTGAGTCTCCTGTCATTGACTCTATCCACAACTCCTCCTTGTAACAGTCATTCTAAACCTAGGTTACCCCTCATTTCACAAAGACATTTAGTTTCTAGGCTAATGCTTCTCAAACTTCAGTGAACACATGAGTGTCTAGGGGGATCTTGCTGAACTATAGATTCTGACTCAGTAGTTCTGCATTGGAGCCTCAGATTCTGCTTATCTGACAAGAACCCAGTAATATGGAAGCTGCTGGACCACTCTTCAAGTAGTAAAGTTCTAGATCACTGTCACTTTCCCAACAGTACTACTATCTTTTTGAGGGGAGGATTTCAATCCCTATAGAGACAATCCTCCCAGCACCCTGTACTTCAGATCATTAGCCTTCTCTCCTCCAGTAAACTTGTTTCTATCTCAGACATTCCCTCCTCTACACCTTGTTATTACCCAAACTGGCAACCCTTTCATGATCTTAATTTTCAGCATCTAATTCTCCATCACCTCTTATCTTTCCTGCTCACTGATTCTATTCCCCAAACACAAACAAGTCTTGAACTTCCCTCATCCACTCAAACTTACAGTTTCTCCACCTCCCTCATTCTATTCATGTTCACTCTTAACTTTACCCAGTTTAGAGTCCATGGCAGTTGATTATAATCACTCTCTTGTATACGTGGCCAACTTCCTCGCCCCTTCTTTCTTCATCATACTCACTTGACAAAAATCTCAAACCTGGCTAATTACAATGCTCTGCCTACTACACATTTGCACCCATGCTCCTAAATGAAGACAAGGAAAAGGTTGCAGTCCTATTGGACCATGAGTCTCATGTTAAATTTATGAGCACAAACCTCAAGTGGAAGTGGAATGCCATCTGTCAATCACACTATCCCTATCCCATTTTCTCTCTTGCACTCTTCCAGATAGCAATTTTGTGTCTTCTCCTTCCTCAAATCTCCAATACCTCCTCCTCATTCCTCACTCTCAGTTGAAGATCTCACTTATTATTTTATGGAGAAAGCAAGAATGACAAGAAGACTTCACAAGCTCCCACCCTAACATACACTCAGGCATTCCTCCTTAGAACTCTACCTCTCTTACCTACTCAATGCCATGCCTCTAGAAATTGTCTCCTTCTCTTCCTGCATTATATCTTCCTCTCTAATGCACTGCATCTTCCTTTCAGCATAAAGCATACTTTTTAAAAATTACTATAAGTTCTGGGATACATGTGCAGAACGTGCAGGTTTGTTACATAGGTATACACCTGCCATGGTGGTTTGCTGCACCCATCAACCTGTCATCTACATTAGGTATTTCCCCTAATGTTATCTTTCCCCTAACCCCTCACCCCCAACAGGCCCCAGTGTGTGATGTTCCCCTCCCTGTGTCCATGTGTTTTCATTGTTCGACTCCCACTTATGAGTGAGAACATGTGGTGTTTGGTTTTCTGTTCCTGTGTTAGTTTGCTGAGAATGATAGTTTCCAGCTTCATCCACGTCCCTGCAAAGGACATGAACTCATCCTTTTTTATGGCTGCATAGTATTCCATGGTATATATGTGCCACATTTTCTTTGTCCAGTCTATCATTGATGGGCATTTGGGTTGGTTCCAAGTCTTTGCTATTGTGAATAGTGCTGCAATAAACATACATGTGCATGTGTCTTTATAGTAGAATGATTTATAATCCTTAGGGTGTATACCCAGTAATGGAATTGCTGGGTCAAATGGTATTTCTGGTTCTAGATCCTTGAGGAATCACCACACTGTTTTCCAGAATGGTTGGACTAATTTACACTTCCACCAACAGTGTAAAAGCGTTCCTGTTTCTCCACATCCTTTTCAAGATCTGTTGTTTCCAGACTTTTTAATGATCGCCATTCTAACTGGCATGAGATTGTATCTCATTGTGGTTTTTATTTGCATTTCTCTAATGACCAATGATGATGAGCTTTTTTCATATGTTTGTTGGCTGCATAAATGCCTTCTTTTGAAAAGTGTCTGTTCATATCCTTTGCCCACTTTTTGATGGGGTTGTTTGTATTTTTCTTGTAAATTTGTTTAAGTTCCTTGTAGCTCTTTGTCAGATGGATATACTTTCAGGGATCATTTCTATAGTTTGTTATCCATCTGGCTTTTTTCTTTTTTTTTTTAGATAAATTCTCACTCTGTCACCAGGCTGGAGTGCAGTGGTGCCATCTCGGCTCACTGCAACCTCTGCCTCCCAGGTACAAGTGATTCTCCTGCCTCAGCCTCCCGAGTGCTGGGACTACAGGTGTGCACCACCACACCGGCCAATTTTTGTACTTTTAGTAGAGACAGGGTTTCACCATGTTGGCCAGACTGGACTCGAACTCCTGACTGCAAGTGATCCACCCACCTCAGCCTCCTAAAGTCGTGGGATTACAGGCATGAGCCATCGTGCCCGGCCCCAAGCATACTTTTTTTTTCCACTTAAAAAAATAAAAGCCTCTTCCTCATTCGTCCTAGTTCTCTGCTCATTTCAAAGCAAGCTCCTTAAAATAGTTATCTACACCAAAGTCTTTGATTTCTCCCTCCCTACCCTCTTTTAAGCCCACCACAGTTAGGCTTTTGCCCATACTACACCTCTGAATTGGAATTTTTTTCTATCATAATCAACATTAGATGTCTTATTACCTTCAAATAAAAAAACTTTTAAAAACAGCTTAGTCACAGAATGCATAAATTATTAACTGAATGTGAACAGTTAAAACAAACACAATAACTAGCTGCATGCATACCCTGAAAATATGGGTTTACCTTTGACTGCCAGTTACTTACCATACAGGAAGCTGAAAATAGTTCTGCAGTCAGAACTGGCTAGATCAGTGTCTTACTGGTTGCCTACCTAATTGATTGATAGATTCACCTATTCATTTATCCACCTTTTGAGTTCTGAATTTACTAATTCACCCCACATTCTGCATTTTTTTCTTTGCCTTCCCCCCATTCCTTTCCCCCTTCTCTTACTGGTTAATGGATGTCATATAGGCTTTCAGATTCCTTTAGGGAGCCGCAATACTCACTATGAGGATCTTTTTATGAAACTTTGTTGACCTCACTGCAAATCCTGATACACTACATATTTTACTTTTCTACCTTATTTTCCTTATGTGTTTATTATATCCTCTTATACAAGAATCATCCAGACTGTTGCTCGTTCTTCTAGCTGCTTTAACTTAAAACAGGGAGATTTAAAAGAGTACTTCATCTTCAAGTGAATAAACTAGTTCCTATATTTATTTTACCTTTAGTCTAAGCATTTACCAACATTGTAATTTTCTGCTCTTTCCTTGCTTTTACATTCTGCACACTTTATTTTATTTTTTTGCTACATTTTTCTGTCTTTGGCTCTAGTTTAATTTATGTGCTATAATCTTCTGGCGGACCACATACTGTCCCCTAATATAACTTAGAGACCTTCACTAAAAACTGCATTTTGTTATGAGTGGTACTTGTAGAATGCACACCTTAAGTAGCTTCAGAATGGAAACAAATGCTTATTTTTCATCAGGGATTCCATTGATTTGAAAGAAAGGTTTTCTGGGATAGAGCAATCAAGAAGATCATCTCTCCATGAAAAAGTAGTCATGTGTCAGTCACTTTCTGGGCCAGTTCCATTTGATGTGAAAGAACTGATACTTGGAGTTGTAAATGCACAAAGTCTTAAAATTCTCTATGGGACAATTATTTGTGTGCAGCAAACAAATATGTGTTTGCCAGAAAATCATCTTCATCAAACCTGTGTTTATGGAGAGGCATGGGCATCTAAACATTTTTGAGAATTTTACATACTATATCTGATTTTTTTAAAAGGCACCACTTACTTCCGTTATATGTTGTGATTTATGATTGATAAGTATATTACTGAAAACAGAAGGTTTTTTTTTTCTTTTCTTTTCTTTCTTTCTTTTTTTTTTTTTTTTTTTTAGAAAAAACCATACTTCTATGTCACACACATTTTGCTCTGTGGCTTATGCAAGTTTCTCAAGAGGTCTGTGGTTGGGAGGACTCCGGCCAGGTCGGCTGTGCATATGCTTCTAGAACAATCAGATTTTCCTTCTTTGCTTGCTATGGAGTCTTTGCAAGTCTTCAGATGTCCAGTACTTGGCACCTGTAAGGCTACAAAGAGGCAGTAGATAAATATATTTTGGGGTGTCACTTCCATGAAATATAGTTTAAAGTTTTGTCAGCACTGCTATGCCGCCTAGGGACTGAAACCCATTCTGTTTCTTTCTCTTTTGTGTGATCATTTGCTATCTCCACAGAGGCATTTGTGGACAGCAGTCTCGGTGCAGTAAAGATGTTATTATGTGCAAGGTTCTGTGGCAGAGGGGACTAGCAGACAGGACAGACGCCAGAGGCTGATCAATGGCCATAGGGCAGGACAGGATCAGAGTGAGGGGCCAGCAGGACACTCGCGTGCACCTGCCTCTGGGTTCACTCTGAGTGCTCACAGGCCTCGGTCATGTGTTGGCTCACAGCCAATTGGCATCATTTCATATTGTTTCCTCCAGGCCTGGGCTGATGAGAACAATGGAGCTGTATTTTGGATACTTTATTCATGAATAATCAAGTCAACATTCTGGTATAATATACATCTGTGAAATCTCTTATAAAAACAATAAAATACACATTTACTTGTTAAAATTATTCTTACTGTTCTATATGCTACTAATGAACTAATTATCCCTAAAATTCTTTTGTCTTTCAGAATTGTTTTCTTTAGAATACATACATACATTTATGTATGTATACATATAGACATATGTGTGTGTGTGTGTGTGTGTGTGTGTGTATTTTACTGTTGTTTATCAAAGGTCTCCCCAAAAGGCCTGTGTTTATGATTACAGAAAGCAGAATGAAACGGTCCAGCAAATTCTTTAGTGTGAGCTACGGAGATGCAAAATAACAAAGAACTGACTTCCTGGGTAGAAACTGACTTTCACTGCTTGAGGGTTTCTGTAAACTGAAGAGAAAGGACCAAAGCCTTGGCTGTTAACCATGAATATTAGCTCTAGGGCCATTTAAATCTAAGCAGTTCAGGTCACCCCCCTCACCCCCCACAAAATTCCTAAATATCCTCATATGAATGAGGCAGATTTCAATCCTGTTTCCTGTTAGGCAGAAAATTCAAATGGAAAATATTCCATTTCAGATGTTTGTCCATCATGCAATCAAATATTTTGGTATGTACGATGTGCAAAACAATGTACTATACTAGGTGCTACTGTGTTTTGTCTTTTCCCTTGAATCAAAACCAGTAATGAATAATAGAAATAATATATGTATTAAAAATTAGAGCAAATAATCAGTAAGTGAAAATTATTGTGATACCAGGAAAATACATTTAATTGGTAAGAACAACAGAGAAAAAAGTAAATAATATAAGAAGATAATGTAATGTAATAAATAAGAGCACCTAGAACCAATAAATAAGAGCACCTAGACCCCAATTAAACCCAAGGTTTAAATTTGGGGTCTGTCATTAACCTGCTGTGTGGCATTGGGCAAGTCACTAAATCTCTCTGTGCCTCAATCGGCATATCTGCAAAATGAGCATCAAAATCAGGCCTATCTTGTGGGATTGCTCTGAAGATGAAATGAGTAAGTTTATGTGTGAAAAATACCTTGATAAATATCAGGAATATAACAGCATTCAGTAAATGGTAGGTGCTACTACTGCTGCTACCATTACCACTATCATCATTACATTAAATGATGAAATCTTCCAGGAAGCAGTGAATCTCAAATGAAATTTGTAAGGAGAAATGTAGATGGGTTAAAAGAATGAGATGATGAAACTAAGAATATAGTTTCTTCCTAATAGAAGGTCCACAATTCCTAGTCATCAGAATGCAGCTTTTTTTTCCCCATCAGTTCCTTCTTCCTCTTGTCTATTGTTCCTAAACCTCTCTAGAGACTAAGTATATCTTGCTATTCTGAGAATCTCTTGGTCCCCTCTGTTTGAGGGATCCAGTCAGCATAGTAGTTGCTATTGGACCAGAACAGGAGACTCATTCAAATTTAGGCCTCTATGGCAAAGCAAGCTCATTCCTCTTTTGGAGAGAATTTAACCTGTGATTCTATAAAAGGAATGTATTTTATAGAAACTCTTAGTAATTATGTTTTAGATTCAATAAATTGGTTATATTTAAAATCCCTTTCTCTTGGTCAGTAAAACTAACCTTTTTTCCTACAATAGAATGTTCAAATTAAATATGCATATATTTAACTTGATCACACTGGTTGTTTTCTTGCACTATTTTTATGGAAATAGTATGAAGACTGAACAAATAACCTGTGGAGATAAGACAAAGTTTAAATTTTTTTTTATTCTCTTTGTTTTTTTATTCCATTAATCTCATTTTGAAGTTACTATTTTAATTGTCATTTAATTATTTTTTATTTTTATTTTTATTTATTTATCTATTTATATTATTATTATACTTTAAGTTTTAGGGTACATGTGCACAATGTGCAGGTTAGTTACATATGTATACATGTGCCATGCTGGTGCGCTGCACCCATTAACTCTTCATTTAGCATTAGGTATATCTCCTAATGCTATCCCTCCCCCCTCCCCCCACCCCACAACAGTCCCCAGAGTGTGATGTTCCCTTTCCTGTGTCCGTGTGTTCTCATTGTTCAATTCCCATCTATGAGTGAGAACATGCGGTGTTTGGTTTTTTGTCGTTGCGATAGTTTACTGAGAATGATGATTTCCAATTTCATCCATGTCCCTACAAAGGACATGAACTCATCATTTTTTATGGCTGCATAGTATTCCATGGTGTATATGTGCCACATTTTCTTAATCCAGTCTATCATTGTTGGACATTTGGGTTGGTTCCAAGTCTTTGCTATTGTGAATAGTGATGCAATAAACATACTTGTGCATGTGGGAAAACTGGCTAGCCATATGTAGAAAGCTGAAACTGGATCCCTTCCTTACACCTTATACAAAAATTAATTCAAGATGGATTAAAGACTTAAACATTAGACCTAGAACCATAAAAACCCTAGAAGAAAACCTAGGCATTACCATTCAGGACATAGGCATGGGCAAGGACTTCATGTCTAAAACACCAAAAGCAATAGCAACAAAAGCCAAAATTGACAAATGTGATCTAATTAAACTAAAGAGCTTCTGCACAGCAAAAGAAACTACCATCAGAGTGAACAGGAAACCTATAGAATGGGAGAAAATTTTCGCATCCTACTCATCTGACAAAGGGCTAATATCCAGAATCTACAATGAACTCAAACAAATTTACAAGAAAAAAACGAACAACCCCATCAAAAAGTGGGCAAAGGATATGAACAGACACTTCTCAAAAGAAGACATTTATGCAGCCAAAAGACACATGAAAAAATGCTCATCATCACTGGCCATCAGAGAATTGCAAATCAAAACCACAATGAGATACCATCTCACACCAGTTAGAATGGCAATCATTAAAAAGTCAGGAAACAACAGGTGCTGGAGAGGATGTGGAGAAATAGGAACACTTTTACACTGTTGGTGGGACTGTAAACTAGTTCAACCCTTGTGGAAGTCAGTGTGGTGATTCCTCAGGGATCTAGAACTAGAAATACCATTTGACCCAGCCATCCCATTACTGGGTATATACCCAAAGGACTATAAATCATGCTATAAAGACAAAGTTTAAAATTTAAACCTGGTAAACTCAATAATTGCCTCCCTAAATTTAAATGAAACAGCAAGAATATCTTAACCAATATCCTGACATTGTATACTATACATGCAGAATTTCCTGGTACCTTCGCTGAGTTTAATATTTCAGTGAGAAAGTTTTACATTTCAAAGTGTTCCAGGTTTTTGGCCAGTACTCAAATATCTGCCACAGTGGAAGGAAAGGGAGCTGAGTCAAGGATAAAGAGGTTTGAAAAATGAATGTGGATGCATGGGGTTCTAGCTTCGTTTTGCCAATCACCTGGCAAATTTGTGTGACCAAATGCAGAGGCTCTACCCTTACCCTCCCAGATTTTTAGTTTACTCACTGTATGTTATTGTCAATTTGGGCATCACAAACCATCACTTTTAGCTGTAGAGTTCTGATATTCATAGTGCTTCTTCAGATATTTTGTTTCTATTATAAAAAACATATTTGTAGTAGAGGCCAATAAGAATGTATTACTGAGGTGATATTTTGGGTCATTATAGCCAAAATGTATTGAATGCTTATTGTTTTAAGATATTAGATTAAGCATCTTAGGCCAGGCGTGGTGGCTCACACCTTTAATCCCAGCACTTTGGGAGGCCGAGGTGGGCGGATCACAAGGTCAGGAGATCGAGACCATCCTGGCTAACATGGTGAAACCCCATCTCTACTAAAAATACAAAAAATTAGGTGGGCGTGGTGGCAGGCGCCTGTAGTCCCAGCTACTCGGGAGGCTGAGGCAGGAGAATGGTGTGAACCCAGGAGGCGGAGCTTGCAGTGAGCCGAGATCTCGTCACTGCACTCCAGCCTAGGCGACAGAGCGAGACTCCGTATCAAAACAACAACAACAACATAAAAAGATTAAGCATCTTGTAAATATTGTGTAGGTTAAGGTAATCTTTACAATAATAATACTGTGAGATTACTATTATTATACTCAGGTTGCAGGCAAAGAACTGGGGCAAATAGAAGTTAAACATAATGACAAAAGCAAACATATATATATATATCTACTAATATCCATTACTTCTTTCTTCCTAAATAAAATCTCTGATTTTTAGCTGAACACCTAGAATAAAAACTACCCTTCCCAGGCCGGGCGCGGTGGCTCACTCCTGTAATTCCATCACTTTGGGAGGCCGAGGCGGGCGGATCACTAGCTCAGGAGATCGAGACCATCCTGGCTAACACGGTGAAACCCCGTCTCTACTAAAAATACAAAAAATTAGCTGGCATGGTGTCGGGCGCCTGTAGTCCCAGCTACTCGGGAGGCTGAGGCAGGAGAATGGCGTGAACCTGGAAGGCGGAGCTTGCAGTAAGCAGAGATTGCGCCACTGCACTCCAGCCTGCAAGACAGAGCGAGACTCCATCTCACAAAAAAAAACCAAAAAAACAAAAAAACAAAAAAAAACTACCCTTCCCAGCTTTCCCTGCGATTAGGTGTTGTCATATAGCTATACTATGGTCAATAGTTGTGTTGTTGTGTGGCAGCTTTAGAAAACTTCAACAGACAAAGTCTGCCTGTGTTCTCTTTCTTCTTCTTCTTCTTTTTTTTTCTTTCTCCTATCTGAAATGCAGATACCATGCTTGAGGCTCTGGATGCCATCTTGAACCATGAGGAGGAGGACCTCACCCTCTGGATGGCAAAACTGTCCCTAAGGTCACTATGAGACTGAGTCTTTATGCTACTCTCTTAATAACTAAGTCCAGGCTTTTACATGAAAGAGAAATGAAGTTATCTAGTTTATGATACAGATATTTTGGGTCAGAATCAAACTCAATCTTAACTAATATGAGTATATTGGCTAAAAAAATACAGCTAATGAGCAGCAAAGCTAAGATTCAAACCCTGGTTTGCCTAATCAGAAAGGGCACAAATGCATTGCTATAGTGTTATACTAACCTTGTAAGTAAAAGGCTCTTCACTCTACAATATTAGACATTTAAAATATGTATACTTGATCCTGGAGTAGTTGATACTTTGTTTCCAGTTAGTCTGTTCTCCTAATTAAATTTGACTCTGGCTGACATTAAATTGGGCTCTATACCCCAAACACATACATACAGTTTTTGGCAAGAGAAAGGGTCCCAAGAAGGACAGTTCGACCTTAAATTTTTGTTGCAGATGCTTGGACAACATGGATAATGCACACCAAAGCTCTTGAAAAATTAGATTTCCATGAAAATAATTCCCAGCTACCTTCTTCATTTTCATTAAGGAAAATGTACCTGAAGGACTTGCTCTGTGAGAAGCTGGAGTCTGTATCTGCACGTGGAAACCGTATTGCTGGGGACCACATTAAATAACCCACATAATTCAAATAAGCAGCACACCAACATGGCACATGTATACATATGTAACAAACCTGCACGTTGCGCACATGTACCCTAAAACTTAAAGTATAATAATAATAATAATAAAATAAAATCATGTAACTTTTTTGGCTATTTTAAATAAATGGATTTGAGATCTCAATTATATGCAAGATACCTCAATTCTGCACTCAACATTATAAATAAAATGATAATGAGCTATAGTTTGTCTTTAAAGATAATGGCAGCAGGAAGAGCAGAAAATAATCATTGTAGATAGTTTGATTTCACAGCTCACATCCCAAGAGAACAAATGAAAAGCTATAAAATTTATAAGAATTCATAAGGTGAACTCAGTTACAAATATTAGTAGTTTTCTGTATAATTGACATAATCATCTATTATAGTGGAAAAATCTTATTCATATTAGCAATCAAAAAACAAAACAGGCTGTGCGCCGTGGCTTGTGCCTGTAATCCCAGCACTTTGGGAGACCAAGGCAGGCAGATCACTTGAGGTCCGGAGTTCAAGACCAGCCTGGCAACATGGTGAAACCCCATCTTTACTGAAAACACAAAAATTAGCTGGGTGTGGTGGCACGCGTCTGTAATCCCAGCTACTCAGGAGGCTGAGGCAGGAGAATTGCTTGAACCCAGGAGGCAGAAGTTGCAATGAGCTGAGATTGTGCCATAGCACTCCAGCCTGGGTGACAGAGCAAAACTCCATTCCCCCCCGTCCCCAAAAAGAAAACAATGAAATAAATACTTAAGAGTAACTTTACCAATAAATATACCAGACTTTATTTTTTTCTAATTCTCTGAGTGCTTTAAACAATGATTTAAATTAATAAAAAGACATTACATTCTTCTATGAGAGGACTGGATATTGCAAAGTGTTGGCTTTTCCAAATTAACTTATTGGTTATGTCATTATAATCAAAATTATATTGGAATTTTATGAGTGAGAAAAAGAATTCTAAAGTTCACCTGGAAAGATAAATTAATAAAAACAACTAAAATAATTTTAAGCATTCATAATATGACAACTTTAGATTTTAAAACATTATAAAAGTAAAATAACTAAAACAGTGTGATATATATAAAAGTATAGACAGACCAACAGACCTCAATATATGTAACAACTCAATAAATGACAGAGGTAATTTAAAAAAAAATCAGGGAGTAATAGATTACTAAATATATCATGTTAGGATATTTACTACTTAGAGAAAGGATTAATCTCAGGCCTGGAGAAAAGAAAGTAAACAAGTCCTTTCTTGTGTGAGAAAATTAGAAAATGGTTTATATGAACAGGACACTGAAGCCAGCTCAGAGCGGTTTCCACTAGTTAAATCAGGGAAAATTTGAGCATCAGAAGGATGACTGACAGTAATGAATTACAGTGCACTGAATAAGACAATTGAGAGTCCATAATGATACTGAAAATATAAATAAATAATAAATATAAATAAGTAAACAAAGGAAGGGAGAAACTGTATTTTTGTTCATTTGTTTATATTCTATTCACCGTTAGATAAAAACTAATAGAATAAATGACAGAATTTGAGAGCCACCATTTTGCCACCATCATAAAAACAATTGATTTGGGCAAAACTCATCAATGGAAACTAAAACTATTGAAAGTTTGTTGGATAGTCATATACTGAGTCTCAGAGTATCTTCCCACAGATTACTTATTAATCAGAAAGTTATAAAAGGTACCTTTGGAAAAAGGGAGAAGTGTGGCAAACACCACCTTAACTGAAAGATTAAAGTTAATCTCACTAAAAATGGGACCAATTGAACTCATGTGCCTCTTACTAAAGGACACAGATCGCTTATGTCATAGTCCTGGAGAAAATGCATAACCTGAAACCAATCAAGGGGAAACAATCACACAAAGGCAAATAGAAGGACATTCAATAACACAATTAGACTGTACTCTCCTGTGAATTCTGTCTCCTCATCTCTCCCATCCAATAAATCATCTCGTCCTGTTGACTTCACCTCCTAAATATTACTAGAATCCATTCACTTCTCTCCATCCTCTCAGTTACATCATGTCACCTAATTGCTAAAACAGTTGCTGGCTGTGTTCCCCTTGAATCCATGGTTCACAGGTTAGCCTGAGTGATCTGTCTACAGTATAAATCTGATCATGCCACTTTCCTGCTTAAAAGGTTTCTCTGCCTTTCAGTGGCTCTTAGAATGAATGCAGCCTCTTAAATCTGTTTAACAAAGCCCATTCTGATCTGGCCCCCCACTTCACCCTCTAGCTGTATGCTTTGACAGCCTCCACTGCCAATACCATGTTCTCCAAATGTGCTACTTCTTTCAGTTACCAGATTGAGGTATGTTCTGTTCTGCACCAGCTTTTTACCTACGCCTGGAATATTTGCTGTTTCTATACTTTCTACTCAACTACTCTCTTTTTGAGACAAAATCCTATTCACACTTCAGGTTTTAGCTTAGATAGGTTTTATTCCTAAAACTTTTTCTTGTCCCTCCACCTGGACCTCACCCAAGCCCAAGTTAGGTGCTCTGTATGAATCTGCCATGCCCAGCTCAGTGCTTCTCATACTGCATTGTAATTCCTTGTTTAAAGTCTAGTTCCCCTAGTTGTCTGTAAGTCTCACAAGGGCGGGAGCCAAATTTGTCTTCTTCACTGTTTTGTTACTGTCCGCCTCAGTGCTGGGGACAAGGCAGAAATTCAATCAATGTTTTGATGGAATGAACGGACAATGTAGTTGCAGCGGGGGGAGAAAAAGAGGCATTTTACAGAACAGTAAATATTTCAAGTAGAGCAAATCATAATATTTAAAGGCTGAGGAGTAAGAACATTTCTCAACTTTCTATTTAAAAAGGATTGTCGACCGGGCGTGGTGGCTCACGCCTGTAATCCCAGTGCTTTGGGAGGCCGAGGCGGGTCGATCACGAGGTCAGGAGTTCTAGACCAGCCTAGCTAGTATGGTGAAACCCCGTCTCTACTAAAAATACAAAAATTAACTGGGCGTGGCGACGTGCGCCTTTAGTCCCAGCTACTCATGAGGCTGAGGCAGAAAAATTGCAGGAACCCGAGAGGTAGAGGTTGCAGTGAGCCAAGATCGTGCCACTGCACTCCAGTCCAGGCAACATTGTGAGACTTTGTCTCAAAAAACAAACAAACAAACAAAAAGGATTCTCTATGCCCACCTTTTAGTTGGTAAATATCATTCTCCAATAAGAGAAACCAGGGCTTCTTGGAGAAGTGGTTGATTCTGGGAATGGGACAGGAAAATAGATGAACTTGGAACATATCACAGAACCTGAACGCAAGGATGGGCTCCAAAGAGAATGGGGTGAGTTGAAAGGACACAGGGATCAAGCAAAAGAAATTCAAATTCAAATGGAAAAAGCTAGACAAATGTAACCAGTAAAATAAATAAATATTATTGAATTGTCGTCCAAAGAATAGGGGAAGATATCCATACCAAAAAATCCATACTGATACGAATTAACTGAATAAACAAATACATGGGGAGAAGACACAGCTCTTCCTTACAGAAGAATTCCAATTAGTAAACATAGAAGAAATGAGGGAAATAGATATCACAGGGTAAACATCACGGTAATAATTGTTGCAGGCAAGAACCATCAATAGATCCTTAAATTAATGGGTAAATGTTTAGGGAGGAACAGAATATTTGTATAGCCTCAAACTATCTTCCCAGTACATTTGCTAATTACAAAGGGAAAAAAATAGTGACATTATAGTCCGAAGACTTGGCAGATACCACATCAACCAAATGACCAAACTTAACATGACCAGTAATAAGACATATGGACATGGTATACTCCAAAATGATTCACTGGGAAGCACAAAACATCACTTGTGTGGTATTTTTGTTAAAAGGCATAATTTCAATTTAATTATGAGAAAATATCACGCAAACTGAAATTGAAGGGCATTCTAAAAAACAACTGATCAATACATTTCAAAGAGTATAAATGTCCTAAAAGATAAAGAAAGACTAAGGAAGAGTCACAGATGGGAGGAAACTAAGAAGACATGACAACTAAATGCAATTCTGGACCTTGTGTTGGATCCTGTCAAAGAAAAAATGACATGAGTGGAAAAACTGGTGAAATCTCAATAAAGTCTGTTGGTAGGTTAATAGTAGAGGGAAAAAGTGTTGTCTTAGCAACCAGATTATTGTGGAAGAAAGCAACTGTTTGCAAACACATTAAAGTACGTTGAAGGTGTAACACATATGAAATGACACATTAATATTCAAGATGTCAAAACATTGATTTTTTTTCTAAATTAAAATAAATCCTTCAAGGGTGCCTGTCATTTGCCAAAGTTCTAGGAAGTCTAACAATAGCATTTAAAACATTTCTGGTTTCCTCTCTCTCCTTTGAATTGTGGCAGAATACGTGGTTTATATAGTCCAGATTATCCATTTTTTATAGACTTACTGTTGGTCCTTCTGCCACAAAATACTGTGGTGTGCTGATCTCCTAAATTTGGTCAGGCCTGGTGGGCTTAGAGTAATGCTTCCCCTTGAGGCTTGGTTAGCAGGTGCTTGTTGTAGCTCTTGGCGTATAGAAATGGCTCATTTTCAGGCCCACAGGACCCTTGGAACCATTGTCATCTGAGGTTCTGCTAAGACTGGGTCCCTGGGTGCAAGTAAAGTTTTAAGTTCTACAATAAGAAAATGACCCACACTTCTCTCCACTTTCTGATATGTCTTCACCTCTTAGGAAAGACCCCTGTAGGGCAGGGCCACTTGCCTTAGCACAGCCTCCAACATCCCCTCTTTGCCAGGTCATGTATGTGTGTGTGTGTGACAGAGAGAGAGAAAGAGTAAGAGAGAGAGTGTGTGTGTGTGGATAGGTGTGTGCTTGTCCATGTGCTGGTGATGGTAAAGGGGATGTTTACAGGATGGGCTCTGTCCCCACAAAACTAAAGTCTGTCAAGTGCACCCTAGGTGATAAAATCCTAGAGCTCAGGCACACCAAGCCTTCTTTCTCATGAGAAAAATTAATTTAAAATTGTAATTGAATTTTAAATTATGAAGTATAGTCTAACATGCACAAAGAAGAGAGAATAATACAACAAACATCCATTTTTAGATGTTAATATTTGCTTTAGTAGAAAATTTCCTAGTCGCTCTTTTGCTAATGAGCAACAAACAGCAACAAAACATGAAGTAATTAAATGACTATACATCACTTTGCTGTAGTAGCTTTCCTCTCCAAACACATGATTTCACTTTATTCTCATGTACTTTTAAAAAATAACACATTCACAAAAGAACTGGATTAAGCAATACTTTGAAGTCATTATACTTAAAAGAACTTGAAAGTCATAAATAATATTTCTTTTAAAAATAATATGAACTCAGATTTTTCAAGTTCACCTTCCCACTAATTAATGAGGTTTTTTTAAAAAAATTTTTTTTCAAAATTCAGGACCGCAGTTTTTGTTTATGATTCACTTCCTGTGCCTTAAATGCTCTGAAGATGTTATTTGATTTATAATATTTTACTTAGGAAAGTCAGTACAACAATTTATTCATGGACTGGTATCACTTTGCTCACGTCTCCTGCACTTTTAGAAATAGGATGTCCCCTCTGAGGAGCAGTTTAAAAGGAAAACACCCTAAGCAACCCATGACTAAGACTGAGCACATTTCAAACTTTTTTCCTGAATGAAGAAGTAGTTTACTCACCAAAATATTATTAACTCCATCCAACACCTTGTTCTGATATTTTGAAGTTGATTGATCATTGATTTGACCAAGATGCCTGGCTTCACTTCACTAAAATGATTAATGTATGTGGGTCTGGGCGCAGCCACAGCACTGCCGTTCCGGTCTCTCAGATGAAGCAAGGGAAGTATTGGTCAGAGGCCCTCAATACACCCCAGAGAATTCTCTCAGAGACACAACAACAAGAAAGACAATCTTTCTTTGAGATTGATGAAAATAAGAAGAGTGATTGCCTGAACCCACAGATCTTGGCTGAGGATTTCCTGGAGGAAAACGTTAATTTTACCTCAAATCTGTTCCCTTCCATGTCCTGAACAAGGGTGACTATAAAGGTTACCACATAGTTCACCAGTGTCCCTGAATCTTGACACTCTATAATTGTGGAAGAAGGGCAGGAGATTGCTTGTACTCCTTTTATATTGTTTCCCCGTCTTCTGCTTCACTTATGCAGCCTGCACAATACTCATATGATGGTTGATTTTAAGTGCCAACTGGGCCAGGCTGTGGTGCCCAGTTGTTTGGTCAAACACTAGTCCAGATGTTGTGCTGAAGGTATTTTGTACATGTGATTAACATTTACAATCAGTTGACCTTAAGTAGAAGAGATTACCCTCTATAATGAGGGTTGGCCTCATCCAATCAGATGAAGGCCTTAAGAGCAAAAATTGAGGTTTCCTGAAACCCTGCCTGACTTTCCACCTACCGGCCTGCCCTACAAATTTCAAAAATAACTGCCTCTCAAATTGTGTGAACCAATTCCCTAAAATAAATCTCTGTATCTCTCTCTCTCTCTTTCCCTCTCTCTCTATATAGCGGGAGATAGAAAGATATAACCATATATCTATATCAATTGATTTATCTATCTATCTACCTAAGCTATTTGTTTTATATATCCAGAGAACACTGGCTGAGACAACTTATTACAGGTTCATTCTTTCTCTCTCTCCCTCTCTCTCTCTTCTTTCTTTCTCTTTCTGTCTCTTCTTTCTTTGTTTTTCTCTCTTTCTCTCTCTTTCTCTCCTTTCTTTTGCAGAGAAAAACCTTTGTTTTGGCCTCCAAAAAGATATTCCATTCTACCCTAAAAATAAACAATTTCTTTATTTATTGTATGGTGTATTGTATTTCTTTATCTTTTGTATGATGTTTAGATTTAGCTACCCACATGAAAATTGTTGGATTGGGTCTGGGAAGTCATTCATATTTTGATAGATTCCCCCCCGCCCACCACCATTTCCCTATTTCACAGCATTAGCCTAAAAAACAAAGTATATCTGATTCATCCTCAAAGGAGGATTTTCTTAAGCTCATAAAATTCCTGATAAAGGGAGTAAAAAGGACACAAACAATGCTGTATTTCACAATGTAGAACACAGTAAGACCCAGAAACATCTCCTAGGTATGAGAATAGTCAAAGGATTATAATATTTGAGTAGTAAGAACAGAGGGAGCTGAGGCCCTTACTTTTGATGTTATCTTCAACTATATATAAGACGCTGTATATGTATGCAAAGCACAGAATATAGCAGTGCTTTCCTTTATTGATTTTTACTTTCATGAGATTTTTTTTTTTTTTTTTCTGAGATGGAGTCTCGCTGTCTCTCAGGCTGGAGTGCAGTGGCATGATCTCAGCTCACTGCAAGCTCCGCCTCCCGGGTCCACGCCATTCTCCTGCCTCAGCTTCCCGAGTAGCTGGGACTACAGGCGCCTGCCACCATGCCCGGCTAATTTTTTGTATTTTTAGTAGAGACGGGGTTTCACTGTGTTAGCCAGGATGGTCTCGATCTCTTGACCTTGTGATCCGCCCGCCTTGGCCTCCCAAAGTGCTGGGATTACAGGCGTGAGCCACCGTGCCTGGCTTTTCCTGAGATTTTAAAAATAGTCATCATTTTTCTGGCCTGACACTTCATATGTTAACTTTGATCTTAGGGTAACTTCTTAAAGCCAGGTCATGAATTCTCAAAAAGAAGGAATTATGTGGAAAAGTGTCCAGTACTCTGCTGTGATAGCAAGAAATAGGTGTCAATAATATGCCTGATAGCCAATTTTTCTAGTTGTTCTTCTGATGCTAGTTACACTACAATGGAAATTAGACTCACAACTGTGTAATCTCCTTGTTGGCACTGTTTGAATAGCCTGCTCCTTTTTTAGCAGCATTTTCCCCCAAACAGGCTAATTTTGGAGAGTACGTTTGAATGTGGAAAGAGACATTTTAATCTGGAAGCATTTATTATAAACTCACATTGTTACAGCAAATGGCCCACATTCAAGAAGGAAGCACTCTCTTATCATTTTTCGCCTTCCTTGATCTTCTGTTTGAAACAGAATGGATATGTATTGAATGTGCTAACTTGGTAAACATGCACTTTTATGGTGTCTCTGTGAGCTGGCTTTGAACACGGTTCAGAGAGGTTTACAACAAAGAAGCCAGTCGGTGTCGGTTCGCCCAATGTCAACTTAAATACCAGGTTTATCCATGACTAAACAATATGTTACGGGGATTTTCTTCTCAGAGCTTTGCTGGATTGGACTGTTTGTTTGGTATCACATAGACCTGGTTTAATTTCCTAAAATTCATGGCTTCAGTGACAACCAAGTATATTTGCTGATGATGAATTTGAGCACTTATTTTTTTCTCTGTCTAACAAAACATACCGCAGACAACCTCATTCCCAACAGCCTAACAATAAGTAAGTTAGCATGTGATGCCTATGACTTCAACTTTAAAAATTTATGGTGCCTCTATTTATTCTTGTCAATTTTAAGAGTTAATGCAGCTTCTTGAAAAATCGTTTAAGGGCAATGCGGTAAAACATGGGCATGTCTCACAGCAGAAATGTGAGATTTGCTCATATACAAAATCAAAACGGATCATAAAACAGCCACTGAAACCTTTTGCCAATTGTCTGTAAAAGGAGACCCCTAATGACCTACAGCAGGAATATAGATGCAAAGTCGTACTTTGCCTCATGCCCTGGGGAGGTTTTTGGCCTTAAGATTTTGTCTCCTTGCTGCCAAATGCTGAAGCCAAGTGCATTGCTAAAGCTTTAGACACATTTTCATCAATAAAATTTCTTATAAAACAGATCCTGAAAATGCTGAACCTATCTGCCAAGTAGCCAATTAATTATTTTACATCTTTGTTGAACAATGGGTAAAGGTTTTACCATCACAAATCAGTGTTCTGAAAACCACAAGGCCTAGCTTTCAATTAGCAGGAAGCATCACAATTAGGGATGAAAAGAAGTAATGCTGCATGTTGGAAATTCTCCCAATAAAGAATAAAACTCCCAAGGAACAATGACCCAACTAATTTGAGGGAGTTAGGTTTTTAGAAAACCAGATCCTTGTTAAAGGGTAAAGCTCAAACACTGCTCAGATTCCTAGATGCCTCAGTCTTCTCATCCACCCTCCCAGTAGCCCTTTCTTTCCATAAGTTGTAGCTATTGAATTTGGACTATGCTTCCCCACTATGTGTTAGATGCTGTGAATCCCAGTTCAAACACTGTGAGTCCACTCTATCATTGACAGGCACAATCCTGCACTGGGTCCATGGGGAATGGTGCCTCCAGTTCTATGATTCTCTGCATTTTCCAGAGAAGAGGAAAACCTTAGTACTCACACAGTTGATCTGGTTTGTCAAATTCAGGAATAGAAGGAGAGGCCCTGTAGGAGAGCATGTTTCAGGTCCCAGTCTGCTGACTTGGATCTTAAGGCAGGCCAATTGGAAACAGTGATGTCAAACTGAATAGGCCATGCAATCAAGTGTCATATTTGTTTACTTAACCAACAACCTGCAGGGAGACATAAGAAGCTGACAATTGGGAATGGAACAAGGAATTGTCTTTCAGGCTACAGTCCAGGGAAGAGGGAGACTAGAATCTTCATTCTTGAGTGAAATTCCTGAACCTTCTGGAACCCTGGGATATTTAAGTAGCAAGAGGTGTGTGTGTGGCGGAGTGTGTGGGGGGATGCAGAAGTCTCTAGAAACAATTTCATATGATAAAATGGGATGAAGCTTCTATTGAGAAGCTTGACTTGTCTTCTTGAGTCTCAGTATCTCCAGTATCCTCCGGGATATTAAGATATGTCTGTGATTGTTGTTAAATAAAAATTACAGGAGGCCATTGCTTTGGACTAGACTCCTGCACTAAGCCTCAACAGGCCAGACAAAATAAAAATGGAGTCACCCATGCTAAAGTTCCATGTCATCAAACTGAAACTAAGTTGTTGTCTAACATTCCAAGGAATCAGAAGAAAAAGATAACAGCCAATTTCCCAAACAGGCCAGTTTCAGCTTTCAATTGTCATGTGAAGTTCCCTGTGTTTTCATCTTTAACTTGAAGTGACCTGATGTTAACCAGTCAGTTATTTTTCTATTGTTCTGTCTCTCTGTCCCCATCGTATAAGTAAAGTAACTTTGAAATGACCAATCCATTTTGTTTTGTTTTGTTTTGTTTCTGCTTTCCTCAGTCCTTTTTCTGCCTATAAAGCAAACCTCCTCTGCTCCACTCATCGAGACACTTATCCTATTTTATGGAATGAAGTGTTGCCTGATTCTAGAATCACAGTAAAATCAGTTGAGGTCATTTAATCTAAATTATGTTTTAATTTTGTCTTTTGACAGGGTCCTTACTTTCAAATCTCTAACAATTTCAGGACATTGAACTTGCCCCTGGAGAAAACACCCACTCTCAACTGGCTTCGCTTGAACAAAAATTCCCAGAGTTGTGCATTTTGACCTTGGAGTCATAGGGGTGGCTCCTGTTGGAATTCCTGGAAGCCACAGATTTACATCAGAGAAAAAAAAAAAAAATTGGCTTGGCTTTTTTCTCTTTACCCTGTCCAGGATGAAATCCCATACTTTCAGAAACTTGTTAGTGAAAACTGTTGGCAGGTCTTAGTACATGTGTTCAATACTTGTACCTTCTCCTGTCCCATGTGAGTGAATGTTCAGCTCTGGTCTTGCGCATGTTTTCTATCTCTGTGTTGCTAGCCAAGTCAAAATCATCCACACTACTTCTTCATGATGGGCCATGAGAAAGAATACTGAGAGGAATTTGGTACAGTTTTCTTTTTGGTACCAGTTCAGCATCTGTGACATCCTCATTTTAAGGTGGCCCAATCTATAAAAGAAATTTGCATTTACAAATAAGATGAATTTGGTAGAATATAATTTTCTTTAAGAAAGGAGTTTTTATTAGTGGAATAACCACCGGCTCCCTTAATAATATACTCTTTAATGCTTCATTGCTGTGATTCAGATTTCTCTAAATCTGATTCCCAGAGAAGTTTTCAGAAGCATACTAATGATAGATCAATTGCTAGTAACATTCTTTATGGGGTCATACATAAAGTCCTTTAAGCAAATTATTCCTGAAAAATGTGTTTGAAATTCAAATGTCTGAAAGGCAAACAAAACCCAACAAAACAATGACTTATATATTATAAGGGAAATGTGTTCCCAAAGAAATAGAAATATTATGAAATCTCTGACTTGTTCAAGCATTATTTCCATAGGCTCAAGCCACCTCTGTCTTAGTCAGTTTGGGCTGCTATAACCAATATACCATAGACTAGGTGGCTTACAAAACAAATATTTATTTCTCACAGTTCTGGAGACTGGAGAGTCCAAGATTTAAGATGCTGGCTGATCCAGTGTCTGGTGAGGGCTCACTTCCTGGTTTACAGATAGCAATCTTCCTTATGTCCTCACCCAACAGAGAGCAGAGAGAGAGACAGAGAGACAGACAGAGAGAGACAGAGAGACAGACAGAGAGAGAGACACACAGAGACAGAGAGAGAGAAACAGAGAGAGAGAGACAGAGAGAGAGAGAGAATCTCTCATATGTATCTACTTTTAAGGGCACTAATCCCATTTTTGAGGGATCCACACACATGATCTAATCACCTCTCAAAGACCCTACCTCCTAATTCAGTCTGTAGCAACTGGAGCTGTGTGGTTTATACAGGATCACGTAGAAAGGTGGTACAACACACTGTCAATCACTTCCATTTTGTGTCTTCAATCTTTAAATCTGTCTGTCTCAGTCATACTGAGAACCTAGGCTAAAAAGAACATTCTCTGGTAGACAGGGGCTTGTGTACACAGGTGCCAATTTCCCCTGGGGTCTTGGAAGTCAAACCAAGCACCTACCAGTCCCCACCTTCATTGCAGAAGTCTGGGCTGAAAGCTGAGCAGTGTTTTACTTTCACACCTCCTGCTTGGATATGTTGGGTACTTTTCCTCACCACCATCACCTGAGTAAAGCCCTCTTAGGCACAAGTGACTACTTTGTGGGGGGGGTTTCTAACTGCTGCCTATCAGACAGTGGTGTTTTGAGCCAGGAAGCTGGATGACAGAAGAGGTTAATTCTTGAGGGGGTCCACAAGAGATGGATAGCTCCATTTATGTGATAAATAAGGTTCCCACCTCTGCCTCCTCATTTTGCTGTTTCCTGTTTCCCCTGCAACAAATAAACACATTATCTTAGTATTCTGTAAGCAGAATCCAAAAAATAATACGCTGTGAATTATAAAATATAATTTGCCTCCTAAAAGATCACAAACATCTTATCTTGCATTATGATGAAAGACAAGGTTGAGGCAATTATCCCTAACAGTCAGAAAGAAGGGTAGACTTTCAGGCCAGATTTTATCATTTGCTAAATTTGGCACCTCTGGGCAAGTCTTTTGATCCTTGTGCCTCTCAGTGTCCTCATCTTTACTATGGGGAGAGTCACTCCAACCTCAATGGATTGCTAAGAGATGATGTATGGGAAACCACCTTGTGTAATTCTTGGAACATCATACTACCTGAAAAAAATTTTCCATCTGAAAAATCTGTATTACTCAGTGGTGTTATAGAATAGATTCCTTTGTTCTGTTCAATAAGCTGCATTAACGTTCAGATGTTCAGCCCTTCTCTGTGTCTTTGAGCATGTGTGTGATGGTGAGGGCATGGGGAAGAGGGGACAAAATCCAACATCACTTCTTGATATACTTTTTTTCCTTTTAGGACATTTAGTTTATTTCCTGTAAGCATTCATATCCTTATCTTTTTATCTCATCTTGTGATCTAACATTGGATTAGAAGAGCTCTGAGAGGTAGGAACCCTCTATTTTATGGGAGTCTTCTCCCAGCTCAGCCTCAAAAGATGCACGCCCCCTGAGAGAGAGTCACAGCTGGCATGGCTCTGGGAGCAGATGTTTCTGAGAGAAATGCCTAGGTGGTTGGTCTCAACATAGAGCTGCAGGCGCCCCAGTGCCTGAACAAGGAATAAAAGGGATTCAGAAGTTTCCAACAAGGGGCAAAGAAGATGACTGGATATTAACCAGAGGGTGTTTTCCCTAGAGAGGACACAAGGGAAGCAAGAGCTGGTGCTCTAGCAGAGGGCTGCGTGTGGACCACTCAAGCTGAAAAGCAAATGAGAGCTGCAGTCACGTATTGGGAACAAGGATGCTGTGGGAACTGAGCAAGGGTCCCTGCAGCATCAGAAAAAATAGAGCTTTGACTGCAATTAGCAAACAAGACCTGCGCTGTATGAAGTGTGGACACCTCAAGGATGCGGAAGCCAGTAGAAGGATAAGAAGGCCCTTCCTCACCTGTCGTAATGCACTTCCTGAAGAGAGCACAGTTTATTATAGAATCACGTGAACCCTTTGGTACCGAGCTGGTCTCCGGAAATAAGGAGTTGCTGGGGGTGGAAAGCTGTGTGGTTTGTACAGGATCACATAGAAAAGTGGTAGGACACACAGTCAATCACTTCCATTTTGGTGTCTTTAATCTTCAAATCTGACTGTCTCAGTCATACTGAGAAAATTGAAGCAATTAAGAATTCAATTTGAGACTCAATAATAATTGTTTATAAACAGTATCTGATATAGTTTGGATGTTTGTCCCCTCCAAATCTCATGCTGAAATGTAATCCCCAATGTTGGAAGTGGGGCCTAGTGGGGGGTTTTTGGGTCATGGAGGCAGAGACCTCCTGAATGGCGTGGTGACTTCCCCTTGGCAATGAGCAAACTCTCACTCATGTGAGAGCTGGTTGTTTACAGGAGACTGGCACCTCCTCTTCTCTTTTGCTTTCTTTCTCACCAAGTGACACACCAGCTCCCTCTTTGCCTTCTGCCATGAGTGTCAGTTTCCTGAGGTCTTCACCAGAAGCAGTGCTGATGCCATGCTTGTACAGCCTGCAGAACTGTGAGCCGAATAAACCTCTTTTCTTTATAAATCACCCAGTCTTGGGTATTATTTTTTTTTTTTGCAACACAAAATGAACTAACACAGTATATCATTGTGATAACTCTATATCTATCTATGTATATATTTTTGAGACACGGTTTCACTCTGTCACTCAGGCTGGAGTACAGTGGCATGATCATAGCTCACTGCAGCCTTGAACTCTCAGGCTCAAGTGATTCTCATATCTTAACCTCCTGAGTAACTGGGACTACAGGCAGATGCCACCGCGCCTGGCTAATTTTTGTATTTTTTTGTAGAGACTGTGTTTTGCCATGTTGCCCAGGGTGGCCTTGAACTTGTGAACTCAAGTGATCTGGCCGGCTTGGCCTCACAAAATGCTGGGATTACTGGCATGAGCCATTGCACCTGGCTGGTAAATCTATATTTTTAACACAGAGGAACTTCATAAAGTATTTCCACATGAGGACATCTATAAAAATAAAATCATAAACTTATATAATGAAAGATGTTCTACTACTATTCCCTAGGACTGAATAATCTGCAGAAAATTTTCCTTTTCTGACAATTAATGGTAAGCTCCACAAGGTAGGGAGTTTTGTGTATTTTGTTCACTAAATTTATCCCATGCCTCAATTAGTGCTTGGAATTTAAGTGCTAAGTATTTGCTGAATTGTTAATAAGGTCATAGTAATCAGTAGGCTGGGGGAGAACGGGGAAAAAATAAGCAGGCAAACTACCTGATTTGAAAGTCCAGCTTAAATTAGAAAAAGAATATAACAGTTTTTAATTTTTAATCAACTATTCAGACACAATTTATGTAGAATAAAATTCAGCCTTTTAAATTAATACAGGCTGAGCATCCCGAATCCCCAAATCCCAAATCCAAAATGTTCCAAAATAGAAATGTTCTGAGTGCTGATGTGATGCCACAAGTAGAAAATCCCACACCTGGCATTTTGGATTTTGGATTAGGGATGCTCAATCTGTGTACAAGTGTTCTGAAGATGCTACTGTGCTGCTTAGTTACTCTGAACATATCATTTTTCACTGTATTCATGGTATGTCACTTTTTTTACTGTTAAGTACTTTTGTGTATAAGAAAATGATTGCTTCTCAGTAACATAAATTCAGTCAGGAATAATGGTGATGCGAAACAACCACAGATCATCCTCATGGGTGGCTGAGATGGCAACACCTTTGCTTTCTGATGGTTCAGTGTACACAAACTTTGTTTCATGCACAGAATTATTTAAATATTATAAAAATTACTTTCAGGCTATGTATATAAAAAAACTAATCTTGTGTTTTGACTTGGGTCCCATCCCCAAGATGTCTCGTTAGGTATATATAACTATTCTAAAATCTGAAAGGAATCCAAAACTGGAAATGCTTCTCATCCCAAGCATTTCAGATAGGGGATGGTTAACCTGTAGTTTGATATGTCTTGACACTTATTCACTAGTGTAACTACCAATCCAAATGAGGTATAAAGCATTTCTATTTCCTCAAAGATTCCTATTGTCTCTTCTCAGTTAACACTGGCAATCCCTGTACCCAGACAACCACTGATCCTATTTAGGCTCTAATGTTAGATTAGATTTTCCCCCCATTCTAGAATTTCATATAAACATAATCATATTGTGTGTACTTTTTTCTATCTGGCTTCTTTTTCACAGCATAATGTTTTGCAGCTTCATCCATGTTGCAGTGTGTATTAATAATTCATTTCTTTTTACTGTTAAGTATTATTCAATTGTATGAATATACCATCATATATGGTATCCACTAGCTTTTTTGACATTTAATTTGTTTCCAGTTTTTTTACTATTATAAATAAATATGTAATGTGAACTCTTATATACATAAGCACATATTCATGTGGACGTATGTTTTATTTCTCTTGGGTAAATATCTTGAAGTAGAATTTATGTGTCACATACAGATGTGTGTTTAACTTTGTAAGAAACTGCCATGCTGTTTTCAAAGTGTTAGTACCATTTTACATGCTGCCACCACCAGCAATGCAGGAGAGTTTCAGGTGCTTCACATTTTTGCCCAGAGTTGGTAGTGTCAGTCTTTTTAATTTTAGCCCTCATAGTGGGTGTATAATGGTATTCCGTTGTAGTTTTTATTTTTATTTTTTGACAGAGTCTCGCTCTGTTGCCCAGGCTGGAGTGCAGTGGTGTGATCTCGGCTCACTGCAAGCTCCACCTCCCAGGTTCACGCCATTCTCCTGCCTCAGCCTCTTGAGCAGCTGGGACTACAGGCACCTGCCACCACGTCTGGCTAATTTTTTTTGTATTTTTTTAGTAGAGATGGGGTTTCACCGTGTTAGCCAGGATGGTCTCGATCTCCTGACCTCATGATCCGCCCGCCTCGGCCTCCCAAAGTGCTGAGATTACAGGCGTGAGCCACCGCACCTGGCCATTTCATTGTAGTTTTAATGAATTATTTCCTTAAGGTTGGTGATTTTTTGTGTCCTAAGAAGTCTGATTATCCCAAGATTGCAAAGATCTTCCCCTATGTTTTCTTCTAATTTTACAAGTTTAACTTTTATGTGAAGGCTCTGACTCATTTTGACTTAGTTTTCAGCATGGTGTACAGTATTTTTGCATAAAATATCTAGTTGTTTCAGCGTCTCCCCCCATTGAATTACCTGAGGATCTTTTTTGAAAATCAATTGACTATATATGTGTAGTAATACTTCTGGACTTTCCATGCTCTGCCTTTGGTATATATATTTATTCCTTTGTCAATATCTCAGTGTCTTGCATACTATAACCTTGCATTAAATTCTGAAATCAGGTAGTGTGAATTCTTCAAATTCCTTTTTCAATATTGCTTTGGCTATTTTTGGCTCTTTGCATATAAGTTTTACTATTGGCTTGTCAATTTCTACAAAACAAGTACGAAAATTTTGATGGAATTGCATTAAATCTATAAATAAATTTGGGGAGAATTGATAATTTTCCAATATTCAGTGTTCCAGTCTATGAGCATGGCATATTTCTCCATGTATGTAGGTCTTGAATTTCTATTAGCAATGTTCTGTAGTTTTCAGTAAAGGTATCTTTCATGTTTTTTGTTAAAGTTATGCTTAAGTAGTTTAAGTTTTTTGGCATTATTGTAAACAATATTGCTTCTTAATTTTATTTTCCAGTTTCTCACTGTTAATATGTCTGCTCACACACACGCACATACACACACACACACCATACACACACACATAAGTTTCTTTACACCTACAACACTTCAGATAGCAAATGTGTGGAGTTTTCACACCAAGCAATTCTCTAGTTCTCTGTGGACACCAACTCAGAGTCCTATAAATTAATTTTGACATGATATGGAATTAGCACAGAACCCACAGGATAAGGGCTCAGTCTCACAGACTGTCCCCATCCCGTGAACTCAGGAAGGTACTTTACTTACTATTAGTGGTTTATTATAAAAGATACAATTCATTAATAGCCAGATGCATAGGTCAAGGTATGGGGAGAGGGGTATGGCATTTCCGTGTCCTTTCCCATGCACCTCCTTCTGGAACCTTAATGTGCAAATCCATCCAGAAGCTCTCCAAACTCCATTGTTAAAGGGTTTTATGGAGGCTCTACTAGATAGACATGATTGATTAAATCATTGGCTATTGGAGA
The DNA here is from genome assembly GCF_000001405.40 of Homo sapiens. Classification (NCBI taxonomy): domain Eukaryota; kingdom Metazoa; phylum Chordata; class Mammalia; order Primates; family Hominidae; genus Homo; species Homo sapiens. The sequence continues at coordinate 218,581,148 of NC_000001.11, forward strand.
TTAAGTTAATCTTCAGTCCCTTTCCTCTCCCAGGAGGTCAGGGGTGGGGCTAAAATGTTCCAATTCTCTAATTACATCCTTGGTTCACACAGGAACGAGTCCTCATCTTCAAAAAATTACCTCATTAGCATAAACTTGAATACAGTTGAAAAGGGCTTATTATGGATAACAAAAGATGCTTCTCACTTCCATAGCTCTGTGCCAGGAATCAGGCATGAAGACCAAATATGTATGTCTTGTTATAATACAATATCACACACACAGATGTATGTGTGTTTGTATATATATTTATAAAAATTTCATCTAAGCTGTCAAATTTGTTGACATAAAGTTCATGATATTCTCTTATTCTTTTGCTATTGATAGGATTTTCCTCATTCTTAATATTAGTGATTTGTGTTCTCTTTTCTATCTTGATCTGTTTAGCTAAGAATTTATAATTTAAAAAATCTTTTATTTGAGAATGTCTTTTTCTTTTAAATTTGCCTTCATTATAAAGGATCTTTTCATTTGGTGTAGAATTTTGGCTTGACAGGTTTGTTTTCTTTCAGCACTTTAAAAATGTTTCATCCTTTTCTGGCCTTAATTGTTTTGATGCATAGATAAAATGTATAATTAACCTACCAATAATTTCTGCTTGAATGCATTTTTAAAATTGGTATAAACTTCTTGTTATATTATTATTGGTAGAGTTACATTAAAGTCTAAAACTATGATTGTAGCTTGTCTGTTATTTCAGCTCTAGTGTATCATTTGTTTAGCTAAGTTACTAGTCCATACGAATTCAGAATCATTTGATTTTTCAGGTTTACTGACACTTTTATTGTCATGCTATACTGTCTTTTATTTCTAATAATGTTTTATATCTTGAAGTCTACTTTGATTTTGCACAACTATACTTTCTTTTGCTTAGTGCTTTCAAATGTTCTCTGTCTTTATAGTTAAGGTATGTCTCTTATAAGCAACAAATAGCTGGACTGTATTTCTTTGGTAATTCAGTCCAACATTTTCAGTCTTCAGGTATACTTACTCCATACTTTGATTTGATTACTGATATACTTGAATTTACATTAATATTCATATTTATCTGTTTGCTGTTTGTCCTATCTGTTTACTGTGATCTTTTCTCTTTTTTTCTTGCATTCTTTTTTTGATCAATAGTATATTTTTATATTCAATATTAATTCCTACTATCTTTCTAGCTACATATTATTTTACTATTGTTTTAGCGGTTGCTGCAGGGATTACAGCACATCCTTGACTTATAGTTTTACCAGTTCCAGGAAAGCAAAAGTGTTTGAAACACTTTAATGTCATTGGTTTTGCCTTATGTTCTGCATTATAATTTTTATACATTTGGTTCTATGTATATGTCAAGGTTCACCATACATCATCATTGTGTATTGATACCGATTTAGAGGTACTCACTGGTTTAACCTTCCTTTGATCCTTTATTTCTTCCTGTATTTCTATGTATCCATCAGGGATTACTTTCTTCTACATTAAGATGTCCCTTTCATTTTTATTAGAGGATGGGTCTGCTGGTAACTAACTCCATTATTGTGTTTCTGAAAATGCATTTGTCCTACCTTTACTTTTGAAGAATAATTTCACAAGGTAAAGAATTTAATTCTATTGTCAACTGACTTCCATTATTTATGTATTTCTGTTGAGTAGTCATCTGTCAGTCTTTTTGTTCCTTTCTTGGTTTTACTCAACACACCCTGACCCCACTGCCTTTTAAAATAGGTTTTACTCTTTCTGATTCACTATAAGCAGCCTTATTATATTGTATGTAGATATGATTTTATTTGTGTTTATCTTGCATGGTTCTCATAGTACTTCCTGATTCTGTGGCTTGATATGTTTCCTTGGTTTAGGAAATTATATGGAGATTACCCCTTTAATGTGGTTTTTCTTAGGTGTTGTTTGTCCTCTCTATTTCTGGGATTCAAATTTTTAGATTTCTTTACTGTGCCTTATGTGTTTCTTATGCTCCTTTTTTCGTATTTTCTCTCTTTTTTGGTTTTCTGCTTCTACCTGGATATTTTCTTTTCTACTGATCTAACTTCTAGTTAGTTCTCCTCTCTGCCGCTAAGTCAAATCAGGTTTTAAAATCATATATTGAATTCTTAGTTTTAATTATTGCATTTTTTGATGCTAGAGTTTGCATTTGATTCATATGTATGTATATATGTATAATATACATGTAGATAGATAGATTTGAGTTCTAAGATGAAATTCACAGTCTTATCTATGTTTGATAACTCCAAAAATTGGGTCACATGGGTATATTTTTATTTTTTGTTTTTTTTTTTCTTTTTTCTTTATACTGTTTCCATATGCCTGTTAAGTATTGATCAAGTGCTGGGAAAATTAAATGTGGTAGATCACCTTATTCCAATCAGAGAGTAAGCTGACTTGCAGCTGACTCAGTTGTAACTTTTGTAAAGCTCTATTTATTTGTGATTTGTCCCTGCTCCTAGAGTATGGTTTTCTAGGAGTCACAACTGCTCTTTCTCGGTAAACCCAAAAGTATAATTTTTGCCTCATTTTCATTATATGATTCTAGAAAACACTGTTTTTTATCATCTTTTTCAGTTTAGCTACTTAGCTTCTAGCCCAGAGTAGCATAAGGATTCAGCAAATGTCTTGAGGGGAAAAAAAAAAAAAAAAAAAACAGAGTGTCATTCCCCGTGTCTCCCTTCTCATTAGGTTTTGGCCTCTCAATGCCTGGTTTCCTTGGTAGGCTCAAACTGTAGTATTTGTCTCCCTGGTCCTGTAATATTGCTCAAGACTGCTGTCTTCTCTGTGTCTTAGCAGCACCCCTTTGCTTGAATTCTTAGGCTTTTGTTCTATACTGAGAATCAGCCAGTGCTCCTTAGGGGATATACCTTGAAGAATATCAACTCATCTGTCTGAGATTCCTTTGACTTCAGGATCTTAACTCCCCAAATTTTTATTGCCTTTGCAGATCACCAATGACTTTAAGTTAAACAAAACTGTTTTCTATTTTATCTGGCCTTGCTAGTTCTTCTGAGCTGAAATGTCCAGAAGAACTAGCTGGGCTGCAACTATTTTACCATAACTGAAGGCCAAAATCATGCTTGAGACTCCTTGAAAATGTGTTTGAGTGTGTGTGTTTTTAAAAATTTGAAATATAGTATTTTTTCTTTCCTCTTCCTCCTCAAAACAAGTTTCTCTCATACATTAATTTGCACAACATGCAAACAGTAAGTTCAAAAGCTAGCAATTGTGTTCAAGTGGATGAAGGTCCAGCAAATATTTTATCTTTTCAGGGGGACCCCACATCCACACACCATGCTTCTGACAGTTAGTGAGTGCAGGCTATGGACATTGCACATTTATTTCTAACAATAACTTCTTACCTTCCCTGCTCTGTTCTCAGTCTTAAGCCTACTTCTCCTTTATTCCTTATCTCTATCCCATTGTCAGCCAAATTCTTGCTCTTTGGACTCTAGTTTACTTAATGCAGTTTAGTCCAAGGTTTTTGCAAATGGTATTGGATTAGAGTCCCCTTATGAAGTAGGCTTTTAAAATGTTAGTAAGCTTGTTACGAATGCAGGTTTCTAGGCTTTGGCCACAGATCCTGAGTCATAGTTGGTCTGAGATGAACCCTAACAATTTGTATTTTTAGTAAGCACCCTAGCACCCTTGAAACACTGAGGAGTATTCAGGATATCCTACGTTGGCTCCCACCCCAGGGCCTCACACTCTGGTACTGGCTGACTTCACCAGTTCTCAGGTCTGGTCTGCCCAGGGCCCCGAGAAGGGACATTACTCACTGTGAGTTTTACTAATGTGGTTTTGTGCTATTTGAAGTGATCCCTGCCCTCTGGGGAAAAATAATCAGAGGATTATATAGAATTATCTCCCCCAAAGGCTATGAGGACATAGTCCATTATCCACCTTAGGTGGCAATATGGTGGATTATGTGGCATTTCATCTTTGCTACTCTCTGACTCAGAATATTTAGAATGTAAAGTTAAACCCAGAAACACCTGCCATTGATTGTCTGAACTATTCTTGGGCAATCTGGAAAACCCTTTCTCATCTGATACACATAGTCTCCCCAACATTTTAAGCTATTATTTGGAACATTTCTATTCTTTGTTTTATACTTAAGACTGTGAGCCAAGCCAAGAAGACATTTTTGTATTCCCCTGTCTCCTCCCTACCAGTGTTGGAGGAACGTCAACATGAAAGAAGAAGGGATATTATTTAGGGTGGCCTAAGGGGTAATAAGTAGGATTAATGGGATGAAATTGAGCAAAGGAAAATTTAAAGTGAACATCAGGAACATTTTCCGAAGATTGAAATCAATGATCCTGTGGAATTAAGATCCCAGGGGAGGTTGTGGGAGCCCTATTACTTGAATCAGTTCGAACTAGACTGGGCTAAATATTTGAATATAATCCTACCTTGGCAGAGAGTAAACCTGCAATAGCTGGAAGATGGAAAAAATGACCTAATAGGTCTTTTCCATCCCTGACTTCTATGAGTCATCCAATGTATGCTGTTATGCGTCACACAGCCGGCCAGACCCAGGTCATTCACTATACATTTCAGCCACAAAATCCTCAGATTCTGACTGAGCCCCAACTAAACGGCTACCTCGGCAGAGACTGAGGGTCCCTTTGGGATTTCTGGTTAGTTTATAATCAATTAAATATCAGAAATGAATGCAGAAATAAGTCATAGAAGCAGAGGGTGGTGAATAATTGAGTTCTTGTCCCTACCCTCTGGGAGGGTCACCCTCAAGGCTTTGCAGACAGTCAGAAATCTTTCCACTGCAGTTGTTGTCTGTAACTCCGCCTCTCAGGCTTGGCTGGCCTCTGGATTGTGCTGGGGCAGCCACTGCCCTCTTAACTGCTGATGGCAGGCAGACCCACCTCCTGCTGTGGCTCGGGGCCTGCTGTGGCCTTTTCTGCAGACATCACTGCCCTGCAGCGGCAGCATTAGCGTAAGGTCATTTCCTCTCGTGCCCCTGCCAGAGGAATCAGCCCTCAGGAGCATTGCTTCAGGTCTGTCAGCCCACATGAGTCCCAGAGCATTTTCTTCAAACATTATTATTATTATTAGCTGCATCCTTTCTTCAAATACAACTTTAGGAGAATATCTAAAGCTGACAAAAGCAACATTCCTTTGGTTTAAACAGGGAAGGGGACGGAGGACTCCCAGGAACTTCCTTCCTGGCCACCGCCCTGCTTCATGCCTCTTCCCCTTCATTGAGGAACAGATAGAAGCCACCATGAGGCACAGATTGAAAACACTCCTCTAGGCCCTTGCATGTATTTTCTTGCCATTTTATGCTCAATAAAACCCACAAAGCCTGAATGAAACGATTGCTGCAGCTCTAGGCTTTACAGAGCCTCCTGACAAGGCATCTGTTGTAGACATTGGTTATATATTCTCTCTTTTCCCTCCTCTGTTTGCTTAAACGCCCATGTAGCTGGTGGCTGGGAAGTGATTAGAGAAGATTGTAGAAAAGGAGGATTGGCTACTGGTGCTAACAACTTGTGTTTCACGTTAATTACATTAGACCTTAACCATTGCTTTTCCTTCTTTTGCATTTTCTCCTCTCTCTGGTGTTGTTTTGTGTAACTTCAAGTTGGCCCTAAATATGCATTACCACCTGATATTCCTAGACAGGCATGGAAATATGGAGGCATGCATACTGAGCTTTAGCACTGTAGCTTTAGGAAGTGCAGGCAGCATCTATTGCTCCCCCTATGGCAGTGGTCCCCAGCGTTTTTGGCACCAGGGACCGGTTTCATGGAAGACAATTTTTTCATGGATGGGGTTGCTGGGTTGGAATGGTTTCAGATGAAATCGTTCCACCTCAGATCAATGGCATCAGTTAGATTCTCAAAACAATTGCTCAATCTAGATCCCTTACATGTGCTGCTCACAATAGGGTTTGCACTCCTATGAGAATTGAATGCCACTGCTGATATGACAGGAGGTAGAGCTCAGGCAATAATGCTCGCTTGTCTGCCACTCACCTTCTGCTGTGTGGCCCATTTCCTAACATAACACGGACTGGTACCAGTACGTGGCCAGGGTGTTGGGACCCCTGCCTTAGGGGATGTATTAGACTCATCTCCTACACCGAAAGTGGCCTCCATGTTTTAGTTTTCTAACTCATGATTTTCAAAGCATCCTTAGCTAAAATATGGAATTCTTCCAACTAATTGGGAGATAAATAAATGGATTTGAATTCAAGTCTACTTGATGTGAAACCTATTTGATATCAGACTCTTAACCCCTGCATTGTTCTTGCTCTCGCTTAACTACAAGACCTGCAAAACAGAGGGAATTTGAATTCTGTATTTCTGGCGTACACCTACTCTGTGTGGGGCTTCCTTGGTGCAGCCAGGTAAAGAACGTCACCGGATTCGTGTTTATGTCTTTCTTCCTCTGACACTCCTTCTTTGGTGCTTTAAATTTCAAACAATTCGAGATTCAGAGAGAGGACTTAGAGGGTCAAGTCATGTGTCCTTTCTGGATCCCTGGGTAACTCTTTTTCCTATTGTTTCTCTCAGTAACCAGACATAATCTCCCCCATTATCCGGAGATAAGTACTGCCCTTAACTAAAACCTAAGGCTGTTTACTTATTTTGTTCCTTTCATAATTTCCCACCTTCATGAAAAGGAAGCTTTGAGTTAGGAGCAAGTGATGGGGCACAGGCATCCTAGACCTAGAGCGAGAAGGGCCACCAATGAGCCTTTAGTTCCTTACTGCCTTTACTGAATGAGAAAAAAGAAACCTAAAGAGAGGTTATGTGGCTCACATCCTTAAATTAGAGAATTAGGAGTGAATTAAGGTTTGACGTCAAAGTCCACAATTTTTTTCTCCTTGTTACTCAGAGAAAGAGAGACATAGGGTTAGGGCCTGAGCTTGAGGAAAATGTGGCAACTTTTAGAGAAAAGGTTTGTGTAGAAACGTTCTCAGAGGGCAATCTTTTATGAGTCAGTCCTCAGAGGGCTTTCTGTGAACACATCAGAGACATATGGATTACAAACATTTAAGATCCATATGGGTTAGAGAACAGAGACAGGGGAAAAATTTTGGCAAACACATTTGCTTTTTTAATATATGTGTGTGCCTGTGCCTATATATGTATACATATATTATCAAATTTAAAACACTTGAAAAGCAATCCCAGGCGTTTCAGCCTAAACCACAGAGTGGCTCATCCATCCCCACTAATAAGTTCCAATCCTTCTGTTGTGTGGTCTTTCCATTCCATGGGTTAGGACCCTGTAAGTCTGTTATACTTCAACCTGAATCCTGCCTGTTTTATACATTTTTAAAGATAGGTATAAAGAGACCAAATCTCACACTCCCATACAGGAACCCAACTCCCAGGAGTCAGCATTTAGCAGAATAGCTTCTTTGTGTTTTAAAATGTTTTAAGTCCACTTATAAATAAATTGGGCTATACCAGTGCTTTTGTAACGCACATTGTGAAAAATGAACGGTCAGCTTAAAATAGATTTTATTTTACTGCCAAGTGCATTATGTAAAAAATGTACTCCATCTGGCAGGACAGACCGTGTGGTCGTGTGGATGGAGCTCAGATAAGGGAGCAGTCCTTTGTGTTAAGAGAATGCCGCTCGAGACCCTGATGTCTATCAGGACACAAGCCACGATCGATGGAGCAGTTCATGAACAAACAAGCCATCTCCTCTTCCTGAGGTACACAGGCAAACTTCCCTTCCTGTGAACAAAAGCAGCCAATGCTCACCAGCCTGGAATTAGCTACTCTTCCGCCTCACTTTCTCTATCACTTGTCAATGCACCAGCTCCCAGAACGGGAACCTAGTGTGGGTCAACGTAAACCTGCAGACCCGCCTTCATCATTTCACAATAGTGACATGACCTGGAGCTTTTGACTGATACTTCTTCATTTTGGCAAAGCTGAACTTACAACAAGCTCCTTGCAATTTTTAATTTTTGCTCTTGTAACTTTACTCATATGCTCTTCAACCTGACGTATCCTCCCACTCTTTTTCCACAAATTCATATCCATCACTTTCTTCAAGGTTCAAAACAATGTTCAGGTTCTTAAGGATTGCATCCTTAACCCGATTCAAATATAATAATCCTCTTCTTTGAATATAAGTACTCTCATTTTCTCAAGCTTTTCTCTCCTCTGGGGTTCCTCTTCCTTTTCTTCATGTTTAACAAGTATCTAATTAGGCCCGTAGGAGAAGCTGGCAAATTATACCAAATATAACATGGCTGCCAATCTGAGTTTTTCAGCCTAGCAACTGGACACTCCATGAAATATCCTAGTTTCTTTAATAGGAACACTTTCTAAGAATAGATAGGCATATATCTTGATTACTAATCTCACCAGAACTCTACTAATTAGCTGTCTCCTTCTTGCTAAACTGTTAACTGATAATTGATAATCCTCGGGGTATTTGTATGTTAGTAGAGAATTGTCAAGTAAGCCAGCATTACCTTAAGCCTTTAAATCGAAACTTGGCTTTTGACTTTTGACTTGAATCGAACTTTGACCTTTGACTCTAGGCTCTTATCTCTTTAAATTGAACCACCAGCACCCAGTTAGTCCCTATTTATGGTTGAAATTCCTGGAATGGGTTCTCCCATTCCTGCTCGATGCTGCCCACCCTGTTTTGTGCTTGTGCCCTCCCAGGAGGATGATATGGAGGTTACGAGCTCAGATGCAGGAGGCCGACAGAACTGACTTTGGCACCTACTAGCTCTGTGACTTAAATCTATCTAAGCTTCAGTTTTCTTACCTATAAAACAGGGATAATATTATCCCTCTGTATTATGTTCTTAAGGAAATTACTTGAAATAATGCATGTAAGATATTTAGCTGAGTACCTGATAAAGAAACCTTGAATTTTAGTTGTTATTATTGTTGTTGATCTGAATCCTATTTTCAGTCTTGATTTACCCACAAAATGTGAGAAATTGATAGATTTTCCTTTTGAACTTTGACTCTAGGCTCTTTTCCCTAGATTTTGACACTTTTTATATGTGATTTTACATCTTCCTCTGTCCTACTCTAGGTGACTTTCGTGTCTAGTTTGTCCTCAGCTTCTGGGCTCCCTCCTGTAATATTATTCTATGTCTACTCAGGAGAGGAACATTCCAGGAGTCAAGGAAGAATTTCTACAGTTGCATAGCAAGAATCCTCATATGTAATACCTATACTACCTAAAGAATCATCACTTGCACCACTCTACCACTTCTATACCTTCCATGGCAGGTGTGTTTGGAACAGTGCTACACATACAATAGTCAACAATAAAGGTTCATGGAGTGAGGGGAAGGTGTGCTAAACAAAAGCTAACAGGGATAAAAGCATTCCCATGGACTTTTTGGTCAAAATGATTACTTGGAGTTTGTCCTGTATCTGAAATTTTCTTGAACTGGCTACTGTCATAGCAGAGTGGAATTCAGTTTTCAACTAAAAGTCACAGACAGAACTGACAAGACTTTCTGACTGATGACTTCCCATAGATGCCAGGGTCAACCTGGAAGGAACGCTGGGCAGGTGGACAAACACCAGGTAATAGCTTCCGTAGCTCAATACCCAGAGTAGGTCAGAGGTTGATAAACTCCTGGTGCCCACAGGAAACTCATAACCAGGTAGGAAACTGAGGTGGAGAGACCATGTCAGACATCAGCACAAGTTCAAGATTGTAGACATTGGAGAGCAAGATGGTCAGCACCAAAGGTAAGTTGAGACGTGAAAGTGACCAGGGAATGGGCTATAAACAGATACATTGAAACCTTGTGCTTATTAGGGGCTGATCATGAGACAAGATTGGTCTGGCTGTTGGAAAGTTCAGAGCTGGTTACACCTTTGGATTCATAGTCTACTTAAAATCTTTATTCAGGGGTTTCAAACTCAATTTTGCTATAGAGGGCTCTGTCTGTTTTTGCTTCTTTCCATCTGAACATATTAGGTACATATGGATTAAAGAAAACCAGTTTGGCATTTAAATTATATATCAGGCTGGGTATGGTGGCTTATACCTTTAATCCCAGCATTTTGGGAGGCCAAGGAGGGCAGATTATGTGAAGCTAGGAGTTTGAGACTAGCTTGATCAACATGGTGAAACCCTGACTCTACTAAAAAATACAAAAATTAGCTGGGCGTGGTGGCACACTCTTGTAAATCCCAGCTACTTGGGAGGCTGAGGCACAAGAATTGCTTGAACCCAGAAGGCGGAGGTGCAGTGAGCCAAGATCGTGCCACTGCACTCTAGCCGGGGTGATAGAGCCAGACTCTGTCTCAAAAAAATACATTATATACATCAAGTATACAAATGTTTTTTGCTTTCTTGTTTGTTTTTAAATAGGAGAAGAAGGCCCTGCTTAGCTGTGTATTTTTATCACCAAATGAGGGGCTTCAACAAACCTTTTAGTTATGTTTGACACCACATAGGCTGCTGGGGTAGGAAGAATCACGGCCCCCCCAGTGATGTCCATGTTCTAATCCCTGGAATCTGTATGTTACTTGCATGGAAAAGGGACTTTGTAGATATGGTTAAGGTAAGGCTCCTGTGATGGAAAGACTAGACTGGATTATCCAGGGGAGCTCTGTGTAATTGTGAGGGTCCTCATAAATTAAAGGGGCAGTCAGGAGAGTGCATGAGGGAGAGCTCTGAAGATGCTACACTGCTGGCTTTGATGAGGGAAGGGGAACACAAGCCAAGGGGTTCAAGAGGCGACCAGGCACTGGAAAAGGCATGGATATGAGTTTTTCTATAGAGCCCCCAGAAAGGACATCACCTTGCCAACACTTTGATTTTAGCCTAGTGGGAAGCCATTTTGGACTTCTCACCTCCAGAACCCTAAGATAATGAATTTGTGTTGTTTAAAGCTGCTACATTTGTGGTAATTTGTTAAGCAGAATACAATTGTGCTGCCACTACTACCTTAAGGACTAATTTTGTTTCAGATCTGGTATTCAGGGTGAAATTTTTTTCTCTTAGTCATTTCTTAGGAAATGCTGTCACCTGTTGAATAATTGAAACTTTATACTTCATGATCCTAAACACTTTTTCTGTAGAGAATATTAATGAGATATCAGGCATGCCTTTTGTTTATACTCATTATTCTCTTTTAAAATAATAATTTTTTAAACTTTTTTTCCAAATCCCTGTTTAAATCAGTTTTGTCTTTTTTATGGTTATCTCCTTAGGCATATTTAGAATGCCTCTTTAAATTAATTTTGAATCTTTACCTCGGAGGCAAAAGCCTGTATGTTTCTGAAAAAGTTTACAAAAAACAAACTCCATGATTCCAAAGGAAAAGTGTTTCTTATACTACTCAAATATCAGGTATTGCTTTTTTTCATTTCTGAGGCCATTTTTTTTCTTTTTGTCCTGGTCTTAGCAAACAAAGAAAAATACTCTGCAGAAGAAAATGGTAATTTGTTTTCTTCATTTGTCTTCCCACAATCCCTACATATCTCTATCTTCAGGAACCCGTAACTCCTGAGAAAGAAACTCTCTCATCCTTTTTAAATCTATTTCTTTCTGCCTGTATTTTCAATCTCACATATGTCTCATTCTTCTGGAATCTTGTTCCCTCAGTTAATCCTTTTATCTACTTCCCACATCTGAAAATGCAAACTATCAAACACATAACACCAAGTTATTTCATTGGACCCTGTTTTTTCTCTCTGTTCTTCCTTTTATTTTCTCTCTTATGTGTTAATCTATTTACATTGCTATACAGAAATACCTGAGACTGAGTAATTTATACCGAAAAGAGGTTTATTTTGGCTTATGGTTCTGTAGGCTGCACAGGAAGCATGGTGATAACATCTGCTTCTGGTGAGGACCTTACAAAGCTTACAATCATGATGGACGGCAAAGGGGGAGCCAGCATATCACATGGTAAGAGGGAGCAAGAGAGAGAGGATGGGGCACCAGCTTCCTTTTAAACAATCAGCTTTCTCAGAAACTAATAGAGAGAGAACTCACTTATCACCAAGGGGATGAAGCTAAACCATTCATGAGGAATTTGCCCCCACAATCCAACATCTGTCTCCCACCAGGCTCCACCTTCAACACTGGGGATCACATTTAACATGAGATTTAGAGGGGACAAAACATCCAAACCATATGACTTTAATATTAAATTTGAAAAAATTCTTCACTTTTCATTCACATTTCAACTCTGGCAACCTGAATCTCATACAAACCTCTCCACTGAAGTTGTTTTTGTGAAAGTCACAGATGACCTGTTGATTGCTAACTCCCATGAATATCTTAAGGTTTAAATATTCCATGTCGGAACATATAATAAGCACTAAAAGGCACATGTCAAGGTATAAAAAATGTTGCAAAACATACTACAAGGAATTGACATATTTAATCTGTAAAAGCCCCTTACAGAAATACTATTAAAAGAGTAATTTATATAATATTATAATTTAAGAAAAAATTATAATTTGTTAATGTCAGACCTCTGAGCCCAAGCCAAGCCATCGCATCCCCTGTGACTTGCACGTATATGCCCAGATGGCCTGAAGTAACTGAAGAATCACAAAAGAAGTGAAAAGGCCCTGCCCTGCCTTAACTGATGACATTCCACCATTGTGATTTGTTCCTGCCCCACCTTAACTGAGTGATTAACACTGTGAATTTCCTTCTCCTGGCTCAGAAGCTCCCCCACTGAGCACCTTGTGACCCCTGCCCCTGCCCACCAGAGAACAAACCCCCTTTGACTGTAATTTTTCATTACCTTCCCAAATCCTATAAAACAGCCCCACCCTTATCTCCCTTCGCGGACTCTCTTTTCGGACTCAGCCCACCTGCACCCAGGTGAAATAAACAGCTTTATTGCTCACACAAAGCCTGTTTGGTGGTCTCTTCACACGGACGCGCATGAAATTTGGTGCCATGACTCGGATCGGGGGACCTCCCTTGGGAGATCAATCCCCCGTCCTCCTGCCCTTTGCTCCATGAGAAAGATCCACCTACGACCTCAGGTACTCAGACCGACCAGCCCAAGAAACATCTCACCAATTTCAAATCCAGTAAGCGGCCTCTTTTTACTCTCTTCTCCAACCTTCCTCACTATCCCTCAACCTCTTTCTCCTTTCAATCTTGGAGCCACACTTCAATCTCTCCCTTCTCTGGGGGTGGTATGGAGAGAGAATGGGTGATGGTTCTCAGGGCTGCTTCAAGCGGGATTAGGGGCGGCGTGGGAACGTAGAGTGGGAGAGATTAAGCTGAAGGAAGATCTTGTGGTAAGGGGTGATATTGTGGGGTTGCTAGAAGAAACATTTGTCGTATAGAATGATTGGTGATGGCCTGGATACGGTTTTGTATGAATTGAAAAACTAAATGGAATAAGAGAAGGAGAAAAACAGGTATAAAAGGTCTAAGAATTGGGAGGACCTAGGACATCTGATTAGAGAGTGCCTAAGGAGATTCAGCATAGTCCTGCCAGCAAAGATTATTTATTTACTTCAAGAGTTTAGAGTGGCAGTTTGGGGATAGCACCAGGAGATATCAGCTGTGATGGCTTGGAGAAACAGTATAAACCGGCAGTGTAAACAAGAGCAGGGCATGTATGAGTAGTTGAGAACGGTGAATAGGAGTATGACTAGACAAAAGATAGTAGGGATGACAAGTTTTTTTGGGGCACAGTCTAAGTTGGTCTGGTGTCGAATGAGACTGGGGCCTAATAAAAAGGAGCATCTATACAGGAGCTCAAATGGGCTGTACCTTGTAACATTCTGAGGACAGGCCTGAATTCTGAGAAGTGAAAGTGGTAAAAGTATTGTCCAGTCCTTTTTAAGTTGGTGGCTGAGCTTGGTGAGTTGTGTTTTTTAAAGACCTTTAGTCCGTTCTACTTTTCTTGAAGACGGAGGACCGTAAGGGATATAAAGGTTTCACTGAATACTAAGAGCCTGAAAAACTGCTTGGCTGATTTGACTAATAAAGGCTGGTCTGTTGTCAGACTGTATAGAGGTGGGAAGGCTAAACTGAGGAATTATGACTGACAGAAGGGAAGAAATGACTGCGGTGGCCTTCTCAGACCCTGTAGGAAAGGCCTTTACTTATTCACTGAAAGTGTCTATTTAGACTAAGAGGTATTTTACTTTCCTGACTCGGGCATGTTGAGTAAAGCTAATTTGCCAGTCCTGGGTGGGGGCAAATCCTCGAGCTTGATGAGTAGGGAAGGGAGGGGGCCTGAATAATCCCTGAGGAGTAGTAGAATAGCAGATGGAACACTGAGAAGTTATTTCCTTGAGGATAGATTTCCAGGATGGAAAGGAAATGAGAGGTTCTGAGAGGCAGGCTAGTGGCTTGTACTATAGCATAGCCTGTCTTTGCTGGTGTGTGGCGATTAGGCCTGGTGGAACTGCCATCAATAAATCAAGTGTGATCAGGGTGAGGAACAGGAAAGAAGGAAATATGGGGAAATGGGGTGAATATCAGGTGGATCAGAGAGATACAGTCATGGGGGTCAGGTGTGGTATCAGGAATAATGTGAGAGGCCGGATTGAAGTCTGGGCCAGGAACAATGGTAATTGTGGGACTTAAAGAGTGAGTACAGCTGAAGGAGCTGGGGAGCAGAAAGTATATGCATCAGGTATGAGGAAGAAAATAGATTTTGGAAGTTATGAGAAATGTAGAGAGTGATTTGAGCATAGTTTGTGATTTTTAGGGCCTCTAACAGTATTAAAGCAGCGGCAGCCGCTGCACGCAGACATGAGGGCTAGGCTAAAACAGTAAGGTCAAGTTGTTTGGACAGAAAGGCTACAGGGTGTGGTCCTGGCTCTTGTGTAAGAATTCTGACCGCACTAACCATGCCTAGGAAGGAAAGGAGTTGTTGTGTTGTAGAAGGTGCTGGGGTTTGAGAGATCAGTCGGACAAGATTGGCAGGGAGAGCACGTGTGTTTTTATGAGAATTATGCCGAGATAGGTAACAGATGAGGAAGAAATTTGGGCTTGATTGAAGTAATGGGGGCTGTCTGTGAAGCTTTGCGGCAGTACAGCCTAAGTAATTTGCTGAGCTTGATGGGTGTCAGGGTCAGTCCAAGTGAAAGCGAAGACAGGCTGGGATGAAGGGTGCAAAGGAATAGTAAAGAAAGCATGTTTGAGATCTAGAACACGATAATGGGTTGTAGAGGCAGGTATTGAGGATAGGAGAGTATATGGGTTTGGCACCACGGGGTGGATAGGCAAAACAATTTGGTTGATAAGGCGCAGATCCTGTAAGGCTTGTCTGGTTTTAGGACAGGTAAAATGGGGGAATTGTAAGGAGCGTTTATAGGCTTTAAAAGGCCATGCTGTAGCAGGCGAGTGATAACAGGCTTTAATCTTTTTAAAGAGTGCTGCGGGATGGGATATTGGCGTTGAGTGGGGTAAGGGTGATTAGGTTTTAATGAGATGGTAAGGGGTGCATGATCGGTCACCAAGGAGGGAGTAGAGGTATCTTATACTTGTGGGTTAAGGTGAGGGGATACAAGAGGAGGACGCAAAGGAGGCTTTGGATTGGGAAGAAGGGCGGCAATGAGATATAGCTGTAGTCCAGGAATAGTCAGGGAAGCAGATAATTTAGTTAAAGTGTCTCAGCCTAATAACGGAACTGGGCAGGTGGGGATAACTAAAAAGGAGTGCTTAAAAGAGTATTGTCTAAGTTGGCACCAGAGTTGGGGAGTTTTAAGAGGTTTAGAAGCCTGGCCGTCAATACCCACAACAGTTATGGAGGCAAGGGAAACAGGCCCTTGAAAAGAAGGTAATGTGGAGTGGGTAGCCTCCATATTGATTAAGAAGGGGACGGGCTTACCTTCCACTGTGAGAGTTACCTGAAGCTTGGTGTCCATGATGGTCTAGGGGGCTTCTGAGGCAATTGGGCAGTATCAGTCTTCAGCTGCTAAGCTGAGAAGATCTGGGAAGGAGTCAGTCAGAGAGCCTTGGGCCAGAGTTCCAAGGGCTCTGGGAGTGGCTGCCAGGTGAGTTGAACAGTCCAATTTTCAGTGGGGTCCCACACAGATGGGATGCGGCTTAGGAGGAATCCCGGGCTGCAGGCATTCCTTGGCCCAGTGGCCAGATTTCCGGCACGTGTAGCAAGCTCCTGGGGGAGGAGGTTCTGGAGGAAGGCCTGGCTGCTGGGGTTCAGGCATTTGGAAGTTCTTGTGTGCTGGAGATGTGGCTGGTGTTTGTCTCACAGTGGAGGCAAGGAATTGCAACTTTTTTCTGTTATTGTACACCTTGAAGGTGAGGTTAATTAAGTCCTGTTGTGGGGTTTGAGGGCCAGATTCCAATTTTTGGAGTTTTATTTAATGTCGGGAGCAGATTGGGTAATAAAATGTATATTGAGAATAAGACGGCCTTTTGACTTTTTAGGGTCTAGGGCTGTAAAGCATCTCAGGGTTGCTGCCAAACGAGCCATGAACTGGGCTGGATTTTTATATTTGATGAAAAAGAGCCTAAACGCTTCTGATTTGGGATAAAGAAAAAGGAGCATTAACCTTGACTATGCCTTTGGCTCCAGCCACCTTTTTAAGAGTAAATTGCTGGGCAGGTGGGGGAAGGCTAGTCATGGAACGAAACTGTAAGCTGGACCAGGTGTGATGAGGGGAGGTGATAAAAAGATTGTAGGGTGGAGGAGCAGAGGCTGAGGAAGAATTGGGACCTAGCTTGGTCTGGAGAGGAGCAGCCTGGGGAGGAAGGGAGAGGTCAGATGGGTCTGTAGAAAAGGAAGATTAGAAAGACTCAGCGAAGCTTGGGGTTGGCACTGAGGGGACAGGCAGGAGGGAAAGAAGGAAGATTTGGGATGAGTTGCACTGGGCACAGAGACTAGGAAGGGACTGATGTGTAAAAGAATGCCTGGACGTCAGGCACCTCAGACCATTTGCCTATTTCACAACAAGAATTATTTAGATCTTGCAGGATGGAAAAATTCAAAGTGCCATTTTCTGGCTATTTGGAACTACTGTCAAGTTTGTATTGGGGTCAAGTGGCATTGCAGAAGAAAAGGAATTTAGGTTTTAGGTCAGGTGTGAGTTGAAGAGGTTTTAAGTTTTTGAGAACAAAGGCTAAGGGAGAAGAAGGAGGAATGGAGGGTGGAAGGTTGCCCATAGTGAAGGAGGCAAACCCAGAGAAAAGAGAGCATAGAGACATAGAGGGAAGGGGTTCGGGGGTTCTTACCCTCCTGAAAAGTGGGAAGGGGGGTTGGGGCACGGAAATAAGGGATTGGGGCACAGAGATAAGAGGTTGGGGTATGGAAATAAGGGATTGGGGCACAGATAAGAGGTTAGGGTGTGGAAATAAGGGATTGGGGGTTCTTGCCCCCTAGAAAAGCAGGACTTGTCGCTAAGGGTGAAGGAGAAGGGGTTGAGAGGTACTTGCCCCTCCCCCAGAAAAGCGGGACTTGGCGCTAAGGGTGAAGGAGAAGGGGTTGAGGGGTACTTCCCCCTGCCCCAGGAAAGCTGGACTTGCCACTAAGGGTGAAGGAGAAGGGGTTGAGGGGTACTTGCCCCTCTCCTAGAAAAGCAGAGAAGGGGTAGAGACAAGGAGAGAAGGGGTTGGGGTACTTGCCCCTTCCCCAGAAAAGCAGAGAAGGGGTAGAGACCAGGAGAGAAGGGGTTGGGGTACTTGCCCCTTCCCCAGAAAAGCAGAGAAGGGGTAGAGACAAGGAGAGAAGGGGTTGGGGTACTTGCCCCTTCCCCAGAAAAGCAGAGAAGGGGTAGAGACCAGGAGAGAAGGGGTTGGGGTACTTGCTCCTTCCCCAGAAAAGCAGAGAAGGGGTAGAGACAAGGAGAGAAGGGGTTGGGGTACTTGCCTCTTCCCCAGAAAAGCAGAGAAGGGGTAGAGACAAGGAGAGAAGGGGTTGAGGTACTTGCCATTTCCCCAGAAAAGCAGAGAAGGGGTAGAGACAAGGAGAGAAGGGGTTGGGGTACTTGCCTCTTCCCCAGAAAAGCAGAGAAGGGGTAGAGACAAGGAGAGAAGGGGTTGAGGTACTTGCCCCTTCCCCAGAAAAGTGGGACTTGCTGCTAAGGGTGAAGGACCAAGGCAGGCGTCCCTGCATGGTCTGACACCTTTGAAACGTGGGTGAATAATCAGAAAAGCGTCCCTGCAATGATTAAACACTAAGGGAAGGTTGCCTTCCCAGTCCGTGACCGGCGCCGGAGTTTTGGGTCCACAGATAAAACGTGTCTCCTTTGTCTCTATGGGAAAATGAAAGGAATTGAAATTAAGAGAAGGGAGAGATTGAAGTGTGGCGCCAAGATTGAAAGGAGAAAGAGGTTGAGGGATAGTGAGGAAGGTTGGAGAAGAGAGTAAAAAGAGGCCGCTTACTGGATTTGAAATTGGTGAGATGTTTCTTGGGCTGGTCGGTCTGAGGACCTGAGGTCGTAGGTGGATCTTTCTCATGGAGCAAAGAGCAGGAGGACGGAGGATTGATCTCCCAAGGGAGGTCCCCCGATCCGAGTCATGGCACCAAATTTCATGCGTGTCCGTGTGAAGAGACCACCAAACAGGCTTTGTGTGAGCAATAAAGCTGTTTATTTCACCTGGGTGCAGGTGGGCTGAGTCCGAAAAGAGAGTCCGCGAAGGGAGATAAGGGTGGGGCCGTTTTATAGGATTTGGGAAGGTAATGGAAAATTACAGTCAAAGGGGGTTGTTCTCTGGTGGGCAGGGGCAGGGGTCACAAGGTGCTCAGTAGGGGAGCTTCTGAGCCAGGAGTAGGAAATTCACAGTGTTAATCACTCAGTTAAGGTGGGGCAGGAACAAATCACAATGGTGGAATGTCATCAGTTAAGGCAGGGCAGGGCCTTTTCACTTCTTTTGTGATTCTTCAGTTACTTCAGGCCATTGGGCGTATATGTGCAAGTCACAGGGGATGCGATGGCTTGGCTTGGGCTCAGAGGCCTGACAGTAAATATGAGGCTGGGTGTGGTGGCTCACACCTGTAATCCCAGCACCTTGGGAGGCTGAGGTAGGCGGATCACTTGGGGTCAGGAGTTTGAAACCAGCCAGCCTAGCCAACATGCTGAAACCCCATCTCTACTAAAAATACAAAAAAATTAGCTGGGTGTGGAGGTGGGTGCCTGTAATACCAGCTACTTGGGAGGCTGAGGCAGGGAGAATCACTTGAATCCAGGAGGCAGAGGTTGCAGTGAGCTGAGATCATGCCACTGCACTCTAGCCTGAGTGACAGAGCAAGACTCTGCCTCAAAATAAATAAATAATTAAGAAAGCATTCACTTTGTTTGTTAGCCAAATACCTGTTAAGATATTTGTAAAGCAGACATGACTTCCAGTGCTAGTACAACTGTGGTAAAATAGGTACTCTTAGAATTATGTGTCAACTTTGTTTTTGAGGATATTCATCATGGGCTTATTACTAAGGGCAAAATTGTAGAAACAAATAAAATTTCCAAAAACAGGCAATTGGTTAAATTACAATATATTTTAAATATCAGAAGATGATATAGGTAGTTTATTAACATTGGAAAATAGTTAAGATACAGGAAGGGATGTAAAGATGTGGTGGGAGAGAAGAAAAAAATGCAAAATGTTTGAAATGTTTTTTTCTTTGCCTTTCTGTATTTTCTGAGTTTTTGCAACAGGCATTGATTTCATAACTAGAAATTAAACACATTACATTACAGATGAATATTTTGTTATAATTAATAATAAGCTCTAATAACAAAGGCGACATCAATATATCATACCTAGGGGTTGAGATTTTGCTAGGTCTATGGAAAAGCCGTGAGTTGGAGGTGGTGTTGCTGGAAAACTGCTAGTGGGCAGTTATTCTGTAAGGTTAAATAAGATGGACTCTTGCATTATAGCCATCTGAGAAGCCCATGGTTAGAGTGGTCACCTCTTACGGAACCTGAGGAGGCTGACAAAACATGTGCCCGACTAAAACACTTCATCAGATCATGGAAAAGAAAGCAGATTTTGGGTTAAATGAGTAATGGAGAACTGAATACGCCCTATCCTCCAGGGAGAAGAGTTGGGAGAGGTTGGAGGAGGTGTGATTTTAAGTAAGTCTTGGACAAGTCTGAACTTGCCCAGCCCACAGGCAAGCAGGTAGGAGGTTGTTATGCTCCTTCAGGAATCAGGCCTGACTGAGGCCCTGTCCAGGATGGTGGAAAGGAAGGGCCACCACTAAGAAAGAATTGCCAGTACTTGGGGACTGTTAGAAGGCAGAGGTCAATAAAGAAGTTAAAGTAAAAAATGATTACAATTTTTGAGTCAGGAGGGGCCAAGAAAATTGTGGAGGCTCTGTCAGAAATGCAGTTAGGAGTGGAAGTAGGTTTTAGGTAGAAGATGGAAGATAGTGTGTTTGGTTTTTAATGTAACATTTGAAAAAATGGTAGATAGTTTAATGTTCAGCAGACAAGTGAAAAAATGGGAGAGAGGTTAGGGTTGGGCACAGAATATGTAATTTTAAACTTTGTGGAGAACTCTCAATGCAAATTGAAACTAATTGTCTGTGAACAAAATTACCTCCTGTCACTAATGGCTGATAAAGGGATAGATCCCTTATTGTACATAAATTCCATTTTACAAGTGCCATCAGATTTCTAGGCAGCCCAACTCAGAGTTTCTTCTTCTTGGGTGGTGAAAAGCACTGACTTTGGATTCAGATATTTATAACCTGACCTATGATGGGTTATCATATCCTGGAGATTAGCTTCATATAGGGAAGGCTTTTTACTGCATAAGAAAGCAAAATCCACTAAATCTCATTACTGAGCTGTATTGTTATTATGAAACTAATTCATTCTGGTGTAGGAGAAATTCCTGTCATCAAAATCTTCAACAAGACATCTGTTTCGTTTGCTCCTAACTCCTAATTCCCCAGATCAGAGTAAGGAAGAAGTAAAGGTGAAATCAAATGGATAATCCAAAAATTGCAGTGTTAGAAAGAATTGTGTAATTTAACAAAGTGACAGACCATTTGTGTTTGTGTACAGCTGCACCTCAAAGAAAGCTTCCTGCTATATTCTCTTTGTTTTAAGTGTCAAGAGATTTGGCTTCTAGTCTTGGCATCTCCCCCAACAAATTCTGTGATGTTAGATATGTTATTTACTTTCCTCGGAGCTTCTTCACCATTTAGATAAAGACTAAAATATCCTATGATCCTAGCTCACAGGAGCAGTATAAAATAAAAGATGTGAAAATACAATGGAACCCATCCTAAGTTTACCCAAATCTAATTCTGGGTGCAGATTATATTTGCAAAAAAGCATTCTTAAGAACATGCAAAAAAAAAAAAAAAAAAAAGTGAAAAGATGTCAGTGAAAAAAATAAATACTTGGTGACCCATTTGGAAAGGTGATAGTCCAAAGTAATAATTTTCTTATGAAAGTTAACAATTATTTTTAAACAAGGTTTAAGCCTTGTTTAAAAATAATTGTTAACCTCAAATTTATGTCTTCACAGATGTGATGACTTCCCTATTCGGATGCCTGCGAGCTTGCACACTCGTGTACGGGCACACACATACATACAGTAAGTAACTATGCAGATGGTGTTTCCTGGTATTGACTGCCACTTGCTGTCACTAATTAGTTATGAAATGTGAAGGTAATTCAATTATTATAGCTAATATTACATAAGTCAGTAAACTGAAGCTAAAGAAGCAATTAGCAATGGTTGACATTTTCTTCAGGAAGTTTGCAATTCAGCTAGTTATATCAGAGCTTTCTAAGAAGCACCTTCTAACTCTTTATTTTACCTCTATTTTGAACTTCCTAGAGCCCTTCAATTTTATAATATTCCAGAATCAATATGTAGAAAGCATCATCTTTACCACCTCCCACGAGTTGAACTGTGTCCCCTGCAAATTCATTTGTTGAAGTCATAATCCCCAGTACTTCGGAATGTGACTGTGTTAGGAGATAGTATCTTTACAGAGGTAATCAAGCTAAAATGAGGTCATTAGTGCAGGCCCTAATACAATAGAATTAATTTATAATTTCCCTTATAAAATAAGGAAATTTGGACATACACATGTGTGTGTGCATGCACATAGAGAATGCCATGTGAAGATAAAGGCAGAGACCAGGGTGATGCATCTATAAGCTAAGGGGTGTCAAAGGTTGACAGCAACCCATCAGAACTTGGAAAGAGACATGAAACAGATTCTTCCTCACAGCCCTCGGAGAGAACCAACCCTGATGAGTCCTAGATTTCAGAAATCTAGTCTTCAGAACTGTAAACCAATACATTTCTATTATTTAAGTCACATGGTTTGTGGTAGTTTGTTATGGAATCCCTAGAAAACTAAACCAGCAACAAATCCTCTTCCCTTGCTTATATATTTGCTGAGTAAACTAGCAGAAGACTTTGAAGACCATGTAAATTTTTATTAAGAAAAGTTAATATTGTATGGGTAGTCAAAATCATTTGTGTAGAGAAAATCCATTACCAAAGAGACATCTTATTTAAAGACTGGCAGCTAAATCAAAATTATTTGGAACATTTTGGTTAGAACAGACTTTTTCAACAGAATTCCAGCAAAGTAGTATGAGTATGGGCTATGAGCCAGGATATAGAAATAGCTTCATGATAGAGAACAGTGGCTTATATAATGGAATTAAATTACAGCAGCCCCATACTTATTTAGATTTTCAATGTGATAACAGAGAGAAAACATCCAGTTTCGTGCCTGGAACAGAGTAGATGTTTAGTAAATAAATCTAAAATCTGAAACTATTGAAGTTTAGATAAAGTCGCCCAATTTGATTTTAAAGGCATAAATGTTTATAAAAAGCTGTTATATGAAATCTTCTCTGATCAATATTGATTATTAATATTGCTGCTAGGCTGGGTGCAGTGACTCACACCTGTAATTCCAGCACTTTGGGAGGCCAAGGTGGGCGGATCACCTGAAGTCAGGAGTTCAAGACCAGCCTGGCCAACATGGCAAAACCCTGTCTCCACTAAAAATACAAAAATTAGCCCAGTGTTGTGGTGCATACCTATAATCCCAGCTACTTGGGAGGCTGAGGCAGGAGAATCGCTTGAACCTGGGAGGTGGAGGTTGCAGTGAGCCGAGATCACGCCATTGCACTCCAGCCTGGGCAACAAGAGTGAAACTCTGTATCAATATATATATATACATACATACATATATATAGACAGAGAGAGAGAGAGAGAGCTGCTAAATGTCTTCCATCAGAACACTGAACTAAACTTGTGTATATTATTATCCAGCTCCTTGAATACAGCATAAAAGCCTGTGAAATTGGACTCTGGAGTTTCCAGCATGCACATTAACATGGACTGCTAAGGATGACTAAGTCAGGATGTTAGACCTTACTTTCTTTGTGCTTCTTTTACACATTCTGCATTATTTCTATCATAATTCCCAACATAGCCCACTGTAATTGTTGTGTTTGCGTGTTTTCCTACCAGACTGTAAGTCCCACAAGGCAATTTGCCTCACTGTTTGTAAATCCAATGCTTAGCATGGTGTCTGTCACACAGAATAACTCAGTACACATGGTAAACATGTCTATATGTTGAGAAAATAAAGCAACTCTCTCAAACCTTCTGTAGGATAAAAATCGTATCTCATAAAATTTTAGCTGGTTTGTTTTTCTGCTGCAAGATTGTTTCAGAAGCATGTTACATTAACATTGAAAACTGTAAAACTGCTAGGGCCTTTCCCTATGGTATCTTATTTAATGTTAAAAGCAGTCCCAAAGGATAGGGAGGACATTCTTATTATTTCCATTTGAAAAATGACAGACTGATCCAGAGGAGAAAAATGACTGGCATGTGGTGATACAGATATTTATAGGCTTAATCAATCCCTCAGTGTTGAGTTCCAATTAAGTTCCTCTGTTTGGGCCATATATGTAATTGATTGTATGGCAATTGATCAGGTAATTTTTCTAAAACAGTCAATAAGACCTCTAAAATTCAGGATTTACTGAAGCCCATCCTAGTAGTTTTTGGTTGCCTAATCAAAGAATGAAACCTTCCAAGATAGATTAGAAAAAGAATATTTATGAAGTAAAAACATCTCATATAAGGCAATACTTCTAGGGACAATATACAATGTAATTGGAATAAGTTATATATTAAAATAAGTTGTACACTGAATATCCTTGTTAACTGGATTTTTTTCTTGAAGCAGAGCAGCAATGGTAGAAATATGACACATATCAGTTGGGAAAACTGGTATACACATACAGAAGAATGAAATTGGACCCTTATCTCACACTAAATACAAAAATCAACTCAAAATGGACTAAAGACTTAAACATAAGACCTGAAACTGTAAAACTAATAGAAGAAAACTTAGAGTATAGTTCCATGACATTAATCTAGGCAATGATTTTTTTTGGACATGATCCCAAAAGTACAGACAACAAAAGCAGAAATATATAAATGGAATTGTTTTAAACTAAAAAGCTCTATGTAGCAAAGGAAACAATCAAAAGAGTGAAGAGACACCTTATGGAATGGGAGAAAACATGTGAAGACTTTGCATCTGCTAAAGGGTTAATATCCAAAACATATAAAGAACTCAAACAAATGGGCAAATGTCATAAGTAGACATTTCTCAAGACATACAAATGGCCAACTTGTCAGAATGAATATCATAAAAAATATGAAAGATTACAAGTTCTAGCAAAGATGTGGAGAAAAGGAAACCCTTGCAAACTGTCGGTTGGAATGTAAATTAGTGCAGCCATTATGGAAAACAGTATGGAGGTTCTTCAACAAATTAAAAATAGAACTACCATGTGATCCTGCAGTTCCACTTCTGGGTATATACCCAAGGGAAATAAAATCATTGTGTCAAAGAGATAGTTGCACTTCCATCTTTATTGCAGCACTATTCATGAGCCAAGATACGGAATCAACAAAAGTGTCCATCAATTAATGAATGAAGAAAAAAATATGCTGTATATATATATACAATGGAATACTATTCAGCCTTAAAGAAGCAAAAAATTGTATGATTTGTGACAACATGGATGAACCTGGAGGATATTATGTTATGTGAAATAAGCCGGGCACAGAAAGACAAATACTGCATGATATGGTTTGGGTACGTGTCCCTTCCAAATCTCATATTGAAATTTGATCCCCAGTGTTGGAACTAGGGCCTAGTGCGGGGACGTGTTTGGGTCATGGGACAGATCTCTCATTAATGAATTGGTCCTGTCCTCGTGGAGTTCTTGCTTTATTAGTTCACTTGAATACTGATTGTTAAAAAGAGCCTAGCACCTCCCTCCCCTATCTTGGTCCTTCTCTCACCATGTGACATGCTGGTGCCCCTTCTTCTGACACCATGATTGGAAGCTTCCTGAAGCCTCACCAGAAGCAGATGTTGGTGCCATGCTTCTTGTACAGCGTCCAGAACCGTGACTCAAGTAAACCTGTTTTCTTTTTAATTTTTTTTCTTTTTTTTTTTTTTTCTTTTGAGATGAGGTCTCACTCTGTCACTCAGGCTGGAGTACAGTGGGACGATCTCAGCTAACTGCAACCTCTGCCTCCTGGGGTCAAGTAATCCTCTCCATCTCAGCCTTGAAGTAGCTGAGACCACAGGCATGCACGAGCATGCCTGGCTAATTTTTTTGTATTTTTGGTAGAGACAAGGTTTCAACGTGTTGTCCAGGCTGGTATCGAACTGTTGAGCTCGAGTGATCCACCCACCTCGGCCTCCCAAAGTGCTAGGATTACAGGTGTAAGCCACCACACCTGGCTTTTCTGTATAAATTATGCAGCCTCAGTTATTTCTTTACAACAAAATGTGGATTCTAAAAAAGTTGAACTAAAAAATAGAGTAGAATAATGGTTACCAGGGGCTAAGCAGGGGAAAGGGTTGGGAAGATGTTGGTCAAAGGATACAAAATTTCATTTAGACAGGAGAAATAAGTTCAAGAGATCTGTTGTACAACATGGTGACAATAACAATGTATTGTATACTTAAAAATTGCTAAGAGGGTAGATTTTAAGTGTCCCCATCACACAAAAAATTAGTATGTAAGGTAATGCAAAGCTTTACTTAGCCATTCCACAATGTATACATATTTCAAAATATCATGGTGTACACCATAAATATATACAATTTTATTTGTCAATCAAAAAAATAGGACACATATCAGTCAGCTCACCTTACATGCTCTACCAATATATTCTCCTCCAAGTTTGTAGGTTAATCTTTAAAGATTTGCTTACAAAGCTAAGCCTGCACAGACATCCACTGCTCTCAAAGCTCTGTTAACAAGGATAACTTTTGACCCTGGGGTGCCTTGGCAGTTGAACTTTCACAGCAACTGTTGCCAGAGGCCAATTTCTTTCTGATATATAAGTGGAAGGAAAATGTGTTTCAGCATGTTTGAATAAGGTCAGCACTTAAAAACAACTGTACATATACATGTGGGTGCATACATTTAAAAAATATGTATATACATATGACTGAAACGTGAACAAGGTCAGCCTATAAATATGCATAGATATATTTCATGTGTGCAGTTATACATGAAGGAGATATGGAAGGAGTGGGGGCACCATTTCATGGCACTGATGCTATGGTGGATGTGAGACTTCCCCTAGGACTATCTAAAACATGAGGTTGCTCATATGGTATGTTTTCTAGATCCTAAAAACACTTCCAGTCACCAACACTTCCCTGAGTGTCTTATTGTCATAAAATCATTATTTCAACAGAGTCTTACATAGGTGTATAAATTTAACAAAGACAGTCAATTTTTATGGAATACTTGTATGTGCTTTAGAATCATTCACTCATTTAATCTTAAAATCACACTCTGAAGTTAACACCATCAGAATCTTCATTTTGCCAATTAAAAAAAAAAAAAGACAAACTTGAACCCAGCAAAGCTGCCTACAGGCGCTGGTGTGCTTAAGCACAGCACAGCCTGCTGCCATGACAGAGGGCTTCCTGGAAGGGTAACTTTCTCTGTCACTAACATACACTGCCCCAAAGTGGATTAGGTTGTTAGTTATCAAAAAGGGTTCTGACCAAATGACAAGAGGAGAATATTTCAGTAGGTAAAGAAAAGCTTAAAATATTTTGTGGAATAATGTACTTACACTCAAAGGGAACTCAGTGAATAGGAGGATATATGAGAGTTCAATTTGTCTAAAATACTTATTGATCATCTATGATGGGCTATATGCCATACTATTAGCTATGGGTGGACAAAGACAAATCAGTTTTACTCCCTGTTTTCTAGAAATTCACAATATAATAAGGACAATTGAATAGACACAGGATGCAGGATGTTCTCAGCAAGACAAAAATATAAGAGTATATGTCAAGTGAAAGTATCTCTGACCAGGAGCCCCTGGAAAAAGGTGACATTTGAGCTGGGTATAAGATAAAAAGGAAGGGTTCATTAGGAAGAGAAGTTGGAAAAGGGCATTGTAGGAGTGGGAAACACTAAGTTCATGGAAGGGTAAAGATTGTGAAAGGAGCTGGCCCTATGAGAGAGGCTGAATGTGAGTGGAGGATAGGAAGCATGGATTGGAATAGAAGGAAACAAAGGAGGAGAGAGAGCATTGGATCAACTTGTGAGGGTTCTTGTAATTCAAGCTAACAATTTGGACTTTGTCATGCAGGCCAGTGCTTCTCATCTGGAAGTGACTTTTACTCCCCTCCCTGCTAGGAGATATTTGGCAATGTTTAGAGACATTTTGAATTGTTGCAAAGGAGGAGGTACTATTGGCATCTAGTAGGTAAAGGTCAGAGTGTTAAACATCCTTCAATGTACAAGACAAGACCCCACAACAAAGAATTATCTAGTCCAAAATTATCTTGTTCAAAATTATCAGGTCCAAAGTGACATTGTTGATAAATCTTGATACAGGTAATGTACAAGGGGTTTAAAATTAGGAGACCGACATTGACATCTTTATTTTTAGAAATATACCTCTTTGGTGGGTTGTAGTAGGAAGAGGCTTAAATCAGGCAAACTTTTGATGAGGGGTGGCCATTTATTGAAGGCTCATTGTGTGTGAGGCAAAACCCTGAGAACATTAGAATCATTAAACATTAAACTTACTGCACAAAATAATGTCATGAGAAGATGTAGATAAGTGATTTAAGCATCTCAATCAAGGATACCCAGCAAGAAAGCAGCCAAGTTAGGATTTAAACCCTGATTTTATATGCCTGTGTCCCTTGCCACAGTATCCTGCCCCTGTAGCATAACTATTCAGGTAAGAGATGAAGGCTGAATTCTCAGAATAAGAATGGCAATAAAAAAAAGCCAGATCTGAGAGACATATCAAGTAGACAATCAACAGGATTGAGAAGACATTTGATGTAGGGGATAAGTAGACTAGGCTGAGGACCCTAGGTTGACACTGAGGTTTCTACATAGATAAGATTAATGATAAAATATTTTATGATGAAGCCTTCACTACTATCAAGGTCAAACAAAATTATCCCCTCAAAGTGCACGAGAAATTTTTGAGGAGGTGATGAGAAGTGATAATGGGGCGGTGAAAGTGCTGATAATGGAGGCGGTAAGGAGGTGATTTCTGGATATGCTGATGTTGTGGTGCCTATGCAGCATGAAGGTAGGGACTGCATGATACTTTAGGGTAGGTTGTGGAGCAAGAGATGAGTGTTTGGGATCAATTAGTCTACAGGTAGTCGTTGAAACCATTGTGAAACCCATGCGAATGCCCAGGGAAAGTAGGTAGAACAAGAAGAGAAAAGAACCAGGGAAAAATCTTGGGGAATTCTTAAGGCACACTCAAGGCAGTAGGGAGAGGACTTGGAAAATCCTTTTGTTTATTTCACATATTGATCTAGGAATCTATATCTGTATCTATATCATCTATTCCTATTTATGTCCTTTCAATGACATATAAACATTATCTATGTATCTATCTATCTATCTATCATCTATTAATATCTATCTGTCATCTGCCTATCCATCCATTCATCCATCCTTCAATGGTAGGTTCATGGAAGAGGGAAAGGACAGTGCAATAAGAACTCACACATTCCTCTGAAAATGGTCTTAATTTCTGTAGCATTAAGAGTGGTATCCTGGCTAAGTATGTACTCGTATACTGAATCTTACTGCTGGCCATTGCCCTATAGTATGGTGCAGGTAACTGAGGAGGCCAGCTTGTAGTACATTCACCCAAGGAAATGAATGTGTTCAAGTGACACAAAGTTTAGTAGAGGGGATACTCAAGTCTCTGCACGTGGAAAGAGATTTCCTGCTGTAGAGAACTAAGTTGCTATCTAACAATTCATTCACTGAAAATGAATAAACTGTTTTCATTATTAAGCCATTAATGGTAAAAAGTTCAAATAAAATTATTCCCTTGAAGTGCCCAAGAAATTCTTGAGACACAAATCATAGATCATTAATTATGATCCCCTTCAGAGAGTAAAAGTAGGTTTTGACTTAAAAGGAAAGGTAATTAAAATCAAGGAATTGGAAATTTTTCAGCTGGAAAATTGCTCTGAATCACTGGTGTCAAGGGTTAGTTTGTGCCTCAATGTTTTATACAATTTCATACTCACCTAGATAGGTATTTATGTCTAAACACACACAAATATGTGTTAGTGCACAAAAGCATTAACACCAGTCTCTGTCATTGCGTACATTGCATGCTAAGTCAAGCACATGTCTAGCAGAAGTCTAAATAGCTGATCCCAAAATGAAACGTTCAACAAAATAATTGTTTTGTTGGAGAGGAGTGGGACTGATGGGGCAGGTAGTCTTTGATGTCAAACAATCAGCTGATTTGTTTTTAATATATTTTTAGTGGCACATTGAGAAGTCAAACCAATATGTTGAAAATGGAAAATTCAACCAAGTACTTTCAGCCTATGTGGAGAGAGGCTCATTTTGTGAAAAGACCCACTAAATTAAGTTGTATATTTAAGCACAGTTCTTCCCACGAAAGTCTCGGTACCATCACCAAAGCAACAAGGTAATCAGGCTTGATAATGGTTATCAGGCAACCAAAAAAATCAAAACTCCACTTATATTTTCATGACATTTGTACCTTTTATGTATCCACGGCTGAGTAGGCCAATAAAAGCAGGACACCTCCTGAGACCAAACTCAAAAGTATCCTAGTGTATGAGAGGAGTGAGCCTCAGAAACAGATCACTAGAAAGTGAATTCTTCTTCAGTAAAGACAATCTTAGCTAAAATTAAGTCAAAATGAACATGCATTCATGTTATATTCAAGGAAATGTTACTAGAATTGTTTCTACTACAACTCCAATGTCCTGGACTCAAACATAAATCTATTTCAAAATAATGTTATTTAATATTTCCTATACAATAAGAAGAGCACACACAATATCACAAAAGTTGCTATTAAAATATAGTCAGCAGTCTATGTATTGATTTGTTATATAGGGGAGGAAGGGATTTCTCTTTGAGAGGAAATAACATCTGGAAAGACATCAATTTACCAAAGGAAAAAAAAAGATTAATTTGCATGATAATAGCAGAATTTCTTAGGCTGAAAAATCTGCATTCAGGGAACTTCATGGTACTTGGGTTTTGTCCTGAAACAGTGGATGTCCATGTGTTTTACTGTATACCAGGTAGCTTTCCAATAGAAAGAAATGAAAATACCATTCCTAAAAGTAAATTTAAACATTCACCTTTCAGAAGACAGAAACTGCTTTTTTTGTTTTTGTTTTTTCCTTCTGGAGATAGATCTTTTGTTTATTTCTTTTTTTGGTTGTGTAACACCGTGGTTAAAGCAAATAAGCAAATAAACACAAATCAGTGTTTCATCCAGGGTCACTATGTATTTTATTTTTTTAATTCTAGAGTCTGCCTTCTCTCTCTTCCTCTCCTTCTCCTCCTTTTTCCTCTTTCTCTCTCCTACCCCCTTCTCCTTCTCCTCTCCTTTTTCCTTCTTCATCTGCTTCATTTTTCTCTTCCTCCCCAACTTCTTTTTCTCCTTTCTTCCTTTTTCTTTTCTTTTCCCTTCTCCTCCTTCCCTCTTTCTCCCTTCTTCTCCCCTCCTCCTGGACCTCCTTCCTCTCTCTCTCTTTCCCCTTCCCCATCTCCTCCACCTTTTTCCTCTTCCTGTTTCTCTCCTCCTCCTTCCAGTCACAGCCACAATTCTGGTTGTCTGGCTAAGGTGATCCCCTCTTACTAAACTCCTAGGTGAATGTTGCATGTTATATGAAGTGTTGGTTGAAAGACTCAGGTTTCTGTGCCAGGGCACAGTTTGGTCTGGGACATGGGTGAGTGGATGGACCCAGGAAGGCATTGAGCATAGGGCCAGTGGGGTGTGTCATGGTCTGACTCAATATAGTTAAAGAAAAAAAAAAGAAAATAGCTTGGTAAAGACTGAATTGGACTGATTTTTTTTTTTTTTTTTTTTTTTTTTCAGCAAGCAACACACAGTATTTGGAGCAAGGCATTTAAAGACCGCAAAGGCAAAAGCTTTGTTTCTTTTTTTTTTTTTTTTTTTTTTTTTGAGACGGAGTCTTGCTCTGTCGCCCAGGCTGGAGTGCAGTGGCGGGATCTCGGCTCACTGCAAGCTCCGCCTCCCGGGTTCACGCCATTCTCCTGCCTCAGCCTCCCAAGCAGCTGGGACTACAGGCACCCGCCACCACGCCCGGCTAATTTTTTGTATTTTTAGTAGAGACGGGGTTTCACCGTTTTAGCCGGGATGGTCTCGATCTCCTGACCTCGTGATCCGCCCGCCTCGGCCTCCCAAAGTGCTGGGATTACAGGCGTGAGCCACCGCGCCCGGCCAAAAGCTTTGTTTCTTCCAGATAATTTTCTTTGGCTATCTTCTTTCACTCTTATAATCCCCTATTCATATCTCAGTTACAGAACTCTTCACATTGTTTAGCAAGGATCTGTGTTTTTCATTCCTCAAACTCATCAATGACAGGTGTATTTACCTAACATATATACCTGGCAGGTATATTTCACCTAATACAAAGCTGATACCCTATCATTTTTAAAACAAAGTCACGAAAACATTGTATTGAGTCAGCATCATGGAGTATAGAATTTTTTGAAAATTTGCAAAGGTTTATATGAGCTTAAGCTTACTATTCTGTAGTGTTTGATTAGGAAGGAGGTGCTGTGTATGATCTTGTGTTTTCCAGTCACTTGTGCCTCCTGAGACAATTATATTGTTGGGCAATATTGCTGTCCTCCAGGGTGGTGCTTGCAGCTGAAATTTGACACTTACCTACTGTAAGATTCACTAGTAGCATATGCAAATGTTTGCTTTCAGGTAAACTTAAAGGACCAATTCTGCTTGTGCTGAAAAACAGCAATAGATACTTTCTTCCAGAAGGCAGAGCAAATCTCCATGTTGTCGGCCTGTTGGACAGAATTACCAGAGATAGGCTTTCCTAAGATAGGTCATCCTTAGCAATTCCTTCTTCTTTCAACCTCTGGAAAAGTGCAAACAACTCAAACACATTCAAGGAGGATGCCCCTTTCTGAGACACATTTAGAAAAACAAAGGCCTCCACAAAACACTTTGAGAAATGTGTTTTCTCAAACAATTACTTATTTTGACTATGTGGTACTTTCTAGATGTTTTATGATCAAATGTGAATGATTGTTCTTGGAAAAAGTAGCTGTCTGATGTTTCAATTTTTTTTTTCCTCCTCTATACTTATTTGCTGTGTAGACACAACCTTGGTGAAACCTGTTTGATTAGGTAACACAAAGGAAATCTTCAGATGTGGTGGAGCCCCCACCCATCCTTACCCAAATTTCCTAGTGGAATTTTGGAAAGCATTGATGACCTTTCATAAATGTACCACGCCTCAAATTCTTATTTTTCCATTCTGTGAGCAGTTTTTTCTTTCTGACCCTGTTCTCCATCAAAGCAAACCAGACAACTTCAGGTACTTCCCTTAAATACTTTAGCAGCTGGACTTTAGCACCTAGATCAGAGTAAGCAAGATTACCTTTCATGTGTTCTCATAAGCCACTGATTTTGATTAGTCTGAGGAAATGTACAAATGACTTCCAGCTGAAGCAAGCTTCATCCCTATCCAACTGGCTCAAGTTGGGGAAAGCTTCCTGTTGGCTCCTTGAACAGACCTACTGCCTTCTGACCAGGTCTTTGTTGGAGTTCAGGGAGTAGTAATGTGAGGATACGCCCTTCTTATTCAACCACCGGAGAGGGGATTCAGATAATTAAGGCCTCTAGTGTCTTTCCAACACTAGACAGATGCATTTTCTGTCATTGTGGAATATAAATAGAGCTGGGAATGCCTGTATAACAGGACATTACAGCTAATTTTTCCTCTCTGATGGGTTGCCAGTACTTTGAAAATAAGTTCCCCTGCTCTTTCACAAAAAAGCATCCACAATTCAGTTGATATTTGGGTTGAAGAATCATAGTGGTCCTCATTTTACAAAGTCATTGCTCCTGATTAAGAGAGCCACAGTAACCTGCCAAATACCCACCTCCTTCTGCTGCTTTTGGACCTGCATGTCTCTCCTTCAGCTAAGTCTGGAAATTTTCTTTTTCACAATTTTGCCTACAAGAAACTGTAGAGTAACTATAGACCCATTCTTTTTAAGGGACTCTTTTGAGTCCCTTTGGGATTATTAAGCAGTTAAAAGTCAAACTCTCTGGGTAATGGAATTGGGTTGGAATTGATCATAGGATGCAATTCTTGGATATAGATGAAAGTATGACTTCGTTTAATTTACTACCATCCCCAGAAGTGTCAGTGTACAGTGGGAATAAGCAACATGGTAGTGCAACTAGAATCATTACATGGGATCCTGAGAAAGCCTCTAATATTTTAATTTGCTTTCGGGCAGTGTCTTATTTACCCTCATTGAATCTCTTCAATAAGAATTAGGTAATCTCATTTCCCAAGCAGACTGCATTTTGCTTATTTATCTCACTGAATATCATGTGTTGAGTATTTTCTTGAATACAGCAATAAACTTTGGGAAAGCATCAGTCAAATTTATTTGGCATCATATTTACATTGTTACCTGATTAGAGTGACTCTAAGTTATGCAGCATTTGCAAATGAAACCCATGATGAGTATATAAAAGAACCACAGAATATTAGAGCATGGATGAAATTTAGAAATCTATTGTAACTTCTTCACTTCACTGTCAAGAAAACTGAGTCCCAGGGAAATAAATGGACATACCAAATATCTCTGAAGAAATTAATGGTGAAGAGAATGAGAATATGCCACTCCAAAATATGCCGCTTTGGCATGTGGTTTATTTTAAAATGAAGGCAATTGAGAACCAACAGATGCAGAAAGACAGCTTCTTGGAGCTTCCCTTATCTAACTAAAAATGAAAAATTCCAAGAAATGAGAACTGTGATAAATCCTGTCTGTGGGGGAGTTTTATGGCCGTAAACTCACTGAGATGGCTTTGCACAGGCAAACCTTATGAAAATAACCCTCATCTTCCATTAGTTTCCCCATATACTTACCTTCTTACCATCTGCCAGCCTTAGAAATTCAATTCCCCATCCTCTTTCTTTCATCTGGTTGCTTCTCTATAATTTATCACCCTTTGTTAAAATGGTATATAAGCTTCTGAGTCTAACTGCTTCTTTGGACATTTACTTCTTCCTGTGAAGCCCTTGTTCATGTTAAAATAATTATATCAATAAAGAAACACATTCCTTTTCCCTTCTTAATTGTCTCGTCAGTTTAATTCGCAGGCCTCATTCACTAAACTAGGAGGGTAGAGAAAAAGTACTTTCCTCCTATATAGTAGAAAAGTTAAGACTAAGACTCCTTGTGTTCATCTTTTGATTTTGTTTGGTACCTAAAAAAATGAAAACCAAGGTTACGTTCTATTTATAAAACGTTCTTAATACATCACAATATTTACCTGTCACTTTATATAATTTTTTATATTCTTCTGATTCTTGTTAAGAAAGGTTACAGGAGCAAGGAGAATAAAGGAATTTAATTAAGACTGGGTCTACTTAGAATTATTGAGGTTACTATTTTGTTTACGTTGACAAGAATATTCACATATTGATAAACTCAGGAAAATAAATGCCAATTGACCTGTTTTTTTGGTTTTCATTTTTCTCCCTCTGAATTGACAACAATTGTTTAAACAAATACATACAGTATAGTGTGTAAAAGCTTGAGGTTTAGAGTCATACGGTTCTGGGTTAATCCAGTGATTTATTACATAAAGGCTGGTTATGAGAGCTTTGACAATATTATTTTTAGTCTGTATTGACCCAGCAGATAAATTGCTTGATGGTCCTGAAATCTCAATCTGATATTTATGTTAGTCCTTGGAAAAGCTGCACTGTTCCTGGAGCTTAATATACGTGATTGTTGAAAATCCAACAGGGATAAGGTAGAGTGAGCCTCAATGCTTGGTTTTCTGCTTTCTTCCGTGAAAACCAGCCTATACTCAGTGAAAGTTCTGTATTTTTTAAATATATATATATATATATATATATATATATATATATATATATATATATATATATATGTATAACTAGAGCAAGAAGTTGATAGAATCCTTTTGGTACTGCACAGCAGAAAAAAAGCTGACTTGAGAAGGCCTGCACTGCTTATTTATGTATGAAGTTTAATGCTAAAAGGTGCCATTAAAGGTGAAGACCACATCTAGTGTCAAAGCGGTAAAATCTTAAACATCCCTAATGACTGCTTTTAAGTCATTGCTATTTCTTACAAAAACAAACCACTGCTAGATTAAGTGTGGGGCACTCACTTTACAAATGATATCAGTCATCTGAATTTCTCCTTATGGAACTTCTGCCAAGTTCAGACTCTTTGCCAAGGATGATTTAACCATTCAGAGTGTCAAACTGACCTTGTGCATAAAGGAGGGGGTGGGGAGAAGCCTAATTGCCTGAGCATCATTTTCTCATATTCTAAAATATTGAGGAGATTAAACCATAAGTTTGACTACCTTTCTTCAACACTGTAGTTGGAACCTACACGCTACATAGTTGCACTATTGAAACTGTGCTGGAGGACTTTCTAGCTTTCACATATTAAATCAAACAATTACTTTTGAGAAACCTTTTAGAGAATAATGAGAGAAAATAGAGACAGGTAAATAGAGTCCAGAGTTGGCAAAATTAAATATGGTGGTCATTTAATCGTAGGTGTCTGCTTATGGTGTGTATTTTTACTGCCCTGAAAACTATTAGGCTGCAGTGGTAGGTCTGTGTTATAGGGAATCAAATATTGTCTGAGTCATGAGTCCACAGTTTTGAATGCATTCAAAAACAAGGTCGTAAGTCCTTCAACACAAGTAAGCACAAATAATTAGTTTTAAACGCTTCCTGACCACTCTGCTATGAGACTGGTAGATAAAATTGTTGCAGATCTAATGCGAACAAACTTTGCATCATCATTAAAGTAATTGAAAGTGCTACCTAATCATCATTGTCATTAAACCCTCCCCTTTTATTCTGAATAGAATTGCATGTTATAGTTTCGGCTAAAGGGTTCTTAAAATACTTTGGAAATGAATTGTTCTTTATATTGTAGTAATTAGTGCTTTTGTGGGTTGGGGTAGGAGGGTAAGTCTTACTGAGTTTAACAACACATACTCAGAAGAAGCTCTCCTTTTCAAGGCACAGAGGGTGGCCTAAACAAAAACTACTCTGCATGAAGAAGCAATTAGTGGTAAGTAAAATTCATGAGAATCTCTCACTCATCCAAACTGTTTTACAACTCATATGGAAACAACTTTTCTATCTAGGTGGGGCATTTGCCGATAAAACTCGTATTCCTGCTTTTGAGGTCTCAGTTTGTTGGATTACACATGATGTTGGTTTTCCCACTATTTCTGGCCTCCCACAAAGCCCGTAGAAGTCCCAAGGAGATGTGTGAGACAATTCTACAAACTATCAGTAGTAGTGTAGGTCCATTTCATGAACATCAACTACAAGTCAGGTACTGTTTCACATGTTATCAAATTTAATTTATTCATGCCATTCTCATGAGGAAGATTTTAACTCTATCTACCAACTGGACTGAAAGAGAATTCAAGTGTATTATTCAAGATTGTGAAACAATTACTGTTTGGCAGAAGTGAGGTTTAAACTCAGTCCTGCCTCACTCCAAAGCCCAGTTTTCCACTACAACATTCTGTTCATGCTTGTCTACACTTGTCCACATCTTTTGATTTTTTTTACCACCTTGGTGGTATAGGTGGCTGTTACTTACTATTTTCTTTCACTATGTCTTATTTACTTCTGAGAATTTAGAAGGAGCTGTGGAATCTTTCACTGGAGGTTTTTAAAAAGTAAAACTAGGCCGGGCGTGGTGGATCATGCCTGTAATCCTAGCACTTTGGGAGGCCAAGGCGGGGGGATTGCCTGAGCTCAGGAGCTCGAGACCAGCCTGGGCAACACGGTGAAACCCAGTCTCTACTAAAAGACAAAAAATTAGCCGGGCGTGGCGGCGTGTGCCTGTAATTCCAGCTACTCAGGAGGCTGAGGCAGGAGAATCGCTAGAACCTGGGAGGCGGAGGTTGTTGCAGTGAGCCAAGATCAAGGCGCTACACTCCGGCCTGGGCGACAGAGCGAGGCTCCGTCTCTAAAAAATAATAATAATAAAAAATAAAAACTAGTTTGGAAGAATGCCTTGAATGCAGTCCTGCTCAGAAGCTACTTTGTGAGTCTGTGATTCCAGGAACTGCCAGTAAATGTAGCACTCATTAAATCATTCATTTACTCATTCAATTTTAAGTTGCTTGGTAGAAGAGAGGTTTGAAAACTGAATTAAATATAATCACTGCTAAAAAAAAAAAAAGGTAGTCACTGGTATATGCTACATTTACTGGACAAATTAATTGTCTTTCTTAGGTTCTAAATGTGATTTTCAGGAGACCTTGAGGGAAAAGGTTAAAAATATTTAGCTATGTCATTTTTGAATATCAGGAAGATCTAATATTTGGACAGGAGTTTTAGAAGTTCTGAATCTGCAAAGCTCCTGAGCATTTCAGTTTTGATTTTTTTTCTTTGCATTCTTCTTGATCTACATGTTCTAACACTGCTTTGTTTATTTTAGTGCTGAAAGAGTTTGCAACTTGTAGTTTATACTGCTCAAAGCCACTTTGGATAGTCTTCCCCTAGTCGAAGGACAAAATTATGCCCAGGGGCAAAACAGTAAAACAGGTAAAGTTTATCCTTGGCATCATCCTAAACTGTCTGGATTCCCACTCTTAGTCTTTTTAATTCATTTCTATTACTAATGCCCAACAGTGTCATAATTCTTCATCTTCTATCCAGGGTAAAAGTATTCAATAAATTCATTCATATTACAAGATTACTAAATTAATAATACACTTTCCAGAAATCTTTTTTTATCTTAAAAGAGAAAATCTAAGGAGAAGATCAATAATTATTTCAAAGGTATAAATGATGGATTGTAGCAGGTAAACGCTTTGAGTGTTAGTGTATGTGTCTTTAAATTTCCTCCCTTTGGGAAGCTGTACTTCTACAGAATGCCAGGGAGAGGCATGTGAGCCAGGTGGGCTAATGATGGGTGCTTCATCTCTTTGGCAATAAAAATTAGCTCAAGGTTTCTGTGCTTGAGCCATCTAAGCCCAAAGTCCTTTCTTGGAATCAATACAGGGATGGAGGAAAAGAATTGTTCTTTCTGTTGGGATTGCTAAAACAGGTAATTATGAGGATGAAGTGCCTGGACAATCATTGTTGGCCTGTAGAAGAAGCTCCTCTGCAGTCAAAAAACAATAATGATAAAGTCAACACATAGTGAGAAGAGCTGTGAGATGGAGAGACAGCTCTGGTTTGACATTATGACTCCTTCAAGCCAAATTAACTACAACTGAAATTAGATTTAAACATACTGTGCAAATGGTGTGTGTATGTGTGCATGTGTGTGTGTGTGCACTCACGTGTGTGGTGTGTATGTGTTATTCACATAATCCCTTCCTTATGTAGAACCACATTTCTCCCATCAGTGCCAGGAATAGACGTGTGAATTGGGATAGGCAGGCATCTCAGTTATGGTGAACTGTAAGGCACCAATTTCCACCCTACTTTTTTGGCAGTTGGGGTGGAGCTTGAACTAGGTCGACTTAAGTTTTTTTTGATACTTGGAATCAACAGTCCTGACTCATTAATTAACAGTAGGGTTTAAGATATTTTTGAGGGAGATATTTTTGAGTGGGTTATTTTTCTGTTGCCCCTCTCTCCTACCCTGTGAATGTTGATTTGTTGATGGTTTTGAATAATAATATCTTGTTGACATTGCAACTTGCCATTATTTTCTGATAAGCAGCTGTGATGTGGTCTCACTCTTTCTTTTTCTGCTGGTGTTTTCGATAGGATTCAATTCAATTCAGTTTGAGTCAATTTTTTCAGTTTAATTCATCTGGATTAGGTGCTCAGTGAGGCTCTTTTCTGGAAGGTAACCACTTTGCATTCCAACAATTATTCCACTTATAGAGGCCTAAAAATATGAGCCAATATTTCAGATTTTGCATGACAATCTATGCATCTTTTAGGTAAATCTGTTGAGCGCTGATAAAAATCAATGACTTGCCTCTGTTTTACCTTTAAAGCAATTCTGAAATCTTTCATAAGTAGAAGATAGGATTGGTGATTACAAGCTGATACTTGAAAAATTCACTGACAAGACAAAGATTATTTACATTGATATTTCTTATCCTGGGTGGTCATATAACTTTTCTTTCAAACATCACTGTCAATACCCTGATTAATGAAAGACTACAAACATGAGATGAAAGTATCAATCCTCTGTTTCACGTTAAGACTATATTTATTCTAAGTGATTATAACTGTACATTTATTTATATGAGTATGCCAACACATAATTCTTTTAAATAGAATCTATAAGTGGCTATCATAACCACCCTAGTTAGATATCACATGGATTCCAATGGAAGAAAAGACAAAACTGGTGGGACTTTCATAACTTTCTATTACTGCTCACTTCCTTTTTTATTTTCTAATATGACTTTGTTTTGGCTCCCATATTGTTGACATTGAGTGTGACTAAGCCTTTTCACTGAGGACCTTCTGTTCTCCTAGTCACTGCCTTTTGCTTTCCACCTGGGAGCTGGGGTCATCTTTCCACTTCCAGGGTGACTCTGGGTTCACAGTGAAGGGTCCTGGGTGGGAGGTTCTGATCGT
The DNA here is from genome assembly GCF_000001405.40 of Homo sapiens. Lineage (NCBI taxonomy): Eukaryota > Metazoa > Chordata > Mammalia > Primates > Hominidae > Homo > Homo sapiens. The sequence continues at coordinate 218,621,283 of NC_000001.11, forward strand.
GAGGGCAGGCCTGCCCAAAGGTCACTGCTGCTGTTGTAGGCACCAAGTCAATATCCCCAGCATGTCAACTGAGGACTTTCTCACATTTGCTTTTATTATAAAGCCATCTTGAGTGGAACAAACTCTATAAAATCAGCTAGCTGAAAAGTAAAAAATTCAGGCAGTCAGCTGATCCTTCTGCCTGCAGATCAGCAAATAACCATTGCGAGTGATGGCTTTTTCAAGATTACTTTGGATTGAAGCTATATATTCTGTAACAAAACCCAGCATGCTTGCTTTGATTAGCTTGATTGGCTAACAAAGTCATATGGAAAACAAAATGCATTTTTTTGTATTGACTTAAATGAAAATAACCTTCACCTTTTTTGTGACTGATTTGAATCCAATTTAATCTTGATGTTGTTCATAACCTAAGTGAGATTCATTGATGATAAGAATTACGTAAGTAGGCTGGGCGCGGTGGCTCACGCCTGTAATCCCAGCACTTTGGGAGGCCGAGGCGGGTGGATCACGTGGTCAGGAGATGGAGACCATCCTGGCTAACAGGGTGAAACCCCGTCTCTACTAGAAATACAAAAAAAATTAGGCGGGAGTGGTGGCAGGCGCCTGTAGTCCCAGCTACTCGGGAGGCTGAGGCAGGAGAATGGCGTGAACCTGGGAGGCGGAGCTTGCAGTGAGACGAGATTGAGCCACTGCACTCCAGCCTGGGCGACAGAGCGAGACTCCGTCACAAAAACAAACAAACAAACAAACAAACAAACAAACAAACAAAAGATTACTTAAGCAGTAAGATTCTTTAACAAGAGAAAAATTTTTTATAGCCTCAATTGAAGACTAACTTTCTTAATCAGCTGTACATTAGACTGTGACTATAAATATAAATTACATTAGTTCCTTTGGTTAAAATGACTTTCATATATGTGAGAAAAACTCAAGGACTAGCTTTAGTTAAACACTATTTATTTTCCCATCTCCAAAATGACAATCACTAGCAGTTAAATTGTAACTTTTAAATGAATTATTTTGACTTTACAAATACACAGGTTTATGCATAGAAATCTGGCTTTTCAAATGACTGAATCAAGTTGACTGGTGATCATTAATGATGATGCTTGAAAAAAAAAAACAACTGGCTATCCAAATGATAAATCCAGTAAATTAAGCATGGAATTATGAAAAATGCTATGCTATAGTTTAATGGGGTATTATGGCATAAAAAGTGTGAAATGTGGCTTTTGACATCAATCAATTTATAATCTACTTAAGAAGGACTTGTACACACACATACACACACAAACACACACACAAGATAGTTTCTAAATGCCAAGTAAATGTTGCAGTCAGAAGTGCAGAGAAGTTCGAAAGAAGGAGCAGTCCCAGAGGGCTAAGGTGACCAGAAACTTGAATTGAAGTTTAAAGGATAAAACAATTAATATAATTGAAGAGGGAGAAGGAAATGCTAAAGGAAAAAAATCATAAAATAAGCCTTTATTCCCCTTACAGTGCAATTGTAGCAATATTAGAAATGTAAGGAAGCACACGGTTTTAATAAAAAGTTAGAAAAATGACCTGATGTCTCTGATTGAATCTACATTATTTATAATATTTTTCTGTGCATATTCTGTAAAACAAATTAACAAGCTATTCAATTAGATTAACAGGTCAGTGGCTACTCTGATTATTTATTTATTTATTTATTTGAGATGGAGTCTCGCTCTGTCGCCCAGGCTGGAGGGCAGTGGTGCGATCTCGGCTCACTGCAAGCTCTGCCTCCAGGGTTCCCACCATTCTCCTGCCTCAGTTTCCCAAGTAGCTGGGACTACAGGTGCCTGCCACCACGCCCGGCTAATATTTTTTGTATTTTTAGTAGAGACGGGGTTTCACCATGTTAGCCAGGTTGGTCTCGATCTCCTGACCTCGTGATCCGCCCGCCTCGGCGTCCCAAAGTGCTGGGATTACAGGAGTGAGCCACCGTGCTTGGCCTCTGATTATTTATTGATATATAATAAATTTCCCCCAAATTTAGTGGCTTAAAGCAACAATAGATATTTATGATCTCTGATGGTATCTGTGGGTCAGGAATGTGGGAAAGACTTGGCTAGGTGGCTGTGCCTCAAGGTGTCTCATGTGGCAGCTGGCAGATGTTGGCTGGAGTTGGAAGAGCAGTGGTGAAGAAAGCTGAAGATGCTGGAGGTTTGCCAGGCACTTCTCCTGGATTCGCAGAGCCTCTCCATGTGGTCTTTCCACAGAGGTTCCATTGGGCTTCCTCAAAGCATAGTGGTCTCAGGACAGTCAGACTATAGATGTGGCTGCCAAAGGCTACAGGAGTGAGTATCAAGCAGTATAAAAGCTTCCTCACATGCCTTTTATGACCTAGCACTGGAAGTCACATGGCAGCTCTACCACCACTCAGTCACATTGTGTCCAGTCTCTAGGGAAAGGGACATAGACCCCATCTCTCCACATCAAAGTCCAGTTGTAAGAAGAGGATGCAGAATGGAATATATTTATGGTGGCCATAATTTTGGAAAAATATAATCTGCCACAATCATTTTGGGCATTTGTCTGATTAGGCCCCATCCTTGATGAGCACAAACTCGTAGGAAATTTTGAACAACTAGTGCTTGTGCTTATTGGCTGAAATGCTTAGGTAATAGGCACTTGAAAGGTGAACAGAATTCATTTGTACGCTGGTATAATCACACATATATTAGTGATTTAAATACCCCATCTCCCATCCCCAATTCATGGCTACTGGCCCATAAAAGTAATACAACATTTGGAGACTGGCCCTATTAAAAACAGAAATGAAAAGTAATCTTCCAAACACCTCGCAGGGTGTTAACGTTTGGTTTTCTTACTTATCCTTCATCTGACTCCAAGCCCAATCTGGTAGTGTTTCATAGTAGTTTTCTTTAGGCTGGATTTAATTGCTTGAGAGATGTCTTTTTCTAATGAGATTGAGCAATCTAAACTGTAACCTGCATTCCTGAGACTTGGGCTCATGTATTTCAAAACATAGCTAAGGGTTAAAAAGACTTGAAACAGAATAGCCTTTTTATTATTGTTGTTATTGTTCTTATTTTAAACATGCAGCTTCATGTCCCCAAAATATATTTGATGTTCTTTTATAAGAAAGGGCAATCCTTTAAATTCTCAAACATGAGCCAGAAAAAGATATTACTCTCTCACCTAAAGAGAAATAGAGCTTTTTTTATTCCCTGGTGTTATTTTTTTAAGAGAGATATTTTATTATTTCGGATTTGGGTTTCCTTGCCTTGCTTTCCATTCTTTTATAGATGAAACATCAACACAGAAACATCAGCTACACTGCATATGGTTAACTTGCATTCACCCCATTTTTACAAGGCACTTTGGACTGAACCAGATTACTCCTCCAAATGCTTCTCAACTGTCTAAAATGGCTGTAAAACTAAAATTTGTGTTTGCACACTCTCCTGAGCTACCTCACCCCTCCTCCAGCAAGGTCGTGCTTCACAAGGGATTGTTGGTGTTTTAAAAGGGACAGTCTACATAATACAAACTGTTTGCACTAAAGAAGCCAAAGAGACTTCACAGAATGTCCATGGCATTGACCTTTTCCTGTTATGATATCTCTTTTGTATACCAGGTTATAATTCTTTGGTATTAATATCCAGCATCTAGACAGTGAACTAGAATTATGGTTTAGAAGATCTGCTTTGTTTGGGGTCAACAATAGGGAGTTGGAAAACAATTTTCTAAGTATGCTTAACCGTTAGCATTTCCTATCATAAGGTTAGACAAGTATTGCAACTAGCTTAAATATTTAACTAGTAATCTGTTTAAGTATTACAATACAGAAGATAAGCTCATGAAAAGATGTTCAACGTCATTAGTTATTATTAGAGAAGTGCAAATTAAAACCACAAAATATCATTACATGCCTATCAATGGTTAAAATAAAAAAATGACAATACTAAATGCTGGCAAGGATGCAGAGAAGCTAGATTGCTCACACATTGCTGGTGGAAAAGAAAATAGTACAGCCTCTTTGGAAAACACTTTGGCAATTTCTTTAAAAACTCAACATGCACTTACATACAATTTAACAATTGTAGTCTTGGGCATTTATCCCAGAGAAATGAAAATGTACGTTCACACAAAAACCTGTACATGAACGTTCATGAAAGCTTTATTCTTAATAGCTAAAAACTGGAAACAAACCAAATGTCCTTCAACAGGTGAATGGTTAAACAAGCTATGACATCCATACCAGGAATGCTGTGCAGCAATAACTATTGATACAGGCAAAAACTTGGATCCATCTTAAGGGAATTATGCTGAGTTTACAAAACCAATTTTAAAATGCTACATTTTATGACTTCATTTATACAATATTCTTGAAATTGTAAAATTATAGGGATAAAGATAGAGAAGAGACTGGTGGTTGACAGGGGTTAGAAATGGGGGGTGGGGGTGGGGGTGTCTGTAAAGAGTTAACACAAAGGTCCTTTGGAGAAAGAGCAGTCTGTATCTTCATATACAGTGATGGTTATATGAATCTACACAGGTGATAAAATTGCATAGAATAAATAGATGTATATGTGCACAGATACACATATATACACACATATATACACACATAAATGAGTGCATGAAGTGCCTGTAAAAACTCATGAAATCTGAAAAATCTCCCTAGATGATTTCACTGTCATTTCCCTGGTTTTGATATCGTACTATAGTTTTGCAAACTGTTGCTTTCAAGGGAAACTGGGTGAAAGGTACATGAGAACTCCTACATATTTTTTCCTGCAACTTTCTGTGAACATATAATTATTTTGAAATAAAATGTTAAACAATGGTGTGCTCGACTCACTTTAAAGTCTAACCCTGTATTGTTAATAAGGTGCATTTATTTCTGCTAAGGGCAAAGAATAAAAGCAACAATATATATATATAAAGCTAGGAGCAAGGAAAGAGATGTAGTTGAAATTCATTGGTAATTCACTTAGAAACTCATGTATGGTAGAATATGTTTGAGAATTATTGTACTTGCTTACATATTTTTTCACAAATACATTTATTTATATGAGTGTGACAAGAAGGCAGAAGTAAATGTTGCCACCGCACATTGAAAATCCTGAGAGCCTGGGCTCAGATTCCCACTGGTTTTCTTGTTGCAGCAGCAGTTTCTTCAGACATAAAGGCCAGAGAAGACAGTAAAAACAACTAAAAACATGTAAACAGGCCGGGCGCAGTGGCTCACGCCTGTAATCCCAGCACTTTGGGAGGCCAAGACAGGCGGGTCACCTGAGGTCAGGAGTTTGAGACTAGCCTGACCAACATGGAGAAATCCTGTCTCTACTAAAAATACAAAATTATCAGGGTGTGGTGTTGCATGCCTGTAATCCCAGCTACACAGGAGGCTGAGACAGGAGAATCGCTTGAACCCGGGAGACGGAGGTTGTGGTGAGCCGAGATTGCGCCACTGCACTCCAGCCTGGGCGACAAGAGCGAAACTGCGTCTGAAAAAAAAAAAAAAAGTAAACACTAATACATCTTTTTTTTTCCAAAAAGTTTTAATCAATTTTTTTTTAATTTCTCATTTTGTATTCCTGTGTTGGAATTCACTTAGGCCTCAAATCAGATGGTTGTATTTTGGAGGAAGAAAAGCAGCATGAGAGTAAAATTTTGAGATGTTGTACACTTTTACTCTTTAACACCAACAGATAGGCAAAGTTTGAAGTTTTTTAATGTATCTTTAGCAATTGGAGTTTATCTTAAGAGCATAAAAACAGTTTCTATAAACTGTATATAATATTTTAGATGATTTCAAAGAAAAGGTCATGCCTTATCAAGAACCTTCAAATAAGTGTAAAACTTGTACAGTTTATTTTTGAAAATTAATTTGATTAAAAAATTTAATTTAAAAGCAAAACAGTATTCATCATAGCAATAGGATACTTCTTTTACAAATTATGTAACATTTGCTCAATGGAATACTTTGCTGTAAGTTAGCTATGTCATATCTCAATAGAGGACTTTTAGGAAACATGGTTCAGTAAAAATGCAGAATAGAAAAGTATGTAAAGTACTCATCATTTAGTTAAAATGGGGGTATATACAAAATATGTATACATATCCACTTATGTTTAAAAAATGAAAGGAGATACCTAAATATTAAAAAATTGATTACCTAGAAGGAAGGTAGGAAATGAGAAGGACACAGGAATAGAAATTTAAATTCTGTCAATATGCCTTGTTTCATAGATTTGATATTGACACCATATACATATTTTACATAATTTTAAAATCATATTAAAAAGAATAAGCAATCCCTAGAAATTGAATGGAAAATCAAACATATGGACTAACCTAAATATGTACTGATTTGTTGGCATAACCTCATAGACAAGAGTTCTCTAAGTGACTTTACAGTATAGTAGTAAACTGTACATTCCAGATGAGATATAAAGACAAAAAGAACCATGAAAAACAACCCTAAATTTTGTGTTTCTTGCACTAATCATATGTAGTGATTTTTTTTCTTTTTTCTTTATTTCTTCTAAAAAACAACAGCACCACGGGATACATGGGCAGAATGTACAGGTTTGTTACATAGGTGTATGTGTGCCATGGTGGTTTGCTGCACCTATTGACCCGTCTTCTAAATTCCCTCCCCTCACCCCCATCCCCAAACAGGGCCTTTCATGTGTTCTTCCCCTCTCTGCGTCTATGTGTTTACAATGTTTAACTCCCACTTATGAGTGAGAACATGCGGTGTTTGGTTTTCAGTTCCTGTGTTAGTTTGCTGAGGATGATGGCTTCCAGCTTCATCCATGTCCCTGAGAAATACATGATCTTATTCCTTTTTATGGCTGCATAATATTCCACGTGTATATGTACCACATTTTCTTTATCCAATCTATCATTGATGGGCATTTGGGTTGGTTCCATGGTTTTGCTATTGTAAATAGTGCTGTAGTAAATATACATGTGCATATGTCTTTATAGTGGAATGATTTGTATTCCTTTGGGTATATACCCAGTAATGGGATTGCTGGGTCAAATGGTATTTTTGGTTCTAGATACTTGAGTAATCACTATACTGTCTATCACAATGGTTGAACTAATTTACATTCTCATCAACAGTGTAAAAGTGTTCCTATCTCTCCACAGCCTCACCAGGATCTATTGTTTCCTGACTTTTTAATAATCACCATTCTGACAGGCATGAGATGGCATCTTATTGTGGTTTTGATTTGCATTTTTCTGATGATCAGTGATGTTGAACTTCTTTTCCTATGTTTGTTGACCATGTAACGTCTTCTTTTGAGAAGTGTCTGTTCATATCCTTCACCCACTTTTCGATGGGGTTGTTTGTTTTTTTTCTCGTAAATTTGTTTAAGTTCTTTGTAATTTCTGGGTATTAGACCTCTGTCAGATAGGTAGATAGTGAAAAATTTTCTCCCATTCTGTAGGTTGCCTGTTCACTCTGATGGTAGTTTCTTTTGCCGTGCAGAAGCTCTTTAGTTCAATTAGATCCCATTTGTCAATTTTAGCTTTTGTCGCAATTACTTTTGGTGTTTTTGTCATGAAGTCTTTGCCCAGGCCTATGTCCTGAATGGTATTGCCTAGGTTTTCCTCTAGAGTTTTTATGGTTTTGGGTTTTAAATTTAAGTCTTTAATCCATCTTGAGTTAATTTTTGTATAAGGTGTAAGGAAGGGGTCCAGTTTCAGTTTTCTGCATATGGCTAGTCAGTTTTCCCAGCACCATTTACTGAATAGGAGATCCTTTCCCCATTGCTAGTTTTTGTCAGGTTTGTCAAAGATCAGATGGTTATAGATGTGTGGTGTTATTTCTGAAGTCTCTGTTCTGGTCCATTAGTCTATATGTCTGTTTTGGTATGAGTACCATACTGTTTTGGTTACTGGAGCCTTATAGTATAGTTTGAAGTCAGGTAGCATGATGCCTCCAGTTTTATTCTTTTTGCTTAGGATTGTCTCAGCTACACGGGGTCTTCTTTGATTCCATATAAAATTTAAAGTAATTTTTTCTAATTCTGTGAAGAATATCAATGGTAGTTTGATGGGAATAGCATTGAATCTATAAATTACTTTGGGCAGTATGACCGTTTTCACCATAATCATTCTTCCTATCCATGAGAATGGAATGTTTTTCCATTTGTTTGTGTCCTCTCTACTTCCTTGAGCGGTGGTTTGTAGTTCTCCTTGAAGAAGTCCTTCATATCCCTTGTTAGCTGTATTCCTAGGTATTTTATTCTCTTTGTAGTGATTGTGAGTGGGAGTTCATTTGTGATTTGGCTCTCTGCTTGCCTATTGTTGGTGTAAAGAAATGTTTGTGGTTTTTGCACATTGATTTTGTATCCTGAGACTGCTGAAGTTGCTTATCAGTTCAAGAAGCTTTTGGGCTGAGATGATGGGGTTTTCTAAGTATAAAATCATGTCGTCTGCAAACAGAGACAACTTGACTTCTTCTCTTCCTATGTGAATACCTTTCATTTCTTTCTCTTGCCTGATTGCCATGGCAGAATTCCAATACTCTGTTAAATACGAGTGGTGAGAGAGGGCCTTGTCTTCTACCAGTTTTCAAAGGGAATGCTCCCTGCTTTTGCCCATTCAATATGATATTGGCTGTGGATTTGTCATAAATAACTTATTATTTTGAGATATGTTCCATCAATATTTAGTTTATTGTGAGTTTTTAACATGAAGGGATGTTGAATTTTATCAAAGGCCTTTTCTGCATCTATTGAGATAATCATGTGGTTTTTGTCTTTGGTTCTGTTTATGTGATGGATTATGTTTATTGATTTGCATATGTTGGACCAGCCTTGCATCCCAGGGATGAAGCTAACTTGGTTGTGGTGGATAAGTTTTTTGATGTGCTGCTGGATTCAGTTTGCCAGTATTTTATTGAGGATTTTTGCATTGGTGTTCATCAGGGATATTCACCTGAAGTGTTCTTTTCTGTGTGTGTCTCTTCCTGGTTTTGGTATCAGGATGATGCTGGCTTCATAAAATGAGTTAGGGAGGAGTTCCTCCTTTTCAATTTTTGGAATAGTTTCAGAAGGAATGGTACCAACTCCTGTTTGTATTTCTGATACAATTCAGCTTTGAATCTGTTTGGCCCTGAGCTTTTTCTGGTTGATAGGCTATTAATTACTGCCTCAATTTCAGAGCTTGTTATTGGTCTATTCAGGAATTTAACTTCTTCCTAATTTAGTCTTGGTAGGGTGTATGCATCCAGGAATTTATCCATTTCTTCTAGATTTTCTAGTTTATTTGCATAGAGGTGTTTATAGTATTCTCTGATGATAGTTTGTATTTCTGTGCGGTCAGTGGTCATATCCCCTTTGTCATTTTTTATTGTGTCTATTTGATTCTTCTCTCTCTTCTTCTTTATTAGTGTAGCTAGCAGTGTATCTATTTTGTTAATCTTTTCAAAAAAAAAACCAGCTCCTGGATTCGTTGATTTTTTGGTGGGTTTTTCATGTCTCTATTGCCTTCATTTATTCTCTGATCTTGCTTGTTTCTTGTCTACTGCTAGCTTTTGGATTTGTTTGCTCTTGCCTCTCTAGCTCTTTTAATTGTGATGTTAGATTCAAGAGCTTTCTAGCTTTCTGATATGGGCATTTAGTGCTATAAATTTTCCTCTTAACACTGCTTTAGCTGTGTCCCAGAGATTCTGTTACATTGTCTCTTTGTTCTCATTGGTTTCAAACAACTTCTTGATTTCTGCCTTAATTTCATGATTTACCCTGGAGTCATTCAGGAGCAGGTTGTTCAATTTCCATGAAATTGTGTGGTTTTGAGTGAGTTCCTTAACCCTGAGTTCTAATTTGACTGCACTGTGGTCTGAGAGACTGCTTGTTACGATTTCAGTTCTTTTGCATTTGCTGAGGAGTGTTTTAGTTCCAATTATGTGGTCGATTTTAGAATAAGTGCCATGTGGCACTGAGAAGAATGTATATTCTGTTGATTGAGGGTAAAGAGTTCTGTAGACATCTACTAGGTCCACTTGGTCCAGAGCTGAGTTCAAGTCCTGAATATCCTTGTTAATTTTCTCTCGTTGATCTGTCTAATACTGACAGTGGGGTTTTAAGTCTCCCACTATTATTGTGTGGGAGTCTAAGTCTCTTTGTAGGTCTCTAAGAACTTGCTTTATGAATCTGGGTGCTTCTTATTGGGTGCATATATATTCAGAATAGTTAATTCTTCTTGTTGAATTGTTCCCTTTACCATTATGAAATGCCCTTCTTTGTCTGTTTTGATCTTTGTTGGTTTAAGGTCTGTTTTGTCAGAGGCTAGGATTGCAACCCTTATTATTTTTGCTTTCCATTTGATTGGTAAATTTTCCTCCATCCCTTTATTTTGAGCCTGTGTATGTCTTTGCATGTAAGATGGGTCTCCTAAATACAGCCCATCAATGGGTCTTTACTCCTTATCCAATTTGCCAGTCTGTGTCTTTTAATTGGGGCATTTAGCCCATTTACATTTAAGGTTAGTATCGTTATGTGTCAATTTGATTATTTCATCATTATGCTATTTGGTTATTTTGTATACTAGTTGATGCAGTTTCTTCATAGTGTCATTGGTCTTTATGTTTTGGTGCATTTTTGCAGTGGCTGGTACCAGTTTTTCCTTTCCATATTTACTGCTTCTTTCAGGAGCTCTTACAGGGCAGGCCTGGTGGTGATGAAATCTCTCAGCATTTGCCTGTCTGAAAGGATTTTATTTATCCTTCGCTTATGAAGCTTAGATTGGCTGGATATGAAATTCTGGGTTGAAAATTCTTTTCTTTACAAATGTTGAATATTGGCCCCCAGTCTCTTCTGGCTTGTAGAGTTTCTGCTGAGAGGGCCATTGTTAGTCTGATAGGCTTCCCTTTGTAGGTCATCTGGCCTTTCTCTTTGGCTGCCCTTAACAGTTTTTCCTTTATTTCAACCTTGGAGAATCTGATGATTATGTGTCTTGGGTTGATCTTCTCATGGAGTATCTTAATGGTGTTCTCTGTGTTTCCTGAATTTGCATGTTGGTCTGTCTGGCTTGGTTGGAGAAGCTCTCCTGGGTAATATCCTGAAGTGTGTTTTCCAGCTTGTTTCCATTCTCCCCGTCTCCTTCTCGTACTCCAATCAATCGTAGGTTCGGTCTTTTTATGAAGTCCCATATTTCTTGGAGGCTTTGTTCATTCCTTTTCATTCTTTTTTCTCTATTCTCGTCTGCATGTCTTATTTCAGTAAGGTGGTCTTCAAACTCTGATATTCTTTCTTCCGCTTGGTCGATTTGGCTGTTGATATTTGTGTATGCTTCAGGAAGTTCTCATGCTGTGTTTTTCAGCTCCATCAGGTCATTTCTGTTCCTCTCTAAACTAGTTATTCCAGTTAGCAATTCCTCTAACCTTTTATCAAAGTTCTTAGCTTCTTTGAATTGGGTTAGAACGTGCTCCTTTACCTCATCGTAGTTTTTTATTACCCATCTTCTGAAGCCTACTTCTGTAAATTTATTCATCTGATGTTCCATCCAGTTCTGTGGCCTTGAGGGAGAGACATTGTGATCATTTGGAAGAGAAGAGGCACTCTGGTCACTCGGGTTTTCAGCATTTTTTCATTGATTCTCATTTTTGTGTGTTTGTCTAGTTTTGGTCTTTGAAGCTGCTGAACATTGGAAGGGGTTTTTGTAGGGGTCTTTTGTTGTTGTTGTTGATGCTGTTGTTGTTGCTTTCTGCTTGTTTTTCTTTCAATAGTCATGTACCCCTTCTGTAGGGCTGCTGCAGTTTGCTGGGGGTTCACTTCAGGCCCTATTCATCTGATTCACTCCCGTGCCTGGAGATGTCACTCAAGGAGGCAGGATAGCAGCAAAGATGGGTGCCTGCTCCTTCTTCTGGGACCTCTGACCTGGAGGGGTATCAACGTGATGCTAGTAGGATGGCTCCTGTATAGTGTGTCTGACAACCCTTGTTGGAGGGTCTCACCCAGTTGGATGGCACGTGGAGAAGCACCCATTTAATAAAGCACTTTGTGCCTTGGTGGAGAGAGTGTGCTTCGCTGGGGGAAAACCCACTGGTCTGGGCTGTCTGGATTCCTCAGAACTACCAGGAGGAGAGGCTAAGTCTGCTGGTCTGCAGAGACTGTGGCCACCCCTCCCCCCTAGGAGCTCAGGCCCAGGGAGATCTGAATTCTGTCCTTGAGCCTCTGGCTGGAGCTATTAGAGCTTCTGCAGGGAAGTCCTGCCCACTGAGGAAGGATGGGTCAGGGTTAGACCTGGAGAGGCACTCTGGCTTCAGACTGCCACAGCCAGTGTGTTGGGTTGTGGGGACAAGACCTGGGACCAAGCCATCCAACATCCCTGGCTCCAGCAGGGGAAAAACACAGCCTGGAGCTTTAGAAATGGTTTCCACCCTTCCCCGCCCCAGGAGCTTAGCATGTCAGGCAGTTGCGAATCCCAGTGCTGGCTGCTTCCCATCCCTGAAGAAACTCAAACGGCTTAGACAGCAGGCAGCTGCAGCCAGTGCTGCTCACCCCTTCCCCCAGGAGTTCGGTAGGCTTAAGCAGATTCCAGCTGAGAGGCTGTAAGAATGTACGTTCTGAGGTTGGGATGTTAGGCCCCAGTGGCATGGGTTCACAAGTGGGATCTTCCCATCTGTGAGTTGCACAGTTCCATGGAAAAAGCGCAGTTTCCCCGACTGAGTAGCACATTCATTCACCGCCTCCCTTGGCTAGGGGGAGGGGGTTCCCCTTTCCTGTGTGGCTCTCAAGTGAGTGGCCACACCACACTGCTCTTCCTTCTCTCCATGGATCATGCCAGCCTTCTAGTCAATTTTGATGAGAAAATCTGGATACCTTGGTTGCCGGTGAAGGATTCACACGCTTATTATGTTTTTTTTTTTTTTATGGGAGCCTCTGAACGGCGCGGCTTCTATTTGGCCACCTTGGCCCTACTCCCTCCAACTTTTTATATCATGTATTTTTTAATGGTAGTGACAGAGACAGGAGACAGCCAAATGCTGCCTAGGTCACTGCACACAGGAGGTTTGCCTAAACATGTCCACAGTGAAAAATTCTGTCCGTAACACATGCACAGTAAGGGAAATAAATCAATGTGGAGTGGCTCAGAGTAAGGGCCCTCGTGAACACTGGAAGAATGGGGTGGAGTCACCAGGAATTCATGCCTCATGCAGGGGCAGGAGCTGAGCCTCAACTCACCTGTGGTGCCCTGGTATTCAGTCTGTGAGGTGAGAGCCTGTTGGCAGGACCCTTTCTTTTTTGCTGAGAGCTTTCTTTTAATAAAATCTGCTCTCCTCACGTTTCAATGTGTCTGCGTGCCTGATTTTTCCTGGTCATGAGACAAGAACCCAGATTTTAGCTGAGCTAAGGAGCAAAAAATCCTGCATCAGTGGTATGGGCATTGCTATTAAGCAGTGATTAAATATTTAATGATGTACAGAATTATTATTCATAATTTAAGAAGAGATAATATTTTTATGGATATGTTTGAAAAGAAGCATTATTTTTTAGAGAAACATGCTGAGCTATTTACATATAAATAATATGATGCTTAGATTTGCTTCAAAATAATCCAGGTGCAGGGAAGTAGGTGGGTTGTAGTTGAAATAAGACCAAGAGTTAATAATTACTGAATCTGGGTGGTGGGCACATGAGCTTTATTAATTATTCTATTTTTGTATATATTTGTCATTTTCAAATTAAAATATTAAAAATTTTAACCAACAAAGGTCTAATACCCAGATTCTATAAGGAATTTAAACAAATAAAAGAGCAAAAATTAAATAATTCCATCAAAAACTGGGCAAAGGACAACAGATATTTCTCAAAAAAAGACATACAAGCAGCCAACAAACGTATGAACAAATACTCATTATCACAGATCTTCAGAGAAATGCAAATCAAAACCATAATGAGATACCACCTCACTTGAGTCAGAATGGCTTTTGCTAAAAAGTCAAAAAAAATAACAGATCCTGGCAAGGCTGCAGAGAAAAGGGAACATTTATACACTGTTATGGGAATGAAATTAGTCCAGCCACTGTGGAGAGCAGTTTGAAGATTTCTCAAAGAGCTAAGACTTGAACTACCATTCAATCCAGCAATCTGATTACTAGGTATATACCCAAAGGAAAATAAATTGTTCTACCAAAAGGATGCATGCACTTTTATGTTCATCATGTTCATCACAGCACTATTCACAATAGCAAAAACATGGAATCAACCCAGGTGTCCATCAACAATGGACTGGATAAAGAAAATGTGGTATATATATGCCATGGAATACTATGCAGTCATAAAATGAATGAGATCATGTCCTTTGCAGCAACATGGATGCATTTGGAGGCCATCATCCTAAGTGAACTAAAGCAGAAACAGAAAACCAAATACTGCACATTCTCACTTATAAGTGGGAGATAAGCAATGGACATAAAGATGGGAACAATAGACAATGGAGGGGAGAGAGAAGGAGCGGGGCAAGGGCTGAAAAACTGCTTATGGGTACTAGGTTCACTACCTAGGTGACGATTTCAATCAAACCTCAAACCTCATCATCACGTAATATACCTTTGTAACAAACTTGCATGTGTACCTCTTGATTCTAAAATAAAAATTGACCAAAAAATGTCAGTCATATCAGACTTGAAATTTAAAAATGAAAGATATGTTGCTACCTTCAATACCATAGACAATGTTCTCCTTAGGGAAGCCTAGCCTAATTTAAAAAAATGCAAAAGCAAGTGCTTTTTTTTCTAGTGCTCTCTATCAAGGTTATTTAATTTTTTTCAGACTACAGGAGTATTGGAGTCTAATATAAGATTTTGGAAAATTATTTTCAATTTTAGAAATGTAGGAAAAACAAATTAGTCTTTTCAGGGCATGGATGAAATTTAGCTTGAGCTTCTTAGCTAGGATTTATGTGAGAAAACCCAGAGGAACACATAAGCACAAACTTCCAGCTCCCGTTTGCCTTGTGTGCCTATTAAGTCTTCATCACCATTACTCTGCCAGAGAGGATTGTGACTCTGCCATTAGAAGGTGTGGGCTTCAGTCCTGCCTCTAATCTTTTTAACCTTCATATGTAACTGTAAAATGAGTAGATTATATCTATTTCCTAAAAAATTGTGAGGTTTAAATGAAAAAAAAGGGTAAGTGCTACATAAGGTGGCTAGAAATTAATAGATGCTCAATACGTGTTATATATGTTTTTATTTTTTACTCCCGTTCTAAAGGAATAATATCCACTGCACATGGTTGTTGTCACCATTGAGTGAAATAATACTGTGTTTAAAAGTGGTTATTAGTTGTTATTATGCTTGTGTTATCATTAGACCACAAGATAAGATACCATTCAGCAGACTGCTTATTTCACATAGAGTTTTTGGGAAATATGGTTCATGGTTTGGTGGACTTCCAGAGACCCAAGTAAATTGACATCATCTCCAGAGCATGTTTACTTGGGTGAGATTGGTATTGATTTGTTGGAGCTCAGAGGCATGTTTGCCAGAGTGAGTCTGTCCTCGATTGTCTGACTTTCAGAAGGGAGGTGCTGGCACTGGTTGGTTGGTTTGTGAAAGTGTGTTGTTCATAGAGGTGAGTTATTGATAGATTGAATAGGGCAAAACATGGTTTTGATGACTATTTGTTACAAGGCAACAGAATAATGAAGTTTTCTTAAGTTTGTAAGAACTTTTAAATATTTATCTATCACTTTTTGCATGCCTACTAGTTTCTCTAGAATATATCTCATCTAGAAAAATAAATCTTGTACCCTCTGATGCTGAATACCAGGGCACAGCTCCCAAGAGAATGGAAAGAAATAATCCCCTATTTATGGTTTCAGGATAAGCCAAGATGTTTTAATTCAATATGAAAGACTTGCCAAAATTTGTCAATTTTGTGAATTTTCATTTTGTTTCATCTACATTTATCAACTGATTGGTTAGACAGTTGAAATTTATTGGCAAATGTAGCAATGCAAATGCTTAGCAAATTTCACTGGCATTACTCTTGGTGAGAGAAATTGATGGTCCTAAGGAGAGGGTGTGACCAATTCAACTATTTTCAAGGACATTGAGAGAGTTATCGATGAATAGACATTTTCTCCTAACATTGAATTTATTTTTTCTATCAGTGTAAAAAGGTAACTTTTGAATAATTATGATGTTCACTAAACTTGTGTTTGTTTTGCTTAATGACTTGTCCACTGTGTTATTTCCAAGCAAGTAGCAAGCACTGAAACTCTCAAGGATAAAATGCAGACAGACTCACAAAACTCAATCAAGGCCACCAATCAGCTTGTGACTCCAGTCACAATTGCTTACTTCTGTCTACATCTTCTCCCATCAGCCATTATTCATGATCTGCTTAGCACAGCTCTCCTGAGGCTATTTCCTTTTTCAGAATAAATAGGTTAAGGCTTAAGCCTGGAATAAAGATGTTACCTCAGTTGCCAGCGGCCTTCTGTGGTCCATCTAATTCCAGTCTTCACCCTAGTCTTTCAGTCTCAGATAGGGTTGAGCCAAGATATCCAGGTACAACTGGGGCAGGCGATAATTGGCTCCTCTTAAAGTTGATATTCTTTAAATATTATAGCACATTAAAATAGTGAGGGCAGGAATGATGGAAATATCAGCAAGATGTTTTTGTTTGTTTTGTTTGTTGGCTGTTTGTTTATTTTTATTCAAAAGGACTGCCAACTTGAGTTGCAGTAGAACCAAATTACATGTCACCAGGTAGAATAGAAGGCTTGTTAATGGGCCTCCATTTAACCAACTTGTTATATAAACTGACACCATTTCTCCTCTGGAAAGCATAATGGCTCATGCCAACACTATGCTGAATGTTCACAGCCAGTAACTACTTTCTAGTACACACCCCACCCCACAATTCTACCCCACTGCTCTCACTCAACAGTCAGTATAGTGCACAAAGATAGAGAATTGTTCTGTAAAATATGAATTGAATGTTTCTGAAAGACTTGATAACATCTGGGGGCTAAAATATGTCTATCCAGTTGGTGTGGGTGAAACAAAGCTTGGAAAAGAAATTTTTAAAAATCTTAAAACATTTTTATACTCATGTTATTTTGTAATTGTCTTAAATTCTTGGTTCACTTTGAAGAATGTGAAACTCAAAATTATAGCCCCTACATTATGAATGTGGTGTGTGGTTTATATAAGAAAGGATAGTCAGGGCAACAGACCATAATAGATCTGTATGCAAATGAAAGGCCTTGGTCCTACTTCAAAAGATGGGTACATTCATGTTTTAGTGAAAATAAAATTTCAACTCATATATATATATATATATAATTTTTACAGATTTGTCACTTTAGCTGATTTTTTTAAATTGAGAAATTTCAGTTGCATCTGATAAGGAAGTTCTATCTACACAGGAGTCACCTATGGAGGGGGCCACATTGTCATCCTGGGCTGACTAATATTCATATTCTTATCTCCTGGTCTTTACTTTTTGTCCTGTATTTGGACCTCTGCTTTTCCTGACACTTTCCTTTAATATATTCATTACCCATATTTATTGGTTCTAACACTTGATCTGCTTGGGTACACGGGCATATTGTAACCTCTACTTACCACCCCTGGTTTCTCAGTTCATCTAATTGATGCCAGGAAATGCATCTCTGCTACTTCTGGTCTCTCTGCTAATTCTAGCATAAAATTGTGGACCCATGTTTGAAAGCCCCATCTGAATAAGAATGTTCAGGAAGACACTTGTTGCCAGTGAGTAGCTACATACAATACATAGCAGCATTAATTGAACACTATATTTTTTCCCACCACTGTGCCCTCAGCATTGTAAATAGTCAATACAGGTTTGTACAATGAACTGTTAAACACTTATTACATGTCAAGAATTTTATTGACCATATCTTATTTAATACATCAACTTTATGAAGCAGATGTTGTTATCGTCATTTGAAAGGAGATGAATCTGAGGCAGAGAAGTTTAGTGGTTTGACAAATATCAGATAGCCAGAAAATGAAGTAAACAATGAAGAGGATTTGAATCCATACCTTTTTGACTACAAACACTGAACTTTTAACCTCCATGTAGGTTCTGCTTTATGTTAGCTTTGTTAAGGCAAATGCTAAAAATGTTACCATTTAAATTAAAGAGGAAGACACAAGTTAGTTATTCACTCATTTATTCATTCATGCTTCCAACACATCTACTGAGCACTTATAATTTGCTAGGCACTAGTGCTTGGTAGGGAGACTGGAGTTGGGAGTATAGCCCCACACTACTGTCTGGGAGGCTCTGCCCTCCATGAGTCTCACACACTTGCTGGACCTGACATGCTTCTAAAGTTACAGAGATAGATACAAAGTTATTGCCTTCTTAGAGATTACATTCTAGTAAGGAGAGTTAGAAATAAACAAATAAATATAAAATACATTAATATGACAAAAGGATAAGTTATTGAAGTACTGTGGTAGAGCTCTTTAATTCCTTTGAGGAACTAATAATTTGATTGAGGAGACAAAGCATGACTACATTAAAAGTTAAACAGTTAAAAGTATCAAGCAACCTAAATGATAATAATAAGAATATAATAATAATAATGTAAGAACCGAAACAAAGCACTGAAGATTAATTTCTATTAAGTATTGTAGAAAACAAATGATGGAAGTGTAGAAGAGGGGAAGATTTCTCTGGGCTGCAGTGTTCTGGGGAAGTTTTCTAGGGGGAAGAGACTAAAATGTAGATAGGGTTTGGCTGGAAGGAGGGAGGAAAGTACTCTGGGACAATGAAAACAAGTTAATTGTCTCAACGAGACAATGGAAAGTTCATTTTCCTGCTGATAGTTGCTAAACGTGACAGATTTAAAGAGTGCAAGTTTGGCCCTCATGGCTTTTAACACTAAATCTGAAGTTCCATTCTATTTCATCAACCTGACCTCAGAAACATCAGCATGGTGCCTGGAAGCTCATGCATCAATTTCTGAGCCTCAACAGATGGATACGCTTTAAAAAAAAAATGCAAACAAAACACTACATTTACCATGCCCTGTAGAGTATGAAAATCTAGCTGACATTCTCATTTACTCATCATCCGTCTCCTTTAATATGTCATCCATCATTTGCTCCTATTTCCCTTAAGAGCTTGTGAAAAGTTGGAGTGCAAATGGCCAAGCAGCCAAACGCCTTCCATTATTTCTCTGATGGGAATACAGGGGGGAAGTGAAGTTCCTCTGACAACAATGGCTGATGCAAGACAAGAGTAGGAACTTGAGTCTGAACTAGTAAAGCACTCCTCTGATGGGCAGGGCATTGAAATGATGGTTGAAGGTAGGGCATAGTTCTGTATCTACCCAGGGATAGGAGTATTTTGAAATAAGGTGTTGCCAAGTCACCATTCTAGAAAGGAGCCTCTTTGTCCATGCAATTGGAGTAGATGAGCAGAAGGGTAGGGCCTGGACCTTTCACACATCCCCCGGAGTCCTAAAATGGTAAACTCAAAATGAATCCTGAGGGCCAAGGTGGCTGAAACATATGTGGGGAAGTGTGAGAATATGATTTCAGGCAATGAAAGGAAGTGGTAGATGGCTTTTTTTCCCCTATATTGATGAAGAAGTTAAGGAAAGAACAATACCATATTATAAAAACTGAATAAACAATATGTGCTATTATTTAACTGTTATTTGACTGCAGCAATGCCAGTTAAAAAGTGTCAGAGACACTTTTAGAGTGAGGGGAGTTGAATTTAATTTCCAGGGCTCAATAATTACCCATGGAGTCTTGTAACTCGAAGATTCAATTGCTTTCTTATATGGGCTGTTTTTCCACTTGTGATTTTTTTTTTTTTTTTTTTTGGAGTCTTTTTTGGGAGGTGGGGAGGGGTGGTATGAGGTTCAGATAAAAATAAAATTCACAATTGTTTGTGACATATACAACTTTAATTATTTAGAAATATTTGAGTTCATCTAGTAAGAGGCAAGTTGTTCTAAAATTAAAAACTTTTCAGAATTGAAATGTATTATTATTCCAATCACCAAAGTAAACTTTAAACTCAATGAATTTATATTAAATTCTGAGTGTTTAATAAAAGTCACTATGCTATGTTCCATGGGGAATATGAATAGAGACATTATATACATCTTTTGAGAAGTGCCAATCTTACTAATCTCCAAAACAAAATCATAAAAAAGAAGCAAAAAACATCATTGTAATAAAACTTTAGTGACTGTGTTTACACATACATATTGGTTGAAAAATCCTACCAATGTCAAATGCAGACAAATAAGGTTTTCTACAAAGGAGTCCACTTACCCCTCTAAGTCAGAGGAAAAATTTAAAAATTACAATTCTCATTTTGTCTTGATTTGTGCATGTTTCTACTCTCTCATAACATGATCAACACAGTCAGATTCTCCTTCAGCACTGGAATAAGTTACTGATTCTTGCTGTGCCTCAGGAATCAGAGCTGGTTCGTGTTTAGGGGCTTTTTTCAGTTCTGTGCTTGGACCTGGGAAAGAGGAGCCCCTGGCCTGGGCCCTGTGTTTCAGACAGCCTTCCTGAATATCACACAAAAAAGTAAATACATGTTTTAAAAACACATGACTACTTCCATCACTTGGAATCCAGAGCTCAGTACTAGAACTGTGTGATACATAATCAAGGCGGGCTACATAATCTGGATGGCTCGGAGCAAAATAAAAATGTTTCTTTTACAAAAAGCAGACAAAATGCTATGAAATAAACACATGAAATGTTTTTCCTTCTTCCAGGGTCTCTCTCTCCTGTCATGTTGTTTTTATCTGTTCTTTAATGCTGTTCTAAGTAAGGAAATTTAAAATTACTAGCATGAATCTTCTTCTTCTTTATATTGTGCAACTCCAGTTTCAAATACAAACATCAGAGCATTTAACTTGCATGCAAACTCACTGAAATTACACCATCTACATTTTGTGGCTCAACCCCCGGAGCTGGCCAAAAGAGACAAACACAAGCCAGACCCAGAAAAAAATAGAAGAAGGAAGAGAGGATTCCCCCCAAGGGCATGGAGCCAGGTGAGGGAGTGCTTGGTAGGGAGATTGGAGTTGGGAGTATAGCCCCACACTACTGTCTGGGAGGCTCTGCCCTCCATGAGTCTCTCACACACTTGCTGGACCTGACAGCCACTGGGTTTCCAGTTCTACCAGCCCAGCCACTGAAGGCATGTGCAGAACCCAGGCCAGGGGCGGGATCTGAAGAAGCTGAGCTCTGCCTTTCTCTTTCCTACCCGTCCCACTCCCCAACTCAAGGCAGATTGGCAGCCCCACAAGGATTGTTGAAAGTTTGCACCTGAAGGTGCCTGTTACCTGGATCCAGGATGGGTAAGAGGCTTACTTTCAGGGAGACATGGTTTCTGTCTGGTTGTAGTCTATGGCAGGGGTGGCTACCTCTGGGCATGCAAGGCATGACTGCACCCTCCCTTCCCAGGCCTCCACCCACACGCTTCCCAAGCCAAGTGTTGTCACAAGGCAGGGTTGAGGGAAAGCCGGGTTAGCCCAGGCTGTTAGGGGAGTGGGTGGCTTAGAATAGTCCTAGGGAGACTGCAGGAGACAGACACAATCTGAGAAGGTTCCAAGCCCTCAGGGCATGCTCCATTGTCCCATGGGACTTCACTTAGAAAACACAAACTCAGGCCAGTCGCGGTGGCTCACGCCTGTAATCCCAGCACTTTGGAAGACCAAGGCGGGCGGATCACGAGGTCAGGAGAAGGAGACCCTCCTGGCTAACACGGTGAAACCTCGTCTCTACTAAAACACACACACACATACACAAATTAGCCGGGCATGGCAGCATGCACCTGTAGTCCCAGCTTCTCAGGAGGCTGAGGCGGGAGAATGGCGTGAACCCGGGAGGCGGAGCTTGCAGTGAGCGGAGATTGCGCCACTGCACTCCAGCCTGGGCGACAGAGCAAGACTCCAGCTCAAAAAAAAAAAAAAAAAAGAAAAAAAAAAAAGAAAACACAGACTCAAAGATAAAATTGTTATTTAGAACATTTTCAAAATGGCAACCACAGAACATTAAAGCCCAAGCTAAGGGTCCTTCTTAGTAGGTGCCCTGTGTGATTACATTCCAAGCCCATGAAGCCCACACCCGTAAATACCTTCCCTTGCGATGTTTACCCTTCTGGGCCCAAGGACTTGCTTCTCCACCTCTCCCACCTTGTATCTTTGAAACAAAAGTCCACTGTGTGCAAATGCAGTGAACGCTCGAGGGTGCTGCTGCTGACATGGAAAAGACCATTGCTTCAGTGTGTGTGTGTGTGTGTGTGTGTGTATTGGGAGCTGGGGGGTAGTAATGCCCAAGGCAATTATGGAAAGTTTGAATTGATCAGTTTGTCAAATCCTTACTCTCAGATAATATGAATGCAAGGGAATCTTGCATAATAAATATAATACATTTATATTTATAATTAATCTAATATAATAAATTTTATTATAAAAATAATAAAGTATTGTTTTCCAGTAGTACCCCTGTTGTGGCTTTTTTACTCCCGTAGTTCAGTGAGCCAGGGTAAGTGGCACCCTGAGGCAGCTTTTCTCCTGTTGTTTCATGAGTGGGAGGGAATGTTATAGCTTTTACTCCCATTGTCTGCAGCTCAGCAAGCAGGAGTATTACAGCTCTTTTGCTACTGCAGTTTGGTGAGTTCTGGGTTCTTGTCCTGCGACCAAGAGGAATAAGGTATGTGGACACTAGAGAGTGAGTAAGGCAGTGTAGAATTTTATTGAATACAGAAAGAAAACTCTCAGCAACAAGAAGGGACTAGAAAGCAGGCAGCTGTCTGTGAGGCTGAGTGTGGGGTTTTTGTGGGCTTAGAATGGGGCCTGTGTGCTGATTAGTCCATGGGTGGTCTTGGAAAAAGCACCATTCAATTGGTTAAAAGGCATCATTCAGAAAGAACCACATGAGAAAGAGTGGTTAAGATAAGAATGGAAGTTCTCTGGTCGTAGACTCTATCTGGAACTGGCAACTCAGTTTTCAGGCTTCAGACTGTCCTTGGTTTGAAGGTCAGGTTTCACTAGGATCTGTTCTTGTCTGCCTAGGAATTTGTCTGTCTCCTGTCCCTATCCCCCCCGACGTCCATATTCTTTCTTTTCTTGGTGTCTCAATTCATGGTTCTGAAGATTTTTAAGAATTATTGTGGTATTTACAGTTGGACACAGTAGTTGAGAGACATACTCACACTATAAGACATTTTACTCTTAAGTTTGTAAGATGCAAGTCTAGATATAATGTCTGTCAAATGTAGTATCAATTCTTTACATAGGCAGCTAGATGAACATTGGATACTAGAATTGTGAGCAGTCTTTTTATTAGAGAAAACTAAAAAGAATTAAAATTTTAAACCATTTTACCTTAATTTAAATATTCTAATTTACATTTTAGGTAAACATGAATTATAATTTATATCTTGCGTCTTAATTATAATGCTTTTATTAATATTTTAGCAAAATAACAAAACATATATAAATAATGCTTTTTTATTTACATTTTTATATACTTTGTATTTATATTTTGCTTTGTGCTAGAACAATATTATATTAAAACAAATTGTGAAAATCCTGTTTATAACAATGTAGTGATTTTGCTAAAACAAAAGAAGGAAAATAAATATTTATGAGATATATACATAATAATTTATAAATTGTGTATGTCTTTATTACTCATCCAGGCATCACCAGCCCATAAACAGGACACCTCTACATGCATAATAATAATTAAATTCCATCATCTTTGTTGTTTTGCCAACTTCAGTCATATGAAAACAAAGCCTTACCCATATTTAGTTTTTAACTTCCGTTAATAGTAAGGTATAATTGTCAAGGTTCAGAGGAGAGAAATTTTTACATAACTGTTTGTTAATTCAGGTTGATGGGCCTCCATGTTCAATTGTCAGGTGAAGGCCTATTGCTTTGTGAAAACTTTGTCTCTTGAACCACAAAAACCCCACTTATAGAAAAGGATTGGCCTTTGGGAATGAGAACAACTGAGGGAACTGTGCTTTCAAATGTCTCAGGCTTACTCTGGGGGCTAGACTTGTTAAGCTTGGAACAGTTAGCAAAATCACTTGCACTATCTAGATTGGCTTTTCTCTTTGACCAAGCACATATAGTTGAATCTCATAAGTTAAGTGTAAGTATGATGCTACTCCACTGTAACACGATAGCTGAAATGAGTAAATGGCTCATAATTAGTTATTTTATTAAGTTTGATATGTTATGGCAATGTTATCATTTTATATGGTTTTAGTATTTTATTTACCTCTGTCAGGATGCTGAAATAGATACTCAGACAGGACCTTCTGCTATAAAATAACTAATCATACCTTTTGATAAATTGTTAGAAAATAAGAAGAACTTCAAGTGTCCTTTCAACTGTGAAGAACTGTAAAGAATCTCAGATTTTACCGTTTCAAGTTAACAAGTCCTGTGCCATAGTTTCAGGGATGCTAATAGAAGACTTGAGACACCTGGGTCAGAGATGATGCATATTATTACTCACAGCACAGCAGACATCATAAGCTTCATGTTGTTGTAAATTCTTCTTTGTCCCCTAGCCCTATGGGGTATAGAGCAGTCCAGGGGAAATCTGTGCTCACAGTGGGTTTATGTCACATCTGAGGAATGCCCAGATTGGAAAAGCCCAATCTTTTAAAACAGCTGCTATCAAACTTGTTCAACTTTTGCCCTAGCGGGAGAAATTATGGTTTTTATTCTGGATAAGTCTTCTTATTATTTATTTATTTATTTTTTTGAGACAGAGTGAAGGAAGTCAGTGATAGCTTGATGGGAATAGCACTGAATCTATAATTACTTTGGGCAGTATGGCCATTTTCACAATATTGATTCTTCCTATCCATGTCACTCTGTCATCCAGACTGGAGTGCAGTAGCATGATCTCAGCTCACTGCAACCTCTGCTTCCTGGGTTCATGTGATTCTCATGCCTCAGCCTCTTAAAAAGCTGGGATTATAGGCACATGCCACCACACCTGGCTAATTTTTGTACTTTTAGTAGAGGTGGGGTTTTGCCATGTTGCTCTGGCTGGTCTCAAACTCCTGGCCTCAAGCGATCTGCCCTCCTTGGCCTTTCAAAGTGCTGGGATTACAGGCGTAAGCCACCCTGCCTGACCCTGGATAAATCTTCTAACTTCCCTAAAGGGAGTTATTATGTTTAGCTTCCAGGACTGTTTGCTATGCAAACATCCTAGAGAAAATAGTTCAGAACAAAAACTGCCAATGCCTGTATTCAGAAGGTGTGTAGAAATGTGAGAGACTCAGGGATAATTTTCTCCCAATACCCACCGAAAGTAACTTAATAAACAAACAGCAAATGCAAAG
The DNA here is from genome assembly GCF_000001405.40 of Homo sapiens. Classification (NCBI taxonomy): domain Eukaryota; kingdom Metazoa; phylum Chordata; class Mammalia; order Primates; family Hominidae; genus Homo; species Homo sapiens. Next base: position 218,646,647 of record NC_000001.11, read on the forward strand.
TGAGCTTATTCTGAGAGCAAATGTCGATGTCAGAATATTGAACTTTGGACCAGTAGCATGGTCGGAGAGTTGAAACAAAGAACATTAGAAATTAATAGGATTCTAAAAGGAAGTTAACGTGGCCTCAGGTCAATAATATCCACTGATTCCCAACACAAGCAAATAGTTATGAAGAGAAAAAGTAGTCTCAAAAAGAAATCATTCCATCATTAAGTGCTCCTGATTACCATATAATAAGACCAAATAAATATGAGCTCACAGTTCAGCACCACTAAACACATGAGGAAATAAGCCACTGTAAGTGCGAATTACCAGAAACAATAAACAATAGATTCAGACCTGAAGATTCCAGAGGCAGAATCAAAAATAATTTTGTACATATTGCTTAAAGAAGTAAAATTTGAATTTACAAAATAAACATGAAATAAAAGATTGTAAAAAGATTATCAGAAAAGTCTGAAACATCACCAAATATAATTTTTAAGAAATGAAAAATATTGACATAGTTGAAAACTTCATGGATGGGTTAAGTAGCAAATTAGGCCAGCAGAATAGAAACATAAGTAAATTGGAGAATAGTTGTGAAAAAAATTATTCAGAATTATGGAGATGCACAGATGAAAGCATAAGAAACATTCAAGATATGAAAACTAGAATGAGAACGTCTAACAGATTTAATTTGTCTCAGAAGGGGAGAACAGAGGAGAAACAATGACAAAATTTTCCTGACTTGATTAAAGCATGAATTTTCAGACAAAATAACCCCAGTGTATAGCAAACAATATAAGTAGAAAGAAATTCACAAATAGGGACATTGTGATGAAACTGCAGAGCATCAAAGATGAAAAGATTTTTTTTATTATTATTATACTTTAAGTTCTGGATACATGTGCAGAATGTGCAGGTTTGTTACACAGGTGTACATGTGCCATGGTGGTTTGCTGCACCCATCAACCTGTCATCTACATTAGGTATTTCTCCTAATGCTATTCCTCCCCTAGCCCCCCACCCCCTGACAGGCCCCAGTGTGTGATGTTTCCCTCCCTGTGCCCATATGTTCTCACTGTTCAACTCCCACTTATGAGTGAGAACATGCAGTGTTTGGTTTTCTGTTCCTGTGGTAGCTTGCTGAGAATGATGGTTTCCAGCTTCATCCATGTCCCTGCAAAAGATAAAACTCATTCTTTTTTATGGTTGCATAGTATTCCATGGTGTATATGTGCCACATTTTCTTTATCCAGTCTAACACTGATGGACATTTGGGTTGGTTCCAAGTCTTTGCTATTGTGAATAGTGCTGCAATAAATATACATGTGCATGTGTCTTTACAGTAGAATGATTTATAATCCTTTGTGTATATACCCAGTAATGAGATTGCTGGGTCAAATGGTATTTCTAGTTCTAGATCCTTGAGGAATCGCCACACTGTGTTCCACAATGGTTGAACTAATTTACCCTCCCTCCAACAGTGTAAAATCATTCCTATTTCTCCACATCCTCTCCAGCATCTCTTGTTTCCTGACTTTTTAATGATCGCCATTCTAACTGGCATGAGATGGTATCTCATTGTGGTTTTGATTTGCATTTCTCTAATGACCAGTGATGATGAGCTTTTTTTCATATGTTTGTTGGCTGCATAAATGTCTTCTTTTGAGAAGTGTCTGTTCATATCCTTTGCCCACTTTTTGATGGGGTTGTTTGCTTCTTTCTTGTAAATTTGTTTAAGCTCCTTGTAGATTCCTTTGTCAGATGGAGAGATTGCAAAAATTTTCTCCCATTCTGTAGGTTGCCTGTTCACTCTGATGATAGTTTCCTTTGCTGTGCAGAAGCTCTTTAGTTTACTTAGATCCCATTTGTCATTTTTGACTTTTGTTGCAATTATTTTTTGCATTTTTGTCATGAATTCATTGCCCATGCCTATGGTCTGAATGGTATTGCCTAGGTTTTCTTCTATGGTTTTTATGGTTTTAGGTCTTACATTTAAATCTTTAATCCATCTTGAGTTGATTTTTGTATAAGGTGTAAGGAAGGGGTCCAGTTTCAGTTTTCTGCATATGGCTAGCCAGTTTTCCCAACATCATTTATTAAATAGGGAATCCTTTCCCCATTGCTTGTTTTTGTTAGGTTTGTCAAAGATCAGATGGTTGTAGATGTGTGGTGTTATTTTGGAGGCCTCTGTTCTGTTCCCTTGGTCTATATATCTGTTTTGGTACCAGTACCATGCTATATTGGTTACTGTAGCCTTGTAGTATAGTTTGAAATCAGGTAGCGTGATGCCTCCAGCTTTGTTCTTTTTGATTATGATTGTCTTGGCTATATGGGCTCTTTTTTGGTTCCATATGCAATTTAAAGTAGTTTTTTTTCTAATTCTGTGAAGGAAGTCAATGATAGCTTGATGGGAATAGCATTGAATCTATAAATTACTTTGGGCAGTATAGCTATTTTCACAATATTAATTCTTCGTATCCATGACCATGGAATGTTTTTCCATTTGTTTGTATCCTCTCTTATTTCCTTGAGCAGTAGTTTGTAGTTCTCTTTGAAAGAAGGCCTTCACATTCCTTGTAAGTTGTATTCCTAGATATTTTATTCTCTTTGTAGCAATTGTGAATGGGAGTTTGCTCATGATTTGGCTGTCTATTATTGGTGTATAGGAATGCTTGTGATTTTTGCACATTGATTTTGTATCCTGAGACTGCTGAAGTTGCTTATCAGCTTAAGGAGTTTTTGGGCTGAGATGATGGGGTTTTCTAAATATACAATCATGTCATCTGCAAACAGAGATAATTTGACTTCCTCTCTTCCTATTTGAATATCTTTATTTCTTTCTCTTGCCTGATTGCCCTGGCCATAACTTCCAAAACTATGTTGAATAGGAGTGGTGAGAGAGGTCATCCTTGTCTTGTGCCAGTTTTCAAAGGGAATGCTTCCAGCTTTTGCCCATTCAGTATGATATTGGCTGTTGGTTTGTTATAAATAGCTGTTATTTAGAGATATGTTCCATCAATACCTAGTTTATTGAGTGTTTTTTAGTATGAAAGGGTGTTGAATTTTATCAAAGGCCTTTTCTGCATCTATTGAGATAATCATGTGGTTTTTGTTATTGGTTCTGTTTATGTAATGGATGACGTTTATTGATCTGCATATGTTCAACCAGCCTTGCATCCCAGGAATGAAGCTGACTTCATCGTGGTGGATAAGCTTTTGATGTGCTGTTGGATTTGGTTTGCCAGTATTTTATTGAGGATTTTTGCATCAATGTTCATCAGGGATATTGGCCTGAAATTTTCTTTTTTTGTTGTTTCTCTGCCCGGTTTTGGTATCTTGATGATGCTGGCCTCATAAAATGATTTAGGGAGGAGTCCCTCTTTTTCTCTTGTTTGGAATAGTTTCAGAAGGAATGGTACCAGCTCCTCTTTGTACCTCTGGTAGAATTCGGCTGTGAATCTGTCTGGTCCTGGGCTTTTTTTGGTTGGTAGGCTATTAATTACAGCCTCAATTTCAGAACTTGTTATTGGTCTATTCAGGGATTCGACTTATTCCTGGTTTAGTCTTGGGAGGGTTATGTGTCCAGAAATTTATCTATTTCTTTTAGACTTTCTAGTTTATTCACGTAGAGGTGTTTATAGTATTCTCTGAGGGTAGTTTGTATTTATGTGGGATCAGTGGTGATCTCCCTTTTATCATTTTTTAATTGTGTCTATTTGATTCTTCTCTCCTTCCTTCTTTATTAGTCTGGCTAGTGGTGTATCTATTTTGTTAATCTTTTCAAAAAACCAGCTCCTGGATTCATTTATTTTTTGCAGGTTTTTTTCATGTCTCTATCTCCTTCAGTTCTGCTCTAATCTTAGTTATGTCTTGTGTTCTGCTAGCTTTTGAATTTGTTTGCTCTTGTGTCTCTAGTTCTTTTAATTGTGATGTTAGTGTGTCGATATTAGATCTTTCCTGCTTTGTCCTGTGGGCATTTAGTATTATACATTTCCCTCCAAACACTGCTCTAGCAGTGTCCCAGAGATTCTGGTACATTGTGTCTTTGTTCTCATTGGTTTCAAATAACTTATTTATTTCTGCCTTAATTTTGTTTTTTACCCAGTAGTCATCCAGGAGCAGGTTGTTCTGTTTCCATGTGGTTGTGTGGTTTTGAGTGAGTTTCTTAATCCTCAGTTCTAATTTGTTTGCACTGTGATCTGAGAGACTGTTTGTTATGATTGTTGTTCTTTTGTATTTGCTGAGGAGTGTTTTACTTCCAATTATGTGATAGATTTTAGAATAAATGCTATGTGGTGTTGAGAAGAATGTATATTCTTTTGGCTGGGTGCACTAGATCATAACTGTAATCCCAGGACTTTGGGAGGTCGAGGCAGGCGGATCACGAGGTCAGGAGATTGAGACCATCCTGGCTAACACAGTGAAACCCCGTCTCTACTAAAAATGCAAAACAAAATTAGCCGGGTGTGGTGGCGGGCACCTGTAGTCCCAGCTACTTGGGAGGCTGAGGCAGGAGAATGGCATGAACCCAGGGGGCAGAGCTTTCAGTGAGCGGAGATTGAGCCACTGCACTCCAGTCTGGGTGACAGAGCAAGACTCTGTCTCAAAAAAAAAAAGAATGTGTATTCTGTTAATTTGGGGTAGAGAGTTCTGTAGATGTCTATTAGGTCCACTTGGTCCAGAGCTGAGTTCACACCCTGAGTATCCTTGTTAATTTCCTGTCTCGTTGATCTGTCTAATGTTGACCATGGGGGTATTAAAATCTCCCACTATTATTGTGTGGTAGTCTAAGTCTGTTTGTAGGTCTCTAAGAACTTTATGAATCTGGATGATTCTGTATTGGGTGCATATATATTTAGGATAGTTAGCTCTTCTTGTTGCATTGATCCCTTTACCATCGTGTAATGCCCTTCTTTGTGTTTTTTGATCTTTGTTGGTTTAAAGTCTGTTTGATCAGACCTGCTTTTTTTTGCTTTCCATTTGATTGGTAAATCTTCCTTAATCCCTTTATTTTGAACCTATGTATGTCTTTGCACGTGAGATGGGTCTCCTGAATACAGCACACTGATGGGTCTTGACTCTTTATCCAATTTGCCAGTCTGTGCCTTTTAACTGGGGCATTTAGCCCACTTACATTTAAGGTTAATATTGTTATGTGTGAATTTGAATCTGTCATTATGATGCTAGCTAGTTATTTTGCCCATTAGTTGATGCAGTTTCTTCATAGTGTCAATGGTCTTTATGTTTTGGTTTGTTTTTGCAGTGGCTGGTACTGGTTTTTCCTTTCCATATTTACTGCTTCCTTCAGGAGCTCTTGTAAGGCAGGCCTGGTGGTGACAAAATCCCTCAGCATTTGATTGTCTGTAAAGGATTTTATTTCTCCTTCACTTATGAAGCTTAGTTTGGCTAGATATGAAATTCTGTGTTGATATTCTTTTATTTAAGAATGTTGAATATTGACCCCCACTCGCTTGTGGCTTGTAAGGTTTCTGCAGAGAGATCTGCTGTTAGTCTGATAGGCTTCCCTTTGTGGGTAACCTGACATTACTCCCTGGCTGCCCTTAACATTTTTTCCTTTATTTCAACCTTGGTGAATCTAATGATTATGTGTCTTGGGGTTGCTATTCTTGAGGAGTATCTTTGTGGTGTTCTCTGTATTTTCTGAATTTGCATGTTGGCCTGCCTTGCTAGGTTGGGGAAGTTCTCCTGGATAATATCCTGAAGTATGTTTTCCAGCTTGTTTCCATTCTCCTCATCTCCTTCTGGTACTCCAATCAAACGTAGGTTTGGTCTTTTCTCATAGTCTCATATTTCTTGGAGGCTTTGTTTATTCCTTTTCGTTCTTTTTTTCTCTAATCTTGTCTTCATGCTTTATTTCATTAAGTTGATCTTCAATCTCTGATATCCTTTCTTTCAGTTGATGGATTCGTCTATTGATACTTGTGTATGTTTCACAAAATCCTCATGCTGTGTTTTTCAGCTCTATCAGGTCATTTATGTTGTTCTCTAAACTGGTTATTCTAGTTAGCAATTCCTCTAACCTTTTATCAATGTTCTTAGCTTCCTTGCATTGGGTTAGAACATAGAAACTCAGAGGAGTTTGTTATTACCCACCTTTTGAAGCCTACTTCTGTCAATTTGTCAAACTCATTCTCCCTCCAGTTTTGTTCCCTTGCTGGTGAGGAGTTGTGATCCTTTGGAGAAGAAGAAGTATTCTGGTTTTTGAAATTTTCAGCCTTTTTGCGCTGGTTTTTCATCATCTTCGTGGATTTATCTACCTTTGGTTTTCGCTGTTGGTGACCTTTGGATGGGGTTTTTGCATGGTTGTCTTTTTTGTTGATGTTGATGCTATTGCTTTCTGTTTGTTAGTTTTCCTTATAACGGTCAAGTCCCTCTTCTGCAGGTCTGCTGGAGTTTGCTGAGGGGTCCACTCTAGACCCTGTTTGCCTGGGTATTACCAGTGGAATCTGCAGAACAGCAGATTGTTGCCTGCTCCTTCCTCTGGAAGCTTCATCCCAGAGGGGCACCTGCCAGATGCCAGCCAGAGCTCTCCTGAATAAGGTGTCTGTTGACTCCCTGCTGGGAGGTGTCTCCCCATCAGGAGGCACGGGTGTCAGGGACCCACTTGAGGAAGCAGTCTGTTCCTTAGCAGAGCTCGAGTGCTGTGCTGGGAGATCCACTGCACAATACTAACACACACACAATACTGGGTGGCTGTTTGGGCAGACACTGAGCTAACTGCAGGAGTTTGTTTTCGTACTCCAGTGGCACCTGGAATGCCAGCAAGACAGAACCAGTCACTCCCCTGGAAAGGGGGCTGAAGCCAGGGAGCGAGGTGGTCTTGCTCAGTGGATCATCTAACAATAGTTAGATGATGATTTGGGTTATTTTCATAGCACTAGACTTAAATGGGTGGTTTGAGGTTATCTAGACATATTTGCTTTAGGGATGTTTGCATAGGAATCTTCAATGCTATAATGCAATCTGTTTCATGTTATTGAAATTTACCCATATATCTCACAATTTCAATAAAAATAAATTCTTTTATATAAAATGACTCTACAGCTTATAAATGGCATGACCTTGAGCAATACTACCTACCTCCCAGAAGGTGAAAACTAAATAATATAACATATAAATTATTTATTATGGTGTCTGGCTCATAGAAAGCACTCAGTAAGTGAAACTGAATCCCTTGTTTTCTGGGGATTGTGGCTTAAGTTCCAATGTTGAAGACAGTGGGAGATGGGAGCACTCGCATTGTTAGAAGGTAAAAATAATGGAAGTTGTATATTTTCTCTCTATAAACTCTCATGGCTTATTATGAATGATAGAACTGCTCTTGTCCCTCCCCATATGTCACCCCAACTTACTGACCTTCCTGGGTTCTCCAACCAATATGAGCAAAAGATGAAGAGTTAAGGAAGTCAACTCAGAGTGTCGTGATTCAAACAAAGCAGAGCTAACCCACCAGCTGCAGGAAAACAAACCAGTTGCAGGTACTGTTCTTATTAAAATACAGGCCAAAAGAATAGAAATTCTCTGCTTTCCTATTAATCTTAATTCTATTCATCCTAATATCCGTCATGTTTCCCAATTTATAATGCAACATTTATACTCTAACATTAAGTAACAGTGTTTTCTGAGCATAGTTTGCAGTTTTCAAATAGTTATATAGTGCTTTGTAGTTTAGAAATCACTTTAGCCTATATAATCTTAGTGAATCGGCCTAACATTTGATACAATGTGCTGGAGAGAAAAGTGACAGTTTTTCCTGTTTTCCATGGAAGAAAGCAAGTTTCTAAGATGTTAAATGACTTGTTGAAGTCATGCAACTAGAACTAGGCTGGACCAGCATCCTTCATCTGACATTTAGCATATGCATTAAATATGCTGCTATGCCATGTGCTCTTTAATACAATGGAGATATAGCAGTCAATATGACATATAAAGCACTATCTCTCTTGGAGCTTACATTCTAATAGGGGTTGTCTGATAAAAGATAATTAGTTAAACAAGATTGTCTCAGTTAGTTGTAAGTTCAATGAAGGAAAAATATCAATGTACAGTGTAGAGAGTGACTGGGCGGTAGGGGTGGGAGGTCACTTGGGGCTCAGTGGTTAGGCGATTACACTTAACAATGGACATTAATGAGAAAGTGCAAGCCGTGCACAATATCTAGGAGAATTATATTTCAGGCAGCAGGTACAGCAAAGTATAATAGACTTGACATGAGCTTTCACTTTGCAGGCAACGGAATGTGGCTGAGCTTTAGTAAGTGAGAGGAAGAGTGTGAGGGAAGATTTAGGAGAGGTAAGCAACGACCAGATCCTGTGGTGCCTTAAATACCATGGGAAGGAGTTCGCATTTTTTTGTTTTTTTACTATTAGTGAGATGGGAAGCCACTGGAGGGTTTTAAATAGGAGTGATTTGCGTTTTTAAAAGTCCTTCTTGCTGTTGTGTGTAGACTTGTCTCCTTGGAAGGGAACAAGCATGTGGGTCAAGGGAAATATTCCAGAAGGTTTCTAGGCAAGGGGTAGCCCTGAGTTCAGGTGGTGGCAGTCAGACTTCCTGAGTGATTGGATGCAGGACTGAAAACTGTGGTGTTGGATTAGAAACCTACTGCACCCTTCATTATGACACATCAAACTTCAAAGGTTCCAAATGTGTCTCCCAGCTCTGGGAGGATCTTGGCAGCACAGCCCTGTCTTCCCTTCACTCATGTACACCAGTCACTCTCAACCTTCCATCAACTCTCAGAACCCACCAAGCTCATTCCTTTAAACCAAACACTCCACTTTCCCCTGTTCTCAGTGTTGTCTTCGCATCCTTCAGTTTCAAGGCACACATAACCCCCTCAGAGACCTTCCCTGACTTCCCTAGAGAATTATATAGCCTCTTCTGCTCTCCTTTATCCCTGCTCATACTTCCTGTCAATTATTATAGGGTGTAACTGTTTATCTATTTGTTTGTCTGTCTGCACTAGAATGTGAGCTTCTTGACAAAGACTGTGACTTCCTTGTTCATAGTTATGCTCCCAGGGTACTTAGTTATGTTCCCAGCTCATAGGGTACCCAATACACAGTAATAGCTACACTTTGAAGTATTAAACACATGACAAAGAGTATCCTAAGCACTTTACATACATTAATCTATTTAATCCTTCCAACAGTTATGAGAGGTGGAGTCTATTACCATTTACCTTTAATGGATGAGAAAGTTATAAAGAATTAAAGGCACTTGCCCAGGTTCTAAAACTAGTGAACAGATGAAATGAGGGTGTACATCCAGGCAGCCTCTCTCCCAAGTCTGTGTTCCTGACCACTACCTTGTCCTGCCTTCAAAATCATAGATGAACCAATAATGATGGTACTTAATCCTCTGCTTAGCTCTAAATGATGCTCTTAACAATTTTTCACTTGACTAAAGTCTGTCATTATGGATGAATAATTACAAAACCTGAACAGCTTCTAGCTTCATCTATCCCTTATTTAAATGACTCAGTAAAGAAGATGTCACTTTCCAGCTTCCACCGGCTAAGGTCGGGTTTCTTTCATTCTCTTTTTTCCCTCCCAAATAATGGAGGAATGATTTTGCTCCTACGGCTTTTCACCCCCTGGTTTCTATAGATCATGTGATGTTTTGCATTTTATTGAGTTCTGCTACTTCTAAGCTGCTAAATTCACTGCTGAACTCATCTCCTAAATTATTTGACTAGTTCTTGAGCAATTAATAAAAGCAACCTTTAAAAATATTTACAAGACAGTTTTCTCCACAGCTTGCTGTTTACAGACTGATTTACGTGTACAGGCATTACTAGGTGGATCAAAGCCAGGATTTTCTCCTTTCTGTGGTCTCAGCACCCAGCACAGTTCTGAGCACATAGTGGGAACTCAATGTCTATTTGTTCAATGAATAATGAACACAGCATATGAAACATTTCAGATAATTGTGGTCATATGTCTATTTGGTGAAATCATACAAAATGCATTCAACTGAGGGTCTGCTCAGACTCTGGCTGGTAGAGAAACAGCAGCACTGAGCACTGGTGGCAGGTGGAGAGTGAGGTCCCGATTTTGCTCATGCAGGTCCACCAACACCATGTTTCCTTCCTGACTCTCTGGTCCTCCACCTTTGCTCATTCCATAGCTGATCTTCCACTCAGCCCCTCCAGCCTGAGTCATGGTATGACCTACTTTCCAGGCTCTGTGCCTTTCTCCTGGTTCCCAGACTCTGACAGGCATTCTCTTTCCTGGCACTGAGCTTCTGTGGACAGATATCTGGTAGCAACCTCATCTTGGCATGCCCTGGGTAAATTTCATCCTCCACGCCAACTCCACCCCCATGTCTCTCCCCTCCCCCAAATTACTAACTGCCATCTCTGATGGGTCTTGTCCCAGGTTGGAATGACCTATTTTAAATTCATCTTGCTCTTAGAACTCCTTTGGTTGCTTGAACTTCTTGCTTTTTTATACTTCTTTTGGTAACCTCATTTATCCCCCCTTTTAAAAAAATCTCTAGTTTCATCAAAAGTCTTGCCTGTTTCAAAATATATTCAGCCATTCTGAGGACAAACACCAATGTCTCTTTGCTCCTTGACAAGCACATCTTACCTGCAATACACTTGCTCTGTGCTAAGAGTTGTACACACTGCTAGGCACAAAACTGTGATAACTGGGTTGTCATCCTTGTATTCCAGTGAGACAATAAACAGCAACAAGTATAAACAATATACAGCAATGAATGTCCTCTAATTTTCACGATAGTCACATTCCAGAGGTGGTTCCTATTTGTATTTTCATTTCTTTGTTCTGCCAACTCTCCAGTGTCTCTTTTCTTCAGACAATATTGCAAGTACAGTGGTATACAGTGTGGAAAAATTTGCCTTGTGTGTTTCCAGCATCAGAATAAAAGTCAATGGCATTTTCTACTGAGGAAAATCAGCTTTTAATTATCTTTGTTTGGATTTTTTGCTGTTTGTTTGTTCTGGATTTCCTGCTCCAAAACTCAACATCTCTAAATGCTATCAACTTCTTCAGCCTGGTTAATTTTTATTTCAACAGTGAAAATAAATTCTAATATTAAGCAGGTAGATTATAGCAAAATGAATTTCAGAGAAACAGATGGAAAAGTGAGGAAAATTCTGAGACCCTTCACTTTTATAGTTGTGGTGGTAACAATAATGTAATGATGATGATGATAATGATGAGTTGGTCAAATGACATTTCAAGGCAGATTCCTCTCTTTATTTTTTTTAATAACATCCAGCTGAGCCTGGCACACTTTTGGAAATTTCTTTTGAATTAATTCAGAGACCATAATTTTCTCCTAAAGTGGAACAGTCATTTGGAATAAGGCCATTTCATAACATTGCAAGGTTGAAAGAAATCTTAAAGTTTATCTCATACAAGCACCATCAATTGTTCTGGTGTCCTCTCTAACATTCCTGCCAAGAGGAGGGTTTGGCCACTGATGGAATACTTAGAGGAAGGTCTGTTCTCTGAAGCATTAGGAGGTCCTCTCTTTGATCGTTGATCATCTTTCTTCTCATTCCTATTGCAATTGTACTTTTACTGTGGTTGGTTGGCTGTACGCTCCAAGGAGGTTGGGGGTAAGAATTCTAAGACAGACCATCCCAGTCCAGTTGCATAAAAGCAGTTTGCTATGCTGGAATTAAACCAGCATAGACACCATTCATCTTAATAGAAATCTTTCTGAGTTTGAATCTTATCTACATGAGCCAGTGAGAACATCAATTGCCTCTTGTAAGTTAACAACTTTGCATACTTTAGAAGCGATACACCTAAATAAAAAAGAATTCTCTTCCAGTAGTTTGTGGTAGAGCCAGTAGGAGCAGTAGTGCATACCATGTACAGAAGGGATTTACTGGATTTCAGAACAAGTTTCCTTGTTGCTTATTGTTTATTGCATTAGTCTGAGCCCCTCTACTGTCCCAGTACTAACCCTGACTAATGTTAACCATTAGGCAAGGTATAACTTCTTTCCTTTCCTCAGCAATAGCTCACGCTTAATAACTGCCTTGACAAATAACTGTTCTAGTGTACTGATCTCTAAAAGGAATGGATAACTTTCTCATATTTTCTTTTACGCTCTGTTATTTCTCACACAATTAACTTTTAAAAGCTGACCCCACCTGTATCAGGACTGTAGTCATTTTGGGAATAATATGTTGCATTTATAAAACATATCTTGATGTGAAATAAATCCTTTCTCTCTTCCTGTTTTATATTTCACCGGTCAGAATTATAAAGAGGTAGGATTGAGCAGTAAGAACACTGATTAATGAACAGCCACTGAATACATCTTTGGAAGAATTGGGTCTGGGAACTCGTAGCAACTCATGGCAGAGTAATTCTGTTTGGTGGTCTTTGAGCAGGACCACAGAACCACAGGCTTTGCAGAACCTTAGACGACGTGAGTGATCAAAAGCCTCATGACTCATTCAGGGGTGAGCTGAGTGGGGTGAGCTGGCAGGAGAGAACTTTTAAAGAGAGGCTAAAATGTAGCCGAATGACTAGCTGACTGGGTGGTGCTAGGAAACTCGTTGCCTTTTGTATATTGACCTGAACAAAAAAAAATAGGGGTTTGCTTGGTAAAAAGGCCGTAGGCATTAAGTTTAGGTGCAGGATTGGATACATCTGCAAGATGTCTTACTGGGCCTGCAATTAGTAAGAAAGATATTAACATGCATGAGGCAGATTCATCTATTTATTCCACACCTTCTATGAGAGTCCAAACTTTAAAACTTTGGTCTGAATTTTTCAGCTGGGAAGATTTGAAATGATTCACCTATTCATTGATGTGAATTCTCCTTGGGGTGATAAAATGTGGCTACCATGGAAATGACTTAATTTTGTCAGACCCATAAGTTTCTGAACCTTCCAAAAAGTGATTTCTATAGACAAAAAATGGTCTATGAGTGTGTGCTTTGACTCCATATCACCATGAGGAATTATGGTATAATTATATTTCAAATAATATCAGTCTGTAAGTGAAATGAAATCTATTAAAAAATGTTACATTATAAGTGACAATTCACTGATAATCCTTCCAGAAGATCAAAAGCAGAATTCAGACATTTATAGCTGTATGAATATATGTATCTGTATAAATTCCAGAAATATGTAAATTGTGAGTGCATATATATAGTTGTGTAGAATTTATATAAATTTTTGAAAAAATTCTATATGTGTTTATGTAGATTAAGATCAAGATCACAGTCCAGATATGCTTTATTATTTTTTGACTGCTTGGGCTATAAGGGCTTAAGGAGAGGTAGGAAGAGAGGCTTTTCTATGAAAAAAGACTGTTCTCATGCCATTTTCAGTCTGGGTGGAATTCAAAAGTATTAGAGTTTTCACAAACAGCCTTCTTCTCAAAGGTTTTTTGGCCAAGTTTTGATACCCCAAGAGGCTGAGGAAAATATCTGGCCTTCTGAGCACATACCACACTGTCCAAACCTTTTTAGCCTGACCCGTCACAGGCAATGGCAGCAACAAAATAGGCAGCATCTTAAGCAAACAAGACAGCTAGACTTTAAGACAGGCAGCCTTAAATTTGTGTTCTTGTAAGAAACGTTCAATTCAAAAATGTTTTCTTTTAACAGAGTTAAAAATAGTTGAAACTGAAATAGCTCATCCTATGAAACACTTAAGAGTAAAATGTGTGTTTTACTTTATTTTCTTTCTTTCCTGAAAAAATGTGTTGCATTAGACAAATCAGGCCACTGCAGCCAGGATGGAATGTTAACCATGCCACTGGATGGCAAATTGGAGGGGCACATGCCTTTCATCTTAATTATAGGCTGGACAGGGGAATGCACTATAGTCTCTGCTACATATAAGCAGGAGAAAACTTTCCCAGGGTATTTTTCTTTTGCATTTCTGACTCTTATTGGATTGGAAACTTGTCCATGTGACCCAGCAGGGTCCACTTTCCTTAATAAGGTTAAAAATATGCCAGAAATGCTTTCCTTAGCACAGCCTATGAGTGTCAAATGTGAAGGTGACAGCACTCCCTTTCCTTTTGATTCTATTTCACATTTTCTTGGAGAAAGTCCCACTGTTATCCTACAATTCTCTTCCAATGTTACCCTTCTGATAGGGTCCATAAACTAGAGTGTCATCTGAGATGGAATAATTGTAGAGATTCATTTTGTGTCACTGTAAAATACAGATTTTGTTCTTTTTTTATGACTCTAATGACTCACCTTCACTAAATCACAGCCCTTGAGATGTTTTTCCTGTAATGGGAATGCATTGACGCTGAGTCATCCATACTCTTAATCAGGGTCCCTTATGACCAGGAATTGCATCTAGAATTGGGAGTAGTCTATAACTGCAACAGAGTCTATCTAATGGGCTTTTAAAAGGGTAATGAAGTGATCAAGAGTATCTACTTTAGTTAAGAAGAATTGGTGTTAAATTTGGGGATTGCCATTGGATCTTTGGTAGACTTTTTATTTTCAAATCTCCCCTTCATCTTGCAAGTTGGTTACATAAAGTTGTTGCAAGGATTAAATGCAATAATGCATCAGATGTATTTAACAGAGTGCTGAGGTTATTTTAAGGAGAATGCCTTAACCTTATTCTCATTTCTAATCAATTGAACCAAGTAGCTGTAGAAAGATTACATAATTCCATAGGTAAAAATGCTCTCAGTATGATTAAAAATATTCTCTCCTGATTTCTAAACACTACTATCATCCAAACCTTTGAGACCAGTGGGTCTCAAATAGGGATAAATTTTGCTCCCCCAGCAGACATTTGCCAACAGCTAGAAACATTTTTTGCTGTCATCCCTTCAGGGCAGTGGATGTATCTGACACCTAGTGAATACAGGCCACGGATGTTGCAAAACATTCTATTATATAGAAGGCAGTCCCCGACAACAAAGAATAATCTGGATTAAAATGCAGATAGTGCAGAGTTTGAGAGACCCTGGTTTAGAATAAAAGCTTTAGGGTCTATTGTTTGGTCTGAAAAGCTATCACAGCGGACATTCAAAGAAACAAACCTATTACATTTTTCTCCATGCCTCATTTATTCTAGGAACAGTTTCTAGTGTCTACTGCATTTGGAACCCAGCATTGTTGGTGGTTCTGATAGGCTCTGGACTTGTGAAGCCAATGTGCTTCTGAAGAGGTCATGAAGCCATGTAACGGGTAAAGGACAGACAGAGGAATTAGTTAAACCCTTCTGATGGTAAATGAATGCCTTAAAACCTAGAGATTAAATATAAATTAGAAACAGTTTAGATGATTTAATACCATTGCTATGACTAAAAGAGAATTTTCCGAACTAAATTCATCTTCGTAAGAGGTTGATATTTTCACCGATTGACAAGCTTTAAGTAGGTTGTGGTAAGTGTAGAAACTGGCCTGTCTACAGACTAGCTGCTGCTTTTTCAAATCCAGGTGATGCCCAATGCCAGGTTTGAAGAATGCCAGATTCAAGGTTTACAAAAATAATATTCACTAAAAAAGATAAAATGGCTAATTATTATTGAATTTAAAATTAAAACTTTCCCAGTAAATTCAGGAAATTTACGAATTTCCCTGTTAATCAGTAAAATATTTTGTTTTAACCACCCATCTTTTAAATATCTAAAATTCACTTTTCTTTTAGGGAAGTATAATCTTCTTCTGTCAAATTGCAAACAAACTGGTTTCAGTATCGAGATCTACATTTACGTGTAGTCACATTCATCAGCTAATAACAATTTGTAGTGTATGTTATTTCCCACATGTATGTAGTAAGTGTTTTCAGGGTTATTCTACTATTTGTTCCCTTCCCCTACTCTGAATGTATCTGTCATAATTTGCTTTTGATGAATTTTTTTCTGATGTCCCCAGGATCAATAGGCCACTCAATTCACCACAACTAAATAAGGCAGTTTCATAATCAGAAAAATAAATGAGTCCAGACCTCTGTCATTTGAAGTCTATGTTTATGGTTCATGGCAAACCAAAAAGTTCTCAGCCACATATTATTCTATTCTTGGCAATGAGAAATTATTTTGCTCGTGTTGGCATGTTGCTCTGTTTAGATCCAACTTTTATTGGTACTAAAATTGTTGTGTTGTAATTGACTGATTGATTAAAACTAGAAAAAAAATTAGGAAAGCTTAGTGTAAAATATATATAAAGCTACTTTTATTTTTTGTTATTTTAGCAGCTTTATTGAGGCATAATTTACATACTACACAATTCTCTTGTAAATGACCAATTCAGTGATATTTAATACATATACAAAGTTGGGCAAGCATCACTACAATCCAATTTTATAACTTTTCCATCATCCTCATGAAATCCCTGGTGCTCATTGCAGTCACTTCTTCCCACCACCAGTCCCAGGCAACCACTCAACTACCTTCTGTCTCTATAGATTTGCATTTTCCAGTTCACAGAACTGGAATCATACACTATATAGTTTCTTAAATGTCTGGCTTCTTTCGATTAGTGTCTTGATTTTGAGGCTCATCTATGTTGCTGCATGTATCATCACTCCATTCTTTTTTTATTAATGGAAAATATCCATTGTAATACCACATTTTACTTATCCATTCAAGTATGGATGGGTACTGGAGATGAAATTGTTTTGTAAAATGTCTGCGATGGCAGCATGTCCTCATGATATTAAATGCACTGCCCTTTATTGTAACTGATAAGTTAGCTGGAGAGCATGGACAATGGAGAGTGTGCACAAGAAAGGGCATTGTCAAGGGAATCTACAGATTATGGTTTTACTCCCAGATGTGGACTAGATAAGTTCACTTAGTCCTTCAAAGTGTCCAATGACTTATTTATAAAAATGAAAGAACTGAACTTTGTAGTCCCTTTTTAATGCTATAATTCTACAATTTGGTCAAAATAACACTTTATTCCAAGTAACTGACATTACCTTGAAAGGTCTATAATTAAAGTTAGAGCCCAGACAGGCACTTGATTAAATAGTAAAGTAAGCTGTTTCTTAGCAAAAATACCAAGAAGGAACCTGTGATCTGCGAAATCTGTCATGCTCATAGCTCTGTTTTGAGAAACGGCCACTGGGCTCCTTCCACATCTGCTGATACTCTTATTGCCCCATGAGTTTACTGTCTTGATCACAGGTAATTAGATGATTGGTCCAAGAATGCACCTGATACAAAGGCAGCAATAAATATTTTGGCCAGTGGCCCCCATATTCCATGAAATATCTCTTCTATACTATAAAGTAAATGGCTGAGCCAATCCTTCTTGAGAAGTTTGGTAGGAGCAGAAGTCAGCAGATGGTAGAGTCATGGAGAAACCAAGAGAATCATAGGTCAAAGGCAATAAATAGAAGAGATGAGGCATCAGAAACTACATGAAAACAGAAGCCATGGGGCAACAAAGGCCCAAGGTAACATTTAATTCAAGTAAGCAGAAACCCTGAGGTGCCAGCTAATGCTTAGTACAAAATGTCTGGCCACCAGTCACATATTCAGAAAAAAGCAACCCTTAGACAGACACATATATTAACATAAACATCAATTTTTTTAGATTGGGAAGTCATCATGGCTTTCTATTCATAGTATTAATAAAAGTTAAAGACTAGGAAAAGACAATAATGAACTTTTCTTAAATGGGATGTATTGTAGACAAATGCTACTTATACACCTATGAGCAAGTTTGATCCAGTGTCTCTGATGGTGTCTCTATACTATGCCTTGACTTTGGCTCTGGCCTCAAGGGCAGTGAAGTTTGAATTGTGTTAGCTAAAATGTAGTATCATCTCTGGGTGGTAAGTAACAGAACTTTCAATATCCCCTCTTGTTTCCCTTCCTTCTCCTTCTGCCCTTCTTCCTCCTCCACCTCCTCCTCTTCCTCTTTCTCCATGTTTGTGCCTTACATGTGGCTTTTTAGAATAGGAATATCTGAAAGAGACTAGCCATTACTAACACCATTTGCATTCGTGCCAACAGCCTGGCATGGTGCCTCACACATAGTAGGTACTCAATGAATATTTGTTCAGGTAGTGAGAATTTCTTTTTCAAATATATATAGTTCTTATTTCAAATATACATATTTCATAAAGTTAAGGCACTTGAAATAGTGAAGGTATTTTCTACATCTTAAAAAAAATGAAGAAATGTATGTGGGCTGGACATATTAAACATTCCCTGGAATATCCTGGCTCTATTACCTAAAGTCATCGCTGGTTCATGCATTCACCAGAGGTCAAGGCTTGGAGAATGCTGCTTTGAAGCTTCTCTGAATACGGGTGTAATTTCAAGTTACTAATAATTCAGGAACACTTGATCTCTTCCCTTATTCTTGCCCAGATGAGTCATTTTCTGGTAGTTTACCTTGAGCTTCTCCTATTTATACACACAGACTAGCTGGCATAGAAAATTGTGTGCATCTGTCTTTCATTTTGAAATATATGTCTATATGTATTTGTTCTTCCTTACTATTTTTTTCTCTCAATTTTTCATTTCTCTAATCCCACTGTTTTTGCCTAAAACTAGGGAAGTTGCTTCCAGGGTGAGTTAGTTTTGTGTTTATCATGAAGATGGGGTCTCTACCTTTAACTGAATTATATAAAAACAAAATAGCGAAAAGATCAACCGCATTGTTTCCCAAAAAATTGCCCAGAAGAATTTCTACTTTTGTGAGCCTCATTTGTTTTCTAAATCCCCAAAGAGAGATTTGACTCAGCAGAAACGATCTCTGAGCCTTCTTCAGCAGCAGCAACAGCAGCTGAGCTGTGGATCTTGGCTCTAGGACTGGCCTAGTTATTCAGCAGATACCGTCCCAGCCAAGCCCTGGAACAGCTTTTAGCCACTGCCACAAATGCTGCCTACCAACTGTTGCCTAGGTGAGGAGAGCCTTGGCCATAAATCCTGGCACTCTCTTACCCCCAAATCTGACTGATTCATTTGTTCACACCACACCTTCAGAGTGGAAGGTATGATTGCTTGCTTTTCTCTTTCTTTCTTCCTTCCTTTCTTTCTTTCTTTCTTTCTTTTTCTTTCTCTTTCTCTCTCTTTCCTTCTTTCCTTTCTTTCTTTTCTTCTTTCCCTCCCTCCCTCCCTCCCTTCCTTCCTTCCTGCTTTCCTTCCTTCCTTCCCTCCTTCCTTCCTTCCTTTCTTCTTACTTTTCTTGCTTTCTTGCTTTCCTTACTTTCTTATTTTCTTCCTTGTTGGCAAGTGATCAGCCAAAAATGGATTAAAGAAGGCATCTGCACTCATGGATCTCCAACAGACAAAACAAGACAAGTGACTATTAATTATTTAAAATAGTTTTTGGGTTTTAAAACATTTCCATCACTTTTTTTTGGAGAGCACCTTGTAGTTTGAGCAAGAGTTTGCTTTTTGTACGTTTGATTTGAGGATTTATCTTTTTTGATTCTATATAGTTGCAAGAAAGGCAATTGGCAAATGGCTAATAAATGGTGCGCTATTGCTATATATAGAAGTAGCACACCATGCTGTAGGGGAATGGCCTCCCACCCTGTTCATATGTTGAAACTTAATCCCCAGTGTGATTGTATTTGGAGGTGGGGCCTTCAGGAGGTGATTAGGTCATGAGGGCAAAGTCCTAATGAATGAGATTAGTGCCCTTAAAAAAGATAACCTAGAAAGCTCCCTTGCCTCTATTGCCATGAGAGGACCCAGGGAGATGATGACCATCAATGAACCAAGAAGCAGATCCTTACCAGACACTGAATCTGCTGAAGCATTGATCTTGGACTTCCCAGCCTCCAGAACTATGAGAAATAAATATCTGTTCTTTATAAGTCACCTAGTTTATGATATTTTGTTATAGCAACCAGAGCTGACTAAGGCAGCTGCAAACCTCAGAAGTCATTAGTCAGAAGACATATGAATGAGGGGAAAATGACTAAAACTCATGTTACAGGCAAAGGGCTAATTATTTATTTATTTATTTATTTATTATTTATTTATTTATTATTATTTTTTGAGACAGAGTCTTGCTCTTTTACCCAGGCTGGAGTGCAGTGGTGTGATCTCAGCTCACTGCAACCTCCACCTCCTGAGTTCAAGCAATTCTCGTGCCTCAGCCTCCCGAGTAGCTGGGATTACAGGTGCACGCCACCACTCCAGGCTAATTTTTGTATTTTTAGTAGATATGGGGTTTCACCATGTTGGCCAGGCTGGCCTCGAACTCCTGATCCCAAATGATCCACTTGCCTTGGCCTCCCAAAGTGCTGAGATTACAGGCGTGAGCCACTGTGCCCTACCTAATTTTGTTATATGTTAAATGTTCCAACAAATCAGCAAGAATAAGATCAGCAACTCAGTAAAAAAAATGGTAATATATATAAGTAAACACTATATAGAAATTGAGATACCATTTTTACTTATCAGCATGGAAATGACTCAAATGTTTGAGAACATGCTGTGCTGGCAAGATTGTGAATGGATAGACACTTTCATACAGTGCTGGTGGACACAGAAACTAGTGCCCACTCTAAGAAGACAATCTGGCAAAATCTACCAAGATTATAAATGCACATACCACTTGACCCACAATTCTGCTTCTAAGAACTTACCCTATGCTTCTACTCACCCTTGTCTATAAAATGGCATGTGTATAAGGTCATACCTTGAGTCAGTGGTTATATAGCAAAAGATTTTAAATGACCCAAATGGAATACTATTCACCTGTTTTAAAAGAACAAGGAAGGTTTTTGTCTTGAACTCACATAAAGATCTCCAAGAAATATTGATTAGAAAAGTTATCACGGGCGGATTATGAGGTCAGGAGATCGAGACCATCCTGGCTAACATGGTGAAACCCCGTGTCTACCAAAAATACAAAAAATTAGCTGGGCGCAGTGGCGGGCGCCTGTAGTCCCAGCTATTCAGGAGGCTGAGGCAGGAGAATGGTATGAACCCAGGAAACGGAGCTTGCAGTGAGCCGAGATAGCGCCACTGCAGTCAGGCCTGGGCGAAAGAGCGAGACTCCGTCTCAAAAAAAAAAAAGAAAACACGTAGAATTATATGTACAATACATTATCATTTGTAGAAAAAGAAGGAAAAATTACTGTCTGATACAGAATATCAAAACAAGAAATACAAAATTTCTTATATTTGCATAAAATATCTAGAGGCAGGATGCACACAAATTCCCATGAGAAGGGATTAAAATGGCTGAGGGCATTTAAAAAAATTTATGCTATGTCTCATTTAATCAAAAAAAAAAGAATCAAAGAGGTTATTTGTAAAGAACGTGTTCATAAAATAAGGATCAAATACAGAAGACTGGCAGGAGCAGCCTGAGGCTTCACTCCAAAGTGCAGGGGGTGTTTATGGCAGGTGGTCTATAACATGTGTCACTTGAAGCAATTGGTTGCATCATTATTCCCCTCACACATGCCTTTTCTTATATTTTACATTTCCTTTTCTTGCCATTTTCCTCTTTCCACCTCTCATCAATTTTCTAAATACATTTCTGCTCCTAAATTTTGTCATCCTATAATTATGTCTTTATAATTCGAATGACCTATACATGCATAATTTAGCTTCCTTAGAGCTTAAACAGCATTAAATCATATTTGTAAATTTCATTCAGATAGAAGACTGAGTGAGGTTTTAAACCCGGAGGCCTTATTCTGAGAATCAGTAGAGACAACAGAATAGTTTTGATTTATGGCATGGACAAAAGATTTAATCCAGCTGCTTCCTTATTGCCCAAGGAAATTTCCTTATAAGTAAATGGGCTTAAGCCAGATATGCTGGCCAGGCTCAAGCAGATTGAGAAAACCTTCCAGTCCATGTCTTTCTTATTCTACTGCAGTTTTGTAGAACTTCCACTGAGTAATAAAAGAAGATTTATGATTGGTCATTGAGTTCAAAGCCACTGTGACCAAGAAAACCCCAGCAACTAAGAACAACTTACCAGCAACATGACCTTGTTCAAAGTCTTTCAGGCCGGGTGCGGTGGCTCACGCCTGTAATCCCAGCACTTTGGGAGGCTGAGACGGGCGGATCACGAGGTCAGGAGATCGAGACCATCCTGGCTAACATGGTGAAACCCCGTCTCTACTAAAAATACAAAAAAATAGCCGGCATGGTGGCAGGCGCCTGTAGTCCCAGCTACTCAGGAGGCTGAGGCAGGAGAATGGCGTGAACCTGGGAGGCAGAGCTTGCAGTGAGCCGAGATCGCGCCACTGCACTGCAGCCTGGGCAACAAAGCGAGACTCCGTCTCAAAAAAAAAACCAAAAACCAAAAAACAAAAACAAACAAACAAAAAAAGTCTTTCAGAATCCTAGTATCTTCATTTCTACAATGTGGATGTTTTTGAGACACCAAAGAAATTATAAATAAAGATAACAGCAATAACCAATGTGGTAGCCAGTCTCTGAGATGGAGTCCTACCTCCTGTTACTTATACCCTGGTATTTATATCACTCCTCCCTCATTGTACCAGTGTTGGCCTGTGACCAACATAATACGGCAAGGATGATGGTAGGTTACTTTAGAGGTTAGGTTATAAAAGATCTGTCTTAGTTATGCTTTTTCTTTCTCTCTCTGTCTCTCTCCCTAGGGGAAGCCAGCTGCCATGTTGTGAGCAACCCTATGGAGAGACCCTCGTGGTGGGCACTGAGGCCTCTGCCAGCAATAAGCTGAGGAGCAGATCCTTTATCCCACTCAAGCCTTTGGATGACTTCAGCCTTTGCCAAGACCTTTGAGTGCAACCATATGAGATAACCCAAGCCAGAAGCACTAGCTAAGCCACTCCTGGATCCCTGCTCCTCAAAGATTCTGTGACATAATATACGTATTTTTAATTTAAAGTACAACACTTTGGGGGTGACTTGTTATGCTGCAATAGATAACTAACATGACCATATAACAATAGGAATAATAACCAACAAATCAGGTCCCTTTTCTTCATCAGAAGGATTTCATGATATTGCTCAGGTCTAGACTTGGGTATGGCGATTCCAATGGAGTGACTTCATCCTTCTGACTCAGCATCTAACTTCTGATGCTACATTGTCCATTTACTGGAAAACTTGTTGCTTATTCCATGTTGCCTTCATTAATTGCCACTACTGATACCTAGTACACCAGTCTCAAGAGCAGCTATTCAGAAGACAAAGGTCTCTGATAGAAACAGATGTTCTGTTCATCTTTTTTGCTGCTTATATTAAACCATTGCAACAGATTTGTTGCCTTGATTCTGATTGTAGATGTTTTGCACAAATTATATCCCTTTTTAAGTGGCAACAACCACTCCTAGAATACATACACAGCATGATCAAACCCTCATCATTTACACCTCAGTCCTGAGCCACTTGTTTTTTTTTGCTTTTTGTTTTATGTTTTTTTTTTTGAGACGGAGCTCGCTTTGTTGTCCAGGGTGGAATGCAGTGGCGCGATCTCGGCTCACTGCAAGCTCCGCCTCCCGGGTTCACGCCATTCTCCTGCGTCAGCCTCCTGAGTAGCAGGGACTACAGGTGTGTGCCATCATGCCCGGCTAATTTTTTGTATCTTTAGTAGAGACAGGGTTTCACCGTGTTAGCCAGGATGGTCTTGATCTTCTGACCTCGTGATCCACCCGCCTCGGCCTCCCAAAGTGCTGGGATTACAGGTGTGAGCCACCGCGCCTGGCCGAGCCACTTCTTCCATCAGCCCGATTCCTTACCTTTTTGGCCTTTTTTTCTCACCACTGGGTCCTTGTCTTATCTCTGCTTCCCTAATTCTGGTTTTCTATTCTTCAGTAAATGTCCTACTCCATCTCACTTGGTTCTGAGATCTTTCTCTCCTGGTGCTGTCTCCATTGTAGAGAACTGGCCATATATTCCTTGACACTGTCAGTCAGACTCAGAGAAAGTCTAGCTCTGTTGTTTGTTCTCACCTTTAAGACATTGCCTCTGAGTGTCTGGTTCTAAACAATGCCCTGTCTCTCTTGATTCTTCCAGATGCCCCATGTGGAATTATTCAGCCATCATTAGTCTGGGCCAGGGTGGCTTCTGCACCTGTCTTCATCCTCAGATATTTTCAGCTTTATCTTGTTGTTTATATCAGAAACCCTTGTTGTTGATGATGTTCTTTTCTAAATGTAGACTGCAATGGTTCTCAATCATGACTGGCGTTAAAATCTCCTGAAGAAAAAAAGAGAATGCTTACATACTATTGGCGGTAATGTAAATTAGTTCATCCACTGTGGAAAGCAGTTTGGAGATTTCTCTAAGAACTAAAAACAGAACTACAATTTGATCCAGCAATTTCTTTACTGGGTGTATATCCAAAGAAAATAAGTCATTCTATGAAAAAAATATACGCACTTGTACATTCATTGTAGCACTATTCACCATAGCAAAGACATGAAATCAACCTATGTGTCCATCAATGGGACTGGATAAAAAACATGTGGTACATGTACACCATGGAATACTATACAGCCATAAAAAAGAATGAAATCATGTCCTTTCCAGCAACACAAATTCAGTTAGAGGCCATCATCCTAAGCAAATTAACTCAGGAACAGGAAACCAAATATTGCATCTTCTAACTTATAAGTGGGAGTTTAATATTTGGCACTCATGGACATGAAGATGAGAACAATAAACACTGGGGACTACTAAAAGGGATGGGAGGAGAGTGAGCATAGAAAAACTAGCTGTTGGGTACTATGCTCACTACCTGTGTGATGGGATCATTTGTATCTCAAACTCCGCATCAAGCAATATAACCATATCACAGACTTACATGTGTACCCTCTGAATCTAAAATAAAAGGTGAAATGGTTAAAAAATAATATCTCCTGGAAACATTGAAAAATAGTCAGATGCCCAGATCCTATTCCAGATCAGTCATAAATATTTATGAAAAGCTTCCAGTTGATTTTCCTGAGTATCTAGGGGATAGAACCAATTGTATTCAGTGAGGGCCAAGAAAATTGTAATGCTGTGCCCACTAAACAAAAACCATCTGGGAGCCAGATTCACACTAGGGTGGCCAGTTTGTGACCTCTGACTAGAGGGTGTGTTGACGGTCTTGCTGGGAAGCCAGGGGCTTTGTTTGTGTACTCCCACAAGATCCTCCAGATGGGTAAAGGAAACAGTGAGCAGAGAATTCAGAAGCAATTAGCTAGTGCATACGCTTCCAGGGCAGCCCTGCTCCAAGAGGACATCTGATAACCTGCAGATAATTATAAGTTTATGGCGAACAAACTATTGCTGAAAGATGGCATCGTGCACAGCTGTTGTTTAGACAAACCCGCTGTAGAGTTTTGGACTTGGCACTAGGAATCCCTAACCGTGGCTAAACAGAAAAACTCTGTTTGTGCAGATGGAAATTCAAGATAGAATGAGTGTCAAAGCTTTAAGAACAAAAGAAACAGAAGCTTGTCTGTTTTGAAAAGAATAAAAGTGCTGGTGTATAGTGATATAGTTCTTAATCTACACATGTGAATGTCCATATGCTACTGCAGTTGTTAACTCCAAATCCAACATTAAGAAAATGGATTTGATCTTTGCATTAGTGTGTAGAGCAAGATTCTCAAACTGAGTAAATTATAATTGCTTTCCAATCTATCTCCCTTAACATGTTTATACATAGTGTTTATAAGAGGTGCTAATAATATACATAGCAAGTGCTTTCTGATTTCTTTTTAACATTTTAACATAGCTGTTTAAGAAATTTTAATATAATCTCTGCTATGCTGATTAACTGATAGAAATGGTATTAATGACTTTTTAAGATTTTAGTTCATTCTATTCATAAGCCAGATGCACAAGGATTAAACTGTATCCATAGTCTTGAGGAATCCATAATCAAAGAAAATTTAATATTTAAAATTGGAAGTATTTAAAAAAATTTATCAGTATTCCAGCCTCATTCTAATTGGTGATTCAACTTATTGGGGGTAAGAGCACCCAGTGGGGCACATGGGGTCTGTCAGTCCTTGAGATACACACAGACCTTTTTGAATCCCGGCTTCATCACCCACACATTATGTGACTCCAGGCAATCACTCGACCTCTCCCACTGAGTGTCTAAAAATATCACAATACCTGCTTTCCCAGCTGATTTTTGTTATAATCAGAAACTGTAAATATAAAGCATATCATATACAAGGTACTGAGTGCACACTCTGAGCAGATACTTGGTTAAGTGCAAGGCAAAGAACAAGAAGCGCAGGGTACAGTCTGTCTTCTAGCAGCTGACAATATATTTGAGACAATATAGGCAAATGATTAAAAGGAAATTAATTAAAAATACAGGGTACTTGCATTAAGTATTTAAGTTCAGATGAGATATCTATCTTTTATAATTTGTGTATCTTGCATCTAATATGCCGTAAAGTTTCCTGTTATTAAATAGATCCTTTAACCCTCACCCTAACTCTAACCTCATGTGTAAAAAATATATAGTTTAATTTCATCCTTAACATAATCATTAAGAGACATCACTTTATTGATAAGAAGTAAGTTAAAAATTTTATCGTAACGGTGAGATATGTAATTCATCTATGTCATTAGTCAGAGGTTCAAATATGAATCAACTAAATGCTATTTGTAATACAGATGGGATTAATAATTCCATCTATATGTTAATAATATTAGCCTTGAGACAGGCGAACTGCAACTGTCAATCTGCTGGTATCTCAGGCCAAGTGGGTTGAGATCTAGAGCAAGTAAGCCCCAAAGTGTGCGTATAAGTCAGGTTTCCATAACTACCAGTGGTTTGGTAGGCAGGCTACTTTCCAAGGACTGATCTTCAGTACAAAGGTGGTCAAAAGGCTGCTGGAGCAAAAGGTAGGTGTGAATCATCCTAGGTGCTAGTCAGAGTCAATAAAATTAATATAACCAAAAACAGAGCAGGGATTCTGGACATACAAATTCAGACAGAAAATAGGAGGTTTAATTTCTTTCCTTTTCTGTGAAATTGGCCTAAAATGAAAACTTTTCATTTTGCATTAATGACAGTCTAATATTAATGATGGGTAAATTTCATGACACTTTCACAAAGATAGACTTTATCTTCATAAAATTATTAAACTTGGTTATAACATTAGCGAGTGTTCAGTCAGTGAGGTTATGGGTATATGTTTTCTATGTTAGATTTTTGAAGATAAACCTCCAAAGATAGATTTAAATCTATGGTTAAAGGTAATGTCATAGATAAGTGACATGATTCATGGTCATCTCAATTTTTGCTGTGTCCTCATGATACAAATTGCTTTGACCACTTTAATTAAAATGGTGTTCAATAAAATATTGGGGGCTCTATAAACTAAGCTTTTTGATGTAGTATAGAGCAAAAAAAGAAAAAAAAAAGATAGGCTATGCTTTTCTTTCATTTTGCAGCCACAACAAGAATTCTGTATCTCAAAATTTGAAGACTCATGGATACTCATGAGTACATGAATAGTATGGAACTCAGGACACACAGATTTTCTTCAAAGATACAATTTCTGAAAGCCTGGAGGTCTTTAAAGACAATAAAATAATCCCTTAAAGTATTTTTCTTTAATTGTCTGAACAAAAATGTGTTGTGCTCTTAGAGGAGACACTTTTAATGTCTGAAGAACATATGAAACCCAGTGCCTTAGAACAAATTCGAATTCAGAGGGAAGGTAACTTTATTTGGAAGTTATAGTGTCCTGAAACTAACCGAACTTGTGGAAAACAAGCAGCCTTCTTTCCCTTGGAAGGCCTTTGGGAAAATATGTCTACAAGTGTCCCTGTGGAGTCAGTATTTCGGAGACAACATAGGAACCACATGTCCTTTTCCTTGCCTGTCCAGCGATGTCTAATGTGGGTGTTCATTGAGCCTGACAACCAGAGTGTCCTTAAAAGCAGCTGATCTCATTCTCTGTGGGCGCTGAGTTCCTCGTTCTCAAAGTCAGAAGTCATGGATGAGTCCAGAAGCTCCAGCCCTGCCCCATGACCCACCTCTCTGCCTGACAGTCTCGGTGAGAGAGCCAGAGCCAGAGCCCTCAGACCCCTGCTGCCATCAAGCAGCGGAACAGCCTCTTTTGTTATCAGACGGCTCCAAGAATGCGGATGCAGCAGTTAGCTCACTCTCTTAAGCCTCTTGTGGTTAACATGAATAGCATTCTTTCAATTGCTGCCGATATGAAATATCCTAAGTCTTCAAGTCAACAATTAAAAACTCAAGGTCATATTTTTACAGGAGATACTGAAAATATTTGCATTTGGGAGGTAAAACATTTTAAATTGGAGTGGTATGTGTATTTATTCTGCATCTAGATGTTGTAAAATGAAGTAGAGGTTTGTCAGTTATTCAGGTTTTATGAGGCTGGAGAAAGTCAAGACAGATGATATGCTCCCCAAATAAGATCGATCTATCTATCTATCTATCTATCTATCTATCTATCTATCTATCTATCATCTATCTGTCATCTATCTATCATCTATCATCTATCTATCTATCTATCTATCTATCTATCATCTATCTATCATCTGTCTATCTATAAAGATATATATATAAAGATATCTATCATCTATCTATCAAGATATATATATCTATATATATAAAGATATCTATCTATCATCTGTCTATCTATAAAGATATATATCTATATATAAAGATATCTATCATCTATCTATCTATCTATCTATCTATCTATCTATCTATCTATCTATAAAATTGCAGAGGCTGACTACTTAGAAAATAGTTATTTTTGGTTGCGTAAACCAAAATGAACTTATCTTCTTTATCCTTCAGTTTTCCTATAGAGCATAATTTAGCTCTTGAAGATGAGCATAATTTTTACTTCACAAAGTTAGAAAACCCTACCCCTCTAACTTTCAGCTTTTATATCTGTAAAATGAGGTAAGACTACTACTTACATAGCCTGTCTCATCCTGTTTATCTGCAGGTATTATAGAAGCATAGCCAAGATGTACTAACATGCTCTCTGGATTTGTTTTCTCAGAAGTTTGTGTTTTCTCCTTTTTTTTTTTTCAAATCTGTGTCTCCACCCCAATTTTCCACCACTTCCCTGGAGTACTTTTTCCATAGTCACTCTTGTTAAGATTCTAACAGTATTACCTAGCCTCCCACTTTCACTATTCCTTGGAATGATCCCTTTCCTCAAGCTAATTAACTGCCTCTGTACCTTTAAGGGTCAGTTTAAATATCACCAACTCTAGGGTCCCTGAGAGCCCCACCAGCCCCACCAGGTGTTACACTCCTACTATCTTCCATTAATTCCAAGGACCCTCCATGCATTCTGTGCATACCATTTCATGGCACTTATGCTGAACTGTAATTTCTGATTTACATGCCTGACCTGACCATATTTATAACACTATATATATTTTAATACTGAAAGTTCTGGCAGAGTACTTACTTGACACATAGTAAGTGCTTATTAAATGCCCATTGAGTCAATCAATCAAATAAATAAAATAAGTGAAGTATTTTGTGCACCATTTGATTCTAAATACCTGCCTAATTTCATTTTTTTTCTAAAAATTATTGATAAGTTAGAACATAGGGGAGAAAGATCCATTCATCAGACACTTCTCAATACTGTTTGGAAGAGCTGACATGGAAGAATGCAGGAAACTTGTTTGCATACTGTGTCTGTGCACTGAACTCCCTATTTTGTGTAAAATATAAAAGTAATAAATTTGAAAGTAACATGCTAATATCTCCAGATCTTCATGGGTTGATAAATGTATTAAGGTGACCAACATTACAATTGCCAAAGTAGATAAATTTATTCCTTTTAGGAAGCTGAACAGTAGTCCAAGTTAGTTTAGCCACCAGGAAAGAGGTTCTGCCATGGAAGACAGGGTGGGAAGAATGCCACCATGGACCAGCAGCAAAGTCTTGGATACAGAGGGCCCAGACCTAGAGAGGTAGGGAAACAATATGTCTTAGTGTGCCCGGGATCATCCCTGTTTATACAGGCTGTTTGAGCATAATTATTTGTAGCACTCTGTTTCTCTCTTAAAGGTGTTCCAGGTTGGAAAGTAGTTAGAAGGTAAAAAAAGATGGATTTATCTGCTCATGAGTGCTCTCATCTTATTTCTTTCCCTTGTCTACCAAGGAAGAACAACACTTACACTACATTAACTAGACCATTTTGCATCAGTGGGTAGTTATTTCATTTTTAACTGGTCTAATATTACTTCTATCCTTTCTCTTTATAAAATAACTTGGAATAAACTCTATCATTTCATAAATTAAATTGTGTGAGTAAAATTAATGGTAATTTTACTGAAATCTAACCATGGGAATTTTTTGTCCTTATTTTTAGTCATTTTGTTCAAACAACTTAGAGCTGAAGTGGAAGCATGCAGACTTTTCCCAGAGATAAATTCTTCCTGCTTGACCTTCCAAAATATTAAGTACCTGTAAATTTAGAGGAAAACTGCAGCAGAATCAGGATAGGCACAAAAAGTAGCATAGAATAATTCCTTTTAGATGGCCATTCCTGTCTAAATTACAAGTTGAGTCTTCCCAGTATAAAGAAACAACTAATTGTGGTTGGCCTCATACATGGTTTGGGCTGAGGTTGGGGAAAGGATAGCCGCAGTGGCTGTAAACTCAGCAGCTAAATCGAGCTCTTTGGGTTCAGTGCACGTGGACAAATGCTCCTGCGAAAATCCTCAAGTTTAAGACGCAGGGTTTTCCCCTTTAACGGGCAACAGTCTGCCATTGAACTGAGAACCCAAAGGCTTTGTCAGGCAGCTGGAGGATTTGTCTGGTACATGGAGAGGAAACAGACAATGGCGGAAGCAGCTCAGATAAGTTTTGGAGAATTTCAAAAATGTGAGGGATCAGAATCAAAGTGTTCTAAGGAAGAAAGAAAAACCTGCTGCCCTTTTCTCATTTCTTATTCAGACTATAAGCATGAATCTGAAATCCTCTAAGCCTGCATGACTAGCCCTTCCTTACTCCTAGTGGGACACATTTTCAGAAGCTCCTTTTCATCTTTTTTTTTTTTTTTTGCATTTGACTACATGCATTTACTAATGAGCATATACAGGTAGAGACCTGCAGTCTCAGAACACCTAAAAGTTTCCATTTATCTCAGTCATGTTTTTAATTATCACCACCTGTTTTCCATTTCCATGTATATGAACGTAATCATAAGACCAATATTCTGTAACATATTGGATAATTGCACAAACTGCTGTGTAGGCAGTCAAAATGGAGCTTTTCCCCGGATAGATGGTAAAGACAGATAGTTCTATGTAAGAGCTTGAAATGTTTGTCTGATGATGGATGAATGAAAGTACATATTGGGCGTAGCAAAGACTAGTTAAGGGTGTTCATAGGAAAGTGTGGGATGTGCAAGGTTAGATGTATGAAAGAATACCTACACTTCACACATACACCTATGCACATCTACACCTCTATCTACACATATACCAATGGCTCCATGGGTGCTCACGAAATTAGTTTCATAATTCCGTTCTCAAGACCCTGTTTCCCACAATGTGCACAGGGAAGGCTGAGCCACCATTACTAAAGATTAACTCATCTTCAACAATAGCCTTTTTATCAAAAGGAAAACAAAACAAAGCAATCCTGCAGAGAATAATTCAACCATCCTTATGTTTTCCTTCAGATTCCTCTTTCATTCTCCACAGTGGCCATTTAAAATATACATGTTCCTCAAATTTATTTACCTATTATCTCCCCTTTCCAAAAGATAACCTGACTTCCCAATTTCCTACTTTCCAGGGAAGGTGGGTGAACTATGATGGGCTCTCCGTCAATCTCTACCCACCAATCTCGGGGCTTAATAGACCACTCCTATCATCTCTCTCTCTCTCTCTCTCTCTCTCTCTCTCTCTCTCTCTCTCTCTCCCCCATTGTAACGGAAGAGAAGTAACTTCTTTTAAAGACAAGTATCTCATAGTTTGTTCTGGATCTCATTCTCTCTTGCCTTCTTACAGACACCTTCCTCCTTTTATTTCCTCATTCACTTTACAGAAGCTGTTTACTATAAGGTCACCAACACCTTCTTTTGGAAATTTATCAGCCTATCATACTCACTTTCTCCAAAATATTTGACACTGCTGATCACTTATTCTTACTTGAAATTCCTTCTTCTGTTGACGTCCATGATACTAGGATACCATGATCCATGTATGTCATGTATGTGCAAGCGTGTGTGTGTGTGTGTGTGTGTGTGTGTGTGTAGCCCCTTCTCTTGTCAATCTTTTTGTCTATTTGGAGAATTCAGAAAAAAATAAATTCTTTGATAAGTTAGAAAGTAATAAGGCAAGAAGTAAAGCAAGGGAAAGAGATAGGAAATGCTGGAGTTGAGGAGACTCAAATTTTAAATAGGGTGGTCAGAAAAGTCCTCACATTAAAAGAGAGAAAGAGAGCAAGCCATGAAGCTGTCTGTGGAAAGAGCTTTTCAGGCAGGGGGAGCACCTGATGCAAAAGTGCTGAGGAGGGAGACATTAGAAGTTTTCTAGTAAAGGAGTGACATCATCTGACTTATATTTTAACAGCATCACTCTAGCTGCTCTGTTAAGAATAGATAATAGTGGGACAAGAGCAGAAGCTGGGATGCTAACTGGGACGCTACTATAATAATATGTTGTAAGGGAAATAGTTGTGTTTTAGGTGGGGTGGTAGCAGTTAAAAAAAGTATTTGGAAGTGCTCAGATGCTGTATAGCTGGAGGTCAAACAAGTAGATGATGAAGTGGTGGTGGGGGGATGAGAGAGACAGAGAGACAGAGAAAAAGAGACAAGGAGACAAAAAAGTATGACATCAAGTCTTTGACCTGAGCAATTGAAAAGATTAAGCAAAATAAGGAAGACTGGGAATAGAACAGATTTGAGGGGAAAGATTTTAAACAACTTGAAAGGTCTGAAATTTTACACCAAGCTAACAAATTGGCCTGGCAGAAGACAAGGAACTTACGGCAATAGTGGTAGCCAAATCATGTCATGTCATGTGCAGAGGAGTAAATAATTTATTATATTTTCTTTAAGAATTCCTGTAGGATTAAAAATACCAGATTGCATAATGTGCATATTTGGAGCCTGGAACTACTGCAGCTAATTTATTGCTGTAACTAATCAGTAACTACTAATTTAAGAGCAGCCAGCCTGAAACAGAAGTAACACCTGGGGTGGGTGTAGAGACTACAGAATATGATGGAGGAAGTGGAGTAGAAGCTCGGAGCAAATTATTTCTAGAGCTTATATATGTCTGGAAGATTTTCTTCCTTCTTTTCTAGTAAAATTTCCATGAATAAATTTCCTTAATGATTTAACCCAGTTTGATTTAGACTTTCTGTTGGTTGCCTCCCAAAACATTCTAACAGATGGCAATCTATCTATCGATTGATCAATTGATTGATGCCAGAAACGGGTACTCACCACATTTCAATGAAATGCAAGACCAGGCATTTCAATGTGGAATTTGCTGAGTAGAGGAGATAGGAAGGAGAGCAGTGAGGGCCCCTTTTATTCCAGAGTAGGAAGTTGGCAATCTTTGTTATGTGCAAGCAAGAAAGGTGTCTAGGTTGCGGTTTTATGTGTTGTTATTAAGACTTGATGAAGCTGTAGCTTTAGGCAACTTGATAGGTCATTTCCTCCACCTGCAGAAAGATCCTGTAAAAAAGAGACAAGTCTAGGCTTAAGGTGGCATGTCTGAAGAAGTATGTGTTGAGTGTCTACTTTGCCAAGCAGTGTCCTCATCATTGGACATACCCATCCACGGATCTTGCTTTCTAATTCATACACATATGCTACTAGAAAAAAATTACCCAAAATAGGTAGTGACAAGTTGTTAAAGATAAATAAAGATAAATAAAGCAGAAAAGGGGGATAGAAAATGTGTGCTGCTATTATAGATAGGATGACTAGGACATCTGAGGGAAACTTTCTGGGCAGAGATTTCAGCAAGCATAAATTCCTCAAGGCTGGAGTGTGCCCGGTATTTCAAAGAATAACAAACTAGATGTTCCGGATGGCAGAAGCACAGTGAGCATGGGGGTATAGGATCAGAGGAGATGCACCAGACCACATGGGAATTTAAATGAAGTTATGGACATTAGAATTTGTTTATATGATGATGGGGCCCACTGGAGAGGTTCAAGCAGAGGAATGACATGATTTCATTGAAATCTTAGAAAGATGGCTCTAGTTGATGATTGGCACATGATCGTTTGAGAGGGGATAAGAGAGGAAATGCAAGACCAAGTTAGGAGACTACAGTGGTATCTACAGCAGAGATAGTGGTGGATCGATTGGACCATCTATGGGCTGGCAATGGATAGGGCAAGAAGTTTTCCAATGTAGGAAATATTTTTAAGGTAGAGCTGACAGACTGCCTTATGGATTAAGTATGAAGTGTAAGAGAAAAAGGCAAGTTAAAGATACATGTTGCTAGAGAGTTCACTAATCTAATATGGAATCTTGTAGGGATAGAAATATCATATTCTCTACCTCAAGCCAAGATTGGCAACAATAGATGCAGGGAGTTGGGGAATTAAGCAGGAAATGAATGAGACCAGGCTTCTTCCAAGCTTCTCTTGCTAAGCGTATTTTTGCCAAACAAAGGAAACAGTCACACTGGGAAGACAAAGATAGGGGTATAGTATTTAGGGGTATCCTAAATACTATTAGGACCTCTGTCAATAAAGGTATTTTTTCAAGTATCTTCAAGGCACAGGCCAAGAATATGGTTGAAACCATTAAACAAGGGGCTGTGAGGTAGGCTGAGTACAGAGATATACCCAAGGAAGACAAAAATGCCTAAATTCATGAAGCCCTGAACCGACAAGGGAGTTGGCTTTGATACTAGCCCATGGAATTGATCACAAGCACGTAGACCCAAAGCAAATAGACCAGCAGCCTACCAAATTTTTAAGTGAGCTGTACTGCCAAATACCCCTATGACTGGCCAAAAAGAGCCTGTATTTCTCAAACCTTAAGATAATCCCAAGGATCCAGGAATCACATCAACAGGAAGTGGGCTGCTCAAGTGGTCAGCTCCAGAAATTGCATCCTTTCCAAAATTTGTCTCCATGGGAGACAACAGACAAGGAAAATCCATTCATTGCATAGAACCAGGGGCCTTGTTATTAATCGACCAAGGAATGCCTTGGTCCATTGCCAGGGCAGGTTGTCCTTGTTATTTATGGCCAGAAGATTATAATATGTGCCATGTACTAGTGATTTCTGTGTGTTTCTCACTGATCTGTTTTCCAAATGAAAATTTTGTTTCATTTATCCAGTTCTCTACTAACTTTTGTTAATGGATGTGTTGGGGATCTATTACATGTTATCTTGGCCTGTGTTTCCCAGAAGGGAGAACCTGAGACAAAAGCATGTGTGCTAGTACTTTATGAAGATGTGCAAACCACAGAAGCCAGATTGAGAGGCAAGGGAATTGCATCAGGTAAGAAGAGAGAGCCAATAATAAGGTTACATTATTGGGTTGGCTGCTGCCAAGTGCTTAAGTGCTAAGTGCTTATCTCACAAGACCATCCTCTGTGGAGCCAGATAAAGTGTGTCTTAGGATAGTACATAGGTGAGGTGGAAGGGTGAAGGGAGACAGAAGGAAGAGCTTTTTATTAGCTCTTGTGTCCCAACCTTGAAAGTTTACCCTTTGGGGTTCTATACTTTTGTACCTCTGGGCTGTGCGTATATGGGCACCAAGTGAAGTTCTATGGTATCTGATACCCTGGAATCAACAGAGATGCCACAAGGAAGGAGGTGATGTGAGGTGGTGCCACGCACCACCTACATGAAGTTGGTTGAACCCCACTTACATATGGTATGGTGATGGTAGCAGAAAAGAAGAGGCCAGTGAGGCTGAGAGTATTCGAAGCAGTCTATAAGAAGGGTCTGGTGAGGAGACTGGCTGGGTCTGATGAAGGAGCCTATTATCCTATTATGTAGTAATAGGTAGTATAGGATTACACAGTAAACCCAGACTCCAAGTAATCCTAGATGACTAGACTCCCGGAGTCTAGGATTACTGTTATGTCTAGTTATGGATTCACTAGGTGAGAATTTGACTTGTCTGTGTTTTTGGAGGGGGTTCATGCAATTTATATAATACATTTTTTGAAAGCATATGTACAGAAACATGACATAAATGAATGTGGTATAACCAAAGACTAGACTGTAGCTGTCTTCCCAACAATGATTACACCTGCACCCACCATTGTAATTTTTGTAGCCTTGACTCTCACTTCCTTTTCCAGGGGTGAGCAGAATAACAGTAGCCTGATCAATATTGTCTCAACCCCTTTGGGACCACAATGATTGGCTCATGAATGTTCAGGAATCCAAGGCCAACACAATTCAACCTCACAACAAATGGTCAAGACTTTTGTTATAAAGGAATTGTTCTGAACTGTATGTTTTGCAGAGGTGAGACCTGGATCTGCTGTAGCCCTTTGTTAACCATAAAGGAAGCCAGTCTAAGGATGAAGCCAGCTAACAGAGAA
Organism: Homo sapiens; assembly: GCF_000001405.40. NCBI lineage: Eukaryota > Metazoa > Chordata > Mammalia > Primates > Hominidae > Homo > Homo sapiens. The sequence continues at coordinate 218,683,065 of NC_000001.11, forward strand.
GCACATAAGCACATAAATGAAGATATAGCAGAAAAACATGGTTAATGTCTGAAACACACTGTGCCTGAAAACTAGGCTACAGCTTACACGAAGCAATAATTCTCTCTATTGTTAAAATAGTTTGAATTTTCCTTTTTCTTGTAACCAAAAACATTCTAGCTGATATATTCATTGGTGGGTCAAAGCTGAGGACAGTTTTGCCTGGGTTATACATTTCTAAATAGTATATCTATGGAGTCATAATAGTAACTTAGGTTAACCGTGAGTGTGTGGTGGAGGACCTTTGCAAACCAGATTCTATCAGGGAGACTAGCATATAGGCTTTTAATATAGTTGCGAGGAAACACCACCAGGATATGCTCTAACTACATGTGGTATAACTAAGTCAACAAAATTGTAACTATAAAAAGAATGTGTTGTCAGAAGGGATAGGAGCAGCATGGGACCTAGAAATGGTAGTTTCCAAGGAAAAATGATTTTTAGTGTTTATTCAGTACTGACCATGGATATGAAATACTGGGTCATGAGCACTCTCATCCCCAGAATGGTATATCAGGACTTTCAAAGAGTCATCACACTAATCCATTTCTCTTTGCTCAGATTCTATGCTTTTAAAACAGCTTTGAGGAAAATAAACTACAAACTTATTGGAAAGAAATATCTTTCAGTGCAGTTTTTTTCTGGCAGAGCAGCTATAAAATTAAAGCTAAAACTTAGGCAAATCAAAACAAAGAATATCTTTTTAATTGTGTAGTTTCACATATACTAATTAGTTCCAACGCACTACAGGAATGGTAATATTTTGGCATCATTTCAAAAGCTAGTACTTCTAGACATTTATCATATCACCGTGAAATTTAAACTTCAACAATTTTAATAGTGTGTGATAAATGGAACCCATATTGTTACAACTCTGAATTGGTAATGAGTGTATTCATCATTATCATCATCATCATCTTAAATCTGGAAGAATAGTAATGTTGGTGATGAATAAGACATACATAGTTATCTTCTCCATTATATATGCCTATGATAAGTGCCTCAAATGTGTCTACATCACATTTCAATATACTGCATATACGTGCTTAATAAATATCTGTAAAACTTTTGGAGAGATGGCTTAACAGGTGAATGGTAAAAGTAAATGAATTGTTAAACCTGGAATAAACCGAAGCAAAACAAGATCTTAACATGTAGAATTACAAAATTTACTAAATGCCTTTACATATATTATCACATTGAATCTGTGTAACTTGTATGGTCGGTATCATTATTCCCACATTATAGATGAAAATGAAACTTGAGATTCACAGAAGCACACAGCTAGTGATTAAGAGGGTTAACCTTAGAATCAGACCACTGGCATTGAATCTTCATTCATTCACTTACTAATTGGACCAATGCCACAGCTGTCTCACCTATAAATGGGTAATAATAATGATGTTGAGGGAGTTAAATGAAACATTTCATGTAAATGCATAGGGATATGGTAAACATTAAGTAAATAAATGGTAGCTATTAGTGTTGTTTTTGTCACAAGGTAATGTTCTAATCAAGAAAAACTAACAGGAATATAATGAAAACTAAAATGGCATCTTATGGAAATACATTGGACCTGAAATAAAAAAGCCATTGGGGATCTTTTGTGTCTGTCTCTGTTTGTGGCCACAAGTTCTTTAGTTTTGTTTCTCTCCGTATGTCCATCCCATTGCTTTTCTCTGCAGAAGGAATCTCTCTCCCGACTCATCAGTAGCAAATGACCAAGGTGCCAGTCTCTTACCTCTGTATGTTCTTTTCTATAGAAATATACATGTATTCCTTTAATTTAAGTACTCATCGTCTGACTAAGATTTCTCAGTGCCTCTAAATTGAGCTCTTCAATTTGAGAATTCCATTGTTTTTCAGCATCCAATAGACTCTAGACTTAGACCAATCAGAAACAGTTGGATGATCCTAAGGTCCCAGCACAGGCACAGAGACCCAAACCTTGTCCAAGACTTTTCTTTCTCAGGGAAGGCAATGTGAGAGAGCTGGAAAATACCTCAAAACATTACTTCAGCAAATTACTGGGTACTGAAAAACAAATGGTCTCCAGTGGCTCTCATTCTGGCCATCTTGATTTCCAAGTGACTCCTATCATTTGATTCCATTCTGCTTTCACATACTACTATCCAATTTCATAATATACATTTCTAAAACTCCTTTTTTGATGGCATACAGACACAGTAAAAGATCACCAATTTCTTTAGTGGTTCAGACAAAACCTGTGCTTCTGATGGAGAGCTCAAAGCTTAGCTACTTGCACTTTTTATTCTCAAATTGGTGCTAAGTCAATCCTGTCATCTTGCAGAGTTGGTTTTACCTTTCCTGGACTCATCTCCAGGCAAGCCTCTGCAGCAGCACAGTCACCCTTCTTTGCTCACTATTGCTGTTGTTAGTACCATTATGTGAAAACCCAGTAGACAAAGCAATGGTGCTGGTCTATCATTATTCATTAAAATATTGTTACTAGCACTGAATGACTTTCCTCCCTGTGAAAATGTTTTTTCTTTTTGCTTTCTGACATTCCTACAGTGTTGATGTGCTTCCATTGAGAAACATGAAATAAAGACTTGGGTCTGTGATTATTATTATTCTAAAGTATTAAATAAATATAATTTCTGTCAGAAACTTCAGCAAAATAAATTCAACACCCACATAGAGCTGCATATTTTAATTTCACTGGAAAAAGAAGACATTAGAGTCTATCTGTTAGACTGATTAATCTCCAAATACTGGGCCTATGTTATTCTCTGAATATTATGAAACTTCAGTTGTTGCTTTTCTTTGAATACTAGAGTGTTATCGTTTTTTTTTTATTTTTTTTTAATTTTTTTTTTTTTGAGACGGAGTCTCGCTCTGTCCCCCAGGCTGGAGTGAAGTGGCCCGATCTCGGCTCCCTGCAAGCTCCGCCTTCCAGGTTCACGCCATTCTCCTGCCTCAGCCTCCCAAGTAGCTGGGACCACAGGCGCCCGCCACCACGCCTGGCTAATTTTTGTATTTTTAGTGGAGACGGGGTTTCACTGTGTTAACCAGGATGGTCTCGATCTCCTGACCTCACGATCTGCCCGCCTCAGCCTCTCAAAGTGCTGGGACTACAGGCATGAGCCACCGTGCCTGGCCTAGAGTGTTATCCTTTTAGAGGAAGCAGTGCCATCTTCTTGAACCATTCTGACTGGTTATTCTTTTATTCAAATGACTTGCATGAGTCTACATATGACTGGTTTGATGAATTTTATCTCTGTGTTGACCAACTGTTCCAATAAACTGCCTGAAATTTGTTGGTTGTTTTAGTGCTGTGTAGAGAAAAACAATGTGAAATCTTTCAGCACCCACTTCTGTGGGAGTGACTCATTCCCTTAACCATAAACACAAGGAGGTTTATTGAGATGGTGAGGAAATAAAAGAGCTTAAAGGGAGAAAATGAGAATAAACAAAGCTCTTAAAATTGATTACTTTGTCCAACTAAAAATAGCCAAATAATCAAATCATATTTTTGCCCAAGTCATTCTATCCAAAGTCCCAAATTTAGAAAAAAATTGGACAAAGCTAATGTACATCATAGGGTCATGCTTGAGATAATTAAATATATGAGCAATTGGAAAGGAAAAGAGCTAAATGACATGCCAAACTTCTGGCTCCAGTTTTAATAACCCATTTATGACTTACTTGACTTGTGATTTTATGTAGCCTCTAATCATAGCTTATCTAAGACATAAATTTCTATAAAATATTTGAAGTTGTTTAAATTTATTATCTGTTTTCACTCTTTTTGGGTCCTTGAAACCATTCTTGGTAAGGTCACCTGTATGCACTGTGTTATTAAATCTGATGCACATTTTCGGTTTATCTTCCCTGGCTTCTGTAACTCATCATGCTTTCATTTTTCCTCACATTCTGGCTGTTCTTTCTTGACATCCTATTTTAAGCAACAGGCTCTTATTGGATTGGATTTTTAAACATTGGTATTCCTCAAAGCCAAATCCAGGGTCTCTTCTTCTTACTCTATGCTGTACTCTGTAGATGAATCTATGACTTCAATTATTATGAATTTTCTCAAGTTTAGATCCCTCAACTGAGTCCTAATGTCTTAGTCAGTGTGGGCTGCTATAACAAATACCACAGACTGGGTGTCTTGAACAACAATCACTTATTTCTTGCAGTTATGGCTGCTGGGAAGCCTGAGATCAAGGTACCAGAAGATCCTGTGTCTGGTGAGGGCCTGCCTCCTGGCTTGTCAATGGCTGCCTTCTCACCGTATCCTCACATGGGAGAGAGAAAGAGAGAGAGAGAGAGAAAGCTCTATAGTATCTTTTCTTATAAGGGCACTAACCCCTTAATGGAGTCTCCCTCCTGACCTTATTATCTCCAAAAGTTCCATCTTCAAATACCATCACTTTGGGGATTAGGGCTTCAACACATGAATTTTGAGGGGATGCAAACATTCAGCGAATAAAACCTAGTACATCTAATTTCCTACTCAAAATCTCCACTAGGATGTCTCTCAGGCCCTTTAAATTCAACCATCTAAACCTAACCTCCTAGTTAGGATTCAGGGAGGGTGGGGGCTTAAATGGGCCTCAACTCTTCTCTGCTTATATCACCAGCTAATCCACATGTCCATACCTAATTAACTTCAGCATGCAGCAGGTTGGCAGACTGTTGGGGAGAGAATGGTTTCTGAGGTTCATAGAGTCTTGAAGAAGAGATCTGACACTTTCTTCTGTTTGATTTCGACAGGAGCTGGGGCCTTTCATCAGAGAGCTCTGCAGTGAGGATCAGAGGCAATTGGTGTGAATTATGGTGAGATTTTGGACACAGAGGTCTTGGGAGGAAAGGTGACAATGGCTCACAGGAGTGTGGTATTTTCTCCGGCTCCTAAAGAACTGAGGAACATCTGAAAGGAAGGTGAAGTTCTTGCTGCCTGTGAGGTATGTGAGTATGAGTCTCTTTGGCTGAGGAGGCTGGACAGCAGGCAGGATTTCACTCAGTCTCTCCACAGAGGTCAATGACTTGTGTGATACCGTGGTACCTACCCATGGGAGGAGTGGTTATTGCCACCTCTGAGTCTAACCCTGTTGGTCTGAAAAAGGTTCTGTTTCTGAAGTAATTTAAAGACCAGAGAGAGGGGGAACAATCAACATGAAAAACACAGCTGGACCAGAACTGCTGGAGAAAATAGAAAAGGAACAAATAAAGGAGAATATTCAGGAAAAGTTCAAAGCAGATTTTCTGAAACAATAACCACAAAAATCCCAAACTCAGTGATTTTTAAACTCAAATAATATGGTCCATGAAGATGAGAATGTTCACTACTGAGAGTTAAATTAGTAGTCTGAAAAAATACACAGGGGTGGAAATATTGAGGGAAAAAGTAAGAGAACTTGAAATTTGGTCTGGAGACCTAAATATGGAAATAATAAGAGTATCAGAAGGATAAAAAATGAACTTTAAAGTTTTATTGAATAACTCAACAGTTTAAGCTACATTTAATTTTTGTCTATACTTTAAACAAATTACTATATTATATTTGTGTATAAATAGAAAAATAAACCAGAGAACCAAATGGAAAGTCTAGTGATAGATCCCAGACTATATATGTGATTTTAACATGTGAGAAGGATGGCATTTTCAACACAATAGAAAAATTGTGCTTTATTTAAGAAATGGAGCTAGTATAACTGGCTTTTTCTACAATAAAATCATGCTGGACCCATACTTTATACAAGAATAAGTCCAGATGGAGGAAATATTTAAATTTAAACAAATAGAACAATAAAGGATGTTAGGAGAAAATATAGGAGATGACTTGTTCAATTTAAGATATGGAAATAATTGAGACCATGACAGAAAACTCAGAAGTTATGAAAGAATTAGGGTAATATTTTGACTTTATAATATTAAAATCATGTAGAGCAAAATATATAAATAATGATAGATTTAGAAAAACAATACAACACAAATAAAGAAAAAATTTAATAGCCATAATGCATAGTCTCATAAACTGATTTTTTTTTAAAAAGCAAAAGATATTAATAAGAATTTTATAGAAAAGAAAATCCAAGTGATCAACAAAATGATTTTCAAGCCCTCTTGTAAACAGGGAAATAAAATTTAAAGAAACAATAAAAATATAACTTTTTACCAACCAGTCTAGCAAGAACTAAAATCAGTGATAAATGCTAGTGATGGTGAAGTCTTTCATGCAATATTATTAGAAATACAAGTTGCTTCAGCCACTTTGGAATATATGCTGATATTTACTAAAATTATAAGTAACATACATTTGAACCAGCATTAGCATTCTCACTTTAAAGATCTAGTGTAGTCCCACTTTTGAAGATGAAGTTCATGAACATAAAAAAATCTCAGGAGGTAAGAATAGCTATATAAGGATGTTTGAAGTTCGAGGAGGTGGTGGCTAAGCTGGAACTGTTAATCCACATGTGGCTTCTCCAGCATAGCAATTTCAGTGGGACCAGTATTGTACACAGTGGCTCAGGGATGTGTGTGTCTGTGTGTGTGTGAGAGAGAGAGACAGACAGAGACAGAGAGAGAGAGAGAGAGACAGAGAGAGAGAGATTTCAGAGACATAAAGTAAGGGCATCCAGTCTCTGAAAGCCTGGCTTCAGAAACTGGCTCAGAATTACTTTTATATTCTATTTGTCAGAATAGTCACAGAGGTCACTGAGTATCTTAGTTATCTATTGCTGTCTAACACTATCATCACAAATTTAGCAGCTTAAGACAACAGAGAGTTATCATCTCACAGGTTTTGTGGATCATGTGTCCAGGCATGGCTTGGCTAGGTCCTCTGCAAGCCTGCCACACAAGTCTTGTCCAGGGCTGAGTTCTCATCTAAAGGTCAGACTAGGGAAGGAGTTGTTTCCAAGCTCATATGGTAGTTGGCAGAATTCAGGTTCTTGTGGGCTGCTGGACTGAGGAACTAGATTTCTTGCTGTCTGTTGACCAGAAGTCATCCTCAGTTGTCTGTCCTGTGAGCCTCCCCAACATGGCTGCTTACTTCATCAAAGATAGCAAAGGAAGGTGTCTGCTAGCAAGTCCAGTGTTGCAATCCTACATAATGGAATCATTTTTGCTGTGTTCTAATGGTTGGAAGAACATCACTGATCCGTCTTACTCTCAAAGGAAAGGTGTTACCCAGGGGTGTGAATGCCAAGAGGTGAGCATAGGAAGGCCATCATAAAGACTGCTCATTACATTCAGATTCAAGGGGAGGAGACTAATTCTTAATGTCCATGGGAGGAGTGACAAATAATCTGTGGCCTTCTTTAAGCTGCCAGAGATATTTATAGCCCTGTGTAATATGGCCTCTTTAGACTCTTAACTTTTTGTGTTTCTATGTCATCTTTTGTGAATTATTCTTCAGGATATCCATCTTTCTATCTGTCCACTCAACCATTTCTTTCTAGAGTCTTACTACTAATCAGTCCACTCATTCATTCCTTCAATATATATTTATTAAGTGGCGATTATTGAGGCTCTAGGGATAAATCAGTAAGTGAAATGAAGACTTCCTTTTTCATACAGCACACAATCCAAAGGTAAAAAACAGAAAATCAGCAATGAAATGCTAAATAAACCAGGTGGTGATACAGTAAGTGAAGTGGAAAGCAAAAATAGGGAGGCTAAAGAATAGTTTATATGTGCTGCCCTGGTATGAATATTAATAACACTCAATGTATTCTTGAAAGTTCTCAATGTGGACAATAAATTATACAATCATCTTAGCAATGGGTAGGGGAAGGAGTCACTATTTCCAATAGTTTGGATTCACAGAGCTCTATCACAAAGTAACATTCAAGACGTCACTGGATGAACTAAGGAGTGAGTTTTGCTTATGTCTGGGGGTGAGAGTTCCAGGTGAAGGGAACACCTGGAAAGGACTGGAGATAGGAGTGCACTGGTGTGTCTGAAGAATGATGAGAAGGCGAAAATAGCTGGGGGACAGTGAAGGAGGTTGACATTAAAAGATGAGGTTGAGGAGCCAGTGTAGGAGGTGATGACATGGTGCCTCCAAGGTCATTACACAGACTTTTATTCAGGGCGATATGGCAGCGTCTGGGGCGTTTTGAGGAGGGGGATGATGTGGTCTCACTCATGTTTTAACAGGCTCCTTCTGATTGCTGGGCAGAGAATAAGTCATAGAGAGACAAGACAAGGGCAGGAGCAAGGAAGCCTCCCAGGAAGCTACTGAAATAATTAAGGAAATAAATGAAAGGAGGCTACTGAAATAACTAAAGAAAGGGACAAAAGCAGACTATTGAAATGATGCAGTCTTGGATCCCTGTTTGAAGCCAGCAAAAGCTAGCTAGATTCTGAAGGCAGAATTGAAAGGATGATGCAATTAATTGGATGTGGGATGGGAGCTAAAGAGAGGAGTCGAAATGTCTTCAAGGAAAGAAGTCTTTTCCTGGGAAAAAGGCTATAGGGAGAACAAGTTGGGAGGGAAATCAAGAGGTAATGTATAGGTTATTAATTTTTGGGTGTCTAATGGACTTTTCCAGTGCTTCTAGAAGACAGATTCTGGGTCTTCACAGCCTCAAAATTTACCAAAATTTTTGTGGTCATTCTTTTAGATCTTCCCATCCCCCTTATTCCTCTGGCTCAGCTATCATCTTCTAATGAGGGAAGGTGTGGAAGAAAAAGTCTACTCTCTCTGCTTCCCCTTCGATGTGTTCTTCCTATCCTCAGGAATTTCCCACATTATCTTCCCACAAATTATCTAAGATCTCTTAAGACCATAAACTTTTAGGGGAAAAGTCCAGAAAGACTTTTGGTTAATTTGGCTAGCACCCTACCTTTTATTCCCCTGGAGAAAATGAAGTACACCACTCAAAATATTCTCCAGCCACAGTAATATTACACAGCATGTATTAAGAGTGTATTCCATTTCAGACCTGTGCATTATTTCACTCAATTATCTCTGTAACTCTTTGAATAAATTCTGGTAGTGGCACTTCCTATATTGTGATTTTTGGAAGTTTTCCTAAGTTCGCTAAGTCTCTACTCCCTTGATTGTTAAATAGAAGGTATCTTGATCCCCTCAGGGTTGCTGTGAGAATGATAAGTGCTGTTGGGTCTAAAGTCCTCAGCAGAGAATCTGACATTAGATGCTTCTTGCCTGGTAGTTCTCTAATTTGTGGCAAAGGTTGTGTGTCTTAAATGAAGTAGATAACATGTTTAATTAATAAAAAGGTGATTATAGAAAATGAATTATCAACATTCTTATTATTTAAATATAGTTTGAGAAACAAAAGACAGACAACAGTTCAAAAACCTTATGTTAAGTGACTGTTAAATGCTATAGTCTGGAGAAGAAAGCACCCATCAGGCTGTAGTGTGGGAAGTACAGGAAGAGAAAGTGAAGGGCTTTTAGGCACAGGATATTGAGTAAACCAAGATGTGGAGAGGGGATTGTGGATGATTTGTTTAGGGAGCAATGGATAGACTGATTTGACCAGAGTGGCGTTTTCAAAGAAGGGAGCATGGGACATGAGGTTTAGACGTAATCAAAGGGACCAGATAATTGATGGCATTTAATGCTGGGTGAAGGCTTCAGATTTTCCTTAATGGGAAATAGAGTAGTTATTAAAGGCTCTTGAGTCAAGGATTGATAATCACTTATAGAACATATTTATGAAGTAACTATGAAGAGTTCAGAACTCTGCATTAATCATGCAAGGAGACATCAGAAAAGTTTCATTTGGCTGTGATATTTCAGTTTGACTGGATGGAGACAAAGTGAAAATAGGGATCCCAGTCAGGAAACACACACACAAGAGGTGAGGCTTGAGATGATTAGGGCTGAGTGAGGAGGCCAGGAGTAGCAATTAGGAAGGAAAGAATAGCTGTCAGACACACTGAAAAGCACAAGCTGACAGCACTTGTAGGGTGAATGGACGTGGTGGAAGAGAAAGCAGAAGAAGCATGTCCTGGACAACATCAAGGTATTTAGCTTTAGTGATTGACAGAATCACTGTAGACAGAAAAAGGGAACTTAGGAAAAACTGGCGCAGACAGGGAGATAAACTCTTTCTGAGGTGATAGCTTTCTGTAGTAGATGATAATTAGGAAGAGGAGAAAGGGTTTTATTTTTATCTACACACAGAATGCTTTCAGTAAGATAAGAAAGCATGGTTTTATACATTAACAAAAAAATGTACACGTGCCGTATTCACAAATTTGCTTATGTGTTAAGATTTGGATTTGGATTATCACTAAAATTTATGGTTTTAAAAGAACACATTTTATTTTCAGAGCACGTTTTCACCCAAATAATCTAGCTAATCCTGCTAATCATAGACAATGATTAGTATGGTCTTGGAAATGCCACTGCAAAATTGACAGTCCCTCCTGCTCACCAGGACCTCTACATTACTGATCTGCCCGGACAGATATACACTTGCTTTCAACATCAGACATTTAATTACAAAATCAAAATCCCTAGAAAGGGAACCTGACAATCACGTGAGAGTTAGAGGGAATCTTAGTGATTATCAAGTGCTGGTCCATACCAGCAGCTTTGTTTTTCTGTTTTTTTCATATTGTTTTACTTGTTCATTTGTTTGTTTTTAGTCTAGATGGGTTCTAATCACAGAATTCTCTTCCCACACAGATCCCCATTCAACAAATTATGGCTTACCCTTCAGCGTAGTTTTTACTCCCTTTATGTGGCCTCTGTCTGTTTCTACTCTGCCAAACTGTAGCTTTTTATTAGCCTAAACTCCCCGGACTGCAATTGTCTCTCTGCACATACCTGCTGAACTGTTCAGCTATTACTTTTCCAGTATAGAAATGGCCTTAACTTAGAGGGTTATGCCTCCTTTAAAGAGAAAGAAGAAAAGTAAGATAAAAGGAATAAAAACTTTATCCGTTTCAGAGGCATTTTAATAGCCTTTAAAAAGTCTTTAGGCTTTCTTTGATATACGTGTAGCATTTAGTTTTGTCCTTAGCTCTTAAATGCATTTAGAGAAAGGAGAATGTATTCCTTGTTTGTGAAAAATAACAAAGAACAAAATATATTTGCATCCTGTTATCTTGACTCTTTAGTTTCCCGAAGAAGTTGGGGTATAAATAACCCAAAAATTTTAGTACTGGGGGTGGATTGAGTTTGTTATAAGTGGCAACAGGTGGAAAGCATGCTCTAGCAATTAAACTGAGTATAACCATGTTCCTTAAATTTCCAATGAAAATTCCATATGCATATTTGATCATTTTAAATGTGGTGGAATTTTTGACTGGCTCAGAGATGACTCGAGAGAGGAGATAAATTACGTGTTTTATGATTTTTTTAAAAAAAATTAGTATTAGTTTGATTTGGAGTAAAGGATGGGATAAGAAAAATACTAAGGGTTTTTCAGCGTCATGGTCATATTATTCAGAAATGCCATGCAATGCGAATCTAAAAGCTTTACCAAAATGATTATTTCATTTTTAATGTGGTTTAGCTTGGGCTAAATGGCTTTTTTGTTGGATTCTGCCCTCCCCCTTTCCTTGGCTTCTAGGGCCAAATGTAAAAAGAAAACTAAATTCAGAATTAGGATATAAAAGGGAAAAAATGCAGATAAGTTCCTGGCATCAGCTGCCTCAGAAATGCAGGCCAGGGAGTGCTTTGCATTTTGTTCAGAAGATTTGGAAGTGAACCTAAATTTCAGAGATGCCTACCTCTGGGAACCAAAGCACCAGGCAAAGGAATCTGCCAGTGCTTGGAAAAGATGATGAGTGGAGCCAAAAACGTTTTTCCTGTGGTATGGTACAGGGTTGTTCAGTGTTGCCCACCCACACTGCCATCTCCCACACACACCATTGCAAACTTTCTCAGGACTTGAGCAGATTCAAAACTGGGCAGGGCCCTTTCCTTTGGCAGAGGCAAAAACATAAGCTGAGGTGCTTTCTGGCTTCTGGAAGCAGCACGGCTTGACGATTCACAGCTGATGTAAGATTTAGAAGGGGCTCATCTTTTGAATGAGGGGTATAAACTGTGTATGCTTTCTGCAATTGGCAGGGGTGATGGGTGAGGGTCGAGGGATAAGACAGTGAGCAAGAAGAGTTCCCTCTTGGTTGCTTGGTTTTGACCTGAATTTGCATGGGGACCTTGAGAAAAACTAACCTGTGGTGCCTCAGTTTCCTGGTGCATAATGTCACTGCTTCTCTGAAGGAAGCCTGCAGAATAAAGCCTGGGTTAAAATTCCCCTCCATTTGTTGTTCGTTTTCTCTTCCTGTTTGTGCTTTTATCCTGCATCCCTGTGTGGCTTTAGGGGTTTGGTTTTGGGAGGAAGACAAGGAACCACATTAAACAAAAAGATGGGGAAAGGTGTGTTGCCAGGTTTAGAACCCATTCAACCGTGCGGGTTTGGAGTTTTCCAACAACCTCCTGCCTCTTGAGCTTTCAGTTTGTTTATTCTTGGCAAAATGTAGCTTCCTGTTTTTAAGAAAACCAGCCTATAAAATGCTTGAAAAATCTTCTTGGACATCAAAACACCCTTCCCAAACAATATTTTGATGATTTAACATGTAAATGAGTCAAAACAATGTGAGCAACATTTCCTATAAAGTACGCGTGGGTTTTAGAAATTAAGAGGGTAGTGCTTAGCTAAACATACTTTGGTTATAGAAGATCAAAAGCATTTGAAAACCAGTTTGAGATGTTTGCTAAGTCTAAAATGAGGCCAAATCCAACCAATCTCAGCTGAAATGCAAGCAAACAATTTATTATTAAAATAGCTCACGGATGTGATTCCTCTTCCATCTCTGGGCTTGTGACTCTTGCAGCCAAAATAATCTCCGTGAAGTGATTGTAATAATGTTTATGAGCAATCATGGGACCAGAGCTCTCAGCTCATCCATGGAAGTGAACAAATAACTTGAAAGACCAAGCACCTCAATGTCTTGGCTCACTTGTTTTTATGTTCAAGGTTATGTGATATTCTCTATCACTGCCAATTGAATGGTTTTTGTGTTTTGTTTTTTTGGTCAGATGAGAGCAACATATCTTCAACTCTCAGACTCCAATACTCAAGTCTCTACGTCTACTTCTAGGTTCTGAAGTTGAGAAGGTTAACATCCTGCTGGGATGGATTGCTCCTCAGATATGTAATTTCTCCCAGTCAGGATTCTGTATGTGCATGGATGTATTAGGAAGTAAACAAATTCCATTTTATCCCCAACAAGACCTCCTACAGAGCAACCACAGTGACAGCCGTAGGTGTCAGTAGATTTAAGTTCTGGACTAATCCATAGATTTTATTAAGCATCAACTATAAATATGTTATTATAATAGGCAAAACTCTGAATAAAAAAATAGGAATAAGAGGCAGTCTTTGGGCCAGGCATGGTGGCTCACGCCTGTAATCCCAGAACTTTGGGAGGCCGAGGCGGGCAGATCATGAGGTCAGGAGATCGAGACCATCCTGGCTAACACAGTGAAAACCTGTCTCTACTAAAACACAAAAAATTAGCCTAGCGTGGTGCTGGCGGGCGCCTGTAGTCCCAGCTACTCAGGAGCCTGAGGCAGGAGAATGGCGTGAACCTGGGAGGCGGAGCTTGCAGTGAGCCGAGATAGCGCCACTGCACTCCAGCCTGGGCGACAGAGCGAGACTCCGTCTCAAAAAAAAAAAAAAAAAAAAAAAAAAAAGAGGCAGTCTTTGACCTTAAAGAGCTCTGAATCTCGCAGAGGGACTTCTGTGACAGAAATAATATATGAGGTTCTGTGTGACAGCACCTGATGGAAGATATCTGTGAAAATCTAGACTTTTTTTCATATGAGAAAGAAATTCCTCTTTTGAAGATAATCATAATCTTTTTAGAATATGGCACTTAAGTTAGGAAGAATGGGTAGAGTTTATAGACCCATGAAGGTGGGAAGAGATAGAGGCATTCCGGTGGAATAGAACAATTACAGCCAAAGCCCTGAAGAAGTGAAGTACACAGAAAGTTTGTGAAAACGTCTGGAACAGCTGGAAAAGGATCAATATAACGTTTCCCAACTGTATTCTTTTGAATAACACAAGATCCTTGAGAAAAGTTATATAATAAATTAATTTAGGAAGTCTTGTGTGAAAAATACTAAAATTGTTTCTTAACTACAAGATTTTGTGGGAATATTTAACAGCTTCTCTCCAAGAGAAGGTATAAAGACACAATACTTGTTTACTTAGACCATTTGACAAAAACATGTAGCAAAAAGACAGGATTACTAATTTGGCACATCAGAGAAATACAGTATAGGAGTTATTGTAATGGTTTAATGAGCTTTAATCTGTAAATCGACATTATTTGTATATGTCTGGCACATACCCGATAAATTGTTTTTGTTATAGTTGTTGTTACTTAGACGAGGTATTTGACAAGGATTTTCACGATATCTTTATAGACAAAGTGAATACTTATTATCTGAATGACATAAAGAGTTAGGGGACTTTGTAACTGGTTGAATGGTCAGTCTTGGGGAATTCTCATTAACAGAGGCTGCCAACCCAATGGCAAGTCTTTAATGTTGTGCCAAGGGCCTCAATCCTCCTCTTTAACCTGGTTAAAATATTTACTAATGACTTGAGTTAGCTTATAAAGGTGTGAAATCAAATTGGCAGGTCATGGGAAGTTGGGAAGGATTATTATATTAATTCACAAGATCTTAATAAGAACAAGAGTCTCTATGAATTGGCATGATGGTCTAAAATTATATAATAAGGAAAAATGTACAGTCTTATGTTTGAACCTTAAAATCAACTGTACACATAGAAAATGGCAGAAAGGAGGCTTGCCAGAAATCAATTAGAAAAAGACTTGAGGATTTATAGGTGACTATAAGCTAAATATGTGATAACAAGGAAATATGGTTTACAGAAAATGTCATGTGATTTCAGATTGTATCAGTAGACACAGAGTATCCAGATTTAGGGAGGTGGGAATTCCACTTGTTCTGCGCAGGTCAGACCACACATTTAAATATTTTATCCAGCACTTGTAAGAGACGAAGACTAATCAGAACTAGCTGGAAGTCTATGCCAAGATAGTGAGTGAACTTTAAAAATGACCCACAAATTATAGACATATTGAGAATTTTTAGTGAAGAGAAGCTTTAAGAGCAGGTATGGTAACTGCATTAAAATATTTGGACTTTTTCATTTGGAAGAGGAATTAGACTTGATTTCCATAATGCCATATGGTAGAATTAGGGCCAAGAATTCCACAACAATCCTTTCACAAGTACTTTTTTATTGCCAACTCTGTGTCAGGCATCATGCTAGGCAAGGAAACACACTTGCCCTAAACAAGCCCACAATCTATTAGGAGATAGACACCCAGGCAGCCTTATCCAAGCATGATAGGTGGGCCCCTAATTGAGCAATGCACTATGGTGAAAGAGGAATGAACAATTAAATTTGCCTGACAGTGATTTTTTTGGACCAATGTTATACATCATATAATGTAAACATTCAAACAATTCTGTAAGATTTATAAAATTTTTTTAAAAGCCTAGCATTTTGCAGCTCTTGTTCTACAGTGTCTCTTTCTCCAGAACAGTCATTGTCACCTTTTTTAGGTGGTTATCGTACTATTCATTTCCATGTCTCTGCATGGCATGGTTATATTGCTATTTCTTAATTTTCCAGTTTTAGGCTTTATCTATTGACTTTCCCTTATGGAAGATGACCATTTAGCTCCTTTTTTTTTTCCATACACATGCATCCTTTCCTTCTTCATCCTCCCGATATAATAATGTGGTGTTTTTGGTTAAAGCTAATATTCTGTTACTGTGGCTATGAAAACTGTATTCCCAGCTGAGTCATATAAAATATGGTTACTTTTCCTTTCCTGTACATCTTTGTATTTTCCCCACAATTAATATATTTTTATCTTTAAATTTACTTTATTATATATGTACTTATCACTAATTCAACCCAAAATACTGTATTCATTGTGTCAATCTTTTCTTTAAAAATTCAGGATCATTAGATTGCCATTTAATTTCATCTTCCACATTTTCTCCCGAAGTCTTCTGAGCTACTCATACTGCTGGTTGTTCCATGCCTGGGACATAGCTCTATCTTGGGGTCTCTGCACAGACAACCTGAGGATTCCTTTTGCCTTTCTCTGGTCTTCAGTCCCCTAGTGCTTGCATCTCACATCTTCTTTTAGTGACCCATCTTCTTCGAATGACCGCATGCTCCAGTAGTTTTCTGCAAGAGAAAAATGGAGAGAGAATTTTGAGACATTGCAGATCTGACAATCTCTTTATTTTACTCTCATACTTAATTGATAGTTTGTCAGGGTTCATATATCTAGATCAAAAATAATTTTCCTTCAGAATTTTGAAGGTGTTGCTTTATTGATTTCTTCTT
The DNA here is from genome assembly GCF_000001405.40 of Homo sapiens. Taxonomy (NCBI): domain Eukaryota; kingdom Metazoa; phylum Chordata; class Mammalia; order Primates; family Hominidae; genus Homo; species Homo sapiens. Next base: position 218,699,471 of record NC_000001.11, read on the forward strand.
TTCAGAGTTGCTGGGAAGTCCAGAGTCTTTCTGATTCCCGATCCTTCATATGTGACCTAATTGTTTTTTCATCTTTGGAAACTTTCAGGATCTTCTCTTTGTTGAAATTTCACAATGAGTTGCCTCAGTATGAGTCTATTTTTATTTATTTTTCTAGGCAGTTGGCAGGCTGTTTCAACGTATCTTTCCATTATGGAAACTTTTCTCGAATAATTTCACTGATGCTTTCCTTTTCTCATTTCCTTTTAGACCTCTTGCTTTTTGAATTTTGGACCACTTGTATGGGTCCTCTTATGTTGATATTTTTCTCTTCTATTTACAACTTCTTCCTTTCTCTTTTGCTTCTTTTTTTCAAACAAAATCTCTGGTTCTTATTACATGATTACATTAATTTTTATCTCCCTGATGATATTAATAAAAGCTTTTGGAGTTACTGAAGTTTTCTTCTGTCTGCAAGTTTTTTTCTCAACCAAGTTGTTTTGTGTGATATGTGTGCACAAGGGGAAAAGGTTTCTTTTCTGTTCTATATATACCACTTAGGAAGCTTTCCTCAAAGGTCTGGTAAATTTTATACTTAAGGGCAGGACACTCTTAAGCTGATTTGATGTTCTGAGTGCATGAATGGGGACTGTAAATTGTCAGTTTCACTGTAGAGTGATTTGGCTGGACAATTTTAATAGGAAATCTCTGCCGTCAATACCTTTATAGCTTTCTTTTTAGCAAAGAAATATTTCCCAAGGAAGATTTTTTTCACTTCTTGCCTGGCCGCTAATGTTCTGGGAGCAAAGTGGACACAGAGAGCTAGGGGTGTTTACTTTCAGTATGCATAAAATGACTTTTTTCATTAAGATACCCACACCATCAACTATGCCTGCTGCCACTTAAGGCCTGGTGTTTCATACTTTTTAGACAATAAACTGGGAAAGGACAGACAGCCTGGCATAGTGAGCTAGGGAATTGATGATGTCTATTTCTTAAAAAAATACTTTGAGTTAATCTTCTTTATTTACTCTCTTTCACTCTCACTTCTCAAGGTACGTGATAAGGCCACATGTTGTGCGTTTGGGGATCATGCGGCATAAATCTGGGCTGATTTTTAGTTTTCCCTACTGGTGACTTAGTAGTTCCATTCCTTGGGTATCTAAGTCATTTACCATGAATTCATCTACTTCCTAGCTCCTAAATTTGTTTCTTCTCTCTCGTTCTTCTTTTCCGTTAAGATTATATACATCTAGCTATACACTATTGATTTAGGGTCAGTTGTATGCATGTGATTAATCTTCTTTCTTTCCCTGGAGGATCTGGGACGCTTTCAGAGAAAGTAACATTTGTGAAGGACTTTGAACGATGTCAGATTTTTCAGTGAAACCAATGAGGAAGAACAACACGAGCAACAAAAGAGATGTCAGCACTTTTATGGAGAATTCAGGAAATATTGACTATGGCTAAGACATTGTTGGCAGAAGCAAGAACAATATAGTTTTTAGATTGGAAAAGTGGTGACCAGCAATTAATGAGATTTATGAAGTGTACATTTTTATACACTTTAAAACTCGTGTGTATCCCACAACGGACCAAGTTGTCTCAATGATGCATCCTTCTCTGTAACTGCTAAGCCCTTAGGTGGACAATGATAGACAAGGTTTCAAATTGCTTGGTGTATGAAAAATGCCAATATTTTTTAGCATATATATGTAATGTTTTTAAGCTACTTGATCTCAGGTAAGGTTTGAGGAATGAGGAGGAGGAGAAAGAAAGAAAAAATAGTAGATAAAGAAGAGACACAGAGAGAAAACCTTCATACTGATGACATCATGGCTGTGTTTTAAAACTGAGCCTTAAGTCTGTCGGAGTCATTTCTGTTCTATTTCAACAGGCAGAAATGTGCTGAGCTCTTGGGGTCGTTGACTAACAGGTCTACCAGATGGATCCTGAGTTTGGCTGCAGGAGCAGAGCATTCCATCGCAGGCTTTAAGATGCAACAATGCATTATTAAACCTGTTTGTAACAAAATGTGCAAGATGACATCATGTCCCTCAACAAAAATGTGTGCCTTGCTGTGTGGGAACAGTGAACCCCAGGATATAGAAAGTCAGGCAGAAATTATAGTACCTTATAAATAACTGCTCATCCACCCATTATACTTTTCTCTCTCCTCCCAAATCCAAAGTGTTCTTTAAGAGAGGAAGAAAAATATTCTATGCAATTCTACATCAAAAAGTTGTAACCAAGAAATGATAAATAAGCATCTGCAATGAAAGAAAAATGGATATAGCCTTAGGAGAATGATTTTTAGTCTGAAATCTCAGTCATAGTCTGCCAGGAAATAAAAGCCATTGAATATTTAGAACAAGAGGACTTTAATGCAGGGAATTGGCTACACTGGTGATAGAAGAGCTAGGAAGCCTAATGGGACAATGAAAGAACTCAGAAATTAGCAGTGGCAGGAAGACGCTGCCACCTCTGAGCTGGACACATGAAGTGTGGGAAGCCTACTAGGCGAGAGGGAGAGATGCAGCTGCTGCCCAAAGATGTCATGAGAGGCAGGAAGAGAAGTGGCCTGGCCTTCCCTCCATTTCTTGTACCCTCCAAACTCCTACCAGTGTTTCTTTCTCATAGGATGAGTCCAGGGAAAAGCCAGTGATGTAGGAGCCTGGGAAACCCGGCTCTGCAAAGCAAAGCAAAGCAAAGCAAAGCAAAGCAAAGCAAAGCAAAGCAAAGCAAAGCAAAGCAAAGCAAAGCAAAGCAGGGGAGGGTGAGAAATGGATTTGAAGACAAACAGGTCCAGAACCAGCACATCCAGAAAGATCAATGCTGCCATAAAGGGGAGAGGATCAGTGTCTACGAAATCATCACTGATCTGAACACAATGAAGAGATTATTATTCATCAGATCTAGAATTAGATGTGGAAGAATTAGGAGCAAACTTTAAAAGTGAACAGCATAGAGTGCAACCACCTCTATCACCCTTACAGCCAGAACATTGGATTGGAGTCTTGCAATGGACCCGCCTAGTATATCTCACTGCCTTTCAGTTATTATGCACTGATAAAATGAGACATGGACAACATTAATGGAAAACATTATTTTGGCAGGAAAAACTAAAATTTGAATTTCATAGATGTCTTTGTTGTTGATGTTGTTATTGCTAATAATAATGATATCCAGTACTCATACATGTATTTATAACTCAATAATTCACTGCTAGCAATCATGCTGTTTTCATGGGTCAATCCTGTTCCCAGACATTCCTACTGTAAGACTGAAGTAATTTCTTTAAAAGTGATATTCAACAGTTGACTGTTGAAGCAATGTTTTCTTATTAACTAACATGTAATTAGTTCATTAAAAAATACCTCAACTGAATAGCACGTAACTTAATACAATCTACCAAAGTGGAGAAATCCACAGTTTCTCACAAATGGCAGCAAAATTACAGTGCAGGGAAACTGGAAATGAGAAGATGCCAGCTGGCAGGACACTAAGTGCTTCAGATTACTGTGTGTTTATGACTTCTGTGTTCTAGAAAAAAAATTAATTAGATTATGCTATTTGAGAATCTTGGAATGCCATGGCTCTGGGCCAGGCTTATCAGAACCACACATTTGAAGTTTAATTAAGCTGTTTTAAATTTCACCATTATTTCTGAGTTTTGAAAAAGCAATAAATGTAGGAACTAATAAATAACTGTAGAAGAATGCTGAGATTCCCTCAGATGGCAGCCTTCAGTATAAAATTATGGACTGTTTCAAAGTCTACTATACATTCATGTTATTGAACGTAAACATGATATGAAGCAGTACTCTTTGTTCAAGAGGTTTTGGAAAATAAATGGATGCAATATAGGGGCTGTAATGGTAGAAACTTATTATGTTGTTTTGAAAAGTCAAGTCATTGTTCAATAACATGTCTATATCTCAGGCTGGGGTCAAACTGGGGAAAGGCACATGAATTCCAGCATAGAGAGAGGCAAGCAAGGGAGATTTGCTTCTTGTTCACTTTGATGAGGGAATCTTACTGTCTGAATTTTTAGCTAGCTAGTTTACACAGGAGGAAAATAGCTCAAGTCATAATACAAGTGGGCTTAAATTTGTTTAATTAATTTTTTATTATTTATTTTTTAATGGCAGTAAAATATACATTACGTAAAATTTACCATTCTAGCCATTTTTAAGTGCACAGTTCAGTGGCAGTAAGTACCTTCATGTTATTCAACCATCAAGCACCATCCACTCCAGAATTTGGCTTAAAGCTATTTTGCTAATTGCTTTCCAAAACAAAAAAACCTTTAAAAATTTTCCTAGGAATAGTTGGTCAAGGTCTGAAAATATGGAAGACACTACATCTGCGTCTATACATGCGGGAGCCAGTATGATCCTGCCTCATGGCCCTGCAATTGAAGTATCTAAGGGGTTTGACAGTATACTTAGAAAAAATGGGTTGTGACTAAATAACAGTTTTCAATCAGACTTACGGAAGGAGAATATTAACCCCTTTTGAGAAAATAAACAAATTTGGCAAAACAAACACTGATATGACTAACTGCTTTGGTTAAATAATTTTATTCATTCATTCAAAATACCTAGTGAGCCCTTATTTATTCTAGATATTGTTCTAGGCATTGGGGAATTTGTGGTGAACAAATATACTAAGTCATCACTTCCAAAGATGTTATAGTCCAGTAGGAAAGACAATGTACCGATAAATATACCACAGATGGTGATAAATGCTACGATGCAAAACAAGTATGGATAAGAAAAGTAAAATCAAATTTCAATCTTTCTTTCCTAATTCTTCCCATTTATAATATTTTAGAGACAAAAACAGAATACCTTCTTAGAATGGAAACCCCATTGTCAAAAAAGACTCTGGTACATGAGGTGATAGGCTAAGGAGATGAGGCTGAGCAGGTCAGAATATGAAAGCCTTGTGTTGCTTTGCTCTCCTCTCTCTGTTTCTCAGTTTTTTCAGCATCTTGATTCTTTTTACTCTTCTTCCTTCATTTCACTGAAAAAGCAGGTAACTAAGGATATATATCTACTCATTTCTCCAGCAAATATGAATTAGAAATCTGCCATTATGGAACACTGTGCCAGCTGCTGCAGGGAGTCAGGAATGCATAGGGCACAGATGATCTCCTCAGAATGCATTGGCGTTTATTAGGTTGGTGCAAAAGTCATTGCAGTTTTGCCACTACTTTTAATGCAAAAGCTGCAATTACTTTTGCAGCAATCTATTAGATATGTAGTTGCAGAAGGAGGCAATCAATGCTATGTGTCCCATGAACAGCAGAGATGACACATGCTTTGAGGCTTTCAGGAGATACCAAGACAACTTCTATTAAGGAAATCTTAGAATAATTCATAGAAAAGGTAACTGTAGAGATGGAGTTTGTTGGATGAGCAGCACAGAATTATGAAAGAAGAGAGGTTCTCAATAGGGAAAATGTGACCAATATGTCCACTGTGCAGAAAAGTAGAGGGGGAGAAAGACTGAACAAGGTTTGATCACAAGTGAGTACATTTGAGAGAGTATCTGTGTGTGTGTGTGTGAGAGCGGGGGAAACTGGCAGAAAATTAAAATTTAGGACGTCAACTGTTTTATCTAAATAATACCACCTCACATACTTGGCTGACTTTACCATGGAATTAAGCTCATGTATTCATTCATTCAATAGATATTAATGGATTGCCTATTGGGCCGGTACTAGGGATACAATAGTGAACAAAACAGAAAAATTTCCAAGTTCTAAATCCATAGAGCAAGCTAGAAACTCCTGAGCAGGAGCTGATGCTCCAGTCCACAGGTAGAACTTCTTCAGAGAGACCTCAGTGCTGTTCTTAAGGCCTTTCAACTAATTGGATCATTTCCACCCAGAAAATCTAGGATAATTTCATTCACATAAAGTCAACTTGAGTGTAGATGACTACCAAATACATTTACAGCATCATATCTACCATATAGCTTTATAGCATCACCTCGATTAGTGTCTGCCTGAATAACTGGGTACCATAGCCTGGCCAAGTTGACACCTAAAACTGACCGTCACAGATGACTCACCAATTTTTACCCAGTAACAAACTGACTGGCTTTGTGTGGACTATGACACCTCTTTCCTCTACCTTCTGTTTTTTTAACTGGCTCTTTTGAATTATGTAGATGGCTTCAGACTTGGATTTCCTGTCTGGCAGGCTATAGTCAGGTTCCAAATGACAAAATATTAATTAGGAGGACTGTGCATGATCTTGTTTACAAATTCATTAGCACTGGGAGCTTGGCTTTGGCAGTTGTTTGTCCTGATGCCATGGGGGTACATTTCAGCCCCCAAATAGCACCATCTGGATCTCATGTCCAACTTTGTGGCCATTCTAATCTTCATCTCTTTAATATAAGAAGAGTGGTGCTGCTCGCACTGCTGCCCATAATTCAATATTAAAATACTCCTTTAAGAACAAAATAGTGCCTGTGTGACTTGGTGTGTGTCATGGGGAAATTCTAGGGAGGAGAAATAACTGCTATCCACTTCATCCTATTGACCCCAGTGAACTCTGTTCAATAAATATTTGCAGAGTGACTGAATGCCAAAGCATGTCTTGAGTTTATGCAACTTGGTGACATTTCCACCGCTAAAACTGTTACTACAAACTTTATCTTGGAGAACTCATGATAGGTGGTGAAGTTGCTCCGAACCTAGGAAGCTGCTATTGGCCAAATTATGTGCTGTTGGAGAGAAACATTTCCTGTGTATTCAAAAAAAGTGGAGGCTTGGCATGACTAATATGGTAAGAATGTTCTCATCTTCTCCAGGAGAAGAATGGAGTCAGGTAGAGCTTTGCAACAATCCGTGGTCACAAACCTCAGTAGACACCCAGGTCATTAACTAACCACATGCATGTGGCACATGGAATGGAACATCCCAGAGCTCTGAAACCACAGGCATCTCTCTGCTGGATTAAAGGAAGCAATTTCACAGGCCCAGACAGAAAAGGGATGTGGTGATTTTTCAAACGATTCTGATTTATAGTCAATAAGGTGCAAGGTTATGATACACAGAGTAAATGAATCGTTTACACTCCTCCTCATCACTCCCTTCCAGAAGCTCTGGCTTCTGCTGGTTTCTAGGAAGATACCAAGAGTGTCACCTTTATGAGCACCATGCCTGGTCTTTGTATCTGTCATCCAGCCTCCCATCTGTGAAGTGATTCTTCAGAAACCCCTGACTTTGGTTACTAGCCAAGCCAGGGTGTGATATTTTTTCCTGTTTAATTAACAACAACAAAAAAAGGCTTGCGCATTTACTTTTGCCAGCTATCTGAAAGTTCAAAAGGTAAAGAACATTTCCGTCCACAAATAAGCCATGGAATGTATTTGGAAATTGAGTTTTCATCAGTAGTTGCTGTTTTGAGCCACTTATTCCACTGCTGAGGAAAGTGAAATGGGAGTTCTTTCCTGAAAGGGGGGGAAAAAAACCCAGAAACTTTGTATTTAGAATTTCACATCTATGGTAGAGGCTCTAGGAATTTGAGGTCATCTTTCTGACACTGATTTAGGCTAGTACACCCTCAGATGGGAGGTATTTATTATACCCATTGGTACAATGAAAGTTCAAATTTATACTGAAAGAAAATAATAAGATAAAGGCATGGCCATTTTGAGACCTTCTGATGATAGGCCATGATGGTACTTCATAAACCAACCTATCCTTAGCAAAAGACTCGTTTCATAAATTGCATTTTTAATTTATAATGATGCAAAGCTGAATGCCATATTTGCCGTGTAGGGCTACCCATTACAGACCAGGCATCCTGTCCATGGAACTTGGTAGAAAACCCCCAAAGTATCCCCTTTCATGCTGATCCAAGAGTCCAGATGCCACATTTTGTGCCACTTTATGAAGGAAGTGACATTTGAATTGAAGGCTGAAATGCAAGGAGGATTTAAATGACAGGGAAGGATGTAATTTAAGTGTCTGTCATCTGTCTGATCTCATCTCCCAACATTCTGAGGCTATTTTTCAAGAATTGAGAAAACTGTCTTGAATCCCCATCTTGCATATAGTACAAGGTCTAGTACCCTTCCTCAGCATACCTCAGAGGTCTTTAAGGGTCTATGTGTCCTTTGATCACCATTACCTATAATGTCTCGCTTCCACTGACTTCTCAGTCTCTTCTGTGTCTCATCTTCTCAAGCAATTTTTTTCCAGCCCTACATCAATGTGGTTCTCAGTTTCTCAAGATACCACTGATATAAAGCTGTTCAACATTCAGATTTTAAGGCCACCAAGAAGAGTTGCAACATGGCACAGAAGTGGCAACATCTTAGATTTTATACCATATATTGACATGGTATCTCATGTCGAATTTTAATTCCCAGTGTTGAATGAGGGGCCTGGTGAGAAGTGACTGAATCATGGGGGTGGACTTCTCCCTTGCTGTTCTTGTGATAGAGTTCTCCGAGATCTGCTTCTTTAATAGTGTATAGCACCTCCCCCTTACCTCTTATCTGCTGCTGGCCATACAAAGACGTGCTTACGTCCCCTTAGCCTTCTGCCATGATTATAAGTTTCCCGCAGCCTCCCAGAAGCAGAAGCCTGTGCAACCAGCAGAACCAGGAGCCAATTAAACCTCTTTTCTTTATAAATTACCCAGTTTCAGGTATTTCCTTATATCAGTGTGAGAATGGGCTACTAAATATATTCCTCATCCAATTTCTGTGGTCTTCTCAGCCACAGGAGATATCTTACTAGCCTTTCTATTTAGGATGCCACTTGTCATTAATCTGGGGCCACAGCTAGAGTTAGAGAAGGCTGATGTAATAAAAAGTAAAATGTCTCCTGATGTTATGACTCGAAGAACTAAAAAACTTTCTTTTTCACATAGCAGTCTGAATTAAGGTTTCCAGGCTAGCCTTTGGTTCTGCTCCATATAATCATTCAGGGACCTGGCTGTTAGTGAGTTGTTGCTTTGCTGGTCTCTGTGTCTTGTATTGTTTACATGGCCAAGGCTGGCACACCCCAGTGGTTACATCCAGTATGAAAGGGGAAGATATTGCCTACTGTCTATGGCTCTGGCTCAGGAGCGGCACACCCTACTTTTGCTCACATTCCCTGGGTGAGAATTCAGTCATAAGACCAAACTAACCTCAAGGAGTCTGGGAAATGTAGTACCAACACAGGTGGCCACTCGTTTATCCCAATTTCCTTTACTACAAAAGAAGGTGAGAATAAATGTTGGTGAAGAACTAGGAGTTCCTGCTACATCTTTCACTTGTCTTTCAGAAACTTCTTCCTTTGGACTCAATTTTTTTCTCTACTTCTCAGCAGCTAACTCCTAGATTTCTATCCCATTTTAAATGCAAAACAATTTGGTTTCTCATGTTTTTAATACTCTCCTCCCAGACCAGACTCAGTGGCCTCAATTTTTTTTTTTTTTTTTTGAGATGGAGTCTCTCTTTGTCACCCAGGCTGGAGTTCAGTGGCACAATCTCGGTTCACTGCAACCTCCGCCTCCCAGGTTCAAGCGATCCTCCTGCTTCAGTCTCCCAAGTAGCTGAGATTACAGGTGTGCGCCACCACACCCTGCTAATTTTGTATTTCTCATAGAGACAGGGTTTCGCCATTTTGGCCAGGCTGGTCTCGAACTCCTGACCTCAGGTGATCCACCTGCCTCAGCCTCCCAAAGTGCTGGGATTACAGGTGTGAGCCACCACGCCTGGCTAGTGGCCTCAACTTTTAACAGAACAGCCTGGTAAGCTCTTTTGCTATACAAAGAACCAACTACCACTGAGATAAGCATTCCCTGTTCCTATAAGGCAAAGGCAGTCATCTACCCATTATTTTGCTTGGTGTGTGCACATGAGTTCCCCACTCATGTACAAGCATGAAAGTAGTAATTATTCCTCTCTGCTGCATAAGGGGCTATATGCAGTGGAGTGAAGGGAGTGAGTATTCCCTGAAAAGGAAATATTGAAACAAAAAAGTGGAGAGAGGAAAGCATGGGGTAAATTCAGAAGTCAGAGATGGGTCTGGTTGACCTGGCTCATAGGCTATGTGGAAAAGAATGGGGGCATTAAGAAGGATTCCTTCCAGTCAAAAGTAATAGAAACCTAATGCAAATCAACAGAGGCTAAATAGGGTTATTATATGAGAGGTCATAGAGGCACTTACAGTTCCAAGTAAGTGCTAGATCTAGGGCCCCAGAAGATGTCAGATAGAGGCAAGTCTTTGTTTCTGTCTCTGAACTGTTTGGTCTGTCTTCTCAAATAGGATCTCTCCATAGGATCCTTGACCTCTCTAGGCCATATATTATCTGTAAAATTTTCAAGCTGTTTCCAGTGAGCCACCAAGGTAAATTAAAGGTGGATTCCAGTGCCAGATTATGCCATGCAGAATTTACAAAGTAAAGGACAGAGAGCCAGTTCTAACCACTCTTGGATTCTCCTGACAGGTGAAGGTTTTTAAAAGGATGGGGTTATGGAGAAGTTGTGACTGTGAAGAGGGGAAGGATTTTTTTAAAGAGGTTGGGGGTGTGTGTGTGTGTGCACATGTGTGTGTGTGTGGCAGTAACTCTTCTTCATGTTGTCACCTCTTCATATGAGATACCTCTTTCATTTCAAGCCCAGTGAGAATTCATCTCTGAGAGCTCTCTAAATTGAGAGACATAGACAACTGATATGCAAGTCACAGCTGACCAAGCTACAGACACCATGACAGCAGGGTAGAGGAGCTGCACTAAGATTGGCCGACCCTCACAGAGTTTGCTGACGTAAGAGATGTGTCAGTGTTCCTAAGGCCTAGAGGAAGGCCAGGTAAGAGAAGAGCCAGTGTGGGCTCAACCTGGGTCTTTCCCAAGAAGGTCACAAAGAAGGGTGGGGGTAACCCCAACAGCAAGAAACTGGAGGTGAATGGCACGTTCTTAGGGTCTGCAGAGGGACTCACAAGAAATTCATCAAAATGAGTCAGAGGAATGACAGAAAATAGCTTTCCAATATTGGGAATATTCGAAGGTACTTTGAAAGTACCTGCGAGAGGTACCCAGATAGCATGAAGACAGCTTAGTTTAGAATCATTTTAAGTAGAGGTCTTTCTCACTTGTTAGCATCCCTTCTTCTCCACCCATCACTCTGATCTCAAAGGGATCAGAAACTACTTAACAAGCTTGGGGATTGAGCCGTTAGGAAAATAGAGAAATATGGTAGAGAAATGCAAAAAAAAAAAGTCAACCATGTCATTCCTCCCCACCCCTATTCCCTGCCGCCTCCCAGCCGGAAGCAGGCCTAAGTTGGGGAATAGGAGAATATTTTACTTTAAATCAAGTTTAAAGTTGTCATTAACATTTTGGACTCAGCATTGTAATTTCTAAATTGGGACTGTATTGGTGACTTCAAGTAACTCTAGGACCAATGTATAATCCGAAAATTGGCCAACAAAAAGTTTTATCTAGGTCAGATAAAATTTTGAAGGGATAATGGAAAACAAAAATAATTTCATTTGATTGCGTTATAAGTACTGTTTACATCTCCCTAGAGATCATGGCTTCAGAGGGAAAAGCACAGTCACTCTTCCAGAATCCATAACAGTTCCTGAAAAAGACTTCTTAAGTCAGCATCTCCTCCACACCCACCAAACCTGTGACAAGGAAGCCATATGGCTATTAACAGCCCCACCTGGGTCACTTAGAGAAAGCAAGAGGCAGATTTCAAAAGAAGACACTGGCAGCACATAGATATCCACTACAACAGGAAGTGATGGCATGTGGATTCTGAAAGATTGTAAGATGAATCACTCCTAATGAAAGGACTCAATCAATGCAGAACCTCAAGTTCTGTTAGGTGGACTGGCATACAGAATATGGGAACATTCTGTTGGGACTCAGATCTCGAAAGTTAGAAACCCAGCAAGGTGAAAGAGTGACAGCAGGGGCTTCCTTGTGGGCTTTGTCATTCCCATGTCATCCATGGTGCCACTCATAGGTCACTTGCTTCAGCCTGGTCATAGGACCATACAACCCTCTCAGATATGCCTACTGGGCAGGGTGAAAGGCAAGCACCACAGCCATCCCTGTGGATTGTCCTAAACCTTGTGACGCTTCTATGAACCAGTTTAGTGGGTCTTCCAGTAGCCTGCAGACAGGTGCGAAGAGGCTAATACTTCCATATAGTATTGCAGAAAAAATTGAAAGTACTTAGTCCATACTTAAAAGGCATCTTATCTTGTAAACATCTTGTGTTATATGTTCATTCACTTATTAAAAAATTAATATATATATTTATACTCTGACTATATGATCAGCATTGTGTTATAATCTGGGAATACAAAAAGTATTTAGAAAAAAATGCCTATATATTTGTCTCCCTCAGCAGAATTGAGTTCTTCTAGAGTGGATACCCTGCCTGCCTTATTCACAACTGGGTCTCCAACACCTAGAAAAATTTCTGGTATACAGCAGGCACTCAATTAATGTGGCTTGATTAGATAAATCAGGACAATCACTGTCTTCAAGAAGATTAAAGTCCAGTGGAGGAGAAAGATATGTAAGCACAATGAAGTGTGGTAAGTTCTGTGACACAGGAAATCATAAAACTATATGTCAACAAACAGAGGGTGGGCGTGAGGGAGGAGTGAATAAGGCTTCCAAAAGATGATGCAATGTGGGACATTAATGGATGAACGGAACATTGCCCATTTGTGCCATGGTTCTCCTCCCCTATTCTTCTCTTTGAGGATTCTAGATTTCATGTGTTCTCTTTTGATGGCTTGGGACAATGGGCAGAGATGAGCACTCTGGGCCTGCTGTGTCCTGGGTGTGGCTGTGTGGGTCTTTCTGTAGCTGTGCCAGGGGAATGACTTTACAGGATCTCAGCAACAAGCCCAGGGTACTGTAGCTTGTGGGATCTTGGCAGAACTGTCTCAGTGCTAAGGTCAGAATTGGGGAAAGATGTTGTAATTGCCTTAAAGGCACGTGGACTCAAAGGCAACGCGGACACTGAACACAGCTCCTTTCGCAGACTGCACTTGCAGGGAAGTGAATGGGAGCTTTTCCCATGTGTGGCCAAATCGATGGGGTTAAATATGATTAAGCCCAAACATGTAAAAACAAAATTCCCAAGTTAATGGTGATGTAATATTCTGTTAGGGTTAGGCCAGATTATAGCTGATTGCGTTGCTTCATATTGGAACCTGGTCAAAACGTTGATTCCTGTTATAAATCCTGTAGTCATCCCCAGGAATAGCATTATCCACCAAAAAAAAAAAAAAAAAAAAAAAAGGCCTTTCTAAAGTTTCTAGAGAGTTTCAATGAGAAATTTCTTAGCAACACCTGGAAAAACCACAAACAACACAACCGGCTGTTGGGGAGCCCCAGGAAAATGCCACACATCTAGAGTAGGGAGCCTGCTGTGCCCTTCTCAGGCATCCTAAGAGCGCAGGCCTGGGTTGAATGTGCTCTACCCCACATCCTAACAGGGAAGAAAAGCACGAGGCCATTAAACAAAAAGGAAAAATAATACCACACGTCGCTGAAATCACATCCAACTGGGGCCAGGGCTTGATCTGCAATTCTTCATCCTTTCTGGTCTTCATTCAGCAGCCACTGACACCCCCACAGGATGGATTCTTTTTCCAAGGCAACAAATGCTCAATTCATCAGGGAACCAAAGCACAGCTCCTGTGCAATTTGTCCAGGATCCTTACAAACATTGAATATAAATGGAAACCAAAGACATATTATTTTCGGAAGTGAACATATTTTCACCCTAGTTTAGGATGTTGATCCTTATCACTCCCTTCCACATAGAGAGTGTCCCTTCTTTGCACCTTGCTCCTAGTGACTTCAAAGGAAGCCTGGAAGGAGCCCCGTAACATTGGTTACCCTGCTGTGTTCCAACCATAGTGTTTCTGACAGCACTTAAGTGCAAAAGCAAATGTTTCGTCTAGGTAAGGACCTAAAATAACGAGGCTTGGCTTTTTAAAAGATTAGGTACAAGAAAGGAAAACGCTACATGAAGTCATAACAGTAAGAGTTATCATGGTGTGTATATGCAACATCTGGATTCTAGGGATTATGCCAATAAGCACAGCAGTGTTGTTAAAGCCCTGGGCACAATTAAATCTCAACCCTGAGTTAATTAAAAAAGAAAAAAAACTGAACATAGTTATTTAATTTTGAATCTGAGTCCGTTTTGTAAAGCTGTTAGAATTGAACAAAAGCTGGCAAATGATTCTATATTAAAAGGTGAGATGTTTTCTTGTTTAATCAAAAATATACAGTAGACTCTATATACTCAATTTAAATATAGCAGAGAGTTAAGAATGAAAATGCTTATTATTGCTCGCATTATTCCCAGACTCATCTTGGAAATTTCCATCCACATAATTTCTCCTCTGACCCTGTCCTTGGAGCTAACATGTCTCCCAGATTCTTCAATGCTATCACCTGCCTGGCCTGCTGTTGATGGTGTAATGGAAAAAAGGAGGAGTCCGCAAAATGAACCTCTAGTCACCCTCTCCCGTCTGCTGATGGCCTGGTGACAGGTTAGTTGGCCTCCTTAACCTCAATTACTTCATGCAAATAATAATATTTTGCCTGTCTAAAAGCAGGAGGCTAGACAAGATAAAACATGTATATCCATTCCATGTATAGTTTATTGACTTTATCTTAAATTAGTGCCCTGGATCAACCAAATCACTATGCTATGAACACAGAACTTATATACAATGAAAAAGAATTAAGTAAAAATATGGCTTGTCCAGGTGTGGTGGCTCACGCCTGTAATCTTAGCACTTTGGGAGACTGAGGCAGGCAGATCACTTGAGGTTAGGAGTTTGAGATCAGCCTGGCCAACATGGCAAAACCCCATCCCTACTAAAAATACAAAAAAATTAGCCGGGTGTGGTGGTGTGTGCCTGTAGTCTCAGCTACTCGGAAGGCTGAGGCAGGAGAATTGCTTGAACCCAGGAGGCAGGGGTTGCACTGAGCTGAGATCATACCACTGCACTCCATGCTGGGGGACAGAGTGAGTCTCTCTCTCTCTCTCTCTCTCTCTCTCTCTCTCTCTCTCTATATATATATATATATATATATACACACACACACACACACACACACATATACATATATATACACACATATACACACATATACATATATATACATACATATATAGCTTATGTAATTTTGCTTATACCTACTTGTTTTCATTTGAGCAACTTGATGTTTTCTCAGTTTATGATGAATTGTTTCTATCAGCAGATGATTCCTTGAGGTTTCATCGCCAGCTAGAAGAAACACAGCTCTATTATGTTTTTCAGAGGAATTTAAAATAACGTTGAAAACAAAAAGTCAGGTTGGTCACTAAAATGCCCCTTGAAGGCACCCTTTCTTTCTCATTTTTATAGCTCTGCCTGACCTTAAGCCTTCAGCACTTCCTGCCTTATTACCATAGCTTTCTTATTGGTCTGCCTGTATTCCAAATTATCTTCCTCCAATTCAATTATTTTTCTACCACTTATTTTTCTAAATGTAGATCTAATTATTTTCCTTCTTTGATTAAAATCTGATCATGCTCCTTCTTTTTGAGAAGAAGTCTCGCTCTGTCGCCCAGGCTGGAGTGCAGTGGTGCGATCTTGGCTCACTGCACGCTCCGCCTCCTGGGTTCACGCTATTCTCCTGCCTCAGCCTCCAGAGTAGCTGGGACTACAGGGACCCGCCACCACGCCCCGCTAATTTTTTTGTATTTTTTAGTAGAGATGGAGTTTCACCATGTTAGCCAGGATGGTCTCAATCTCCTGACCTCATGATCCACCCGCCTCGGCCTCCCAAAGTGTTGGGATTACAGGCATGAGCCACCGCGCCTGGCCGGTCATGCTCCTTCTTACAGGCCTTTCACACAGTAGCTCTAACTTGAATTTTCATCTCATCTCCTGTCATTCCTCAACATGAGATGTCTGACTGGTGGCAAGGGACATTGGCCATCCTACTGTGTCTGGAATTGGTTCCTTCCGGTGGGTTCTTGGTCTCGCTGACTTCAAGAATGAAGCTGCAGCCCCTCGTGGTGAGTGTTGCAGTTCTTAAAGATGGTGTGTCCAGAGTTTGTTCCTTCTGATGTTCGGATGTGTCCAGAGCTTCTTCCTTCTGGTGGGTTCGTGGTCTCGCTGACTTCAGGAGTGAAGCTGCAGACCTTTGCAGTGAGTGTTATAGCTCATAAAGGCGGCATGGACCCAAAGAGTGAGCAGCAGCAAGATTTATTGCAAAGAGCAAAAGAACAAAGCTTCCACAACGTGGAAGGGGACCCGAGCCAGTTGTTGCTGCTGGCTCGGGTGGCCTGCTTTTATTCCCTTATTTGGCCCCACCCACATCCTGCCGATTGGTCCATTTTACAGAGTGCTGATTGATCCATTTTACAGAGTGCTGATTGGTGCGTTTACAATCCTTTAGCTGGACACAGAGTGCTGACTGGTGCATTTACAATCCTCTAGCTAGACAGAAAAGTTCTCCAAGTCCCCGCCCGACCCAGAAGCCCAGCTGGCTTCACCTCTCACCACCACATTCCTCATGTACCTTCTCACCTACAAGATAGCCCATGCTATTATTTCTCTGTAGGATTCTCTTTGGTTTTAGTTTTCTATTGCTGTAGTGTCTTAAAAAAACACTCAATGGCTAAGTGACTAAAACATCCATTTATTTTCTTACGTAGGCTAGAAGTCCAGGCCAGGCAGAGCTGAGTTCCCTGATTGGTATTCCATAAGGCTGAAGTCAAGTTGTCAGAGTCAGCTGGAGCCTTGAATAAGGAAAGATCTGTTTCCAAGCAGTTTCAGATGCTCAGCAGAATTAGTGCCCTTGTTGTAGCTGTAGGACCCAAGTTCCCATGATACTGCTAGCTATTGTCTGGGATCTGCACTCAGCTCTCAGAGGCTACTTTCAGGTCCTTGCCACATGGTCCCCACCATAGACCATCTCACACTTTCAATCTCTGTGACTTCAGGAAGGGCTCAGACCCTTTTAAATGTTCAACTGATTAGATAAGGCCCACCCAGATATCCACCTTTTTATTAACTCAACTGATTAGAGACCTTACTTACATCTGCAAAATTTCTTTTGCCATAGATACAGTGCAATCACAGGAGTAATATCTCATTACATCCACAGATTTCATGCACTGTCAATTGGAGGGAATTATACAAAGTCAAGGTCATTGCAGTCATCTTCAAATTCTGTCCACCACACTTTCCTTTTCTTCTCTGCTGGAAAAACTGCTATTCATCATGTAGGATCTAGCTTATATGAGTCTTCTATGTTAAGTAGTCCTGACATCCTCAGGCTGGGGTGCTGGCTCTGTGATCACCATGGATCCCCATTCATCCCAATAGCATTATATTTACCATCTTCTATTAGACCTAAATATATGTAGTCGTTTGATTAAAATGTAAGAAAGGAATATTGAGAAACTCTCAGTTTTGTTTTGTATACCCCAGATCCCTTGTTTGTTGATACTGTGTTCTCTGCGTTAAAATGCCTGTCTAAATATTGTTTGTGCTACTTGAAAGGGAGGTATGCCATGCTACCAAGTAAGGAATATTTTCTCAAATAAAGGTGGAGCCTTCATGTCAGGTGAAGTGTGAGTCTCCCTTACCTTGCATATTAACATTACACATTCAATAGCTCAGGCTTTTCATGGCCAGTGGCATTGATACAAGGAACCCAGTGTAAGATTAGAACTGCTAATCATTCATTATGTATTCCCATTTGCTTACAAAGGACAAGATCATATGAAAATACATCCTCAGGAAATTGGTTAGACAAATGCTGAAGAATAGGTGTAATTTTCTAAAATTTCAGTTTTAACAATTACTTTGCATCTTTATCCAAATGAATAAAGCCGGTGGTGGCCTTAAACGGAAGAATGGCCTAGATACAATTTTTTTTCCCCTGTGAAACCTTTCTTTCATAAAAGAAATAGAAGGAATTCACCTTTAGTGTGCTTGATTTTTCCTCTTGAGAATCATTCTGGTCTCGTTCAGCTTTCCAAGGACTAGTGAATCCAGCTTTTTGTATCATTCTGTCCAAGTGCACACAATTGAGATGAAAGCCGTGTGAGATTATTGGATAGTACATAGACACCAATGTAAATTCAAGATTGGGAAGAAACAATTGTTTTTGCCTACTTATCAATGCAAAATATATTCTGCTTTGTCTGTTTTCTGGAAAGAAAACTGGAATTTGAGTAATTTTATACTATAGCTGAGTTTCAGGATTCCTCATTTTGAAAAGAATGAGCATGGGAAATTATCCAGAACCACAGCTCTTTCCTGTGACTCTCAAAAAAAAACAAACTGGAACTTCCCTCCCTGTATTCTTTCATGCAGGACAGTACCATTCAACAACTACTGTGAGTTCAGAAATTCCCAGATAACAGTCAGATGAAAGAAAAAATGACTCCTACCTTTTAACACGTTTGTATAGAGATCTGGGTTCTAAACTCTGCCAATGGAATGCTGGAAACAGGGGCACCAGTTAGGATAATATTTAACAAAGCATTTTGAACTGGCACCAAGCTTCCATTAATGGAATTAAAAAAGATCTGCCAGTGTTCTGGGGAAGATGATTCCCACAGTTCCCCTCCAAAATGTTTTAAAATGTGCAGGGAAAAAAAAGGGATGAATCAAGAATACCTCACAGACAATTTTTCTAAGCTGAGATGAATTGTGTTAGCTTCTGTTCCCCCACAATATATATGGATCCTGCCATTGCCCTAATCAGCAGAGATGGTTTAAAAATTGATCTGAAAAATCAGCACTTGACCCTGTGACTCCGCTTTTTGTCGACACTTTCAATCACATCTGGTCTTTAACTGTAAGATTGTTGGCCTATTCCAGAGTCCATTGCTCTGACAGCTGCATGCATTTTGCACGCAGAATAACTCCTCTCCCAGAGATTTAGGAAACCAGGACAACACAGCTTTCATTGCTAGATCACTTAACCACAAAAAAGAATTCTAATAAGTTTCCACAAAAAGGCCCTTTGGCCTGAGACATTGAAAAGGAAGAAGCACTGTGAGAGACTATTGGCAAGGGCATACACTTGGGTACAGGGAAACCTTGATTTAAATTCAAACTCTATCTTTCAGCCTCAGTTATACAAAAAAGTAAGACATTATGTCCTCTGGAAACAACAACAACAACAAAACAAACATATTGTAGAGATTAAAATGAAGCACAACTGTCTTGAAAATACTTTTAAATATAATTGTATAAGTTATATTATTTAACTGGGCAGCATCATACTGACCTTCTAGTCCAGAACAACCTGGTAGTTATAAAAAATATGTATATTCATTAATTCTACAAGGATTTACTGAACATCTACAATGTGTCAAACTCATTTCTAAAAATATGTGATATAAGTTGCCTCCATATGATAATAAAGAAATAATTTTGTTGAATAATCAACCTTTTCATTTTAAACTATTGTTTTATAACATAAGCCATATACTAAATGGTCCTCTCTTCAAAATTTTACATTTATTGCACATCTACTGGGCTACCTCATTTAAACCACCTAAAGATCACGTGAAATAAGATACCACTTCATAACTCATATTCAGAGGGTTTAAACCATACGCCCAAGGTCACATAGCTTGTTGAATAGATGAATCAGCCAAGCTTCTACGTCTGACTGCATAGTGTATGTTTATATCACCCTATTATGTTAACTTCTTAAGGATGCTGATTATTTGAATAAGCCAAAAGCTTCAGCATTTTTCACAGGCTTTCAAAGAGATTGACCTCAATGCAACACAAAAACAATCCAGCGTATTTAGGTCATCTGAAAAAAGTTATCTTATAAAAATGTTAAGACTTTCTATAACTTAGGCTAGAGGTTTTATATAAATTCCTTGTGATGGCACCTAACTTTGTTTGTCCTATGACTCCATCTATGTCTCCAGCTTCCTAAGAAGTTCCTGTCATCCATCCTCCTGGTCTCTGTGCCACTGCACTCTGGCCACGTCATGTGACTTATCATCCCCCACATACCCTGAGTTTTACCTGACTCCATGACTCTTCCCAGAGATCTTTTCAGCCACTCTTTGACTTCAGTAGTTGGAATTGGGGATTCCCTTCAATTGGCTCCAGTGACCTTCTGTGTGTATCTTTATTATTGTATGGATGGTATTTAAATTATAGATTCATATTAGGTTATGAATTCACTATAGCTTACTTATGTTTGTGATCCTACTGTCTGGTATAGTGTTAGCATGTGACTTAATACATGATCATTAAATGAGTAGATAGTAATTTCTCTATGTAACATTCTCCATGTTACAAGAGAATGTACTTTCTCTTTTTGTTCTTTTATGTTCATGAAAAATTAGAATGTTAGATGACTTTTTATTGTAGTTGAATATTTTCAAAGCAAGGCTTAGGGTGATTTCCTCAACATCTCTTGTAGTCACACATGGAAGTGACCAGTCATATATCCCTAAACACATGAAAGCAGAAAAGCATGATCATTTATACCACCCTCTCCACCACCATACATATTCTAGTGCAAAAGAACACACAGTGCATTCTTTCATTCATTCAACTAAAATTTGCCACTTAACTTCTAAGACATTTCAATCACAAATAAAAGGATTAGTTTTCCTTAAAGACTTGATACTCTTAATTCTCGTGATTACAATGAGCAGCTCTGATCTCTGAGATTTCTAAGATATTCTTATTTAAGTGTTATGGAGACTTCCCATTTCTGCCAAGATGTCAAAATAACGTAAGACTCTGTCTTCCTCTCCTAAATTCAACTCTGAATATAACACAAGTGTAAGAAGAGGGTGAGATTGACCAGTCTGAGAAAATAATGCTGCAACTTTGAGAAACCCCTGGAAAGAGAAGATAAATGAAATCTGATAGAGCTGAGAGCAGCAGTTCAGAGAAGATGAGGGTTATGTACAATAGGGATTGGGTTGAGAAAAAGCCTTTCTATCTGCTCTTCTCTCACCACAACATTGCCCTGACAGGATCACTGCTCATTTCAACATTTCTGCAAAGCAAAAATTGAGCAGCTTCTTACCAGGTCTGCCAGGTTGAAAGGTGGCATTCCAGTGCATCTAGAGGTGCATGAAGTGGGAAGCAAAGAACTGCAGATGAGCTAGAAGATTTCTTCTTCCCTCCTCCCTTGTTGCATGAATTCAGTTATGACAATTGAGGAAAACAACTCTTAGATAAGAACAGGCTAAGGATGATGGAACAGGAAGTTTTACTGAGGGACAGGATTAACTGGTTAGGAGGGTGGTAAGTGGGCCTAGATTAAATACCAATATTCTCCATTGTAATGCATATATATATATTTATATATTTTTTGAGATGGAAATATATACATATATGTATATATATGTATATATATGTATATATATGTGTATATATGTGTATATATATATGTGTGTATATATGTGTGTGTGTGTGTGTGTGTGTATGTGTGTGTGTGTATATATATATATATATATATATATATATATATATATATATTGAGATGGAGTCTCACTCTGCTGCCCAGGCTAAAGTCCAATGGCATGATCTCAGCTCACTGCAACCTCGGCCTCCCGGGTTCAAGCGATTCTCCTGTCTCAGCCTCTTGAGTAGTTGGGATATATGTGTGTGTATATATATATATATATATACGTATATATATATATATATATACGTATATATATATACACGTATATATATATATATATATATACGTATATATATATATACGTATATATATATATATTGAGATGGAGTCTCACTCTGCTGCCCAGGCTAAAGTCCAATGGCACAATCTCGGCTCACCACAACCTCTGCCTCCTGGGTTCAAGCGATTCTCCTGTCTCAGCCTCTTGAGTAGTTGGGATTACAGATGCTTGCCACCATGCCCAGCTAATTTTTGTATTTTTAGTAGAAACGGCATTTCACCATATTGGCCAGGCTAATCTCGAACTCCTGACCTCAAGTAATCTGCCCACTCCGGCCTCCCAACGTGCTGGGATTATAGGTATGAGCCACCACGCTCAGCCAAGCCACCACATCCAGCCTCTAAGGCATATTTCCCCACACCCATTAAGTCTGTGTGACGTCAAAAGTTAGGACCTGGAGTTTAACTTCTCTCATTGGACACCTCATTAACCAATGTAATAATGCCTCCAGAGAAATATGAGGTTACAATGAATAACAAGAAATTTTATGAGTTACCTGCTATAAAAGAAAGGTAATACTTTGAACAATTTATAGTAGAGGATCAGAATAAAAGTATTAGACAGAAAACCAATTTAATCCAAACATAATATGTATTTTCAAAGAGATATGAAACCACATAGCTATTTGAAATAAAGGCAAAAAGAATTTTTTTTTAAAAAAAGAACTATTTGAAAATCCTGGATAAGAAAAAACAGAGTTGAAATAAAGAGTTTAATAGCTAAATTAAATAGCATGTTAGAGATGTGGCTGAAGAAAAAAATTTGTATTCTAGAAAGTAGATTGAGAAATTTATCCACAATATATCAGGAAGAGGTACAGATTATAAAACCAAATTCAACAGCTATGAAGAGTTGAAACAGTTATTATCATCTGTATAGTAGTCCAAAAAAAGGAAAACTAGCAGAAAAAAAAATATTCTAAGAAGCTCCCAGAATAAAAGATTTAAGATTGAAAAGAGGGCAAAAAAGGTGGATAAGGTAAAGCCAATAACTACATAATGAAACTTAACACCATTAAATACAAAATTAAAAAAATTTGACTTAATGAAAATGAGATTACAAAGGAACAAGATCAGATCAACATCGAACTTCTCTTACTGATGTATAGATTTTTCTTATAACTCTTGATGTAAGAAAATAATAAATTATATTTCAAAGTATTAAAAAAAGAATTCTAAAGCTATAATTTTATACATAGCTAATCAATGTTTTAATACAGGCATGAAATAAAGAGCTACTGAAACACCTATAAATTCCAGAGAGTTTACTGCAAAAAGATTCTCTTTGAAAATATTATGAAGAAAGTAATCTGACAAAAAGAGAAATAAATATAGAATGACACCATAAGAAAAAAATATGAGTAAAATTAGTAAAATTTAATGCTGGCTACAATAATTTGAAACTAAAATGCAAGGTGAAGGGAATTGAGGGAATGTGATATATTATTCTAAGGTACTTGTCTTCTTTAGGGGGAAGACAAAAATATTTATAAAATTAAGAAATAAGGAAATAAAATAATAGTATGTAAGAATTTTAATATATCTATAGTAACCAGAAGAAGAAAGAAACTAGGTTTAATAAAGTATTCTGACCATGTAAAGAAATTTGTATTTCCAATGGAAGGCAGGAAAGAAGAAAACATAATATAAAATGTGTGGTAAATAAAAAATACTAAAAATGCAGAAATAATATGATGTCTATTCTAATACATGTAAGTCAATGAAAATAACTAATCCAAAGCTAAATTATAATACCTTGCAATTATAATATAACATTGGATTACAGTATTTTGATTACAAAACAAGTGCTTAAAACAAAAAGATATGAAAAAAACAGAAATAAAAGAAAGATAAACTCTAGGCAAAAATGAATCAAAAGAAAACCAGATAATTTTAATATCAGAAAAAAATAGAATTTAACTTGAAAAAATAACAAAGGACAAGTACGAACTATATATGCACATAAAGTCAAAATAATAAGAGGTCATAACTATCAGGAACCAAATATGTACCCCACAATGTAGCATCAATATATATATAAAGTAGCAGCTGATAGAATTATAGTGAGAGATAGATAATGTAATGATTGTAGTTGGAGATTTAAATATAACCACCTTGTAATTAAATGGTTAGTAAATAAGTAAAGATATAAAAAATTTGAATAGTATTAATAAGCTTATTAAGAGAGACAGATAAAAAATTACACATAACGAATGACAAATATTCTTTTAAATGTAAACACCAACAAAATAGCCATGTACTAATCACAGATGAAACCAACAAATTCCAAGGTCCAACTTGATGAACACTATGTTACCTAAACATAATATATTAGATTTGCATTAAAATTAAAAAACAATACAAAAGCTTAGAGGACTTCTGTCTAAAATGAATGTTGAATGTATTCCCAGGCCCACTAAATTAGCAGTAAAGATTGTACTATTGCAGATTGTGTGTGTGTGTGGAGCATGTGTATGTCTAATATCTAAACCTACCAGAACAAAAAAAGGACACAGAAAGCTACAGTAAACAGAACCCCCAAAACACATAAATCACTGGCATTAGGTACCTCTGAAAGTCAATTGAAGGTGGGGCTATGTTTAAAAACAGGTAGATTCACCAAGACCATCTGTCCCTTTGTGCCATAAAGTGACTGCTTCTCCTCAACCAAGAAGAGAAAGAGATTGAAGATCTGAAGAGGGAAAATAGATTTAGAGACACTAGCACTAGCCTAGTAGAGAGAGAGCATACCACGCATAAGAAAAAGGGAACTAGGCTGGGGCACGGTAGCTCACGCCTGTAATCCCAGCACTTTGGGAGGCCGAGGCGGGCAGATCACAAGGTCAGGAAATCGAGACCATCCTGGCTAACACAGTGAAACCCCATCTCCACTAAAAGCACACACACACACACAAATTAGCCTGGCGTGGTGGCAGGTGCCTGTAGTCCCAGCTGCTTGGGAGGCTGAGGCAGGAGAATGGCGTGAACCCAGGACGCGGAGCTTGCAGTGAGCTGAGATCGCGCCACCGCACTCCAGCCTGGGCGACAGAGCGAGACTCTGTCTCAAAAAAAAAAAAAAAAAGTAAC
Organism: Homo sapiens; assembly: GCF_000001405.40. Classification (NCBI taxonomy): domain Eukaryota; kingdom Metazoa; phylum Chordata; class Mammalia; order Primates; family Hominidae; genus Homo; species Homo sapiens. Next base: position 218,724,283 of record NC_000001.11, read on the forward strand.
TAATTCGAAGGCTACACTTAAAATGTTGAGAATTTCAAGCTTTTTTTTCCACTTAAATCTCAAAATTGGTAGCCAGGATTCAGGATTATATTCTTTAAGTAGAATCTTCACTGGTGAAAATGACTAGCCCAAGAGGAAACACTAATAGCACTTCATTGCGGGTTCTATAACAAAACATCCCAGAAATATCGACCTACATTAAGTACATGATCAACAAGCCTATTTGTGTTTCAATCAACTTTTTTATGGACATTTCAAAATATACCAGAAAGTTAACAACGAACAGATATTTGAAGATTTCTAAAATTAAATATAGAGGTTAAAAAACAACATAAAACAGCAATTTAGGGGGTCCTAAGATGATTCAGGGAGAAGAAGTCTTCACATAAACTATCAAATTGCTAAAGAGATGAAATATTGCTCTCATAAGACAGTAGGATGATATAACACACATAGAACACAACGTAAACAACAAAACAAAAAGGGTCCATAGAAATTACAAACATTATAACAGAAATAAAATACTTAATAAAAGAATTGAAAGATAATACTTAGGCTATTTTCCCTCCAAAACAAAACAAACAAAAAATGGAGCAAAAGACAAATAATTGATTATAGATAAACCTCAAGATATTGATTTCCTAAATATATAGGGTAGCTGAGCAAAGTCAAAGTCCTGGTTTTTATCTCCTAGAGGACAGGGCTATGCAGAGAATGGTCAAAATAGAGCAGGGCCTAATGGTACTCCCCATATGAAAAAGGTCACGAAGAACTCTTTTGGATAACTGAACATAAATATAACAATAACCAGCTAAAGGAATTGAAAATGTTTAGCTGGGTGAAATGCGCGGCATAAGGGAAATTCTACTTCATAGAATTGTTTTATTTTCTGTATTATATGCATGTGCAGAAAGAAATAAATAGATTAATTCAGTGCCTAAACTATGCAGCTAACACATTCGTCCCCTAGCTGAGGCAAATAGTGTCTACTGATGGCTCACAGCTGATTTTCTTGTTGGAAATTGCCCTCAGCTTTAGGAAACTTTGCTGCCCAAGATTATGCCCTCTTCAAGTGGCCAGTGATCAATAACTGACTGGTATGGAAATACAAAGGACTGACCCATTTTCATTTAGTTAGGAAAACAGTGAAATATTACCTCAGTTTCATAACTCCCCATAGAATCAGCTGAGGCATCAATTGCCAATGTATTAAGGTTGGCTTCTTATGCCCAATCCTGTCTTATTTCTTTTATTTTCTTTCTTTCTTTTTCTTTTCTTTTCTTTTTTTTTTTTTTTGAGACGGAGTTTCACTCTTGTTGCCCAGGCTGAAGTGCAATGGCGCGATCTCGGCTCATCAAAACCTCCACCTCCTGGGTTCAAGCGATTCTCCTGCCTTAGCCTCCTGAGTAGCTGGGATTACAGGCATGTGCCACCATGCCCTACTAATTTGGGATTTTTCGTAGAGACGGGGTTTCTCCATGTTGGTCAGGCTGGTCTTGAACTCCTGACCTCTGGTGATCCGCCTGCCTCAGCCTCCCAAAGTGCTGGAATTACAGGTGTGAGCCACCGTTCCCGGCTATCTTATTTATTTTCTTATAGGTTTGTTTACCAAAAGCACTCCCCAATAAAAGTTATTCATGTGAATTTCTGTGTCAGAATCTCTTTCTTGAGATTCTAATCTAAGACAACATCTAACATGTATTTGGAAGGCATCTCAATCTTACTACTAATTAGAAAATACAAACTAAAATCGGTGAGTAATCTATTTATACTCATCAACGGACAAAAATTAGATAGATGATACCAAGACAAGTTTAGAAAAGGATAATCTCTTCCTTTTAATTGAGGCTTTTAGACTATTTATATTTGATATTATTGGTAAGATTAGGTATAAATCTATCATCTTGTTATTTGTTTCTATTTGTTCCATCTATTCTTTGTTCCCTCTATCTTATGCTTTGAATGGATCTTTTACTCATGCATGATTTTGTAATATGATTCACTAGCCTTTGGAAAATATTGGTTCACTGAATTATGCAGAATTTCCAAATGTTGACACAAATTATTATATACATCAAAATAATCATACTTGTTAATTTTACCCCCAGTTTCAGAATAGTCTTTGAGTCATGATGACTACCAAGTTTACAGTGGTGAATACAGGTTTCTCAAAATCTAATTTTTGCTTGAATGCTCAAATTTTATCAGACAACAAATAATGTCAGTTGTTCTCCTTGAAGTGACTGGTTCTCTTTGTTTAATTTCAAGACGATATCATCCAAATACTCAAATCCTGAATGATCATAATTTGTGAGTTGCACACAAAAATGTTCTATGAAAAAATGGCTAGTTCCACTCAAAGGACGGAATAGCACATGTGTTTTCCCTGAAGACTCCCATTGCACTTCAGTGTGCTACAGAAGTGCTTCTGTACACTTCCCATTTTGTCACACAGAGTACTAAAAAGACATGTGCACAAGTGTTGGAATTTAATATAATTAATAATTTTTACTGCTTCATCAAGGATGTTGTGAAATAAAATTGGATTTTCTAAAAACTGTAGTCCATGGCAGTAAAGAAGATAACTATTAGCATGATTTACTGCCACTGTCTTGATTTGTGTTAAGGTGCCAGGTGTTTACCTACCCTTGATTTTGCACCACCAGTGCAAATTTGAACTCAGTGAAGAAGGCAAATAACATCTTAATACTGTGGTTCCCAAACTGTGCACCTAGGTCCTCTGGAGTGCCACAATAAACTCACAGGTTACCTCCAGATATTTTAACATTTCCAGGGAAACTCAGCAATACTCAACATCTGCTGCACATTGTGCAAGTACTAGTTCAAGGTAGTTCAGTTTTAAGGTAGATTTCTCTATGTTGTTTATGATAAAATATCTTTGAAAGCTTGCTTTTCAGTGCTTTCTATGATAAAAAGCAATGTGGAATAGTAAATGAGAGTTTCAGTATTCCATCTGATTCCAAGGCTTGAGAAGTTGTGCCCACAGATATACACATCCTATTAATAAATAGTTGTGGTTATTTAAGAATAAAGTAAAAATACGTGATTTACTTGTATTATTATTTCAAATGGCTGTTAAGCTTTTAGGACATAAACACTTGAGTTCTTTTGACCGAACTACGTAATAAACAGACTGCTAAGTATTTCCTTTAGCCTAGAAATGCTGTGAGGAAAAAGTATTGAGACTCTAAGGGTGCCATGAACTGAGAAGTTTTGGGAACTTCTGTCTTTGTATTATCATGAAAAAAATAATTTGAGCTTGGAGGGTCCGTGAAAAGGTCTCAGGAACTTTCAGGGATCCACAGACTCCAGTTTGAGAACCAATGTATTAGTTCAATTATATGCTTCTCAAAAGTCAAATGAAATTGTTAAAAGTTATACTAATTACCTGTCATCAAAAAATGGGCAATCTCTTTATCTCTCTTATTTTATTGCATGCCCATCTGCTTGTTTAAATTCTGGCACAGGCTACTGTCCTAAGGTGCGTTTATTCATTGAACTAACTTGAATTGAATACATACCAAACACTAGGCCCATTCTTTGGTTTGGAAGTAGTTATGCACATAAAACCTTCCCTCTGTCTTCAAGGAGCTTACAGCCTTGTGGGAGTAAGTGGCAAAAATATAGATTGCCAATAGTCTTTAAGAAACATTACTGTGATAGCAGTGAACAGAATGCTTTGGGAAAACATAGGTTTTCTAATGTAGCTTTGGTGGATTATGAAAGATTCTCTCAAGAGATAATAAGGTGACTATCTCAAAGAATTAAAGAACGAGAGCAAGGAGAGAGAAAGAGAATACCTGTATGGCTGTATTGAATATGTATTTGAGGCAAAGAATGGTGTTAAATTAAGTTACAGAGGGAGGTAGGAATGTACCACTGCCAAGCTGGAAAGTTAGGACTTTATTATTGAGAGGCTAATGACAAGTCATTGATGGATTGCAAGGAAAGAACTGATTGATAGATTTGTAAAAATCTCTCTGTGATAGCAATTAGAGAGAATGGTCTAGTAGGGGGCAAACTTGTTAGGAGCTGGCTGCAAAATTATGGTGAGAAACAGTGAACACCTGAGCTAGATTAAATGTGGGGCAATGAAGAGAAGGTGTCAGATTAGAGAGGCTCAGGATATTGCATTGATTTGGCTGCGTGGTGGGTGGAAGAGTCTGAGTGGGGAATGAATGACAAACAAAGGTCAATTTACTTTTTTAAAAAATAGAGGGAGAAGGGCAGGTTTTCAGAGAGAAGGCCTTGAGTTCATTTGTAGTAACTTGAAGTGTCTATTGGATACCCAGCCGACAGGTGCTTACACTGTAGTAGAGCTAACATCATTTTGGTAACCATACACGGAAGCACGACCAGGCTTTATGCCATTCAATTCTTCAAAGAATTATTGCCTAAGGTAGGTTTATGATATGCCTCCCAAGCATTGAGCAAAGAACAGGAAAAAAAAAAAAAAAGGAGGAGTTCTCCTGTTGTTTGTAGTAAGCTAGAGTTAATATTTATAACACAATCCAATGATGCCCGTAATGCTTTCCCATGACACCTACATGGGCAATCTGTGACTGATTTTTAGCATAACACCTAAGAAGGGAAGCTGATCATGTGGCTATTTATTTATTTTATTGAAATTGTACTTATTTCTCACTTTGTATAATTTCAAACAGGTGAAAGCTGACAGGCAACATGATTTCACTTAGCTTGATAAGATAAATTTAAAGTCTGCATCTATTTACCCCCAGTTTAAAATATCAGTAAGTTATGTGAAACAGATAACTTCTCCAGCATCTGGAGCTCTGTTTCCTTTCCCAGAGGGAATTATATGCAGCCTGTCTCTTTTCCTTCTCATGTAGATCCCCCTCTCCCAGGCCCAGCTCTGTGTGTAACCAATGAGACTGAAGGCCACTTACTAAGCCTGGGCTACTCAAACAAGAAAGCCTTGACACTGAGCTGCAGCCACTTGATCATTCAGTGTGGGAGCTGAACAATCCCCTCACCCTTAGGCTGAACCCAAACAACCCAAAGTGAATCAAAGATATCCCATCACATTTGTCTTTGAAAATAGCCTGGGGCTCTATCGTTTGAATTGATCCTTGAGCCAAAGATCCAGGCCATTTGCAGAGATCTTGGCAATAGGAACCTCAGCTGTCAGCAAGCAGAAGCAGTGAGTTAACATGAACATATTTAGTGAGGTGGAGTTAAGGAAAATCCATTTTCCAAATCCTACATCAAGACATCTGACATTCTTGATGGTACTTTAGACAGAATCTGGCTCTTTCCAGGATAATTTTCCCCAAAGAGTAAAACATCTCTGTCTTGGACTCCACTGATTAGAAATTCAGACCAGAGAGTGACAGAAGTTTACTTTTGTTTTACCTAAGAAAAAAGTATTTTGCTGTAAAAGAGTCATGTAGTAAAAAGACCACTGGACTTAGAAGACAGGAGTTTTGGTGCATGCTCTATCACCTGCTACTGTGACAGGACGTTTTATGAGCTATTATAAATTTTACTGATTGTATTTTATTGATTTTATTGTTTTCTTCGTCTTTAGTTTCCAAGCTGATATCTAGGGTCTTATTATTTCTTTGCATCTAGGAGTTTTGCAGGACTGAAAGCAGGAGTTATATGAGGTCAACAGCTCCTTCCATCTTTTGTAAATTCCCAACGTGACTGAATCAAGGTTAGTCACAAATTTTACAAGGTTAAGATTTTGGCTTAATTGTTCTGCCTGTCTTTTTCCCTGGCACTTCCCACTATACCAATGCTGAACACAGAAAACAAGCACATTGACTGAGGTGTGCCAGGGAAGGTCAAAAAATAAAAGAAAGAAAAAGACCTGTGAACATAGTAACAAATTCTGCTGGCACAGACGTAACTTCTTTATTAAAAAAAGGAAAAAACAAAAAAAGCAACTTAGTCTATAATATCTGTGTAGCATCGGAACTGACCATCAAGTTGAAGATTTTCTACCATCATAGAATGTCAGATTCAGTAGCAATTTTGAATATCATCTGCAACCTATTCATTTTACAAGTGAAGAAACTGAGATTTTTTTGATCCTAATGACCAGCAGCTATGCATATCTCAAATGCTGAGCTACAGCTTGTTGGTTGATGCAATCAAATTTAAAAATACAGGTATAACAGTTTGTTATAGGAGGAGATTAAATGTCTTATCATTTGGGCTTTCCTTCCAGTTAAGTTTTTGGTAAATTATTAGCACGATGATACTGTCACAGTATCTTCATATGCCCCCTCTCACACTACAAAAATGTGAAATTCAAGACTGCAGGTTCCCTTTGCTGACGTTGTTATTATTCTGGATGGCCTCAATCTAAATTGGCTGACTGCTCCATAAGACAAATTGAATTGATGCCTCTTGAGTTGAAGTGCCATCTGAATGATCATCCAAACAAGCCTGACATCTTTTTCTCTGTTGATCTCTAAAAATATATATTTATATCAGTCTGGCTTCAGAAAAGGAAACAAACTAACAAACAAAGAAACAGCCTTAGGTATTTTAAGCAGAAATAATTTGATATAGGGGATTCAGTTTGCAAAATTTTTATAATGATTATAAAATAGGCTCCAAGGTGAGCCTCCAGGAATGACTTCTAGAACACGGAAGAATTCTCCACAGGAAAATTGTTGCTTTTTTGATCATTGAGAAAGTGGAGAGTCAAGAAGTCACCACCGGAACTACTGAATTTGTTTATCTAACAACACTAACTGTGAGCTAGGCATCAGGAAGTTATGGCTACCACTTCCACAACTAGTTCTTGGTAGTCATGAAACTGGTGACTGAATACTAGAACATTGACCATTAGCTGCTACATAAATGGCCTCTTGAAAGACATGAAACTAGGATCTGGACACTGAAACCCTGCTGCAGATTATACCCACAACTCCATGATCTTGCTCACTCACAGAAATCAACCAAAGCAGCAAGAAGATGGTGTTGGCCTTGCTTGTACATGGCAGATTCTATGTCACTGCAAATTTTTGGTGGAGCCTAGTCTATATCTACAGCTAACATCCAGATACAAGGGGGTATGCATGATGTTACTTCTAGTTGTATACTTTCTGAAGTATAGAAAAACTGATCAAAAAAAGGGGGGCTGGAAATGGATGCTAAGTCCAATTTGCCACATCCACTGTAACATCTGAGGATGTTTACCTCAAATGACATTAGAAATCTAAACTCATTATTTTTGTTTTCAAATACTGTTTTCCTCCTTTGTTCTACCTTAGTTAGTGGCACTAAGGTACATCTAGTTTTCAAGTAAAAAACCTAGAAGTTATCCTTGATTTCTCTTCTCTCCCTTTCCTGTATCACCCGGTATAACACAAAGATCTTTCTCTTACACCTCCTAAATCTTTCCACATGTGGCCTTTCTCTTTATTCTTATGGCCACTTTTGATTTCATACTCTCTTATTTTTCTCTGGGACTACTCCAACAATTTATTTATTTATTATTACATTTTTTTAAAGACTGATTCTTGCTATGTTGCTCGGGCTGATCTTGAACTCCTGGGCCCAAGCAATCCTCCCGCCTAAGCCCCCTGAGTAGTTGGAACTATAGATGTATGCCATTGTGCCTGGCTATTCCAATAATCTCTTATTTTAATGTGCCTCTCAGCCCCGTGGATCATCCATTCTGCAGCCAGAGAAATCGCTCTGAATGCCAATGTGATCATTTACATCTTTCCTGAAATAACTGCCGTGTCCATGTTTCCAGCAAGGAACATGTCTCCCATTCCCTTCCTCAACCAGTGCCTGAGTCCTTTTCCAGATTTATTCTCTGATGCTTAGTCTTCCTTATGCTTTGCACTCAGTCTTTTCTGAAATAATTGTAGCCACATCGAAAATGTCTGCCATCAATCTATCTATTCACCCATTTATTAAATATCTCATATTTATAAAATATCTAATATAGTCAGGGAAATGAAGACCAGTATTGCTTGGTAATTATCTACAAGGAGTTCACTGTTACAGTTTATAGTAAACAGAGGATGACAGTATAGTGTAATAAATAATTTCTCTATACAAGATTATTGGATGGGGTAGTCAGAAAAAGTTTTCTCACATTGTGACACCTAAGCTGAGTCTTGAGTGGTGAGTACCTGGTAACTCAATGAAGACAAAGGGAGGAAAGAATAAGGAAATAAACTCCAGATAGAGAAAGAAGGGTACACAAAGTTAGTGAGGCCAGAGAGAGCAAGGTTTTTTAGAGTTCAGATTGCTGATGAATATGGAGGAAGTGAGAAATTGTGTAAGTCACAGTTCTTCAGAAAAACAGAAACAATAGGATGTATATTAAAAAAATATTTATTTTAAGGAACTGGCTAATGTGGTTATAGTGGCTGGAAAGTCCAAAAATCTGCAAGGCGGGCTGGCAGGTGGCGACCCAGAGAAGAGTCAATATTGCAGTTGAAGTCTGAAGGCCATCTCTTGGCAGAATTCCTTCTTGCTTGAGGGAAGTCAATCTTTTGTTCTAGTGATGACTTTAACTGATTGAATGGGACCCACTCACATTATGGAGGGTAATCTGCTTTAGTCTGCCAATTTAAATGTAAATCTCATTCCAAAGCATTCCTCCCAGAAACCACCAGAATAATGTTTTACCAAGTGTGCTAAGCCAAATTGACGTATAAAATTAACCACCACAGGGATAAAACTGAACTCAAGGTAAGAAAGGCCAGATCATGAATGCCGTGCTTGGGAATTTGGACTTTGATTTTGAGGTCAGATGGAATCATCAAAGAGTTTTAAGCAAGGGGGTCACTTGGGCAGATCTACGACTACAAAAATTAGTTCTGCTAAGAGAGTAGAGGACGGAATGAAGTAATGATAAGGGTTACAGCAGAGAGGGACCTTCAGAAGAGGAGGGAGAGAAATCGGAAACTGAGAAATTAAACACAGGAGGCTCCTGCAGCAATCAATATAAGTAAGAAATCATGATGTTCATATACCTCTGCTGTATCAGCCTACTATATGTTTCCACCCATTGTCCAGTTGGAAAAATCCTATTTAGCTATCAAAACCTACTTGTGGTAAACAGAATTCCAAAATGACCCCAAAAAGTCACACCCTTATATAATCCCCTCCCACTGAGTGCTGGTGAGACCTGTGACTGTGAGAGGATATTACTCCTGTGATTACATTATTTCATATGGCAAAATGGGGGGGTTTACAGATATAATTAAAGTCTCTACTCAGCTGATTTTAAGTTAGTAGAAATGAAGATTTTCCGGGTCTGGCCTGACCTAATCAGGTGAGCCCTGAAATCAAGGTTGAAAAGTCAGAGATGGAAGCAGCAGCACCAAACCAGCAGCAGCAAACGTTTCACCCCTGGTCTTAAAGAAGCAAACTGCCATGTTTAGGAGAGGACCATTTGGCAAGAATTATGTGGCTAAAGGTCTCAATCCCATAATCACAAGGAACCGAATTCTGCCAACAAAGCCTCAGATGAGATTGCTGCCCTAGCCAACACGTTGACTATAGCTTTGTGAAGCCCCGAACAGAGGATCTAGCTAAGCCATGCCTGGATTTCTGAAATATTGAACTGTGAGATAATAAATGGGTATTGCTTTAGGCCATTGAGTCCAGGGCAATTTATTCTGCAGCAATAGAAGATCGACATACCTCCTTAAAATTTCTCTCTTCTGAGATCTTTGATTTACTTTTCTCCCTGAATGGAATTAGTTACTCTTCCTTCTGTACCACTACTATGAAGAGTAAATATTTATATTGTTGCATTTATCTTGTATTATTATGTATTTGTTTACGTTTATTTTCCACTAGACTCCCAGCTAAAATCATCTCTCTATCCTAGAGCTCTACCACAGTGAATAAAGCATAGCAGGTGCTCCTCAAATTAGGGAATTGAGTTGATCATAAAGATAATAAATATTTCCTAAATAACACTCAGGAAATTGAATCAAATCAAATACTAGCTTTATCTTTGGGATTTTTGGCCACTCTTTCAAGCATTACAGGTAAGATCTAAACAAGGAACACATCATATTAATTATGATAGAATTCTAGGAGCTTGTAGAAGTTTCTTAGAAAAACACAATCAACTTTCTAGAATGAACTATATATCCTTCGCAGAGTCAGGGACTGATTTAGTCACCACTAAAAATCCCTCTAATTATGCCACAAGGCATAATTTCCCAAGAATACAACTAACATAACAGAAAATAGCTTCTTGAGCTGGAAATGCAAGCTACCTCACATTTGGTAGCAGTTTATAGAGACATTTCCCCTTTTCGATGAGATGAGGTAGGTGGTGATAGGAATAGTGTCTGAGGAGAGTCCGGAAGAATATGAGTAGCTGGATTTAATCTGAACAAAAGAGAATTGTTTGCATCCCACATTTGGACTAGAAAATGAGAGGTGTAAGTGCCAACTGCCAAAAGCCATCATCTGGGATCTGGACATGTTTCAAGCTCCTCCAGATATCATTCAAAGCTATTTTAGCTCTATGAAGACAGGTCAAGATGGATACATTCAATATGCTGATTTGCCCACTCAAACAAGAATGAAAAGTTGAAGGAGTCATCTTATTAACTCACACTAATTCTAATCATGGAAATAGTAGTGGTAATGATGCTTTCTGATACTGAGGTTAAAGGAGAATTAGACCATAAGTAAGTCAAATGCCAAAAAAAAAAAAAAAAAAACTATTCGGATTTTATAATTCCCCTATTGCCCATCCTGCCTAATGAAACACAAAATATGAAAGGAGGAAAAAAAAAGTTCTGCATTATATTCAGTGACTAGATGTTTGAGCAAATGAAATTTACACATTAAATTAGCTGGTGAACTTCTCTAGAAGCTACAGGAGAGGAGCACCATGGTTTACAGGCCTCACTCTGCATCCCTAGCACCAAGCACAATGCTTGGCAAATTGTAGGCAATCAATAAATATTTGATGACTGACTTTCCAGGAAAACATACTAAAGCAGAAAATAATAGCAAAATCTTAACTAAATGAAATTACTAAAATCTACAGCTGGCAAAACTCTTCTCCCTCCCTTTTTCAGGAGATTAATTGCTGTACTTAACATTTGTAAAGTATTTCTGACACATCAAAATGGCCAGAGGGGAATTCATACTGAAAATCTAATTCGTTATTATTAATAAATTGCTTTGTGGTCCCAGCTATTCCCTAGGGATGCAGATATGGGAAAGAAAGGGAAACTCACTTTTAATATTTTTCTCAATGTCTTAATTTGGGAAAACTCTGAGGTTTTTTTTTGGTGGTTCATTCTGAGGTCTGGGCAAAGGTTCAAGCCCATTCCTGAGTTATCTAAACTGATTCATCCTCCCCCATCCAAAGCCAACAATTGCAGAGGTTTGCAACAGTACTATGCCCTAACTACTTAGTGCTGAGAGGTTTTTAATCTTTTTCTTGTTGGTCTCCTTATCTTCTGGTGCTTCTCTGTCTCATCCCCTTTTCCAGAGGCTCCCAACATAATCAGCATCTCCTACAGCTGATGACAGACACAAGGAGCAGATGAACTAAAAGGTTAATGGAAGGGGAATGGTAAATCCAGCCTGACCTAAAGAAAGAAAAGGCCACTGGAAATTTAGCTGGGTTACAAGTGAGCAGAGATAGCTAAAAGAGACTTTAAAGAGCTTAGAACTGGAGTCAGAAAAAGGCATTCAACAGGTCAGCTGGTCATTCTGTCAGCCCCAAGTAAATTTATTGTCTTGGAAAATTAAAAAATATATGTATTTTATATATTGAAATTTCCCGAAGAGCCAATACATTCACACAATACATTCCAGTAGCTTGCCAACTTCTTCTCCTGGAAAATTCTTCCAAATTCTTATGATCATGTGTTAGTGTTTCCTTTCCAGCACCCATCCTCTCTTATTGTGACAAGATCGCCCATATTTGATTGTGGAGAATGATTTCTCTGCCATTGAGCACTACATTGATGAGACTCTGAATCAGGATATGCAAGGCTGAGCAAGTGACCTACAGTGATACTACTGGGCTTTTCCTCTTAGGGCTTTGAAAACGGAGTGAAACAAAAATGAAATAAAAATGATTTGTGCTATCTCAACACAGTGGTGGTGCCCAGAGAACTTTAGCAATAGTTTTTGCTACATAGAATCTCAGAGTTGGACTATATTTTTTTGTCCTTTTTGAGTTTGTTTATTTGGTGTTCTCTCCAGTAGATGGATGTCCTACTTCCTATCCTTCCAACAAATTTTCTTTTGCTTTTAACTTAGAGTTAGTCTCCATCGCTTGCCACAAAGAAACTATAGGAGACAAATACTCAGCCTATTCTTATGTGGTATTCTTTCAAGGAAATATATGATGACTGATAACATAGGTTTATGATAAGTTCTCAGACAACAAGATGGAGCAGGCGAAAGAGTCTAGAACTAAACAATAGCATTCTAGTTCAAACTGTTTACTCCGCAGTCCTGTACCATTACAAATCTTTCAAAGTGTTATGACTGCAGCAGGTAAAACTTCGCTCTAGCTGCACTTGTGGTTCTAGCTGGAAAAATGAATTCTATATAGACTGGTAACTAAGTGTGATTCCAGTGCTAAGCCTGGTCTCTTTCAATGGTGGAAACAACAAGCTCACTTCTGAAAGAAGAAAAGGTTCAAAAATTTTCTTTGAGTTACAAACAAGCTCCAGCTACATGGACATGAATTATCATGCCTGGATCTCTAACTGCTTAGCTTTTGTCATCCCCTAGAGTCAGGGCATGACATAATTGTGGAACTTCCTGAATTCTTAACAATTAGTATGAAGAAATTGGGGGCAACCATATTAAATATATTGGGCTCAGCGAGAGAGAACACTATAGCCTGTGGTCTTCTAGAAAGGTTTTGTGGACAAGGTGGGATTTGCTTTGGACCTTGAATGATGAATAGCATTTGAAAAGAATAAAGTGGTAAGGCCTTTCAGGCATGAGAAATGAGATGAGTAAAGGCATTCAGGTAGAAAAGCACAAGGCGCATCTGGAGGACAGTGTTTAGGACAATAAAAGTATGTTTCAGTTGGATGGTGGAGAACCTTGAAAAACCAGCTAAGGGGTTTCAGTTTTACCAACCAGGGTCTTGATGGAGTATAAAAGAAATGTGGTGAAATGATGGATAGAAAGGCCAATCTAGGGTGGGATACAGGAGAGGAAAGCTTGGAGAAACTAAAGGTAAAGACACTTGAGAACTATGGGTAAAGGTTTAGAGGAAAAATATTATAACCCCATGATATAATTTTTGATCGCCACTTGTTTTGTTACCACGTTCCTGGCATCAATTAGTTTTCTAATGGCTCCCATTGCTTCTGTAAGGAGATTATAGGAACTTTTCAGTTAACTAAAGATCCTAATGGGTTAGATCTAAATAATCAGTTTTGCTTGGCCTGTATTGAGTCACAGATAAATCCTGGGTGCCACAGTAAATGCCAAGCCAGCCCAATGCACCCATTCCTGCCATTTACATTGGGGCAATGAGGATTTATTTACCTTTTGCTACGCTTTATTGCTCTTTTCTTCTGCCATTCAAAAATATATTCAGCAAAACTGCTAAATCTCTTTGGGTGCTAACTTAGCTTTTCTTGGCCAGGTATCAGAAATTTAGGCCAAATATTCTTACAAGTCTTTAGTGTACCAATGAAGAGGAAAATAAATTTTGTCGTGCTTGTGATCCTCAATCAGTCAGTATTGACTGACTAGGGTGCTGAGGTAAGAAGAATTGTAAGAGTCTGTCTGGGCTCAGTGGGAAAGAGTCATGATTGATTAGGAGGAACATCCACGGGTGAGGAGATGCCACTCTGATCCAGAGACTCAGGTAGCAGGGCTACACTTACACTAGGTAAAGCATGATTTCCTTCACAATATAGTAGTAGGTCTCAGGAAAGCCCTAGTGTTTCCAAGGGTCCATTCAAATAATCCCAAGAGATCTTAAAGTTGAACTAATTCATTTAAAGCATAAAGAACTTAACATTCTTTTCTGCTGTGTGTGTGAGGGGCAGAGGATAAGATCCAAGGGTCTGAGGAGGAAAACAGAATCATTATCTTGGAGATTAAAATGAAAATGGAATTGCTTTGCAAATGGTTTTTTAATACAATGATCATCTTTTCTAAACCAACAAATGGAGACACTATATAACAAGGAATTCTTTGTAACTTAAAAAAACAATTATATTAACATTTTTTAAAACTATAGTTAATAAGTTTCATTTACTTATGAAAATAAATGATATGAAGTTGAGACTGTCCCTGAAATTCAAAATATCTACTTAACAAATTTCAAAGTACTAGACATAGTATAGTGTACATAGTATTATTACCATTTGACTTGGATTTGTAAGGCATATAAAGATTTTCCTGCCCATTGGTTGTTATTTTGATAGATACTCTGGTTTATACTTTAGAATTCTGAAGTCATCACATAAAGCCTATAGTTTAAATGAAACTGCATGTGGCCAGATGTAAGTAATCAATGATAAAAATGTGTTTAACTTTAAAAAACACCAATATTATAAATCTTGTAAATCTTTATAAAGCAGACTGATTGGAATTGGAGACTCATATGATGAAAACTATGAATTTTTATAAAAAGGATATTTTCTTCTTTATAGGTTAAGTTACATTTCAATGATTATTTTCTTGATACAGGATTTTGGATGAGAAAGAGTGAAAAGGATATTATACACATTGAAATCAATCAGAAATTGGGTAAAAGGATCCTTACAAAAATAAAATAATCCTTTGTTAGTTTTGGTTCAAGTTGTAAATATTTGATTAATAAAGGACATGTATCTATTCTAATAATTCAACCACAAGTCTCAGGTATAGTCATTGTGGTAATCTGATTCTTGAAGTCCACTCCATAAGTAATATTAAATTGGGAAATTTTCATCACAATCACATAGAATAAGAAAATATTTCATAAAATTTATCATCATCATCATCATGAAACATTTATTGATCATCTACAATGGTCAAGAATCTCTATTAGCACTCAGATAAACAAGGGCCTGTATTCATAAGTGCCTAGTTTATAAAATGGCAAACATGTACTACTAAAATAAATTAGTTTGGAAATAATAGGAAGGGAAGCAGTACCATAACCCTCAAACAAACATTAGCCCAATAGCGAATTAACTGAAATACTTCTTTTAAAATGATATATACTATTCAGTCATGTTAAAGGAAGTCCAAAATGTTCTTTTCTATGATGCACTAGTTGGGTCAGTTGGTTTTGTTATTTGACACCCCCTTGGCTTGGATTCCACGCTCTCCACCCTCTTTCCACTCCTCCCCTTGCCCAGCTGGTGTCTGCGTGTGGGGCTGAGGGGAGGCTATTGCACAACACCACACAGCAAGAAAGGGACAGACTCTGGCAACGGGGACCCCAGAGATTCAAACCAGCTGCTTTAAAAGGCATCTCTCAATGTCCCCACCCTGCCCCTGACAAAATCACAGTGATCTTGGAAAAGTTACAAGATCAACTTGCCTATTTGTGCAGATGTATCCAATGTAGACATCACAGCCTGTAGTAAAAAGAGGAAACCATTAGGTGTTAAGACCAGCTCCTTCACTACAGTGTTCTGTGATGCACCTTATGAAACTCTTTCTGCTCTTTAACTCAAAAATGGACCCTCCCCCACCAAAAAAAGGACACAACTATTCCCATTTCTGGAGGACACTGTGAGAACACTCCAAGAATATGAAGTAGGTAAGAACACATTAGACATTGCCATTGTCATGAAGAAAAAAATAAAAAATAATAAAAGTTATAAATACTTTGTAGTGAGATATTTTGAATTCCAGGAAACATTTAAAACAAAGTTTTATAGGCTGAATGTGGTGCTAGAAATGTGACCATGTAAAATGAGAAACTCTGCTTATTCTTATTGAGGCGCCTGATTAAATAATCATTAAATCTGTGTGTGCTTGGCAGATTTCAGATCACATTCTCATGCATCTCTCATTGGGTGCACAGAAGCCACATGTAGCGAGCTGGGCAGCCAGCATAATCGCCACCTTGTAAATGAAAACACTGAAGTTCAGAGAGTCTTGGTGGTGTGACACAGCCCAGGACTACCAGATTTAGAATTAAAGCATGAAAGGTGTGACTACGGAAGTGACTTTGAGGATAGATTTTTACGCTAAGGAATATTCTTGAAGGTTCTTTCTGGCATTTCACCAAGATGAATCTGTAAGCAACCCCAAGTAAGGAGGCTCATTTCAGGATTGGTCATTGCTCCTTACAATGCTTCTTAAAAAGTCAGGATGCCAAATATGTCTGTAAACATGAACTTCATAAGGATATACACTTAAAAAGAACCAAAGAAACGGAAGCTACAAAGATGTTAAGTGGGTTCTCCAGGGGAATTTAGGTAAGGTGAAACTAAAGCTATGCCATGCCTCCAGTGAAGAAGGAACATTCATTTGTTGATGGCACTCTTTCCTTTGCCTCATCTCCACTTCCAAATATTTTACTCTGAAATCATTTTCAAACATGCAGAGAAGCTGTGATAGGCTATGGATTTGTATCCCCACCCAAATCCCATGTTGAACTGTAATCCCCAATGTTGGAGGAGAGGCCTGGGGGGAGGTGCTTTGATCATGGAAGTGGATTTCCCCCTTGCTGTTCTTGTGGTAGTGAGTGAGTTCTCACAAGATCTGATTGTTTAGAAGCGTGCAGCACTTCCCTTTCACTCTCTTCCTCCTGCTCTGGCCATGTAGGATGTGCCTGTTTCCCCTTCCGCCATGATTGAAAGTTTCCCAAGGCCTCCCCAGCCATGCTTCCTGTACAGCCTGCAGAACCGTGAGCCAATTAAACCTCTCTTTTCTATAAATTACCCAGTTTTAGGTATTTCTTTATAGCAGTGCAAGAACTGACTAATAAAGGCTGAAAGAATATTATCCTGATAGCTCATATTCCACTACCCGTTTGCTGAACTACTTCTAAGTTAATTGCAGACATGACATTTCACTCCTGAACATGTCTACTTGTATCTCCAAAAAAGAAGGCACTTTCCTACATAACCTTAATACTGTTTTTACATTTAAGAAAATTAACTGAGTCCGGGCGCGGTGGCTCATGCCTGTAATCCCCGCACTTTGGGAGGCTGAGGCGGGCAGATCACAAGGTCAGGAGATCGAGACCATCCTGGCCAACATGGTGAAACCCCGTCTCTACTAAAAATACAAAAATTAGCCAGGTGTGGTGGCATGCACCTATAGTCCCAGCTACTTGGGAGACTGAAGCAGGAGAATCACTTGAACCTGGGAGGTGGAGGTTGCAGTGAGCCAAGATTGCACCACTGCACACTCCAGCCTGGGCAACAGAGCAAGACTCCATCTCAAAAAATAAAAAAAAAAAGAAAATTAAGTGTATTTCCTTAATAGCATCCAATATTCAATCCATATTCAAAATTTCTAAATTGTCAACAAAATATTGTTTGTGGCTTTTTTTCTGAAACAATCCAGCCAAACTTCGCACATTGGATTTGATTCTTTTGTTTCTTTAGCTATTTTATTCAAGAACAGTCCTCAACCTTTTTTTGCTCTTAACTTTGACTTTTTAAAAACATACCACATTAGTTTTCTTGTATAATGTCCCACATGTTAGATTTGTTTGTTTGTTTCCTTGTGGTGAGATTTAACTTATGACTATCCCATATATTTCCATTGGAAATATCTAAACAAGGGCTTGTTTAGATTTTGGTTAAATTGTTTTGGCAAAAATATTCCACAGATGATGTTACATACTTCATATTGCACAATATCAAGGGATCCCACTATAACAACGCTAAATTTGGTCATATGATCAAAGTGCAACCACAGGATATTTCTATAGTAAAGTTATGTTTTTCCTTTGGATTGGCAAGTCGTGTGTAAGATGCCATTTGGCATCACAATAATGCTTTATTTTCCACCTACGTTTAATCTAATGGTCTTAGTAGACTTTCTTGATCCTTGTCTAATTTAATTATCTTGGGGGAATGGCACAATGGTGATTTTCTATCTGTTTATAAGCTCACATTACTCTTTATAAAGAAGGACTTTCTTCTACCATCTGTAAATAAACATCGTTTACTTTAAAAAACAAAAAACAGAGGGGAGGTGGAGCAAGATGGCCAAACAGAACCCTCCATTGATTGTCCTCCCTACAGGAACTCCAAATTGAAAAACTATTCACATAAGAAAGCACCTTCATAAAAACCAAAAAGCAGGTGAATGATAACAATACCTAGTTTTAAGATCATAACAAGAAAAGAGGCACTGAAGAGGAAAGGAAAGACAGTCTAGGATTGCCAGTACCGCCCCTCCCTGATTCCTGGGAGTAGCAGTGGCCATATGGTATGAATAGAATATCTGCACATCTCGGGGAGAGAGAGTGCAGTGATTGTGGGACTTGGCATTGTAACTTACTGCTGCCCTGTCACAGCAGAAAGCAACATGGGGCAGAATTCAGCCCAGGTCCACAGAGGGAGCATTTACACCAGACCTAGACAAAGAGGAGTTGTCCAGGCCAGTGATCAAAACCTGAGTTCCAACTAACTCTGTCACTGTGGGCAGAGAAGAGGAGAGGGAAAAGTAAAGAGGATTTTATCTTGCGAATTGGATACCTGTAGCTCAGCTACAGGCAGATTCCTGAGGCCCCCCATTCCAGGCCCTAAGTCCCAGACATTTCTAGACATACCCTGGGCCAGAAGGAGACCTGCTGCCTTGAAAGGAAGGCCATAGTCCTGGCACGATTAATCACCTGCTGACTCAAGGGCACTTTGAATAAACATCAGTAAACATCAACAGTTGCCAGGCAGCATTCACCATAAGCCTTGAGTGAGACCCAGTCTTCACTTCAGGTGTGACCCACCACATTCCCATCTGTGGTGGCTATAAGGAGGGTCTCCTTCTGCCTCAGTGAAAAAAAAAAAAAAGGATGGACGTGGTGGCTCACGCCTATAATACCAACACTTTGGGAGGCCGAGGTCAGGAGATCAAGACCATCCTGGCTAACGCGGTGAAACCCCGTCTCTACTAAAAACACCAAAAATTAGCCGGGCGCGGGTGGTGGTGGGTGCCTGTGGTCCCAGCTACTCAGGAGGCTGAGTCAGGAGTATGGCGTGAACCCGGGAGGTGGAGCTTGCAGTGAGCCGAGATTGCGCCACTGCACTCCAGCCTGGGCGACAGAGCAAGACTCTGTCTCAAAAAAAAGGAAAAGTAAAGGAACTTTGTTTTGCAGTTTGGGTTCCAGTTCTGCCACAGTGAGACAGAGCACCAAGTGAGCTCCTGGGGTAACCAGTTTCAGGCCTTGGCTCCTGGATAACATTTGTTAACCTGCCCTACATCAGAGGGGAGTCCACTTCCTTGAAGGGAGAGATTTAGGCCTGGCAGCATTCACCATAAGCTGACTGAAGAGTCCTTGGGCCTTGAGTGAACATTGGTA
Source organism: Homo sapiens (assembly GCF_000001405.40). NCBI lineage: Eukaryota > Metazoa > Chordata > Mammalia > Primates > Hominidae > Homo > Homo sapiens. Next base: position 218,743,739 of record NC_000001.11, read on the forward strand.
GTAGCCAGGCAGTACTTGCCATGGGTCCAAGGCAGTGGTAGCCATGGTAAGAGACTCCTCTACTTAAGGAAAGGAGAAAGGAAAGTGGGAAGAACTTTGTTTTGTGGCTTGAGGGCCAGCTCAGCCGCAGTAAAATAGAATTTCACGTAGATTCCTAAGGTTCCAGACTCCAGGTCCTGGCCCTTGGACAGCATTTCTGGACCTATCTCGGACCTGTGGGTAGCTTGCTGCTCTAAAGGGAAAGACACAAGTGTGGATGTTTTCAATACCTGCTGATTGTAGAACTCTGGGGCCTTGAGGGAACATTGGTGGTAGCCAGGAAGTGGTTACCTTGGGCAAGACTCAGTGCTGTGCTGGCTTCAGGTCTGACCTGGCATAGTTCCATATGCTTGTGTCACCCCTCCCCCAGCACTAGGCAGCTCAGCATGAAGGAAGAGAGACTCCATTTGTTTGGGGGAAAGTAAGAGAAGGAAACAAGAGTCTCTGTCTAGTAATCCAGAGAAATCTCCTGGATCTCACCAAAGACTAAGGAGGTACCTCTATGAGTCTGTAAGAGTCACAACATTACTGCCCTTAGGGTGCCCCCTAAGGCAGATAGGGATACAGTGATCAAAGATGTAGATCACAACACACAATTTTCTTGAAAAGCCTTCCCAAGACAGACAGGCACAAATAAGCCCAGACTACAACGACTACAATAAATATCTAACTCTTCAATGCCCAGATATTGACAAACATCCACAAGCATCAGGGTCATCCAGGAAAACATGATCTCACCAAAGGAACTAAATAAGGCACCAAGGATCAACCTCAGAGTGACAGGGATATTAAGCCTTTTAGACAGACAATTCAAAATAGCTGTTTTGAGGAAGTTCAGTGAAATTCAAAATAAGACAGAGAAGGAATTCACAATCCTATCAGATAAATTTAACAAAAAGATTGAAATTTTTAAAAAAATGAAGCAGAAATTCTGGAGCTGAAAAACTCAGTAGACATAAAAGGAATGCATCAGAGTCTCTAACAGCAGAATTGATCAAGCAGAAGAAAGAATTAGTGAACTCGAAGGCACTCTACTTGAAAATTTATACTCAGAGGAGACAAAAGAAAATAGAATAAAAAAGAATGAAGCCTTCCTACAAGATCTAGAAAATAGCCATAAAAAAGCAAATTAAAGACTTATTAGCCTTAGTGAGGAGGTAGAAAAAGAGAGATCAGGGTAGAAAGTTCATTTAAAAATAATAACAGAGAAATTTCCAAACTTGGAGAAAGACATCAATATTCAAGTGCAAAAAGGTTTTAGAACATCAAGCAGATTTAACCAAGGGAAGACTACCTCAAGGCATTTAATAATCAAACTACCAAAAGTCAAGGATAAAGAAAGGATTCTAAAAGCAGCAACAGAAAAGAAACAAATCACATACAAAAGAGCTCCAATATACCTGGAAGCAGACTTCTCAGTGGAAGCTTTACAGTCCAGGAGAGAGTGGCAAGGCATATTTAAAGTGCTGAAGGAAAAAAAAGCTTGTATTCTAGAAGAATATATCCAGTGAAAATATCCCTCAAACATGAAGGAGAAATAGACTTCCCAGACAAATAAAAACTGAGGGATTTTATCACAATCATATCTGTCCTACAAGAAATGCTAAAGGCAGTTCTTCTATCTGAAAGAAAGGGATGTTAATGAGCAATAAGAAAATATTTGGAGGTACAAAATTCACTGTAGTAGTAAGCACACAGTCAAACAGAATATTATAACACTGTAATTGTGGTGTTTAAACTACTTGTGTCTTGAGTAGAAGGACTAAAAGATGAATCTATCAAAAATAATAACTGTGACAACTCTTCAAGACAGAAACTGTATAATAAGATATAAAAATGAACAGCAAAGAGTTAAAAAGTGGGAGGATGAAGCTAAAGTGTAGAGTTTGTTAGTTTTTTCTGTGCTTTTTTGTTTGTTTCTGCAATCAGAGTTAAGTTGTCCTCAGTTTAAAATAATGGGTTATAAGATATTATTTGCAAGCCTCCTATTAATCTCAAATCAAAAAAACTACAACAGATACACAAAAAATAGAAAGATATTAAAATATACCACCAGAGAAAAATCACCTTCACAAAAAAAGGCAGGAAGGAAGAATGAGAAGACTACAAAACAACTTACAAACCAATAAGAAAATGGCAGGAGTAATCCTTACTTATCAATAACATTGAATGTAAATGGATTAAATTCTTCAATCAAAAGACACAGAGATGCTGAATACATTTTTAAAAAGACCCAGTGATATGTTACCTACAAGAAACACACTTCATCTATAAAAACACACATAGAGGCCGGGCGTGGCACCTCACACCTGTAATCCTAGCACTTAGGGAGGCTGAGGCGGGTGGCTCTCCTGAGGTCAGGAGTTCAAGACCAGGCTGGCAAACATGGCAAAACCCTGGCTCTACTAAAAATACAAAAAAAAAAAAAATTAGCTGGGTGTGGTGATGGGCACATGTAATCCCAGCTACTTAGGAAGCTGAGGCAGGAGAATTGCTTGAATACGGGAGGTGGAGGTTGCAGTGAGTCAAGATCACAGCACCACACTCCAGCCTGGGTGTCAGAGTGAGACTCATCTCAAACAACAAAAACAAAAACAAAACCTCCTAAGAAAACAACAGCAAAAAAAAAAAACACGCATAGACTGAAAATAAAGGGATAGAAAAAGATATTACATGCAAATAGAAACCAAAAAAGAGAAAAAGTAGCTACATTTATATTAGACAAGATAGATTTCAAGACAAAACTATAAAAAAGAGACAAAGAAGTTCATTTATGTAATGATAAAGGAGTCAATTCAGTTAGAGGACATAGCAATTGTAAATATATATGCACCCAATACTGGTCCTCTCAGATATATAAAGCAACTTGTATTAGAACTAAAGAGATAGACCACAATACAATAATAGGTGAAGATTTCAACGTCCTGTTTCAGCATTGGATTGATCATTCAGACAGAAAATCAACAAAGAAACATTAGACTTAATCTGCACTATAGACCAAATGGACCTAATAGATATTTACAGAACACTTTATTCAATGGCTGCAGAATACACATTCTTCTCCTCAGCCCATGGACCATTTTCAAGGACAGACCATATGTTAGGTCACAAAACAAGTGTGAACGAATTTTAAAAAATTAAAATCATATCAAGTATCTTCTCTGACCACAATGGAACAAAATTAGAAATCAATAATAAGAGAATGTTTGGAAACCATGCAAACACATGAAATTTAAACATGTTCCTGAATGACAAGTAGGTCAATGAAGAAATTAAGAAGAAAATTTACTAATTCCTTGAAACTAATGCAAATACCAAACAAAACATACCAAAACCTATAGGATAAAGTGAAAGCAGTACTAAGATGAAAGTTTATAGCAAGAAGTACCTAAATCAAAAAGTAGAAAAACTTCAAATAAACAACCCAACTATGCATCTTAAAGAATTAGGAAATCAAGAGTAAGCAAAACCCAAAATAAAAGGGTTTAGTAGAAGAAAAGATATAATAAAGACCAGAGTAGAAATAAATGAGATTGAAACAAGAAACCCACAAAAGATTAACAAAATAAAAAGTTGGTTTTTTGAAAAGTTAAAATTGACAAACATTTAGCCAGACTAAGTGATAAAAAATGAGAGAATACCCAAATAAATAAAATCAGAGACTAAAAAGGATACATTAAAACTAATATCACAGGCTGGGCGCGGTGGCTCACGCCTGTAATCCCAGCACTTTGGGAGGCCGAGGTGGGTGGATCACGAGGTCAGGAGATCGAGACCATCCTGGCTAACACGGTGAAACCCTGTCTCTACTAAAAATACAAAAAATTAGCCGGGTGCGGTGGTGGGGGCCTGTAGTCCTAGCTACTTGGGAGGCTGAGGCAGGAGAATGGCGTGAACTCGGGAGGCGGAGCTTGCAGTGAGCCAAGATCACGCCACTGCACTCCAGCCTGGGTGAAGAGTGAGACTCTATCTCAAAAATTAAAAAAAAAAAAAAGCTAATATCACAGAAATGTAAAGGATCATTACAGACTACTATGAGCAACTGTATGCCAATAAATTGGAGAACCTAGAAAAAAATAGATGAATTCCTAGACACATGCAACCTACCAATATTGAACTATGAAGAAATCCAAAACCTGAATAAACCAATAACAAGTAATGAGACTGAAGCTGTAATAAAAAGTATCCCAGCAAAAAAAGCCCAGGACCCAATGGTTCACTGCTGAATTTTGCAAACATTTAAAGGAGAGCTAATACCAATCCTACTCAAACTATTCCAAAAAATAGAGGAAGAAGCAATACTTCCAAACTCATTCTAGAAGCCGGTATTACCCTCATGATAAATCCAGAAAAAGACACATCAAGAAAGGAAAACTATAGCCCAATCTCTCTGGTGAACATTGATGCAAAAATCCTCAACAAAATACTAGCAAGCTGAATTTAGTAACTTACTAAAAAGATCATTCATCATGACCAAGTGGGATTTATCACTGGAATGCAAGCATGATTCAACATATGCAAATCAATGTGATACATCATATCAACAGAATGAAGGACAAAAACCATATAATCATTTCCATTGATGCTGAAAAAGCATTAGATAAAATTCAATATCCCTAGATGATAAAAATCTTCAGAAAACTGGGCATAGAAGGATCATATTTCAACACAATAAAAGCCATCTATGGCAGACCCACAGCCAGTATCATACTGAATGAAGAAAAACTGAAAGCCTTTCCTCTATGATGTTGAACATGACAAATACGCCCACTTTCACAACTGTTATTTAACATAGTACTGGAATTCCTAGGTAGAGCAATCAGATAAGAGAAAGAAATAAAGGGCCTCCAAACTAGGAAGCAAGAAGTAAAATTATCCTGTTTGCAGATGATATGATTTTTATACCTGAAAACACCTAAAGACTCCACCAAAAAACTATAAGAACTGATAAATTCAGTCAACTTGAGGGATACAAAATATAAAAATTAGTAGTGTTTCTATATGCTAACAGCAAACAATCTGAAGAAGAAATCAAGAAAGTAATCCCATTTATAATAACTACAAACAAAATTAAATACCTAGGAATAAACTTAAAGAAGTGAAAGATTTCTGCAATGAAAACTATAAAAAATTGCTGCAAGAAATTGAAGACACAAAAAATGGAAAGAATTTTCCATGCTCATGTGTAGCAGGACCGGTCACAGACAAAACCTCTTGGGCACTGGTTTTAGGAAGGAAGAGGCTTTAATTGGCTGGGAGCATCAGTAGACTCAGGTCTCAAGATCCGAGCTCCCTGAAGTAAAGATTCCTGTCTCTTTTAAGGGCTTACAAATCTAAGGGGTCCACGTGAAAGGGTCGTGATACATTGTGCAAGTGGGGGCTACATGACTGAGGGCTACATGCATCAGTGATGGGGGCTAGCAGAATAGAACATTCCCTGGGCTACACACTTTACACTGAGTGGCATTATATAAGTAAGTCCCTAGACATTCATAATAACTATAAAACAGAAAGATTGTTTTAACTTGTTGCCCTACCTCAGTAATCTGATGAATACACTGGGTACAGTCCTCCATGTGGGGAAAATCAGCTGAAGTTCTTACTGTACAAGTCCAAATTTTGAGAAAAATGAGTCCCACGATGAGTTTCCTCATGCTTTGACCGTGCGTAGACAAGTCAGCTTCTGGGTGTGACTGGAATGGGGCTTGTCGTCTTTTTCAGAGTCACTTTGCAGGGATTGTCTGGGCTTGGTCTCACCTCCGAGGTCTCAGGTGCTGTGGGTTTCACGGGGCTGTGGTGGATCCAGGCTGGAATTCCTTCTACCTTCACGGCGGTGGGGGTGGTCAGGATGATGGTCTGGGGTCCTTTCCATCACAGCCGCAAAGGGGCTATTTTCCAGTTTTTGATCCACACTCGATCACCTGGGGAGAAAGGGTGAACTGGGGAGAATAAGCTAAGGGGCATCTTTCATTTACCCAGACCAAAATTGTTTGTGTAACTTTTCCTAAAGCCTGTACCTGTCGCTGTAACTCAATTTCTCCTAGCTCTTGAGGAGTGCCTGGAAGCCACTGTAATATGGGAGGGGGTCTATGATACAATATCTCATAAGAGGAATATCCCGTTCTTTTAGAAGAGGTGCCACCTGATCTTAAACAGTACCATGGGGAGAGCCTGTACCCACTTTAAACCTGTTTCTTGACACACTTTCCCTAAACTATTTTTGATAGTCCGATTCATCCACTCCACTTTTCTGGAACTCTGAGGTCGATAGGCGGCATGCAGTTTCCATGTGATCCCCAATACTTTTGTTGTCTTCTGTACCAAGTCAGCCACAAATGCCGGCCCATTGTCCGAGCCGATCCATAAGGGCAGTCCAAACCTAGGGATGAGATCTCGGAGAAACACACAGGTTACTTCATGAGCTTTTTCAGTTCATGTTGGATAGGCCTCTACCCACCCAGAGTATGTACACACTAGAACCAGCAGATACTTGTTACCTCCACATTTGGGCATCTCAGTGAAGTCTACTTGGAGATTTTCAAAGGGGGCTGCTCCATAAGCTTGTATGCCAGGCGGGACGGTTGGACCCTGCCTAGCATTGTGCTGCCCGCAGGTGACACATTGCTGTGTTATTATTTTGGTAAGGGCTGACAGATGTAAAATGTAGAAGTACCAGCCTAACAACTTTTCAAGTGACTCTTGGCCTAGATGGGTGGTCTCATGCACAGCCAACACAACTGCGGCCCCTAGTAGCTATGGCACGGCTACTCTTCCGTCTGGTAACCGGATCCATCCTTCCTTTATCGCTTGTCTCCTTTCTGCCTGGAAAAAGTCTATTTCCTCTTTAGAATAAGTAGGCACTAGATGGGGTGCCTGAGGGAGCAGGCGGGCTATGACTGGTACTCGGTAGGGGGTGGACGCTGCTTTGCGAGCTTCTGAGTCTGCTTGAGAATTTCCTTCAATTAGCTCCAAGGCCTGAGTTAAAGCAATGAGTTCGGCCTTCTAGGCTGAAGTTCCCTGAGGCAGCAGTTTGGCTTCAAATACCAGTGTCCCAGGTTACCACTGCATACCCAGCCCACCTCTTTCCCTGTGAGTTAATGAAGCTGCTTCCGTCCACATCCAGCTCCCAGTCTACAGACATCCAAGGTTGGTCCCGGAGGTCGGGTCTGCTAGAATAAACTGAGCCCAACACCTCTACACAGTCATGTTTAACTGGGCTCTCTGAAACTGGGAGCAAGGTGGCGGGGTTCAAAGTGTTACAAACTTCAATGGTTTTATGGGGATTTTCACAGAGCAAGCTTTGGTACTTAGTTAGCTTAGCATTTGTTAGCCAATGATGTCCTTTGGTATTCATTAAAGTCACCACAGCATGGGGGGGTCTTTATGTTCAAGTTTTGCCCAAGGGTTAGTTTATCTGCTTCTTGCACTAGCAGGGCAGTTGCTGCCAAGGTTCTCCAACATGGGGCTACCCTTTAGAAACCCCGTCTAGTTGCTTGGAGAGATATGCCACCGGCCTTGGCGAAGGCCCTACAGCCTGGGTTAAAACTCCAACTGCCATTTTTTCTCTCTATGACACATACAGTGTAAAAGGCTTTGTCAGATCCAGTAGCCCCAGGGCTGGGGCTGACATAAGTTTTTCTTTTAACTCATGAAAAGCTCGCTGTTGTTGGGATCCCCATTCAAAAGGTTCTGTGTCACCCCTCTCTTTGTAACTTGATACAGAGGTTTGGCCAGTACTGCAAAGCTTGGGATCCATAACCTGCATAACCCCACAGCGCCTAAGATTTCTCTCACTTGTCTCCTAGTCTTAGGCTCCGGTAGGCTGCAAATGATCTGCTTTCTTTCTGATCCCAGGCTGCACTCCCCCTGTTGGATAGTGAATCCCAGATAGTGCGCCTGCTGTCTGCAGATCTGAGCTTTCTTCTTGGACACCTTATACCCACAGTCCTCCAGGTGCCGAAGCAGGGCGTCTGTGCCTTCAGTGCACCCGATTGCCATGGGGTGTCCCAGCAGGAGGTTGTCCACATACTGGAGCAAGACGCAGCCTAAGTCTGGGGAACTTGGGGAGGTCTTGAGCTAGTGCCTCCCCGAAGATGGTGGAGGAGTTCTTGAACCCTTGGGGAAGCTGGGTCCAAGTGTACTGAGTGGTGATACCTGATCCTGGATCCTCTCACTGAAAGGCAGTTTCTGGCTCTCCAGAGCTAATCTGATACTGAAGAAGGCATCCTTCAGGTCTAGGCAGGTGGACCAGCTTTCCTCAGCTGGCAATAACCCCAGCAATGTGTACGGGTTAGGTACAATTGGATGTAAAGTCACTGTGGCTTGATTGACCAAGTGCAAGTCCTGTACTGTCCTGTAGTCCTTGGTCCCTGGCTTGGGAACAGGTAGGAGGGGGGTGTTCCATGGAGACTGATAAGGCACTATAATTCCAAAAGTGCTCAGGTGCTTAAAATGAACTTGGATACCTTCCAGGGCGTCTCTGGGGACTGGATACTGTTTTTGGCTGACTGGCTTAACTTCTATGAGTACAGGAGCTTGACTGGCTGCCAATCTGGAGGGACTGTCTTCTGCCCAGACTTTTGGCCACCTCTGGGCCAGAGCTGGCCCTGTCTCTTTGCCTGGTTCAGTTAGGAAGAGTCGCCACTCTTCCTCTCTGGGAACTGTCAGGGCCATGATAACTCCTGTTCTGGGCAAATTCCGTTGTAAAGAGCCTTGCTTTGTAAAGGAGATAGTAGCTCTCAGCTTGCTAAGCAGCTCCCTTCCTAACAAAGGCAAGGGGTAGTCAGGCAGGTACAGAAACTGGTGAATCACTTCATGTCCCCCCACTTAGCAGGTCCGGGGCAAACAGAAAGGCTGCTTTGTTGAAACTCCTGTTGCTCCGATTATATCAATAGTCTTTTTAGATAAGGGGGCGACCGGGGTGGTCACTACTGAATGTTCAGCACCAGTATCGAACATAAACTTAATGTCCTTGCCCCCAACTGTCATTCTGACCATGGGCTCCTTGGGGGCACTTGAGCCCAGTCCCCTTCAGTCCAGCAACCCCTCAGCCAGATTGAACAAATCTCCTTCATCCTTTTCTGGGGTCTTTTGCTCCAAACCAGCTTGCTTTTCTTTCAGCTGAGGGCACTTATCTTTCCAATGTCCTGTCTCTTTACAATAGACGCACTGGTTGCATTGCAAGTGTGGATGGTCAGACTGGGTATTTTTCCCGGAGCCCCCCTTCCCTTGTCCTTATGGGAGACCCCTCTAATAGCTGCAGCTAGTAGGTCAGCGTTTCACCAGGCTTGGCATTCACCTTCTTTGCGGCTCTCTCTGCGGCTCGTTGCATCTCCATTTACAAACACTTGGTTGGCTATTTCCAGTAATTGTGATGTATTCACACCCGCAAACCCAGCCTGTTTCTGCGGCTTTCTCCTAATATCCTCTGCGCTTTGACTAACTAAGGCCATGTTAATCATGCGCTGATTTCCAGGGCTGTCTGGGTCAAAGGGAGTGTAGATGTGATAGGCCTCACACAGTCTCTCATAAAAGTGCGCTGGACTTTCTTCCTTTCCTTGGATAACCTCAGAGACTGTTTATGTTTGTGGCCTTTTGGGCTCCTCTCCTCAACCCTTCTAAGAGTGCTTCCCTATACCGATTTAGCCTTTGCATGCCTTCTGTCTCGTTTGGATCCCATTGAGGGTCAGTTCCTGGTAGCTGGATCCTTACATACTCTTGGGGGTTCTGATAATCAGCTGGAACATGCTCTTCCAGCCACTTAGTTGCTGCCTGGAGCACTCTCCTCCTCTCATCCGTGTTAAAGAGGTACATGAGCAACTAGTGGCAATCAGCCCAAGTGGGGTTATGAATTCGGATAATAGTTTGGAGAAAGTCAATCAGAGCTTGTGGCTTTTTGGTATAGGATGGGGTGTTATTTTTCCAACTGAGGAGATTGGCAGAGGTAAAAGATTGGTACAAAAAGGCACGCCTTTCTACCATATGTCCCTCCTTGTTTACCCCAGTATACCATTGCCTTCTTAGGGGCATTTGTATCCCAGTTTTAGGTCGCAAGGAAGCCACCAAGGGAGGGGTTTCTCCCGAGACTTCACATCCTCTTCTGTCTACTCTAGTGGCTTTGGGGTGCGTGTACCTTGTAGAGGCTCTGGTGCTGTGGGCTCCAATGTGGGGAGCCTCTCTTCTTGGTAAGGGGCGGGGGCATCACTGGTGCCATTTCCTGCCATGTATCCTCTGATGTTGGGTCGGACAGAACTTTAGGAGCTGACTTCCCTTGGCAGGTGGAGCAAGATTTCTCCTTGGCTATCTGTCCCTTTGCTACTAGTACTGCTGCTGACTGTCCTCTTAGCCACTGTGGGGGGTCTAAAACTAGCTGTGACCAAGTATCTATGTATGGAAACTGATCTGGGTGTCCTGATTTACCAGTTCCTTTGTGTCATACCTTTGAAACTAGAGACCTGTCTAGGCTTCCTTCTGATGGCCATCCCACCTCTAATGCCGGCCAATCTACCTCACACAAAGCCTTAAGCTTTCCAGGTGTCATAGCAATTCCATAGTCCCCATTGAATCTTTTCTTGAAATTCCTTAACATAGTTCCAAACATGGTAGGCTTACTCTGTGTTTTACCCATTTTCCTCTCTCAGGGGACAAAGTGACACTCTTACTACAAAGAGAGAAGGGAAAAGGGGCAAAAAGTCACTCACTCACCAAGCAATTCATACCAAATCAAAATTAAAACTAAAACCAAAGGACGGATAAGGAGTTACTCATTCATCAAGCAATTTGAGCCAAGTCAGAACCGAAATAAAAGCCAAAACAGTTCAAATCTAAAAGTCAGAACCGAAATCAAAGCCAAAACAGTTCAAATCCAGTCAAAATCAAAACCAAAACCAACGTGCTCATAAAGGCACGCTGTGGGTGATTAGGCCATGCTTCCACTCAGATGGAGTGGGCAAGTTCCAAGACCAGTCTTACCATGTTCCAGAAGTCAGGACTTCAAGCACTGATTCCTCCCGGTGTTCAGCCACTGCATTAATCCTCCGTGGGGGTCTGCAGCACACCCGTCTGGCGAGGCATTCCAGTGGGGCCATTGCCTACCCAGAGCACTCTCAGGATCCACGTCGCTTAAGCTGGCCGGAGTCCCCCGCAGGGATGCTCCACAGGGCAGGCCTAAGCTGCCTAAGGGGCTGCCTCAACTGTCTGTTAATCACCTGGCTTCCTGGTCAGGAAACCAAGAAACGTAGCAGGACCGGTGGCAGACAAAACCTCTCAGACACTGGTTTTAGGAAGGAAGAGGCTTTAATCAGCTGGGAGCATCAGTAGACTTGCTTCTCAAGATCAGAGCTCCTGGAAGTAAACATTTCTGTCCCTTTTAAGGGCTTACAACTCTAAGGGGTCCACTTGAAAGGGTCATGATACATCGTGCCAGTGGGGGCTATGTGACTGAGAGCTACATGCATCAGCGATGGGGGCTAGCAGAACAGAGCAGAAAGTTTCACAATGCTTCTTCATCCAATGTCTGGAATCTATAAATAACACAAGCAGTTAGGTCAGGAGTTGATCTTTAACTACCAGGCCTGATTCTTGGCACCAAGCCATCTGCCTATTGCTCTCACTTCTACTTCTTCTTAACTTTTTGCTTCCTTTTCGAAACAGGAGACAATGGGAGAGGTGGTCTTCTTCCTTAATGGATTGGAAGAATTGGTGTTGTTAACCTTACCAGTCAAAGAAATCTGCCAATTCAATGCAATGTCTGTCAAATGATATTCTTCACAGAAATTGAAAAAATAATTCCAAAATTTATATGGAACCCCCAAAGACCCAGAATAGCTAAAGCGATCCTAGTCTGAAAGAACAAAACTGGAGGAATCACCTTGCCTTATTTCAAATTATACTATAGAGCAATAGTAACCAAAGCAGCGTGGTACTGGCATAAAAACAGACACATAGACTAATGAAACAAAATAGAGACCCTAGAAATAAGTTGATACATCTACAGTGAAATCATTTTTGACAAGGGTGTCAATAACGCATATTTGGGAAAAGACAGTCTCTTTAATAAATAGTACTGGAAAAACTGAATATCCATAGGCAGAAGAATGAAACTAGACCTCTATCTCTCACCCTATAAAAAATGAAATCAAAATGGATTATAGGCTTAAATATAAGATGTCAAGCTATGAAACTTCTAAAAGAAAACATTGGGAAAACTATTCAGCACATTAATCTGGGCAAATATTTCTTGAGTAATACCCCAAAAATACAGCCGATCAAAGCAAAAATGGACAAATGGGGTCACATCAAGTTAAAAAGTTTCTGCACAGTAAAGGAAACAATTAACAAAGTGAAGAGACAACCAGCAGAATGGGAAAAACTCTTGAAAACTATCCATCTTACAAGAGATCAAAAACCAGAACATATAAGGCGCTCAAACAACTCTATAGGAAAAAATCTAATAACCTAATTAAAAAATGGGCAAAAGATCTGAATAGACATTTCTGAAAAGAAGACATACGAATGGCAAACAGGCATATGAAAAGATGCTCAACATCACTGATCATCAGAGAAATGCAAATCAAAACTACAATGAGGTATCATCTCACTCCGGTTAAAATGGATTTATCCAAAAGACAGGAAATAACAAATGCTGGTGAGAATATGGAGAAAAGGGAACCCTCATGCACTGTTATGGGATGTAACTAGTAGAGCCACTATGGATATCCGTGTGAAGGTTACTCTGAAAACTAAAAATTAAACTACCAGAACGACAATCCAGCCATCCCACTGCTAGGTATATACCCCAAATAAAGGAAATTAGTTTATCAAAGAGATCTCTGCACTCTCATGTTTATGGCAGCACTATTCACAATAGCCAAGACTTGGAAGTAACCTAAGTTTCCATCAACAGACAAATGGATAAAGAAAATGTGGTATGTATACACAATGGAGTACTGTTCAGCCATAAAAAGAATGAGATCCTATCATTTGCAACAACATAGATGGAACTGGAGGACATTCTGTTAAGTGAAATAAATCAGGCACAGAAAGACAAATTTTGCATGTTGTCACTTGTTTGTGGGAGCTAAAAATTAAACTAATTGAGCTAATGGAGATGGAGAGTAGAAAGATGGTTACCAGAGGCTGTGCTGTGGTGGGGGATGGGGATGTGAAATGAGGATGGTTAATGGGTACAAAAATATACTTAGATGGAGTAAATAAGATCTAGTATTTGATAGCACAACAGGATGATTACAGCCAACAATAATGTATTGCACATTTTAAAGTAACTAAAAAGGTATAATTGAAATGTTTGTAACACAAAGAAAGGACGAATGCTTGAGGTATTGGAATACACCATTTATCCTGATGTGATTATTACACATTGTATGCCTGTATCAAAATATTTTGTGTGCCCCACAAATGTACACAGCTACTATGTGCCCATAAAGATTAAAAATTGAAAGAAAAAAGAGAATAAATGCTTAATTCTTTCCCTTTATCACTTTTAACAGGAAATTACAAAACAATGTAATAATAAAATGTTAAAAGTTGAAAAATATCCTTTTAAAGCATTTAGAAACCCTGAGATTCTTTTTATAACTCGCAATTAGGTTAAACTATCAATATCACTGTGCACATAATCTATTCTATTGCAGATTTATAAAAGCCAGACAGAGGACAATTATTAAGTATGATCTACTTGCTTTATAGTCCATTTGGATCTTTATCAACTACAATCTACTTACTTTAGAGTCCATTTTGATCTAGATGATCAAACAGTTTATCTTCTACTCAGGCGAAAGCAGGGGTGAAATATCAGATTATGCTTACAAAGGAGAGAATAATACTGTTTTGACACTGTGGTGGAATTTGACCAAAAGTCATTGATAGGAAATTTCTTCTCTATCAAGTGGTGAGAATGTTTACTTCATAGCTAGGTATTGGGAAAGGGAAAGGAGAAGCATCACCCTGATATAAGAAGAAGTGAAGTGACTTGGGGTCTTTTTATTGTTTCCCTGCACTCAGTCCTCACCATCTCCTTTTTCACTAGTAAGCCATTTTGACTCATGAAAACAACAGCATTGAAGTACCAGAAGAAAAAACTACAGGTTTAGTTTTCCCCATTTTTCATTTATTTATTTTACCATAGGACATAAAAGGCATTTATTTCAATGCAGACCGTAATACCCCAGTGAATAATTTTCCATGCCAGGACGAAGTCATCAAAAGTTCTGAGATGCCTTAGAAAATAATGAGTTTTTCTTGCCTTTCTCTGCTCATCCCACTCCCCATTGTCTCCTTCCCCTGAAGAATTGTAGCATCAAGAGCTAATAAACTTTACTGAACACTCTGTCTTCCCTTGTGAGGTGCCAGGCATTGATTTTGTTCAAAATGCCATAGGTGGTGGCTACTTGCTCCACACTCTATGCCAATCACTGGAATGACAGACAGCGTGGGAAGAAAGAGAACCAGAGAACTACAGTGCAGGGAGGGAAGGAGGAGGTGGGGGTCAGTTCTTTACCTGTAATAGTCTGCTCCATGACAAAAAGGCAGCCAGAACTGTGGTTTTCCAACTGACAGTGAAAAAGAAACATCCATACTGTAGAGAGAGTGCTATAACATTCTATCCCTCCTTGTCTCAATTATTTTACTTTTGTTCCCCAAAGAAATGGTCAGTTGAAAATACCAAACTATGTTGGGCCAAAGGATCAGCTTAAATGTAGCTTCCATGCATGTGGGAATAAAGTAAGAAGGGGGCAGTCCAGCAGAAGCTGAAAGCGGGAAGTCGGATCAAGGAAAGACCACCTCAAAGTTTCACTGTGGCAACCCAATCCTGGAGAACAGGCAGAAAATGAATTCCAGCACAAATGTTAATGTAACAGGATAAGTGGGGGGAGGTTGCCCTTGGCAAGAGAACTAAGCATGTTCATTTTTATAATATAAGAGAGAGAACGAGAAGGAGATTGTGTGCTAGCTCACCAGGTGCACTTTGCAAGCTTTCCCATTTCCCATTTCATTAGTTCCTCTAATATTATTGCAAGAGGCTTCAAAGCTATATATAAAGAGGCTTGCCATCCTGCTGGACTCATTTTGACTTCTGTTTGTATTTCATGGTTTGCTTATTAAAAAATATTTTTGCCAGAGGAAAATAAGAAGCATTTCAGAAATGAGCGAGCTTCTATTTACAGAGGTCAGATGCAAAAGTAAATTTCCAGTAATGTTTTTTAGAACCTGTGTGTCATGGGTTTACACAACTTATGGTCAAGTGAAATGTTTGTAGCATCTATGTGATGCCTTAGTTTTTATATACTGTTGTTTTATAAATTAAATAAAAATGCCATGGCAGAATATTTAGAAGTAGGTCATGATTTCTTTTCATGTAAATGCAGTGGAACAAATTTTTAATTTTAATTCAATTTTAATTTTTTGTCTTTTTCCTAAAGAATGTGATTTGTCTCCAGTATTTTCTCACACCTGTACCTTCCCACCTCACCCCACTGACCTGCATCCCCTTCACTCTTAACTACCCCATGTCAGGCAATTAAGTATTCTGCTTTCATTTCTTTAGCAAAGACATGATGCAGAACAAATGCAGAAAGAGAGACCTTCTGTGGCTTCTCAGCTTCAAAACAAAAATTTCAAACCCATGGCAAAAAGTATAGTTTGAAAGCCCCTAACGTTTGGGTTTGAGGAATTTCTAAAGTATTTGCTCAAAGGAAACAGGTATGCAATGATCAGATTTAAAAAATCAGCCATGTTTTTGGCTCTTAGCATGAGAAGAACAAAGAAGGAAGCAGAGGTTTGATAAGGAGTTGGAAGTTGGGGTGGGTCCCTGAGAGGTAGCCTTGTGTCCTGCCCTTTCTTCTTCTCCAGCAGTCCCAGACTTGAGTAAGTGAAAATAGAGGTGGGACTCTGTTTCATTTTCAGGTAAAATCCCAAAAGACAACAAGTATCCTCCTTGTCCACAATGGCTCAGGAGGAGTAAGTATCTATGGTGGGTCTAGCCAGGGAGGACTTATGATTGAGACAGCATGATTTAGTTTCCTTCAAAAGACTGTGGCCTAAGACAGTGGTGAATGTTGTCTACATGCCCCACATGAGCGCAGAATCAACTAAGATGGACAAGTCAATGACCCAGCAGAGACCACTGTAGACTCATGACTGGAGGTAGATGAAGCCTGATTATATCAGCAACCCATGAAAACTGATGATATGTAGGGATGCTGTGTATTTCAACAAGAATTCCACAGTTATCTATGAGATTTCAACATCAACTGGATGGCAAAAAAACATCCTCATGCTTTCTAAAGAAAAACTCAAGAAACTCAAGAAATCTCAAGCTTTCTAAAATTTTTAGAGCTCTAAAAAAGACGGCATATTTGATGAAACGTGTGCATCTCCCCTCCCCAACTCTCCCTCACTCCCACACCCAGGTTGGAATGAGGAGCAAATGAAAAGGTAAACACAACTGGAAATTTCCATCCATTCCATCTCGACCCTTATCTACCTTTTTTCACTTTCAAGACAAGTTAATTTTTGTGGCAAGCAATTGTACAATTGATATTTACATTTACATGTGAGTACCCCGTCCAGTACTTACTGCTAAAGAGGCTTCACTGCTTCTAAACAAAGACAGAAGGACCCATATCTAGGTTTCTAGGTTTAATAGAGGTAGGCCAGCAGAAGGCAATGAAAACATTTTTTTCTTAAAGAAGAAAATTGCCTAAGAGGACAGTTGATGGGTCAATTAGAAGCAGTTCTTTGAATTTGGGAGAATACATAGTCAGTCTTCTAGTGAAGGCAGCTGGTAGTTTATTTTTGTGCTAGACTTTAATTAAAAATTGAAGATTTTTTTTTTTATTTCACAAAGCATTAAATTGGGTTAGGTCTTGTCAATCTATACAGCTGGGACCTGCACTATCAGTCATTGAACACAAAGGAAAACTTGTTTAATATTAACCTCAGAAATGTATAATTTGGAATGTAAACCTACTGCCAAAGGAGGGAGAAAAAAACCTAGTGCATTCCAAGGAGAAATAGAAAGTTGTTTCTTGAAAAAAAAAAAAAAAACTTGTGTATCAGATTACCTGGGCCACTACTTCATTAGTAGTATGGAGAACAGGATGTAAACTTATAATAATGTTGTATATTATTTAAACTCTTTCTGAGTATAAAGTAAGTTATTATGTGAGTAATGAAATGTTATTTTCTAATTGCATCATGACCCAGGAATACAGACATGGGATTAGATTGTAGGAGGAGAGTTTTATAATAAACTTAAGACAGTTTGTAAAACCCTGGAAGGTGTTTCAATAGAGGTCATGAGAATTGCCAAGAAGGTAAATCCTTGAGATGGTAACAAAAATATTAAAATTAAAGTGATACTGAAAAAATGTTAAATAGAAAACTGTTTAGGATTATTGGAAAATAATTATTACTGGAAGAAGAGAAATTGAACAAATAACACAAGGCTCTAAGGCTTCAGAACTTCCCCGATAGAAGATCTAGTCTCTGATGTTCTGGCCAGCCTTAATGGAAAGAAGCCAATGACATGGTGAACCTGTGAAGTCCTTCCTGTCTTCAGCATCTGATTATAACACCAAATATTCTGAAAATATGTGCGATGTTTGGCTATGTTTTCAGCAATGAAACTTGTTGACCTTTTCACTAAATAAATACCAAATAACTTTAAAATAATTGAGATGCTAATGTTTTTACTCACTATCATAAGACCTTTCAAATCTTAACCTAAAACTTCCTTTCCTTTTACTGTAGAAAATTACGATAGAGCAAAATCTTTAAGAGCTGATATCCAAAAGCAAGATGACTTGAGAGAGTGAAATGCTTGTCCAACAAAAATTTACTTTGTCTTTTTTTGGGGGGGTGGTGTGTAGTATATTCCTCCAGGTATGTGCTTAGGAATAAGAAAGCTGATAAAGGTTGGACTTTACCACCAGACAGAGTGTCAAACCCTGAGTTTCTGACCCCTGTATCAGAATCATTTCGGTGCTTTTTAAAAGTTCATATTACTGGGCTTCAACCCAGACCTCCAATGAGAATCTCTAGGGGTTCAAGACTCAATAATCTACATTTTAAATAAGATCAACGGATGATTTTTTATGCCCTAAATTTATGAGTGAAAAGTCTTATAAAAATTATGTTGGGAAACTTTTTGTTCAGGTTCAGCTTACATTTTAAATAAAACATGGAGATGTTCAAATTCTCCTGAATGTTTCAAATCAAATTAAAAATACTGGAAAGAGGGTGGATCATAGGTATTGGCACAAATGCAGAGCTGTCTTCAAACTATGTTCATTGTGCGAGAATTTTATAATTTATCCCCTAATCTCTGTCATGGTTTTGCACACATCTAATTTAACAGCCTTTTCTCTCTTTTTTTGTCTTTTTTTTTTTTTTTTTACTGACTCACCTTCATGGAGTCTTACCTGCATATTCTATCTAAATTTCAAAAATGTATAATCTTAATGTGTACTTATATTTTATCAATTTATATAATATTTAATTAAAGTACATAAATACTTTAAAAGACAACTGGCATAACAAAATTTGGGGCAAACACGTGGACTCTAGACAACTAAACTGGTGGTAGCAGAAATATGTGAGAAATTAGCCTTCTGGAGCTAGGCATTCAGTTTACCAGTGAGTGTAGTTGATAGAGGAAATTCTGATCATTTAGTAAAAGTGATCCTACTGTATCATTGTTCCCTTTTAATATATGAGTTTACCATGACACTGAGAGTAAGCAATTAGGACACATGTTCTCTCAGTGACAGAGACAGCGATCAAAACCAAGTCATCCTAAGAGCAAGCCTCTCTCCTTTTTCCTACACTTGGACCTCCTTAACATAATTTCCTCCCTAAGACTAGCTTTATTAGTAGTTGGAGGAAGACACTCATCTATTTGTGATTGGAGGAATCTTGCAATCCTCCCATCCAAGAAGTGCTTCCTCCTGCAGCATGTTGCAAGGTCTGGAATATCTACTTTCATTCTGTTGTCTAGCTCTGTGACTGACAGTCCAAAATAAAATGCAAAATACATTAGCTGAGAGGATTCAAACATAAAATGCTTAGACAATTATCTAGGGTAATGCAGATTTCTAAATAAAACCAAACCAAAACAAACAAACAAAAAAACTTGCCAGCACATTTTGGCACATTTTGGTTACACCTGGCAGACTGGCAGCATAGAGGCAATGTGAGAGAGATAGAGCCCCAGGGAGAGAGGTAAGAAAGGGAGGTAAAGAAGCAAAATCACTTTTCCCACTTCATGCTGAAGGTAGGACCTGATTTTTTCCAACCTCAACAATACTGAATGTCTAAGAATCCAAAACTTCTGCCCTTTATTGACCACATAAAGAGTTTTTTGGCATTCTTTTGCAAAAAAACTACATTGACTGTAGAATAATCCTTTTGAACTGATTTAAAAGCTCCATCATCCTCTGACCCCATTCTCTCCAGCCTCATCTTTCTCAGAATTCTCACCATTTCAGACTACAACAGGTTCTTCCGGGACTTTGCATAGAGTTTCAAATGACTCCTCTCAGAAAACCCCTGTTTTCTTGTGGAATCTGGCCAAATTGTCACCTCAACTATTGAATCTACCTGTATACTTCTGGACAGAATTTTTCACTCTCCTGTGATCTCAGTATCACCTTGTGTATACTTCTATTGCTGACTTATTGCACTTTATTTAGTTTATCTGTTACTCGTCTGTCTCCCTAACAGGGCTGGGATGTCTATCTCATCTTTGTATTTCCAAAGCTACTTAGAAGAGTTGCTTATAAGTGAGTGAATTAACAGATGAAAGCTCTAGGCCATCAGCATTTAATCATGGGCCTTTAATGAAAATGGAGTTAGGGAGTATTGACCCATATCTTAGATCTATAGTGAATAGGGTGATAACATCACAGCCTCACCTGTTGGTGGCTGACCATGACAGCCACTGAGACCGAAATAGCCTTTGTAGGTGGTCATTCTAGGATGCTATTTCCCTTTTTAGGTTTGCGGTCTTGAAGCAGTTACTTTTGTCCCATTTGCAAATATATTTCCTGCTGCAATTCAGCCTGCCACTGATGCATTTCAAGAAACTCAAGCTTTTACCATAAGGTCCTGCATCTAAAATATTTGTGAGAATTTTTCTACCTATCATGTTTGGGCTGCAATGCTTTAAACCCTGCAGAGCATGGCTGTTCTGTTCTCTGCCTCCTGCATTGCTTGCATCTTATTTAAGGGCATCAACAATTCTTCGGCACTGCAAATCAAACAGTGTGCACTAGTAAATCAAAAACTATGCTGGACAATGCAGCCCTTTTCTAGGTTCATGCCTGAGAACAATTGTAAGCTTTTCATCAGAATTTCAAATGCTGCCAAAGTATTTTTTAAGACAAGTTATTCAACACGCAACAAAACAAGTTTCTGCACTTTTTTCTAGACTATGTGGGATAATTTTCCATATAGCCAAGAAAGCATAAGGGAGACAGTCATTAAATCCACCCCTACTTATTAACCTTCTCTTTTATCAACAGGATTATAAACTCATAAGAGTTATCAGTATTTCTGATTAAATTTGTTGGGGCTGGAGCAAGGAGAGCCAAAATCAAATAAAGCTAGGTTTAAATCTAAGACTTTCTTCAAGATTAGATTTTCATTTACTGGAATTTTCTAGCCAATGTCTAAAAGAATCAAATTCAAATTAATAAGCAAAAATCTTTCTGAGGCTGCCATGTAGGAGCCCACTGAGGTTACAGAGATAATGTTGTTTCTTTGCCTCTAAAATCTGTTTTATATTTTTCATGTGACATTTTTCTAGTCATTGGAGAAATGATCACCACAACTGGGAGAGATTTTTGTACTCGCAGGAGAGTCAGCATGGCCTATAGGAAGGCAGAATAAGTTCATATCCCTGCACTATATTGATTCAGGCACAGGAACAAGAAAAGACCCAATCTCTCTCCCAGCCATCCCAAGGAACTCATACCAATCAATGTCTTGAAAAAGCCAGGGCTCGTATGAAGTACTGGTATTTGTTTCCATCCCACAGGCCTAAAACCAAACAAATAGTTGCATTTCAAGGGGCCTACAAAGGAACTTGTTTTAACTTCCACCATAGAGCTGTTAATTTCTAGTTAATGAAAGTCAAAGGTTCTTTTGGAATTTTTTTTCTTTTGGGTGCCCAGAACTTAAACTTGGGATGTTGTATGGTATTATAACAGCTTTTACTCAAAATTTAGCACCAGACTGAATGACATCTAAATTATGAGCTTTTGCTTCATGCAAGGCACCCTTTAAACACTTTGTGTATGCTAACTCACTTAAGCTTCAGAATGAACCCAGTGAAACCCAGTGAAACCCCATTCTACAGATGAAGTCAAATAGCTTAAGTAAATTGCCTGAAGTTACACAGTGAATAAGTGGCAAAAATAGGCTCCAGGGCCTGGGTTAATAATTATGCTAATAATTCAAATTGGTGTTATTTATAAGATTTATGACTTTCTAGCCCTCCAACAATAGAAAATGAGAACATTAACTATATCTCATCTATACAACTGAAAGCCACATAGACACATATTCATGTAGGAAAAGTTTTCTCACTAATATGGAAAAATAAAAGCAAGTTTTAGAGCCCTATAACAGCATGCAATTTTTACCAGAAAGATAAATAAAATTATGTAATATATTTAAATGAACATATAAATGTTTAGCTAATTTATAAATATATAAAATCTAGAAGAACATATACGAAAAAGTTAACAGTGGTTCTTTGTGAGTGGTAGGAGAACGGGTATTTTTTCCCTTTTTGTTTAAATTTATTTTCCCATTTTACCACAATAATCATATTGTAGTAAATCAGATTGTTTGATTTAAAAAGTTATATAAAGTAAAAATTAAAAGGGGGCCTCTAAAAATAAGTGGTTTTGTATATAAAAAAAGGAGTTCTTCTGTGATAAGGCAGCAAAAAACTTGGATTTTATATTGTGGAATGGCAAACTAGCAACGAAGAAGGAAAATACTCCATGTGCCCATGGGAAAACCTAGAGAAAGGCCCGGGGGTTGGGTGATATCCCCGGCTACAGCTGAATTTCACAGACTTACTGGGCCCTGGTATCACATCTAGGCATTCATTTTTCCTAGACATCATATCTCATAAGAGATGGAAACAATCGTTCTAAATTTAACTGATGGGAAAACAGGAAGAAACTTAGACAAGCCCATTGTATAAAGGAACTGTAATCTATGAAAGGCACAAAAGCCCATTTTCTTATGAAATGCCCACAATGGAAGTTTTTCGAGGCACAAAAAGTATCCTTGTCACTGACCCTTTACAATACTCTGAAAACAGTTTTTAATTTTCTCAACTCTAAAATAATAGAACCATTGCTTTTTGACTTGGATACTTAAGTTGGGGGGCAGCAACTAAGAAACGTGGGAGAGATACGTTTGTAGCGTATGAAGGGGTTGTGATTGCTTTGCTGCAGTTATGGTGTGGTATTTGACTTTGTATCTTAGGGTCAAAAGCAATTCTCGATTGAGTAAAGGGCAATGAGTAAAGGGGCTAGACTGAGTCTGACTTTGACCCAGATCCCTTTATACATCCCTTCTTTAGAGACGTATGTTACCTTAGATTTCCAGGCATGACATCGTCCTGGCCACCCTTTCTTTTTCCTTGTTTCTCCTTTTTTGCCCCATCTCTCACATGTCAGCATGTCCCAAGACCCTCTCTTCGGCCCTCTAATTCTGTATCTCACCTTACAGAGAACTCACCTCCTCTTCTGCCTTCACACCCGCACAAGTAATTGTCAAAGTGATGAGATTAGTCCTGGGAAAATCAGGGAAGGCTTTATAGAGGAGGCAGGCTTTTTGAGAGGTGATGACTTTCAGTTGGGAAACCGTGTGCAGGGGGAAAAGGCTCTCAGATAAGGGAAACCGTACTAACTAAAGCACAGAGAGGTAGAGAAGTTCTGGGTCTGTGAGGGAGACTGCTAGTTTGATACGAAACTTGTTCATTGATCCTTAGAAACACTAATAAACCGTGCTTTCATTTTTCTGTCACACCTGCATGTTTCTTTCTTGCTTCTGTGTCCCCAAGTCCCTTCCTGGACAAACGAAGCTTCCTGGTCCATTTGTGCTTCATTTACACACTGGTTATTTTTCTCACTTCTGAGTGTCTGAGGCCATCAAGGGAAAAATCCCAGTCTTTCCCTGCCGACTATTCAGACAAGAGCTGAGTTCTTCTCCTTCTTAACCCTTATTAGCCATCAGAGTTTATTCTGATGCTCAGTGTTTAGAGTTATTTGCTCATGTAATGTGTCTTTTTTATGGTTTGGTCTTTTACTCACAATTTTAAATACCTGGAGCTAGCAGGACTCTAGTGAGACAGCATTTACGGCCTTACGTTATACTTACTTAGCTTATTTTAGTCCGTACTTGAACCGGCAGGACTCATACATATATCTCCTATTGTACTGTTTTGGAATGTAATAGTCAAAGACCAAGTGCCTTTTCCCCCTGCACACGGTTTCCCGACTGAAATTCATCACCTCTCAAAAAGCCTGACTCCTCTTTAAAGCCTGCCCTGATTTTCCCAGGACTAATCTCATCACTTTGACAATTACTTGTGCGGGTGTGAAGGCAGAAGAGGAGGTGAGTTCTCTGTAAGGTGAGATACAGAATTAGAGGGCCGAAGAGAGGGTCTTGGGACATGCTGACATGTGAGAGATGGGGCAAAAAAGGAGAAACAAGGAAAAAGAAAGGGTGGCCAGGACGATGTCATGCCTGGAAATCTAAGGTTGTTTGATATAGTGTTCTTCGCAATGACCAACTCAGTTTAATTTGCTTGGAACAATATTCTACACAGCATTACGCAGAAATGGATACTTCATAGATGCCTTTTCACAAATATGATATTGATGATCCAATCTTCATAAAGAACCTTTAGTTTCATGAAAAAGAAATCTTCTAAATAGATTAAATGAATGCAAATATACTTTTATTTAGAACACTTACTCTCAATCATTTAAGAAGTAGTTTTACGAAAAAGTGTCTCGAATGAAGACATTCACTGAAAAAGTTTTAAGTTTCGAATCAAAATTACTTTTAAAAGCTAATACAGGCTGGGCACAGCCACTCACGCCTGTAATCCCAGCACTTTGGGAGGCTAAGGCGGGCAAATCACGAGGTCAGGAGTTCGAGACCAGCCTGGCCAACATGGCGAAATCCTGTCTCTACTAAAATACAAAAATTAGCTGGATGTGGTGGGGCACTCCTGTAATCTCACCTACTTAGAAGGCTGAGGTAGTAGAGTCGTTTGAACCCAGGAGGCAGAGGTTGCAGTGAGCTAAGATACATGCCACTGCACTCCAGCCTGGGTGACAAAACAAGACTCCATCTAAAAAAAAAAAAAAAAAAACCAACACCTAATATATGTTGAGGTCTTCTTAAATGCCAGACGTTTAATAATACCCTTATGACATAAGTATTATTACTACCATTTAACAGATGACAAAACTGGGGCTATAACATTACTGTAACAGGAACAAGGTCATAGAGCTGGTAAATGTTCAACAATAGTTAAGTAAATTATGTTACATCAACACAGGGGAACTATTTAAAATCATTAAAGTGACCATAATACTGACTAAAGAAACATTAAAAAGTTCTTTAAAGTCTAATGAAAATTTCAACTATGGCATTATGTATACCTAATGGTTATTGACATTTGACATTTTAAAATTATAGACACAAATTGTGATAGTCTAGGAAGGAGAAAGAAAATAAAATGGTTATATTGTTAGGATGATGGGTTTAGTGTTGTTTCATTCTTTTAGTCCAAGTTACTATTAATGTAATTTTATGTGATTTTAAACAATAATTATGTAAAAATAGAATGAATGTGAATGTCAGCATATTCTCTGGAAGGATACCTCATTTTTTTTTTTTTGAGACCCAGTCTTGCTCTGTTGCCCAGGCTGGAGTGCAGTGGCACGATCTTGGCTCACTGCAAACTCCGCCTCCCGGGTTCACGCCATTCTCCTGCTTCAGCCTCCCGAGTAGCTGGGACTACAGGCGCCTGCCACCACACCCGAATAATTTTTTTGTATTTTTTTAATAGAGTCGGGGTTTCACCATGTTAGCCAGGATGGTCTCGATCTCCTGACCTCATGATCTGCCTGCCTCGGCCTCCCAAGGTGCTGGGATTATAGGCGTGAGCCACAATACCTCATGTTTCTGTAAGAATTCTTGAGAAAGATATTATAGAATTCCATATCTATCTCTTGTTTATTCCCATCTATATAGTATCCACTTTTGTAAATAATTATTCCCTCTTGGAAATGGAAAAATGATTGAGAGGGCAGAGCTTTGATCCCAAATTTATGTATTTTTTTCTCTGGTGTCTCTGAAAACTGCTTTGATTACATAGTCTAAAAGATATAAGAAATTGGAATATTACCTAAGGAACTGGGTTGAGTTGGATTGCCAATGTAGATTTTTGTATGAGTTGGACGGAAATTATTTTATCGGCTTCCTCAGTTTGCTTTGCAGATGTCTTGCTTCTTGTTGAAATGAGAAGGGAGAAACAACTTAGCTGTGGAAGCTTCCTTGTATGCCTGTTGACAAGTACTGTGCAACATATTTGACGTTTTTTGGGGTAGACATAATTATGGCTTTAGTTCCCCACCCTACCCCACCCCCACACACAAAGGGGAAAAGTACTTAAAGAGAAAACTACAAACAAACAACAGTATGGAAACAGACTTTATATGACCCCTGAAATAAAATGTTAATTTATTTGTATCACAATGAGGCATAATCCGAAATAGCAGAAAAGCAACCTCCATAAATTGAAATAGGCAAAGACTCTTAAAAGAATAACAGCCATTTATGGAAGCATTTAAAATAATTGAAGGGAACTGGAGTGCAAAAACAAACTATATACCCATGGCTCCAAATCCCTGGTTCCAGAAAACAGGCAAGGACATTTGTTTCCGCACACATCTGGATCTATGATGCCTGCCCCTCCACCCATTGACCGACACTCACAAAAGCTACAGGGATAACCTACCATCGAAGAGGAGGCTTTCCTACTTGTATGTAGTATGAAATCATAAATCCTACATTATTTAGATGAGCAGTGAAAATGGAAACCTTTAAAGTTTGTACTTTCCACAGGAAGTCTCAATCCTCCCTGAACAGATGATTTTGATTTCAGAGTACACAGTGGGCCTTTAACTTCTTCAGCTTCAGGGGTATGTTAAATTCCAAGACTCCTTCACTATCCTAAAGAAACAGCAATAAAACATGTTTCAGGATTCAGTTCCTCCAGCTTCAGAGGCTGAGATGGATGAACTAGTTTGGGGGAAATGAGACATGACCCAACCCTTCACCTAAACAAAAATGACTCCAAATTGAACTTTTTAGAAAGTTCAATACTATGTAATAGAAACTTTCTTAAAAAGAAATACTGATTTTACATTGTACACTATCCAATTCCCATTGTGCCTAGAAGTAGAAGACCTGAACTGAAATGGAAAGAAGGGATGGATTCCTTTCCTCCTACCAGTACAGGGAAACAGCCAGGAACACCAACAAAGAGACAGGGGGCATGTTCTCCTTGCAACCAGCCACTCTGGAAAGTTTATGCAAGCTATTCATAAGCACTCATTTGGTTAAAGATGAATCTTCATGGCAATTTTTAAGCCATTTATCTCAATGGATCCAAAGATATGTTCTGAATTAAGCTAACTTAACACCAATTCATCTTATAATTTCTTTTAATCTATAAGATAATTCTTCAAGCCATTGGAATTGGCCATATATGAATTAGAATTGATGACACAGGACCATATAAGAAATTCTTTTATCAAAATAAATGAATGAAAAAGTATGTAAGTTATGCTTCCAAACTTTTTCAAATAGTGAGTGATTAATTTATTTTTTATCATCTCTGCAGTCTGATCTGTGAGCAACAGGCTGAACTATAAGACAACTGACCTGGATTTGAGGTAATTCTATGGGTATTATGGGTATAGAAGAAAGGAAATGTTACTTGGTCTTATGAGGAGTGAACCTATATATTCAACTATTTAACACTTCATCGAGACAAAGACCACAGAACTGCCAGTTACTTAGGAGGTCGTGCCACACAGTAGAAAGCACACTCGGACAGCTAAACTGGGAGTCAATTCCTGGCTATGTTTATGTGAAGCTGGACAAGCTACTTAATTTTTAAACTAACTCTCCTTTTTTAATTCATAAAAGCAGCAGAAACCTACTTCATTCCTTTGTAAAATGCCTACACGTAATAGGTACCATAAAATGGAGTATGCTAGCTCTACCAAGTTCTGATAGGCTAAGCTATTAAGACATTGATAGAAACAAGAAACCATTACCACACAGTAAGTAGTGTACATTTTAAAAAGGCTACTTAAGCTTCATTCAAGAAAGGTCTTAATTCTCTAATTGTTTTTAAAGACCTGTTTTGTTTATTCTTTGGCAGCAAATAATTTAAAGTGTGCTCAGGAATGGCGGAGAGAAGGAGAAAAATGGAGCCAGGGAATGGAAAGGAGATACTCTTTAGGAATTAGTGGGTTCACTGACAAAGAGTATCTGTCTGTGGGTTACAGTCAGAGGGAGGAGAGCATAACTGACTGCCTGTTAAAGGAGACAGCAGAGGAAAGCCAGGAAAGCCGGGGAAGTATCCTTTGGTAGGCGTCAAGACATGGGGAGGTATTATAGCTCTTTAGCAGTCTTAGTAGTAACTATCTCATTACAGTGCGGGGAGAAGGTGAGTGACTCATTTTAAGTAAAATAAGATAGTGCTTGATGTAGGGAGGATCACAGAGACAAAGATGTGATACTAAGTATTTCACTCAAAGAAACCATATTTTAAAAATCCCCAGCAAAGCCTTCCTTTCTTCCTGTTTAGAAAGTTGAATGAGTTGACAGTGATTCTGTGGAAAGGGGTATCACAGAGGGGACAAAGGTATTGCTAAACTCAAACTATAAACTCTATACTTCAAAAAAATATGTAAAATTAAAGTGTCTATTCATCATCTGGAACAAATCAGATACCTTCGGCAATTATTACGCTTGATCTGATTATGAAGTTGACAAAAAGTGCATTTTAATGAAGCTCTCTTGTGATCACAATACCACAATGCTGTTCAATAAATTATCCTCTACACTTTTCTAAAAGCTTGAAATACTTCAGATGTTTTTAAATAAAAAATTAGAAAAGGAATTGTAAACATTACAGACACGCATGGTCTTACAAGTTCAGATAATCCCACTGGGGCAGTGTTTAAGTAATTGATTTCGAGTAACTTTGGCCTCAAAGTGAAGCCGTACTGCTTTCCCAAGTAATCTGGGGACTGTATGGGAATGCAGATGGTGTGATGGAAAATTGTAAAGACTTCACCTAAAATGCTCTGTTCTTTTATTTCACCTTGTTGACTGGAACAAAATAAATCTACATGTCTGTAATTCCAAGAAGCATCTGTTTCTTGTGGATACACAAGGTCTAAAAATGTATAACATATGTTTAAGTTGCACCAAGAAATATGACCACAGTAAACTCAAGTAAACCTCAAACATATCTACCTCAAATGGTTTGTGCTTGCATGTTTGCATGTAATGTGCCTAGGCGAGACCAAGTTTGCACCACTTATTATTAGTAGCATCATTTCTACTCGACTGGATTCTTGTTGTATTGTCATCTCTAGTTTTCTTAAGAGATTTAGGAGGGAGGATCTCATAGTCTGCACATAGTCAATGCTCTTTTCCTAACACAACTCCAACTCCAACCAAGATTTTCACGTCTTACGTAGGTTTTTTTGTGTGCTACTTTACTGACAATTTATAGCAACTTGTTTACTGAAATTCATCTGTTCTTTTCCCTCGCAAGTAACTTCTTGGTTCACCCGTTTCTACACCTCATAAGTGATGAGTAATATTCACCACTGGCTGCATCATCAAAAAGTCATAATCAAAACCACGTTATTACAATGTGAGTTTTCTGTGTTAGTGAAATTTCCCAGCTTTATATAACCCAGTGGATGTAATTTTTACATAACCTCACACTGGTACAGCTCATAGTTACTCTGCATGACCATAGTCATTTGCTTTTACACTACAGCTATATTTTACCTTTCCAGGAAGAAAACGTATTCCTTTTCAATCCCTGTATTATGAAAACCTCTCTGCTTTATTTTTTCAGAGGGAGTTCTTATCTCCCCAAACTATTGAATGCTATGGGCAGAGAAAGCATTCTAAACGCATTCTAGTAAAATCTTCTCTAATGTCAGATAAGATACTGGTTTGCAATTCAATTGAAATATATTTCCATGCTGTAGATATCAAGTTACTATTTAAATCTTTAACAGTAGCCACCCTTCATAATTTGGAACCAAAGAAAAAGCATTGTTTATTTAATTTGTTTTGGAATTATTTAGCAACTGAAGCAGATTTTTAGGAATTCTTTTTTCTTTAGTATTGATCCTTTACCTACTTACTGAAAATTCTTGTTTGAAAGAACTTCCAATAAGAGGTAGGCTGCATTTTCTTTTTTTTCTCTCTACTTTCCACCCCTAAATGATTCTGGTTCTATACAGAACTGAAATTTTCCCCAAACATGAGGGCAGTTGACTTCACTTGTGCCACTTTAGGGAATGAAGAAAATGCTTAGTGGAAAATTAGTCTTATTGCTGTTGTAAGAAACTACCATAAATTCAGCATTTTAAACCAATATAAATATTATATCACAAATCTATAGGTCAAAAGTCTGGGTGGCCTTGGCTGGGCTCTTTGCTCATGGTCTCACAAGGTCAGAATCAAGGTGTTAGCCAAGCAAACACTTATTAGGAGGTTGGGAGAAGAATCCTTCTCCAAGATCAATCAGGTTGTTGGCAGAATTTAGTTTCAATGCAGTTGAAAGACTGAGGTCCCTATTTCCTTGATGATTGTCACCCAGGAATCATTCTGGAAAACCACTATGTTGCTTGGCTTATGGTCCCCTTCTTCCATCTTTAAAGCCAGAAATGCAATAGAGACATCATACTTTAAATCCCTATGTCTCCCCTCATCCCCATCTCTTCTACCTCTTCTGCTGCTGCGTCTTGCTGACTACAGCAGGACAAATTTCTGTTTATGGGGGCTTATGTAACTGCTTAGGCCCACCTGGATAATCCAAGATAATTACCCTATTTTAAGATCCACACCTTAACCACATTGGCAAAGTCACTTTGGCTATGGGAGGTAATATATTCATTTCCGGGATTAGGGAGTGGAAGCTTTGAGGGGAGTGTTATTCTGCCAAACTGAGCAGAAGAGGTTTTTCTTTTTCTGTTAATAGTGTGGGCATCAGGAAGACTTGAGAAAAACGGAATGGTTTCTTCTACTACAAATGTAATTGCCCAGAAAAAAATACCAACTAGGTAAACTGGTGACTCTGAAGGTCCTGAGGAAATTCTTATGATGATGTTGAGAGATAGGAGTTCAGTTAGTTAGCACGTGCATTCCTGAAATCTAAACAATTTGATAGTGCTTTTTGTTAATAATACTTTTTGTAAAATACTACATTAAGACCTATCAGGCTCACTTTCCCAAGGCTTAAGAGGGATTTCAACCAATAGAAGTGTCTGAGGCCTTAGTAAGTGACTTGTATTCTTTGTTTAAGGGTATATTTATAATATTTTACAAAAAGTGATTTTTTTGGTGTCACTTTTGGTACTGGAAGTGGGTGTTAGGTTGAAGTTTAAGAAAATATAAACTGGATTTGAAGATTATGGAAAGGAAACTCATATATACTGATCAGTTCTGCCCTCAACTCTTACAAGTTTCAAAATATATGAGTGTGGCCTAGGTGAAGAATACAACTGAATCAACGCATGGTGACCCTCATGTGGATTGGTTTTAGGTGGAGATGACACTCAACAAGCTGAGGGCCAGGAATTTGCCAATTTTGAGGAGTTTTCTCAAACTGTGACCTCCCAGGCTTTATCTTCCCCTTGTCCTTCTCCCTAAGGCACAAGCCCTGCATAGAATTGACTAATGTTCGGGACCTAGGTTTTGACAGTTTCATTTTTCATACTTATATAACTTCCTTTTACCTGCTCCTACACTGAAAGCTAGGGACTTCCATTTATGCTTACGTTGAGATTCCCCTGGGCTTGGCCCACTGCAAATACCATTAGGAAATGGGACTAATGATTACATAGAACCTGCTATATGTCATGCATTGTTAACATACATTATGAAACTTCATTTAGGTTTAAATGATCCTATGAAGCAATAAGAAAGGTATTTTTAATTTCCTCAAAATGAAATTGAGATACAGAGAGGATCAATGTCTTATCCAAAGTCACATAAATATCAAATGGAATTGGGGTGGTGATTTGAACCCAGAAATGTAAATGGCTATATGATTGCCTGGCACCCTTTCATCAGCAATATTAGAGCGAACTGCAAGCTTTAGGTAAAGAAGCCATTAAGGACGTTCCTCCTCTCATTCATAACTGATAAGTGAACTGATTACAGCAGATCTTTTCTTACTTAGTTCCTTACACATGGGCCTCTAAGACACTTCTAAGGTTTTAAGCTTCTTTTTCTGTCCCAATGAATTTGAAGATATGATTTCAATTGAGTTATTTTCCTGGACACCTTTGGAACACTAGGGGTTAATTCACTTTTACTTTGTTTGTAAATCTTCCCTTAAGACAGTGAGCATGGGCATGGGCACCCCTCCCCCACAACACCCCTCCTCATTCCCCCAGAGAGAGGCCCAGCACCAGAGATTAACTGGGAGCTAAATGCAGGCTGGTGGCCAAACCAGAGTGATAAGAATCCTGATTTTGATGGAACACTTAAAAATCATTTTAGCTTTTCCAGACCTAATCCAGTTAAAGGATGTGGGGGTGGGAGGCCTTCTTGTGGGTTATACAAATAACTTCACTCCAGTAACTCCTCTTAACCTAAGATTGAAGGGGCTGTGCGAATGAGGGGGAGGGGGCCCCAACTCTATCACGTGGCCTGCTTCTACTCTTCAACTGGGTGTTTTTTTATTTGTTTGTTTTGGTGGTTACACAACCTGGCTTATTACTGTCAGTCTATTAAAAAATACCCCATTTTTCACAGAAGAGCTATGTGAGTGCAGGGCGTCCTGATTTACTGCACAATCTTTGGCTGCATAGTTAGGGCGCCATCTTACATTTGTCTTTCTGTTTATGTGGGGGCCATGATAAGAAGTGAGGCTGACAAACTCCAGGTCATTTCTGCAGATGAGGATCCTGAACAGGAAGCACTTTTTAGAGGCCTCCATGACAAGAATTTTCTCAGAAATCTATACTGATTGCATAGTTTTAAGAAGTATTATTGGCTTTTGTTGCAGTGGGAATTGTGGGAATGGACTTTAGCTAATGATGTCTGAAAGTGCAAGGCAGCTCTGAAAATGAGAGATTGAAGAAGGTGAGAGACCCAAGCCCCTTCTTTTGCTTATTATCAAAGCTCTACCCATTACTAGCAGTTTGAGGAAAACTGTGAAATTCTTCACACAAAGGCAAAACCCAGGCATGATTATGGTAAAAGCAATACTAACAGTGCTTGGTATTCCCAAACTTTCACGGTGCCCATCATCAGCATGGGCATTTCTGAGATAATAGGTAAAGCGGAGAGAAGGATAGAAATGAATTTAGCTCCTGCACGTTAGTGTATAGCCAAGAGGTTTGTGAGAATATTGAAGTGCTCCTGTTACAGCTAGTACATAGTTTCTATAGTGGGCCCTCTAAGTGCCTTCTCTAAGCATCCTGACCCTCCCACCACTGTGATTTTAGCCTGTACTGTTTTTAACTACTTTCAATATTGTCCCTGAAGAAGAAGGAAAGCCTTTTGGATTTCCTTGGGTGTTGACAGGGGTTTGGGAAGCAGAGTATAAACTTAATTCATCTAAACAAAAGAAAATGCGTGGATCTGGGCTATGCTGAGGACCACATATATAAAATGGGAATAATATAAAGCTCATAGGGTAGTTTTAAGGATGTTTTTTTTTCTGTTCAAAATGTACTAACCATCAGAGAGTTGGGGTGTGCAACACCTAGGTACCCCAGCACTGCATAGGACAAGCCATGGTTTCACAAGGGATTTACAGGACGGCCCTATCATCCTTCTTCCTATGTCTTAAAGTTTTGCCCATTTTAAACCAGTTCCACTTGGTTCAGATTACTCCATTACTCCCATCTTCCTCTTGGTGCTTATGTGTTTAGATCCACAAAGCCCTAACCCATTGCTCTACGTGATTATATATTCTTTTTAGCGTTTCTTAAATCTTTCCTGTGCTTGAGCTTTCTCACCTCTTATGTTGGAAACTCCTTAGGATTGGGAGCATGAGATTTCCTGAGGACTCCACCTGCCCTTGGCCATCAGGGTTGGTGACTGACAGAGTGGCCCATGCATTCTGCCTAGCCTGGACATGGTTCACCATTCTCTCCGCAGAGAGCATTGGGCAGAGGAGTAATATTGATCAGAGATAGCTACTATGGAATATATACAAAAGCCAGGGCTCTGTCACTTCGTTTAAACTCACATTACACTTGTGATGAAAGATACTTTTATTTCCACTTCATAGATGAGAAAACTGAGCCCTGAGAGGCTACATCAGTCATCCCAGGACAGCTGGCAGTTTCTCTTATCTCCCAGTGTGATGCTCATTTGACTTTTATCTCACCATCCCTCTGTGACCTTGTTCTCAGACTGTCTAGATGGCAGCTTGTTACTGGAGTCAAAGCTCTAATGGGTGAAATTGCAATAAGTTGTTGGGACAGCACATAATCCATCATAATCTGATATTGATCACCTTATTACCTAGACTTTTCATTACACTTCTCCTCGAGAAGGGTAATGCTTAAAGCACAGAGATCATATGTCTAATGACACCCAGTGGGGGTGGTTCAGATAAGGAAAGAGTTAAGGGTCTACCAGGAAACCCTCAGATCATGTTACATGTTACCAAATTATGGATTTGGGTAAAAGTAGAATTGATTGTGTCATGTGAGTAAGATTTTCGTAGCTGATTTTTCAACTCTCCAATAGACTGTCTTGCATGTACCAGGCTCAGAAGGGACACGGCACAGAGGATGCTGAGAGGCAGGGGAGGTGGTCAAGGAAGAGCTATGCAATGCTCAACTCCGAAGCCATGTGGTCTGATGGAGAAGGCAATCTGTGTTCAAATCTTAGCCAGGCCATCCTTTAGAAGTCAGATCTTGACAGAATCACTTCAAGCATCTGAGCCTCAGGTCTACTCATCTGTAAAATGAGAATAATAACTGCCACCAACTCCCTGGATTATGTTGAGGATTTGATTAGGTAGTGTTTATGGAGCATGGCACGTGTTCTCTACGTAACAGGTGTTTCCCTCTTACTCAACATTCCTTTATTCGTATTTAAAGGCAAAAATGGACTGACCAAATACTATGTGGTAAACAAATGAGAACCAAGCTCAAGGGATGGGTATCATTTTCTTAAACATACACAGACACACACACAGACTATGTGACAGGATGGGAAACTGAGAATCTAGATGAGATTTTATCCAAGGATAACAAGCCCAGTGTGGGTTTGGATGCCAAAAAAAAAAATGGTGACAATGCTACACTCTTCATTTTGGAGAGTCATGATGGCTAATGAGTCACCACTATGGTTATAGCTTTGCTTTGGGTAATGGAGATCTGCAGATATATCCAAGGGATCGAATTTTCCCTAGTAATGTTGAAAAAAGATGCACAGATAAACTTGTTTCTCTATCACAAGCTGCAGCCTTCTCTGTTCAGCAAAGAAGAAATGGTAATGTTTGAGTCCAAAGCTGGCCTGCCCTCCAGACCTGGAAAGTGCCCTCCATTATAGAATTCTGCTTGAGGTAATAATTTACATAAAAGGAAAGAACAATAAAATTTAGCTAAAAACAGCCACCCAAGTCCATCCCCCACCTCCGCTGCCATAAAGCTGATATAGCAACTGGGATTAAAATGTAACCTGAACCCAGAGAATTTTTGTAAATAAGATGAAAGCTGCCATTTAAGGTTTCTCAATGGCACCAACTGGATTAGAACTTCTCTTGAGATAGGAATCTTTTGACATTCCCCGGGAGCTGTATCTGCTTACTGGAAGGCACAGTTGATGCATGCAAAGTCAATTAAAAAGCTAACTGCATAAAAGACAGTGGCTGCACACGATTCATGCTATGCATTTCCCAGACAACCCTGGCTTTGTTTACTAGGGTTTTATGCAGAGTGGCAATGTGGGTAGTGATTTGAGACTGAAATCTGAAAGTCAAAAAATAAAAATAACCAAACTAATTCCTGACTGTAGAGGATCAGAGAAATTCTATACCTGCCATAGATATTTCTATAAATAATAATTTAATCTGACATAGGACTTTAAAAAAATAAAGCCCTTTATATTGACATTTGAGTATATGTATGTATGACTCGTGTGTGTGTGTGTGTGTGTGTGTGTGTGTGTGTGTGATGCCAAAATCTTAGGTTTTTATAACTTGTGTCATTTCTTGCAAACTGCATCTCTTTTTCAAAAATACTAGAGAATAGTACTTTCATTGTCAGTGGAGCCAATGATGGGTGAACTGGGCTCACTTACACACTATGACTCAGGTCTGGTCAATCAACATCTAATATTCAGGAATGTAAAAGTTCTCTCAAAGTCATTAGAAGCCATAAAAATTTGCTGAAACTTCTGGGACTCAGGTAGGTATTCTTTTCCCTTAGGCATAAATCTGAAAGAACGTAAGTTCTGGAGCTGCATTCATCATCTTGCCCTCAGGTGGAGCTTGTGGGCAAATAATACTAACAGCTAACCCTTACTGAGCACATGATAGGTGCTGGGCAGGGTTCTAAGGGCTTGATGTTTTTTAACTCATTCAATCTTCATGACAACCTGTGAAGTATTTGCATGCTGCTGCTATTTCATGCCTGCTGCTCTCAGGCTCTGCTTGCTTTGTGAAGCTTGTGTGATGACAAGAAGAACACACACACAGAAACGAAGTCCTGGTGCCATTATCTGGGCTCTGCATTTAGCCATTCCTTAAACTAGCACTTAGAATTTTCCATTACATGAGAAAATAAATAGTTTTTCATGTAGGCATGTTTTGGTTGATTTTTATGTCACTTGTAACTAAAAAAGTCCTAAAGGACACAGACAGACGCCACCAACCCAAGCCTTTCAATGTGCAAATAAGGAAACCGGGGCTCACAGAATTTAAGTTACTGCTCAAAATGACACAGCTAATTTAGGAGATGGGAACACAAGCTTCAGACTTCTAGTCAAATGTTCTTTTCCCTTTAACATTGATAACTATCCTTCATTGTGTACTCCTTATGTGACACACAGTTGTACACAACCATCCCCCTTTCCAGCTTCAGCAATCCTGAGAGGGTAAATGCAATTGGCTTCCCCATTTGACAGATAGGTAATCTGAGATTTAAGAGGATATATAACTTGCCTAATGTTACACAAGACCTAAGAGGAGGAGCTAGGGTCCAGACCTGGCTGTGTGGCCCGAAAGCCTGAGAGTTTACCGGGTGTTCCCAGCTTCCACCACAACACATTGCCAGCAATTGGTACCTATTTTCTGGACATAAAGCAACAACCTGATATTGATTTTTTTTTTTTTTTCAGACAGAGTTTCACCTTGTTGCCCAGGCTGGAGTGCAGTGGCGTGATCTCGGCTCACTGCAACCTCCGCCTTCCAGGTTCTAGCAATTCTCCTGCCTCAGCTTCCCAAGTAGCTGGGATTATAGGCACACACCACCACACCTGGCTAATTTTTTTTAATTTTTTTTTTTTTTTTAATTTTTGGTAGAGAAGGGGTTTCACCATGTTGGCCAGGCTGGTCTCGAACTCCTGACCTCAGGTGATCCACCTCCCAAAATCAATGGGCATAATCTGGAAAAGTGTTCAACCCTTTTTGATCCTTTATTTTGCATCTAGCAGAATGGGCTTTACATTCTAGCCTAAAAGTTTAAAAATATTATTGAAATTCCATTAAAGTCATGCTGCTTTCCATTGATGCCTGGTAATAAGAATTAACATAGCCTTTTCTTCAAGATTTTACTTAACTTTGATTGATATTTTGAAAGAAGTTTCATGGTTCAGAGGAAAGCTGATGGTGCTGTTAGTCAGAATACATGAGCTTTAGTCTTGCCTTTCTGGGTTAATACTATTTTGATTTTAAGTTGTTCTTTAAATACTGAGACCTCAACTCTCCCCTCTGAACATTTAAAATGGTAAGTTAGTATAAGAGATTATATTTTACTAGAATTATTTTTATTTTTAATGCTTACATTGACATATACAAAGACCAATGCCTTATAATTGTTCATATAATTTCTTGTGAGTTGGGAAGCAGAGACATTACACAAAGAGGAGGGGAAAAAACATAGTTTTCTCTAGTTTAGTGAATCGTTAGAGCTCAGAGCCTAGCATGCAACTATGCTGACTTGGTACAATAAGAATGAACATTATCATTTGACATTTGTCATTGGCACCAACTAGATTATAGCAATTCATCTGGCAGTAGATAATTTTTTCAGGAGTGGAGTCTGCCTTTTTCAAATATAACATGCAAGTAGAAAATTTCGAATGACAGAAGGAAAAACAAATTGGGACATGATCAAAATGTCATTGATTGGCAACCCTGAAAACCGTAGTTTTTCCTCTTCATTTGCACCAGAAGAGGGAAATACCCTCTACTGGTATCTTCTTCAGGCCAGGAGTTGCTGGCGTCACCTCTTATTTCTGATCAGTTCGACAGAGGCTAAACTATGGACGTTATGGTAATATCAGTGTAGGTCTAAGTAGATGCATTTTTTCCTCTCTCCAGTCTGCTTCACTAACCAGCTCTCCAGCTGTCTTCCCTCCCCTCCCATTTCACTAACCACACACCCACCTATGTGCACATACCCTTTGTCTCACATATACCAAACTGAGTGGCTAGCAC
The DNA here is from genome assembly GCF_000001405.40 of Homo sapiens. Taxonomy (NCBI): domain Eukaryota; kingdom Metazoa; phylum Chordata; class Mammalia; order Primates; family Hominidae; genus Homo; species Homo sapiens. Next base: position 218,781,792 of record NC_000001.11, read on the forward strand.
CTCTAGAGCTCAGAGCTAGTCACGAACATCTTTCTAATAGCATCATCACTGCTGTTGTGCTTGCTGTCATCATCATAGTCATCATCAGCACACCCGTCACCAGTATTATCTCTGATTTTTATATAGTAGTCCTTGGTAGTTTACAGGTTTTTTTCCATGAAATGCTCACAACAAACTTGCATGGTGATATAGTTTGAATGTGTGTCCCTGCCCAAATCTCATATTGTGATGAGATTAATATCCCCAGTGTTGGAGGTGGGGCCTGGTGGGAGGTGACTGGATGATGAAGATAGATTTCTCACGAATGGTTTACCATCATCCCCTTGGTGTTGTTCTCATTATTATTATTATTATTATTATTATTATTATTATTATTATTATTTTAGATGGAGTTTTGCTGTCGTTGCCTAGGCTGGAGTGCAACGGTGCGATCTCAGCTCACTGCAACCTCCACCTCCCAGGTTCAAGCGATTCTCCTGTCTCGGCCTCCTGAATAGCTGGAATTATAGGTGTATGCCACCATGCCCAGCTAATTTTTTTTTTTATCTTTTTAGTAGAGATGGGGTTTCACCATGTTGGTCAGGCTGGTCTTTAACTCCTGACCTCAGATGATCCGCCTGCCTTGGCCTCCCAAAGTGCTTGGATTACAGGCGTGAGCCGCTGCACCCAGCTGGTGCTGTTCTTGTGGTAGTGAGTGAGTTCTCAAGAGATCTGGTTGTTTGAAAGTGTGTAGCACCTGCTCCCCTCTCTCTCTCTTGCTCCTGCTTTCTCCATGTGATGTGCCTGCTCCTTCTTCGCCTTCTGCCACTAGTAAAAGCTCCCTGAGGCTTCTGCAGAAGCTGAGAGTTGTTGGTGCCATGCTTCCTGTACAGCCTGCAGAACCATAAGCCAATTAAATTGCTTTAAAAAATTACTAGGTCTTGAGTATTTCTTTATACAATGCGAGAACGACCAAATACACATGATGAGGAGAGCAACTGGTATTATCACTGGTTTAATGCAAAGAGAAAAGACTTTCTAGTTAAAAGGCCTTAGCTTAAATTCTGGCTCAGCTCAATTAAGCTCAGCATATGTGGATGAAGCATCACTTCCCAACAAGAGCTGTGCTTGGTCTTGGATTTCTTCAACCTAAAAAGTAGCTCACGTTGCCAGAGAGTACATGAACTGCCTCTCCTTCCCCTCACAATGCTAATGGTCTTTGTGGATAAATCGATGGTTCTCAATTTTGTGTCTCAGAGTCTCAAGGTGTTTACACAGGTGGAAATAGGGTCTTCAAGTTATTGTCAATATTTCAAAATTATAACCTTTACCCTGGAAATTGAACCTGACCTTCAGAAAACATTGCACAGGCTAACGCATGCATTTCTGAAGTGTTGGTTTTGCAGGGAGGCTTTCTATTTGACAGATTAAAGAACGCTTTGCTTACCACAGGACATAAATTCAGAGCTTTCTTTAACATGCCTGTCTAATCTTTTGCTGCTGTTCTATCCAGATCATTCAGTCCATAGTGCTAAACCTTCCCCAGGCAGCATTTTCCAGAACTGTCAAAAACTGTGGTGGTGTCATGAGCCTGTTTGCTGTATGCAAGCCACGTCATTCCCAATTTTGTTTTTTAGTTCCAACACAAATGTGTTTGCAGAACTGAATACTAACTCTCCAGGGCCTGCCAGGGAGTTCTATTTAGGGAAACTGAGAAGCTTCTGTAAACTGAGGAGTTGGATTAAAATTTTTCCTCAGAAGTCCACAAACATCCATTCTACAATTTCTCTCTAAGTGAATAGTATTTAAGTTGCAGCAGTCAGTGGCATGGGGGAGTGGTATAGAAGGGGATAGGGTGGGTATTTTGTCCAGGTTCAAATTGCAGGGCTGAGGCAAACACAGTGGCTGCCCTGGCTAGAAAATGGCCCTCACCTCACCCCAGGTCCCAGCCCCACCACAAACCTGAGCGAGCTCCAGCCACGGAATATGTGCTTATGAAAGTAGCTCACCTGCCCTTCTACTGGATCTCATACAATGGCTCAGCTCTTTGTTACAGATGGAAGGAAACAGCTTCTGTGAGATCAAGCATTTTAGTCTTTGGAATGAACAAATTATTTCTGCCATAATTAAGTAAATCTCTCGTCAACTTCTAGTCAGTGGTTCACATCACTTGGAATAAAACGTATCAGGGGAAAAGGAGATTCACATTGCGAGTGGCATTATCATGCCAATCTCAGAGTACTTTAAAAAGTTAACATAAAGTCAGTACACACAAAGTAGGCTCAACAGTGACCCCAGAGGAGCCTTTTTCTCCTCTCCTACTGCCTACGAAGTAACCTGCAGGAATGACCTCAGATGACTACCCAAAGGTTACTGACACCAGTACCTTCATCTGCCACTGCAATGCTCCTTGCAGAACAAGGTCCTAGGAATACTTGTATGGGAAGGCTGCCTGTGTCCCTAGAGCCTTGTGCAGTCTGATGACATTACTAGGCCCTTAATATAGACTGCCATACCACATTTAATGTTAAATCATTATTAGTTTGCTAAGGCTAAGGGTAATGGCCTCCAGCTTCATCCCCAAACCTGCATATGTACCCCTGAACCTAAACTAAAAGTAAAAAAATAAAAAATTATTCTTAGACTAAATGATAAACAATTTTCCAGGTGTCCAATGATTCCCTGTGTTGCTCTCATATGAAGCCGGAAAAAATAAAATTTGTTCTCATTTAAGTTTTTAGGATGTTGTTACTTTCATTTCTTTGATATACTGGAAAAATAGCTAGAAGAGAAGATTTGAAACGTTCACAACCCAAAGAAATGATAAATATTTAACATGATGAAGATCCTAAATACCCCAATTTGATCATTACATATTGTATGCATGTATCAAAATGTCACATGTACCCCATAAATATGTACAATAATTATGTCTAAATTAAAAAAGAATAAAGCAATACATACATTTTCATAAAAAATGGAATGAATGTCTTGTAAGGAAAATAGCACCCATAATACCTTTTATTCTTCCTACCCCCAAAATCTTGATTGCATACTGAGATTTTTCTGTGTGATTAAATTGGGTATTAGAGCAATGTATTTAATATTTTTAATTGAATATTCAAATATAGAAAAATGCATAGTTGTAAGTATAAAGTTTAATGATTATGACAAACATATACAATTGTGTAATCAATACCCAAATCAACATATAGAATATTTCATCATTCCAGAAAGCCCCCTGTGCCTTATTCCAGCCCACTCTTCTGATTTCAATCATCATGAATAATTTTGCCTGTTCATGAACTTTATATAAATGGAATCATATACTATGTACCCTTCACTCTGCATGTTTCTGAGATTCATGTGCTATCAGTTGATTCCTTTTTATTACTAAGTGGTACTCCATTCTATGAATATACCATACTTTGTTTATGTATTTTTCTGTTAATTAATGTTTTAGTTGTTTCCAGTTTTTTGTTTTATGAGTAAAACTATTATAAATATTTGTATACAAGTCCTTATGTGGATATATATTTTAATTTATTCTGGGTTATGAGTAAAATTTCTGGGTCATAGAATAAGTACATTGTCCAAATTTGTAAGAAAATGTCAATACATTTTCTAGAGCATTCCACAATTTTTACAATCTCATCAGCAATTTCTAGAGTTTAATTGCTTCCCATGGTCTCCAATATTTGGTGTTTGGGCTTATTTGCCATCTTAGTAGGTATAAAGCGGTTTCTTAATTGGCATTTTTCTGATGATTAGTAATGCAGAACATTTTTAAAGTGTTTATTGAGTATTTGTATCTCTTTGTATCTCTTCAATCTTTTGCTTAATATTTAAAACATTGGTTTGTCTTTTTAATAATTGAATTTGTAGGAGCACTTTATATTCTGTAGTTATAAGTTATAGTTCAGATATATGTAATTGTAAATATTCCTCTCATTCTGTGTCTAGCATTTCAATCTTCTGAAAGATTTTTTTTTATAAGCAGAAAATTTTATAGATTTTGATGAAGTTAACTTTATCAGTGGATTGTCCTAGAGAAATCTTGGCCTAGTTAAGCCTTCAAAGATACCGTCCTATGTTTTTTCCTAAGTAAGTCTTAAATTTAACAACAGACAGCCTAGAACTCTAGCCCAGAATATAGCCTCATCTAAAGGCTGAGATGTCCAATGAAGTGAACTTACAAAGAGAATCCTGAGGATTCAGTAGCTCTGTGGGTCCTGAGCATTGGAGTATCATCCTTCACAGTATGACAAGTGTGAGGAGTTTCAAGGCCTTAATTTTGGTGTTATTTTTGGAGATGATGTGGGTTTCTGTAGTTCTGGCTTTCTCTAGGATCAGAGTCATGCTTTGTAGCAAAGGCTGCCAAGCTAAACTTTTCTCTGGGTGAGAAAGCACGTGTTTACCCACGTGCAGAGCTGAGCGCCAGTGTCTTGCTGTAATTGCATCTGTAAAACCTCTTCCTCAAATATTACTCTTTGCCTCTGTGGAAAAACAGCATTTTTAGCAGAAAGGACAAGTGGACAAAAGGTTTCTCCCGCACCACCAGAGGGGTAGCATTTAAAAATGGAAGTGGCTTGTGTAACCTACTTTTCCTTGGTTTTAAAATAACAGCTCACAGATTTGCATTTGTTTTTAGTTATTGGCCCTGTGACCCCTGCTTCTGTTTGACTTGATAAATTCCATCTCGCCTTCCACAGGCAACCATTCAATCCTGAACTTTTCCTGATGTGTTTCATCAATCTAATTTTAGGTAAGTTACCAGTTTTCTATACTGGGAATTTTGCATTAAGAAGAAGAAAAGTATTTGTCAGTAGTATTTTATTCCTGGATCTCTCATTTTAAATTATTTTTATAGCTGTCTGATATAATTACTATGCATAATTAGGCAGTGTATAGAATACAATACAGAGGTCCTGGCAATTCTCTATAAAAGTGATTCTTTCCATTTTTTTGTTGTTATTCTGTAGCCAACTCTGAGTTAAAACACAACAAAAGACAAATCTTGTAGACTATCTATTTTGCCCACTTAAACACACGTTTACATATACAAATGTGTATGTGGCATGAATTTCATGAGAAAAAATAAAGGAAAAATCACTGTTTGAAAACAAAGAAATGACTAAGTAAATTGAGAATTATTTCCAGAAACACAAGAACAAGCATCATTACATTATTTTCATTGGTGAGAAAAAGAATAGCTCCATAGAAAGGTTTTAGGATCCCTAACAAAATTCTGGTGAATACATGACATGTAGATGGAAATCAATACGCATATACTATACAAACACTAAGTAGGCACATTTTTGTTACTTTTCCCAAAATATTAGGTTAGTGAAAAAGTAATTGCAGTTCTGGACTGTGAGGTTTAAATCATTACAACTAGGCTCAAATACATCTTTATTAATCAAAATAGGAATTACTACTATCAACATATTTTTTGCTAATGAGAAATAAGTTTGCTCATTCCTGTAGAATAAAAATCCATACTTTGTGATTCAGCAAACTTTTGGGAAGCATTTTCTGCACCCTGCTGGTTGTGAAAGCGTTTTTCCTGCAAAAAGTTGTTGAGATGCTTGAAGTGGTAGTCAGCTGGCAAGAGGTCAGGTGAATATGGTGGATGAGGCGAAACTTTGTAGCCCAATTCATTCAACTTTTGAAGAACTAGCTGTGCAACGTGCAGTCAGGCATTGTCGTGGAGAGGAATTGGGTCCTTGGTGTTGACCAACGCCGGCTGCAGGCATTGCAGTTGTTGGTGCATCTCATCGATTTGCTGAGCAGACTTCTCAGATGTGATGGTTTCGCCAGGATTCAGAAAGTTCTAGTGGATCACACTGGCTGCATACCACCAAACAGTGACCATGACCATTTTTTGGTGCAATTTTGGCTTTGGGAAGTGCTTTGGAGCTTTGTCTAAGTCCAACCACAGAGCTAGTCATCGCTAGTTGTCATAAAAAATCCACTTTTCATTGCACATCACAATTCGATGGAGACATGGTTCCTTGTTGTCGTGTAGAATAAGAGAAGACAACACTTCAAAATGATATTTTTAATTTTTACTCAGCTCATGATGCACCCACTTATCGAGCTTTTTCACCTTTCCAATTTTCTTCAAATGCTGAACAACTATAGAATGGTCGACCCTGAGTTCTCTGGCAGCTTCTCCTGTTGTTGTAAGAGGATCAGCTTCAACGATTGCTCACAATTGGTCGTTGTCAACTTCCGATGGTTAGTCACTATGCTCCTTATCTTCAAGGATCTGCTCTCCTTTGCAAAACGTCTTAAACCACCACTACACTGTACATTCATTAGCAGTGCCTGGGCCAAATGGATAGTTGATGTTGCCAGCTGTCTCCTCTGCTTTATGACCCATTTAGAACTGGGATAAGAAAATTGCTCAAATTTACTTTTTGTCTAACATTATTTCCATAGTCTAAAATAAATATAAAATAAGTAGCAAGTAAGTCATTAGCAAAAAAAAAGCAAGAAATGCACATTAAAATGATGTATAACATAACCACATTTATTAAGAATGTATTCCAATATCAAATGGCAAATTTCAACAATGCAAAAACTGCAATTATGCTTGCACCAACCTAATATAAGTGTTCATCAATTTTTTTAATTGCAAAAGTATTCGTGCATATTGTAACATTTCAAGCAATTCAGAAATACTTACAAAAACAGTGGCTCTTTTCCTCAGTAGTCCCACCCCTGAGGAAAATAATATCAATTGCCTGACTGTCTGGTGTACATCCCTTTACATAAACATATAAAATCATGTACATGCATAATTTATCATATTTTGCTTTTTATTCAAAACATAAAGTGAATCATACTGCGTATTACCCCAAAATTTGTTTTTGTCATTTATTAATTCACAAAAGGCATTTTCTGGTTCAATATATATATTTGAATTATTCCTTTTAATGGCAACATAAATGAATTTACTCACTGCATTAAGTCTGCTAGAGATGTCATAACAAAATATCCCAGACTAGGTGGTTTAAAGAGCATAAATTTATTTTCTGACAGTTCTAGAGGCTGGAAGTCTAAGATCAAGGTGCTGGTGGGGTTGGTTTCTGGTGAGGGCTCTCTTCTTGGCTTGCAGATGGCTACCTTTACTCTGTGTATGCACGTTACTGGTATCTCTTCCTCTTCTTATGAGGGCATCAGTCCTACTGGATTACAGCCTCAGCCTATGACCTCATTTATCTTTAATTTACCTCCTTAAAGGCTCTATCTCCATAAATAGTCACACTGTGGGGTAAGGCTCAACCTATGAGTTTTGGGAAAGACAATTCAGCCCATAACACTGACCAATTCCTCTATTAATTGGCACATAAAGTTTGTTTGTTGATCAATTTAACTACACCTTTCAAAATAACCTTAATTTTTGTAAAGATGATTTGCATACATCATATATATGTAACAGAAGAAAAAATGCAATGCATAGAGGGAAATGTAATTCCCCAAATTCCTTCATGCCAAACAAATCACTGTTAACATCTGGTAAACATTCTACGTAGCTATATGTAAATAGACAGAAGGACAGATAGGTAAGTAAGTAGGTGGAACAATACATAGATATGAGATAAATTCTTTTCTTGGTGAAGGAGTTGTCAGTGAGTTCTACTCTATTAGTTCCTACAAGAGCTGATTGTTAAAAAGAGCCTGGCAACTCCCCACCCTTGCTTCCTCTCTCACCATGTTATCTATGCTCACACCAGCTCCCCTACACATTCTACCAGGAGTGGAAGCAGCCTGAAGCCTCACCAGATGCAGAAGCCAATCTTAAACTTTTTAGCCATCAGAATCATGTACTGAACAAGCCTATTTCTTTTTAAATTACCCAGTCTCAGGTATTCATTTACAGCAACACAAAACAGACTAAGACACCTTCTACGTCTTGTTCCCTCTTCTCTTCTCATCCCCAAGGAGACACTGATCCACATCATGTTACTATAGATTCATTTGCATTTTCTAGAAATTTACAAAAGGAAATCATAGTGTGTACGCTTTTTTCCCTAGACTTCAAAACTCGGAATAATTATTTTGAGAGTTAAACAGCTAGCTGCAGGTATCAATAGTCGGCTCATTTTTATTGTTGAATTGTATTTAACTGTATAGATATAACACAATTTATTTATACAACTATCTTTTGATAGGCAGCTGGATTGTTTTCATTTTCAATTTTTGACTATCACAAGTAAATATTTGTGTACAAGTCTTTTTTTTTCAGACAGAGTCTCACTCTGTCGCCCAGGCTGGAGTGCAGTGGCACGATCTCAGCTCACTGCAACCACCGCCTCCTGGGTTCAAGCAATACTCTGCCTCAGCCTCCTGAGCAGCTGGGATTACAGGTGCCTGCCACCACACCAGGCTAATTTTTGTATTTTTAGTAGAGACGGGGTTTCACCATCTTGGCCAGGCTGGTCTTGAACTCCTGACCTCAGGTGATCCACCCACCTCGGCCTCCCAAAGTGCTGGGATTACAGGCATAAGCCACCACACCCGGCCTGTGTACAAGTCTTTGTATGGATATGTGCTTTCAATTTCTCTTGAGTAAGTTTAAGGAGTGCAGTGTGATAGGATCACATGGAAGGTGTGTGTTTGATGTTTTAAGAAACTGCTGAACTGTTTTTCAAAGTGGTTGTACCATTCTGACCAGTAATGCATAAGAAATCCAGTTCTGTCATATTTTTACCTTTATGGATGGGGGTAGTCTTTTTAAATTTAGCCTTTCTATACAGGAGTGTAATGATTACTCATTATGGTTTTAGTTTGAATTTCCTTAATGACTAGTAATGTTGAGCATATTTCAAGTGCTTATTTAACATCCATATATCCTCTTTTGGGACATGTCTGTTCAAATTGTTTGCCCATTTAAAAGATTGAGCCTTTAATTTTCTTATTATTGAGTTTTGAACATTCTTCACATATTTTAGGAATAAGTCCTTTATCATATGCAAATAATTTCTGTCTGTGGCTAGTCTCTTGATTCTTTTAATAGTGTCTTTTAAAGAGCAGAAGTCTTAAATTTTGGTGAAGTCTAATTTATTGTGTTTTATGAATTGTACATTGTCATATCTAAGAAATCTGCCTAATCCAATATCACAAAGAGCTTTTCCTATGTTTTTATCTAGAGTTTTATAATTTTATGCATTACATTTAGATCTCTTATCCCTTTTGAGTTAATTTTTGTGAACGGTGTTTGGTGTGGACTGGAGTTCAATTTTTTTGTCTGTGTGTATCCAATCGACCTAGCCTTGTTTTTTGAAAAGACTATATGTTCTTCACTGAATCACCTTTGCCCCTTTGTCAAAAATCTCTTGTCTATATACATGTGTGGGCCTATTTCTAGAATCTATTTTGTGTCACTGATCTAATTCTCTGTTATTTTACCTGTATCACACTGTCTTTATTACTGTAGCTTTATTCATAATAAATCTTACAATCAGGTAAGATTAGTCTTTCAACTCTTTTAAAAACACTGTTTTGGCTATTATAATATGAATTTTGAAAGAGTGCATTTCTACAAAAAAAGTTTCAACTGGGATTTCATTGAATCTAAGACCATTTTGAGGAGAGTTGTCATTTTAACAATATTATGTTTTCTAACCTTTGAACAAGGTATATCTGTCTGTATTAGGGTTCTCCAAAGAAACAGAACCAATACAATGTCTCTCTCTGTCTCTCTGTCTCTCTCTGTGTGTGTGTGTGTATGTGTGTGTGTGTGTGTGTGTGTGTGTGTGTGTATAGGTACATATAGACAAAAACAGAGAGAGAGGGTGAGGGAGAGATTTATTATAAAAAATTGGCTTACGTGATTATGAAGGCTGGCAAGTCCAAAATTTGCAGGGTGGATCCACATGCTGGAGACCCAGGAGAGCCAGTGCTGCAATTCCAGCCTCAAGAATGTTTACTGTAACACCAGAAAGAACCTATGTTGCACATGAAGTCTGAAGGCAGTCAAGTAGAGGATTTTCTCTTGCTCAGGGAAGAAGTCTTTCAACTGACTGGGTGAGGCCCACCCACATTAGGGAAGTCAATCTGTTTGATTTGGTGTACAAATTTAACTGTTAATCTCACCCAAAACAACCTTGCAGAAACATCCAGAATAATGTTTGATTTAATACCTGGGCACTCTGTGGCCCACCCAAGTTGACATATAGAACTAACATATTCTTCATATATTTAGAGTTTTGATTTCTTTCAGCAACGTTTCATCATTTTTGGTGTACAGGTTTTATACATCTTTTGTCAAACTTCTCTCTAAATTTTCAAGTTTTTGATGCCATTGCAAATTGTATTTTTGTTTCAATTTCCAATAGTTTGTTCCTAGTATGTATAAATGCATTTGATTTTTAAAAAATAAGTATCCAGAAAACTTACTATACTGATTCCTTTAATGTCTGACTTATCAGGTCAAGGTCAAGTAGATTTTTTGTAGATTCCATCACATGTACATAGAAAATCATGTATCCTGAATATAAAGACAGTTTTACTTCTTTTTTCCAATCTGAATTTCTTTAATTTCTAAGGAATGACAGAATAAATCCATTTCTACATCTTTAAATTCTTCTGTAAGTGGACTTTTGGTTAGTGTTCTGAAAAAGGTTGTGTAGATATTCTGTTTTCTTATCTAAATTTTAAGCTGTGTGAAATAGGGCAGGAATATATATTCTTTTTCATTTAGAGTTCATCAAAGTTCTCTGTACAAGGCAGATGCTCAGTACCTTTATGATGACCAACCAGCCTAGTCAGTATTGTGGAGAATACAAATGGGAGAACTCAATTGCAGGCTGCTAAATTAAATATAAGCAGTGTATGCTAAATTAAATATAAGCAATGTATTTTGTTTCTATTGAAAGCCACTTAAAAAAAACATTCTCAGTGAGAAACATCAATCTATCTTTTTCCATTAAATTTATAAAGTTACAAAACTGAAGAAACAATACATTTTATTCCACTTTGTTCTTCAGTTGCATGTACAAATCCCAGGAAATAACTGGAGAGCAAGAGCTATAATTCAAACAACTTTCCATCTTCTGGGCTATAACACGGTAGTGTTTAAGAACAGAAGCCTTGATTCTATGCTTGTGTTTAGAACCCCAGCTCTCTTACTAAATAACATTAATATTTTGAGCAAGACAACTTTTATGTACCACAATTTTCCAATCTGTAAAATGGAAATAATAATACAATTTTACATTTAAATTGAGACTCAGTGTTCTGGCACAAGGATTATAGAAACAACTATAAAAATTTTAAAATATGTGTGTTTCCAGTCTGAACATTTAGTAATATATTTATTTGCTCTGAAAAAAATTAATTTTATCTTCATTTTTTCTGTTTCTCTGTGGCATATGCATTTGTTTAAAGGCAGATCCAATTTCTTTTGGATGAAATAATTTTGCCTCAACTTTTAAGTATATGCAAGTCTCAAGTATCTTGTTTTACAAAAACCTTTTTCTAAATTGTTTAGAAATTTGACACACAGCAACCTTATAAAACATTTAAAAACAGCTGTAATGTGCATAATCTGTTCAATAAGTATAGTTGTTCAGATTATGTCAAAGGGAAGATTCAAACTGAAACTCCAATTTTTTTTTCATTATACTTTGTGGTCTAATTTTTCCGAAAATGCACACACACATACATACACATAACCCCGGCAGCTAGAAAAGGAACTCTTTTTTGTTTCAGGACTAAGATTTCTACAGAATCACATATATTCTTCAAGCTGTAACATCTATCATGATTCATTACATTTTAGTTTTATGGGGCCATCTTTTCTAGTAGACCATGAACTCCCTGAAAATGAGTTTCAAGTCCTATTTATTTTATATGCCAGTCGCATATTGGTGTTTCATAAAGGTTTGTTGCACTCAATTCTTACAAGATTTTGTTGTTTTCTTTGGAAGATGATAGGTGTCTGGGGGTGAGCTTGGAGAGAAACTTCCTTCTCTCTTCATGTCACTTCTCTGCCTTTATTTTCTATAATCTGATAGGTAAAGATAAAGTTCTACATTTGCTTTGTGGTGAGTCTTTCAGTGCACAAAGAATAAAGTCTGATCGATCTTAATTTTCAGATTACTTGGTGTGAGATGTATGTATCCATGATTAGGGATGTCACCTGAAGAACCAGTTCCTTGGCTGAGGAACAGGAAGAAGATTGAGCACATGAGGCAGTTTATTCTCTTTCCATTTATTCTCTTCACACCAACCAGCGTTGTTCCTGAAGCTCACATTTTAGGGGATCAAGCATGGGAGTGTGTGTGGGGTGGGGACTGTGGTCAGAGGCAGGTCCATGAAATGAGAGTCAAGATAAAGGGGAAAGAGAAAATCTGAACTTGAATCAGCTCATAATGAAATGTAATAGTGCCTCTGTCATCCTGTTGCAGGGCTTGTTCCTGGAAATCCTTTTAATGCAGCCCCCACAATGATGAATAAATGATATGATGGGTCAAAGTCTGGCTCATTAATATGAACAGTCATAATTGCATTAAATTAAGAGGAAACATGAGAGTTGATGTTTCCTAAGGCTTGGACAGGTCGGGATAGGGCAGAAGCATGAAGGGAAATGTTCCCTGGCCCATTCTGAAGGCCAGACCATGCTGAGACTGGTGCTCCTCAAAACAGACCCTAACGAAGTTACCATAGTAAAGAAATGGTGTCATTGCCAAAATAGTAGTCATGGGCTTAATTTCAGAGATTAGGGCTTGCATTGAACAGAGGGGAAAGTCACTTGGTAGACTTGGGCACTCTGGATGGTCAAGAGAAAAAGGGCCAAACAAGAGCAGCAGATGTGGCTGGCTCAGGCATTTTACTGCTTCCCAATCATATGCTCACTTCCTGTTGTAGCCCTGGGTGCATTTTCTACTAGTATTAAGGTTAACAGGACTTAAATAGCCCAGATATTCTACAAGTATTAAGGAAATGCATTCACAGTTATAAATTCAACAGCTACAAGAGGACTAATGTAACTCTTGCCACTTTTATCCTAGTAACCTGGCATAGACATATCAATACAGTGTGATATACCTAAGACTGAATACCATGAGTGTATTTTATTTCAAGGGTAACAGGACCCTAAGTGTATGCCATTGGCAACCTAAACATGCCCCTGTATAGCACATTTCTTACCCATGCATAAAAAGCCAGAATAGTTGTGGGCATATGAACGTGAATATTACTGCTAATATGTCCATGGATGTGCTTATTAATGCTGATGTTATCTAATTTACACCTAATAAATAAACATATTCTTTATGAAATGGAGAAAGATGTTCTCTTGCCCTCTTTTCTCCACCTTGGACGCCAGCAATTGAATCACTCTGACCTTCTTTTGTCAACAAATCTCCTTCTCTGATTCTGACTCTGACTCTCTTTTCCACTTTTAAGGACTCTTGCGATGACATTGGGCCCATCCACACAATTGAGGATGAACACCCTATTTTAAGGTCAAGCAATCAGCAACCTTGAATCCATCTGCAAACTTAATTTCCCTTTGCCATGTAATGTACCATATACACCGATTCTGAGGATTAGGAGGGAGACACCTTCGGGGGACCATGATTCTTCCTACCATACTCTGGATATTAGCAGGAGGGGTTTTTGTGATCTAGGCAGGCATTCTAGCTCTTTCTCAATCCTTGATTATGCTCTTTAAACAGAGGATTCCTCTCTCTTTGAATACCTAACTGATTGTAGTCTTCAGTTTTATTTGATGCAGACTGCAATGGATTGGGGAGGGGGGTGGTGGTAATGCACATGATGGGAAGGTGGCTACTATAAAAACTATGCAAATTATGAAATTGTTATAGTAACTACTTTTCAACCCAAAGCAAAATAAAATAAAACATTTTCTTATATTGGTAGCTTTGCATGGTAGTTAGTCCCTCAAAATTCTTAATTCTGATATTTTAAAGTATTTCCTCCATAGTTAGAGATTCTACAGATGATAAAAATTCATGTCTATTTTTTTTTTTTTTTGAGACAGAATCTTGCTCTGTCACCAGGCTGGAGTGCATTGGTGCGATCTTGGCTTACTGCAACCTCTGCCTCCTGGGTTCAAATGATTCTTCTGCCTCAGCCTCCTGAGTAGCTGGGATTACAGGTGCACACCACCACGCCCAGATAATTTTTGTATTTTTAGTAGAGTTGGGGGTTTCACCATTTTGGCCAGGATAGTCTCGTTCTCTTGAACTCATGATCTACCTGCCTTGGCCTTTCAAAGTGCTGGGATTACGGGCGTGAGCCACCACACCCGGACACTCATCTCTATTTTTAAGGATAAGACTACCATAAATATTCCACTCTTAATCCTGGAACAGATACAGTTTGGCTTTTTAAAGGAGTACAGCAATTCTCAGCAGACTATAAGCTGACTTGAGGTAGAATGACATTCTCTCTCTTAACCCTGTTTTATTTACCCCTTTGCAAGTGATACTCAGACTGTTCCCTGGAGCGGGTAAATCCCTGCAACCCCTACCACCAACTCTGGCCTCTCTGTTCCACAGCATAAAGCCCTGTGTGTGAAAGCTCACAAAATTTTGCTCTGGAAGGGGCCATGGACGTTATTTAGGTAAGTACAAGAGGGCCCTGGAGGAAGAAGGTGAAAAGAAATCTTCTTGCAGGATTATGCTGAGCAGTGGGACTCCACGGCCCATGCCATAGGGGCTCATTCCATTGTCTCCTTGTCTTACTTTTATTTAAAGAGGTCATCATAAAAAGTGGTATTTTAGTCCATTTGGGTGGCTATAACAAAATTAGCTTAGACTGAGCAATTTGTAAATCATAGACATTTATTTCTCACAGTCCCAGAGGCTGGGAAGTCCAAGACAAGAGCACCAGCAGATTCAGTGTCTGGTAAGGGGCTGCTATTTGCTTCCAAAATAGCACCTCTTGCTGAGTTCTCACATGGCTGAAGAGCAAGGCAGCTCCCTTCAGTCTCTTTTATAAGGGTACTAATCCCACTCATGGTGTTGGAGTCCTCATGACTTAAGTACTTCCTAAAAGACCCCGCTTTCTAATACTATTAGTTTCCACCATATGAATTTTGGGGCAAAACTGATATTCAGACCATAGCAGGTGGTTTTAATTTCACATCCCCTAAGAGGTTTGTAATGTAAGATAAGAAAGGGTGAAAAATTGCTGATTTGGTCTAATCCCATCATTCTGAAAAAGCTTCAGCCTTAAAGACAACACTTAACGAAAGTAACCAAGGTAATAGGTAGCAACGGCAGATACTCAGGCTCATACACATTTCTCTGCAATGAGAAAGTAGCACCCCTTTTTCCTAGTGCTTTTTCTCCTTAAAGTATGCTTCCTCCCCTGCTGATGATTTCTTAAGACATGGGAATATAAGCAAATTGTTCAATGGAAAGTCATAAAATATTTAGAGCCTCTTATTAACTATGTGTTCCACATTTGTATATTTTAATTATTTTTACAATGTAAGAAACTTTATAAGAAAAGCCAGGAATTCCTGCAATTTGTTTTTGACTCATTTTTTCTAAGAGTTTTAAACATACATTTTTAAAACATTTTTAAACTTTTACTTAAAAAAGTAAACTCTGTTCTTTTCCTGGACATACAAGAAAAGTAACTTACTGAAGAGTATATGAAACAATATCTCAGGTCCATAACGAAAAACAGAAAACTGACTTTTCAAGTCCTTGTGGGTAGTTATCAAAATAAAATATAGCATTTTACTAAGTATTCACCATAAAATATGTTTATCACAATGCTGTTGTAATTTTTATATTCTCAACATTTACTTAAAGCAGAATATATTGTAATGTCAACATTAAAGTGCTCAGTTGAAACCGTCCTTTCTTTTCTCTAGTGTGCCTCAGTTGAGACCTATATGAAAGTAATACATGTACTCATCTTCATAGGCTTAGTTCCATCTGAGAAGCTTTTGCTGTTTTCTCTCCTGCTCTCTGCTTGCATCTTCATGGTGATATGTTACTTGTCTAGTCTTACCTTAATTTAGATAGCCATTGGCAAACTATGTTCCACAGGCCAAACCCAGTCCATAAAGTGTTTGTTATTTTATTTTTATTCTATGTGGTTTGTTTATAATTTTTTCTTTCAACTTTTATTTATATTCAGGAGGTATATGTGTAGATTTGTTACATGAGTAAATTGCATATCACTGGGGTTTGGTATACAAATGATTTTGTCACCCAGACAGTGAGCATAATACCTGATAGGTAGTTTTTCAACCCTTACCTCCTTCTCATCCTCCACCCTCAAGAAGACACTGGTGTCTACTGTTCTGCTCTTTGTGTCCATGTGTAGTCAAGGTTTAGCTCCCACTTATAAGTGAGAACATGGAACATGTGGTATTTTGTTTTCTGTTCTTGTGTTAGTCCACTTTCGATAATGGCCTCCAGCTACATCTATATTGCTGCAAATGACATTATTTTATCCTTTTTTTTTTATGGCTGTGTGTATTCCATGGTCTATATGTACCACATTTCCTTTCTTTTTTTTTTTTTTTTTTTTTTGAGATGGAGTCTTGCTCTGTCACCCAGGCTGAAGTGCAGTGGCGTGATCTTGCAGTGGCTCACTGCAACCTGTGCCTCCTGGATTAAAGTGATTCTCCTCCCTCAGCCTCTCGAATAGTTGGGACTACAGGCATGCACCACCACACCCGGCTCATTTTTGTATTTTTGGTAGAGACAAGATTTCACCATGTTGGCCAGGCTGGTCAAGTGATTCACCAGCCTTGGTCTTCCAAAGTTTTGGGATTACAGGCATGAGCCACCACACCCAGCCCCACATTTTCTTTATCCAGTCCACCACACCAGTGATGGGCATCCAGGTTGTCTTCATGTCTTTACTATTGTGAAAAGTGCTGTGATGAACTGTGCATACATGTGTTTTTCTGGTAGAATGATTTATATTCTGGGTATATATCCAGTAATTGGATTGCTGGGTTGAATGGTAGTTCTGTTTTAAGTTCTTTAACAAATCTCCAAACTGCTTTCCACAGTAGCTGAATTAGTTTACATTTCCACCGGCAGTGTACAAGTATTCTTTTTTCTCTGCAACCTCACCAACATCTGTTATTCTTTGACTCTTTAATAATAGCCATTCTGACTGGTATAAGGTGGTATCTTATTGTGGTTTTGATTAGAATTTCTTTAATGATTAGTGATGTTGAGCATTTTTTCATATGCTTATTGGCTGCATGTATGTCTTCTTTTGAAAAGTGTCTGTTCATGTCCTTTGTTCACTTTTTAATGGGGTTGTTTGTTTTTCGCTTGTTGATTTGTATAAGTTCCTCATAGAATCTGGATATTAGACCTTTGTTGGATGCATAGTTCACAAATATTTTCTGTCATTCTTTAGATTGTCTGTTTACTCTGTTGATGGTCTCCTTTGCTAAGCAGAAGTGCTTTAGTTTAATTACGGCCCAGTTATACATTTTTATTTTTGTTTGCAATTGCTTTTGAAATCTTCATCATGATATCTTTGTGAAGGCCTATGTCCACAGTGATATTTCATAGGTTTTCTTCTAGGGTTTTTATAGTTTTAGGTTTTATGTTTAAGTCTTTCATCCATCTTGAGTTGATTTTTGGATATGGTGAAAGGAAGGGGTCCAGTTTCAATCTTCTGCATACGGCTAACCAGTTATTCTAGCACCATTAATTGAAGAGGGAGTCCTTTCCCCATTGCTTGTTACTATTGACTTTGTTGAAGATCAAATGGTTATAGGTGTGTGGCTTTATTTCTGGGCTCTCTATTCTGTTCCATTGGTCTATGCATCTGTTTTTGTAACAGTGCCATGCTGTTTTCGTATACAAAGTAGCCTTGTAGTATAGTTTGAAGTTGGGTAGTATTCTTTTTCCTTAGGTTTACTTTGGCTATTCAGGCCTTTTTTGTTGTTTAATTCCATGTGAATTTTAAAATAGCTTTTTTCTAGTTGTATGAACAATGACATTGGTAGTTTGATAGGAATAGCACTGAATCTGTATTGCTTTGGGCAGTATGGTCATTTTAACCATATTCTTCCTATCCATAAGCATGGAATATTTTTCGATTTGTCTTTGTTGTCTTTGATTTCTTTCAGCAATACTTTATAATTCTCACTGTAGATATATTTCACTTACCTGGTTAGCTGTATCCTGTAAACTGAAGTTTCAGGATACAAAACTGAAACTGAAAACTGAAGTTTTCCATCCATTCTAGGAGACTTTGAGCAGAGACTCTGGGGTTTTCTAGGTATAGAATCATATCACCCGCAAAGAGATCTAGTTTGACATCCAGTCTTCCTATTTAAATGTCTTTTATTTCTTTCTTTTGCCTGATTGCTCTGTCTAGGATTTCCTGTACTGTCTTGAATAGGAGTGGTGAGGGTGGGCATTCCTGTCTTGTTCTCATTCTAAGGGGGAATGCTTTCTGCTTTTTCCCATTCCGTATGATGGGAAGTATGAGGTTGGCTGTTGGTTTCTTATAGATGGCTCTTATTATTTTGAGATATGTTCCTTTGATGCCTACTTTTTTGAGGGTTTTTAACATAAACAGATGTTAAATTTTATTGAGAGCCTTTTCTGCATCTATTGAGATGATCATCCTGTCTTTGTTTTTAGTTCTCTTTATGTGATGAATCACATTTATTGATTTGTGTATGTTGAAGTAAACTTGCAACCCAGGGATAAAACCTACTTGATCATAATAGATTAGCTTTGCAATGTGGTGCTGGATTCAACTGGCTAGTATGTGTCTATGTTCATCAGGGACATTGTCCTGAAGTTTTCTTCCCTCATTGTGTCTGTGCCAGGTTTTTTGGTGTTTTTGTTTGTTTGTTTGTTTGTTTTTTGTGGAGGTCGGGGAGCGGGCAGCGTTTTGCTCTTGTTGCCCAGGCTGGAATGCAATGGCACCATCTTGGCTAACTACAATGCCTGCCTCCTGGGTTCAAGTGATTCTCTTGCCTAAGCCTCCCGGGTAGCTGGGATTACAGCACCCGCCACCACACCCAGCTAGTTTTTGTGTTTTTAGTAGAGATAGGGTTTCACCATGTTGGCCAGGCTGGTCTTCAACTCCTGACTTCAGGTGATTCACCTGCCTTGGCCTCCCAAAGTGCTGGGATTACAGGTGTGAGCCACCATGCCCGGCCTGTGCCAGGTTTTGATATTGAATGATGCTGCCCTCATAGAATGACTTAGGGAGGCATCCCTCCTCCTCAATTTTTTGGAATAGTTTGATAGGTTGATACCACCCTTCTTTATATGTCTGGTATAATTCAGTTGTGAATCCATCTGTTCCCGGACTTTTTCTGGTTGGTAGTTCTTTAATTACTGATTAGATTTCAGAGCTCGTTATTGGTCTGTACAGATATGCGATTTCTTCCTGGCTCAATCTTGAAAGTTGGGTATTTCCAGGAATTCATTCATTTCTTCTAGGTTTTCTAGTTTGTGTGCATAGAGGTATTTGTAATAGTCTCTGAGGGTTTTATGTATTTGTTTGTGGTCAGTGGTAATGTCACCTTTGTCATTTCTGATTGTGTTTATTTGAATCTTCTCTCTTTTTTTCTTTATTAGTCTAGCTAGAAGTATATTAATCTATTTATTCTTTAAAAGTGCAAACTTTTGGTTTCACTTGTCTTTTGTACGGGTTTTTATGTCTCAATTCCATTCAGTTCAGCTCTGATTTTGGCTCTTTCTGCTAGCTTTGGAATTGGTTTCCTCTTGTTTGTCTAGTTTCTCTAGGTGGGATGTTAGGTTGTTAATTTGAGATCGTTCTACCATTTTGATGTTGGCATTTAGCACTCTAAACTTTCCCCTGAATAATGCTTTAGCTGTATCCCAGAGAATCTGGTATGTTGTATCATTGTTTTTATAAGTTTCAAACAATGTCTTTATTTCTGCCTTAATTTCATTCTTTACCCAAAAGTCATTCAGGAGCAGGTTGTTTAATTTCCATGTAATTGTACAGTTTTCAAAAATCCTCTTGGTATTGATTTCAATTTTTATTGCACTGTGGTCTTTGAATGTGGTTCGTATGATTTTGGTTTTTTGAGTTTGTTAGGAATTGCTTTATGGCCGAACAGGTGGTCAATCTTGCAGTATGTGCCATGCGCAGATGAGAACATATATTCTGTTGTTTTGGGATGGAGTGTTCTGTAGATATCTGCTGGATCAAGTTTAGATCCTGCAGCTTTATTAGTTTTCTGCCTCAATGAACCGTCTAACCCTTAGAGTGGGCTGTTGAAGTTTCCCACTATTATTGTGTGGTAATTTAAGTCTCTTTGCAGGTCTATAATAACTTGTTTTATGAGTCTGAGTGCTCCAGTGTTCGGTGCATATATATTTAGGATAGTTGTCTTCTTGTCGAATTAAACACTTTATCATTTTGTAATTCCCTTCTTTGTCCTTTTTGATCACTGTTGGTTTAAAGTTTGTTTTGTCTGACATAAAAATAACAATCCCTGGTCTTTTTGTTTTCTGTTTGCTTGATAAATCTTTCTCCATTCCTTTTCTTTGAGCCTTTGGGTGTCATGGCATGTGAGATGGGTTTCTTGAAGAGTACACGCAGGTGGGTGTTACTTTTTCATCCAACTTCCCACTCTGTGCCTTTTAAGTGAGGCCTTTAGCCCGTTTACTTTCAACATTAATATTGCTTTGTGCGGATTTGATTCTGTCATTGTGTTGTTAGCTGGTTGTTGCGTAGAACTGATTGTATAGTTGCTATATTGTCAGTGGGATATGTACTTAAGTGTGTTTTTGTGGTGTCGGATAACAGCTTTTTGTTTCCACGTTTAGCAGTCCCTTAAGGACCTCTTGCAAGGCAGGGTGTAATGAATTCCCTTAGGATTTGCTTGTCCAAAAAGGATTTTATTACTCTTTTGCTTGGGAAGCTTAGTTCAGCTTGATATGAAATTCTTGGTTGGAATTTCTTTTTCTCAACGTTGCTTAATATAGACCCACAGTCTCTTCTGGCTTGTACAGTTTCTGCTGAAAGGTTTGTTGTTAGCCTAATGGGGCTCCCTTTATATGTGACCTGCTCCTTCTCTCTAGCTGCCCATAATATTTTTTCTTTCATGTTGACAATGGAGAATCTGATGACTATGTGTCTTGGGGATGGTCATCTTGTATAGTTTCTTGCAGGGTTTCTCTGAGTTTCCTAAATTTGCATGTCAATCTTTCTAGCGAGGCTTGGGAAATTTTAGTGGACAATATCCTTAAGTATGTTTTCCAAGTTGCCTGCTCTCTCTCCTTCTCTTTCTGGTATGCCAGTAAGTGATAGGTTTGGTCTCTGTACATAATCCCATATTTTTGGAGGTTTTGTTAATTTTTTAAAAACGCTTTTTTCTTTATTTTTTTCTGAGTTGATTCGAATAACATCAGTTCTGAATCAGGCTCTGAGATTCTTTCCTCAGCTTGGTCTCTTCTGTTGTTAATACTTTGATTGTATTATAACATTCTTGTAGGGAGATTTTCAGCTCTAGAAGATTAGTTCAATTCTTTCTTAAAATGGCTATTTTACTTTTCAGCTCTTGCATCATTTTATTGGATTACTTGGACTGAGTTTCAGCTTTCTCTTGAATCTCAAGGAGCTTTGTTGCCATCATAGGGTGTTTTTATACAGCCTATATGCTAAAAATAGTTTTTAAGTTTTTACATTAAAAAATCAAAAGAAGATTTTTTGATATGCAATTACATGAGAATCAAATATTCACAATAAATGTTTCATTGGCACGCACTCATACCTATTTGTTTATATATTGTCTGTGGCTAATTTCCTGCTACAGGATAGAGTTACGTAGTTGTAACTCTGGCTGTGTGGCCTGAAAAGATGACAATAGTTATTATCTGGCCCTTTAAGAGAAAAAGTTTGGTGACCCCTGATTTGGACAATTTGATTCTGAAACTTATCTGGTTATTCCTACATCCTTAAATTATGCTGTTTTTCAAAAAATTTTTTTAAATTAAGCTACACATATAATTTCCAACACTGGGTTTATGATACATACATGTGTCAGGATTCTGGGGCTCCCTGACTCATTTATTGTATCTAGTGGTAATCCTGGAAGATGGGCCCATATAGCTATCAAGTGGGGATTTGGATATTTTGATAAAGTGAATTATGCAACAGAGAAATAAAGTGTGAGGTCCACTACCTCAGAGATAGAAAATAAATTGTTATATCTCTAGACAGACTTTGCAAGAACCCAGGGAAAATTGGGGACAAAACGACAACTTTAAGTAGTCTTCAGCAAAGAGATGACAATTGAAGACATAACAAAAATGTAATTAAAACCCAGGAATTTATACTCCAAAATGGACTATTTACATACAACCTAGAACAGATCCTCTCTCTACATTATAGTACTTTTCTGAAAAGGCTGACTACATCATTTGTCATTTTCTGGAAGTAAAAGGATGATGGTTCTGGTTGTTACTCATCTTCATTGATTTTTCCTTTTGCCAGAAATAGTTTAGGGTGGAGAAAAGAAACACTGGGCAGAATTGAAGAAGGAGGCATAAGAAGGGAAGCTAAGACTATTCTGGGCACATTCCTAACTTTTGTTGATGACTTCATGGAAAGCAACTTTTACATTCTCCAATAATTCATTTCCAGTATTAAAATAAATGCCAGGCCAGCAGCTTGATCCAATGTAGTATTTCCAGATATTTGTGATTTTGTGCCCCAGTGTATCAAAGAGAAAATCATTAACTGCCTCCTAAGTGCAAAGCTGGCACTTTAGACTTTTCTCTCTCTTTCCATCAGGCTATAAGAATTTAAGATTGTGAGTAGCCTGAGGCCAGAGATGTCATTTTACTCATATGTGTTTCATACTCACCCTAACCCCTAGCTTAGCATATGGCAATGATATCATATGCCTGAAGGAATTAATTGTCTGGTTTATCTGCCTGCTGTGAAACCACTAGTTTGTTACCTTAATAGGTAAATAATTCATTTTTTGTGTGTGAACTTTCAATTTTTTTGTTCTTGTTTGTTTCTCCCCAGGAATAATGTATTACAGTCTTCCATACCATTAAAAAATTCTCTTTTACATCTTATAGCCTGCCATTTAGACATTCTGTCCTCACCATCTCTTTCCAAACCCTAATCTTTCACATGAAAAATGAACAATAATTGAATGCCTACCTGCTCAGCTCATTTTCAAACTTTCTAATCTCCTATTTACCTCTTGGCCTCTTATAATTTGGGTTCCACCATTCCTTAGTCCTATTCTCAATTTTTTCAGAATTTTCTATTTCTTTTCATGTTGGTTGTATTCTTTCTATAATTTTCTTTTTTTAGCTTTTTAATTTATTTTATAAAATATAGGCTTATTATATTAACTCTTTAAAAATCAAAGCTTTATTTTATTGAAATAATATTTAGACATGGATTAGAAAAAGATAAATATAAGTAGTATAATGAAGAACAATAGTTTTCTATGTTTTTCCAGATCCTGCATGTTTACTGCTCATCAGAGGAAACCACTTTCGCCCCCTTTAGATATTTCCTACGGTATTTGTCTTATATTTGAAAATAATAAGGATGTTTGGATGTATGGTCATTTCTCTATTTTTTTAGTCTCTACTTTGAAAGATGAGGCATTAAATCTTTTATCTAATTTACAACTCATTTTCTTAGTTTTCATCTTCCCAAAATAGTTACATCACACATTTGATTATTTATTCTTTTACTAGAATATAGAACATTATGTTCAAATGTAATCCCAAAATCTCTGCCAAAAATTTAAACCATCTTTCAATATGGTCAAACAAGACAAGTTATCTTTCTGTCACATTATTCTTCTTAAAGACATATCTTGGAACCCTCAGTCCTTCTGTTCTAATTTGTTCTGGTTGTTCTCTAGACTGCCTGAAAAGGGAAGTCAATAGAAGATCTGTAATCTTCCTATCCCTCCTAGGGACACCTGAAGCAACCTTGACCTTGGACTAAAACACTGTGAAATGATGCCTGCAATACAAACACAGCTAAAAGATATATGAAGATTCAATGGAAATCACTGTATATTGATTACTGACCCAGGAATGCATTCAATAGGATGTACCTAGAATTTTTATTGTAAATTAGTCTGCAATTCATAGATTAATGGGCTATAGCTGCACTGGTAGTGGGAATTAGTCATGTAGTCAAAATATGACTATGTGATAAGATTTATAAACTGAGTGACCCAAAAACTTAGCAGCTTTCCCGTGCTAGCTTGCATCATGCACAGAAATTAACCCAACACAACCAAAATGGGTAAGAGGCATAGGAAGCTGAGTCTTGTGGATTAGGGGACTCCCAGATATTGACAAGATAAAGGCTGTATGTGGCTCCCTTCTTGTGTTATTTGACAGTCATTACTAATTCTTGTGTTACCTCTGAGTCTAATTAGCTATCTGGGTCTTTGTGATCACACACTGCTACACAGCCAATATTCTGTTTACTCCATCAATGGGAATTATCCTCATGTCTCTACTGTGCTGAATTCCCTCATTTGTTTAAGTGTATAGACTCCAGAGAACAGTTTCCTGGGCTTGAGTCCTGCTACCACTTACTAGATGTTGTATATTACTTAGTTTCTCTAGCCTGAAATTCGCTCATCTGTAAATTGGGGATAGTAATATTTTCTATCACAGTAGAGTGCTATGAATGAATTACATGTGTAAAGCATTTAGAGAAGCACATGACAAAATAGAACTGTGTAAGTAATAGCTATAATTAAAGCATACTCTCAATAGTTTCATGAGAAAAGATATATGAGAGATATATATTTTAAACCATCATGCTGAAAACTTTATTCTCACATCCTATTTGACATGATAATTTAGCAGTTTGGGGAATTGCAAGTTGGGAAGCACTTTCCCTCAAGTTTCAAAAAGTGTTTTTCCATTATTTCTAGTTTTTGTTGTTGCTTTTGAGAAGATCAATGTCACTTCAACTCTCAAATCCTTTATAAAGTCTTTTTTCTCTCTAAATGTTTAAAAATGTCTCTTTGCACATGGTGTTGCAAATTTTACAACGGCGTGTCTTATTATGAATCTTTTTCCTTCATCTTTTGAGCATCCAGTCAACTTTTTTAACCTAGAATTTAATGTTCTTCAATTTCAGATTTTTTGGAGTTATTCTTTCATTATTCCTGCTCTGTTGTTATTGCTGTTGTTTTGCATTTTCATTTCTTAAATTTTTATTAGTCATATATTGGCTTCATAGATTAATCTCATTTTCTTATCAGTCTTTCTTATTTTTCACCCATTTTTTCCTACTTTCTTAAGAGTTCTTTTACTTCAATTTTTTGCTCTTCTATTATAATTTTTATTTCTCCCTATATATTTCTAATTTCCAAGGGCTATCTTTTTAGTTCTCTAAATGTTCCTCTTTATTGTGTCTTGTTCTTACTTCATGGTTCATAGAAAACTGTGTGTTTATACATATGTTTATACGTGTATATAAAGTAACACATGTAAACATACACACAGATAAGCACTCATGGCTTTTTGAGTTAAATGTTTTCCTCAAATATCTAAGGATCTTTGGCCATTTGTATTTCAGAGTGAGGCACTACAAAGACAATTGGAACCTATGGTAAATGAATCAGTGGTGAATATAGTAAGTACTACACTTACTCTTTTATAAACTGGGCTATAAGAATTGAAAAGGGCATGAGGTAAATTTCTAGATGCTGTTAATGTTTTTCTATTTCTTGGCCTGAGTGATGATTGTAATAGTTTCTTTCTTTGTCATACTTCATTGATCTGCATACTCATGATTTGCATTTTTTTCTATATCGTATTTCAATACCTCAACAAAAGGCAGATTATCAAGGGCCTTTGCCAAGAAGTTGGCTTCATTATATGATAATTAACCAGAAAAGGGTTTTTTTTTTTTTTTTGGTGGGCGGGGTGTTATTAATTGAGGCAATCCAAGTGTTGCTGTTGATCTAATCTCTTGGACAATACCTTATACCATAAGAGTGGCCTAAGTTCTACCTGGGTATGTAGGCTAAGAATTAACTGCATTGTACTGGAAGCAAAATGGGGAGAGGAGCTAGACTTAGAGCCATTGTTAGTGGTTTTCACATAAACTCTTGTTTTTGGAGTGGCTCCCTGTCCTCAATACATCCTGGATACCCTGAGTTCAGTTTCTTATGCTCAACCACTCTGGAGAATCAACCACTTAATCTCCCACCCCACTGGGAATGGAATATGCCTGTTGGCTGTATGGAATCGATATAGGAAAGGATATGGTGGTTTAATACTTTATTTATTTATTTTTTCAGAATCTAAACCAGTCCTTCTGTATTCAGACCCACTGTTACCCCCACCTTCTAAGGCACCAGCCACCTGCAATTATTGAGCCTTTCCTAGACAGAGTTGTGAAATTTGGCTGTATTTTTGGCGTTGCCATACATGCTGTTACCTTCTTCATAATATTGGGTCAAGTACCACTTTTGTTGCTTTGTTTTCCAGCTTTTGAAATGTTGCTCTTCTCTTCTTAACTGTTCTTTTTGTTTAGAAGTTTCCTTTTAATCCTTTCACTGTCATTCTGGTTATGTTTTAGGAACAATCAGAAGTAACTGCATGTTTTCAATTTGCTCTGCTTGAGTAGAAGTGTTGATTCTCCCTGTTTCTCATCCCACTTGTCCTCGGATTTGAGCTCACACTTTCCCCAGACTTCATTGACCGCATTCATAATGTTGACTTCTGATTCTAGTCCTCTAGCCTTGACCTCTTCAAATTTCTAACCTTATGTTCCAAATATGTTCCATGTGAGTGAATCATAGGTCCCTCAGATTCATCTTGATCATAATTAAACCCATTATTTTACCTTACCACTACAAAAGATTGACGGATATTTGACTCATTCAGCTTCCTCATTACTTCTCATTTTAATCCATTATCAAATCCTATACATTCTGTCTCCAGGATTTCTAGCAAATTTGACTTCTTTCCACTCCTCTTGTTCTGCTTTGAATCTGGGCAGTCAAAATGGCTTCTTATACTTCCAGACTATTCTAAAAACATCTGCCAGGTTTTGATTATTTTAACTTTACCATTATACTAGAAGCAAATCCAAACTTCTTGAGCTGGCAATTTGAGATTTTTTATTATGTCCCTTTAGAACATTTTTCTACTTTAATCTTTTATGATCTTTCTCTTAATTTACCCACAAATCTTCTGCTGTAGAACCTCTGTACTCACTGTTCTGTGTGTAATTCTTTCTCCCTCTTTCCTTAGTCAACTCCTGTTTTTCCTTCAGTGTGCACTTCAGTTGTCTAAGTCAGTTTTCTTTCATACAGTCTTTCTTAGTTTTTTTTTTTCTTTCCTGAGAATTCTTATTTCAGTTTGCTTTTTCAATACTCTGATTACCCTATTGAGGGTGGGGGTGAGGTTTTAAAAGACAGTAGTTATTGTAAGCTGATGACAATATTCTTCTGGCAGTAAATTTTCCCCCAGAGAACCAACGTTTATTGGACAATAATGAGATACTTTAAATTTAAACTTAGCACCATCTGTAGCTAAAGAAGAATAGTTGAAGAGAATGGCAGGTGACCAGCACATTCTGTTAGAAAATCCAAGTTGATTGTAGCCCTTTACAGTGATGTAAGAACCCAGTACCTAAGTCTTCCGGCTAAGAAATTATCACGAATGGTCTTTGGATGTCAAATTGGAAATATTCATATCTGAGCAAGATGAAAGTTTCTGAGAGAATAATCAAACACAACTGGAAAATACCATACCACAAACTTGGTGTCGTGATGACTTTACAATCTTTTATAACTATAAACCATTTAACGTTCTTCAATAAAAGCTTGGAAAAG